>NC_000005.10:37580548-38213073 GCF_000001405.40 Homo sapiens | reverse complement strand
GAAATCTCGGTCTATGAGACTTTTCCTTTCCAAAATGTATCTTTCTTAGGCCCTATTCATTTACCTTCCAATAAATAATACCTGATGCATTGGTTTTTATTTATGATTACTAATAACTTAATGTACTACCCTTCCTAAAATCATACACCTGCATGCAAGTGCATTCATAGACATTTAAATAAGATCCATTAGAACCTTAACCCAAAGGAATCAGCAGGGATGAAATGTTAAAATAGCCACAAGTGCAGATATTTGGGAATAAGATTGCCTAAAACTATAACTGAAATAACAACAGGTTAAACTGGATTGTTACTGTCTTCACTCAAAAAAAGCCTTGTCCATCTCCTCACCTCTCCTCTGTATCCTAATTAAATATGCTAGATATGACTAACAGGGTCACCTATCACTTCTTCCTCTGCACATCATGGGGTAACATCTTCCCATGACAAAAACAAATAGGTTCCCACCTTTGAGGAAGAAGAGGTCTTTGTATTCTTAAAACTCTAGAATTTGAACAGTACCAGAATCTCAGTGGATATCTTATTAGTCAGGATAGGCTAGCTGGTGCTTCAGTAACAAATAGCCCCAAATCTTACTGGCTTTTTAAAAAAGGTATGTTTAATGTTTATGCACCATGAGGTTTCAATTGGGAGTTCTGCTCTGCATTGCTCATACTCTGAGACCCAGCTGACAGAGCTCCCACTTTCTGGAACATTTCTGGTTGCCATAGTGGAAGGAAAGATGAGTAAAGAGAATGGGGGATGTGTGCATCCTGGCCATTAAAGTTTGGTCAGAAGTTACATGTATCACTTCCTCTAAAACTTTATTCCCCAAAGCAAGCCCCATGGCCACATTTACCTACAAGTGGATTTGGACACAAAATTCAACCACATGCCTGTAAGAACAGAATCAGAATATTTATGAAAAGCCCAAGTAATTATAATTTAGAGTATCTAGAAGATAACCCAACATGAAAACAAAGCAAAACTCTTGTGGTCCTATAGTGAAGGTGGTGGTTTGACTATGTCTTTTCACAATCCAGCAGGTTTGTGAATTTAGAGTACCACACACTATTATTTCACAGTAAAATGCCAAGAGCAAAACCTGGCATTTAACAAGAGTCATTATTACTATTACTATTATAATTATTGCTATTACTACAGAATTATTATTGTGATAAGTGGGAAAAGACATCGAGGGGTATGAAATGATTACCTAAGAACACACAGCTAATTAGGAACACAGTGAAGATGAGAACACACATTTATTGAATCCAAGATGGGAGTATTTTTCTCTCAACTCATCCCAATGCATAGGAAAGACATAATCAAACCCATTGGATTGTGAAAAGACATAGTCAAACCACTGCCTTCAATATAGGGCCACAAACGTTTTGCTTTGTTTTCATGTTGGGTTATCTTCTAGAGCAGTGTTCAGCAAACTCTTTCTGTAAAGGATCAGACAGTAAATATTTTTGGCTTTGCAGACCATATGGTTTCTGTCACGACTAATCAACTATGCCGTTGCAGCACAAAAACAGCTACAGATAATATCTAAACAAATAGGCACAACTGTGTTCCACTACAACGTTCTTTACAAAAACACACAGCAGAATGGATTTGGCCAGCGAGCTGTTTGCCAGCCTCTGTTCTCGAGCATCCTCCAGTGGGGAAACACTACTTAAGGGAAAGTCTAAGAAGAAGGGAAACAAAGAAACCTTAGTGTGCCCCGGTTTCCTCTAGAGTCAAAAGCCCACCTTGTAGGGTGATGGTGAAGATTGAACAAGCTGATACATGCAATGCACTTAGAGGAGTGCCCGGCACCTGGTAAGCCCCCCAGTCACCTCCATGAATGGTGATTTCCCCTCACTGAGCGTCAGCCACTGTCCTAGGTGCTGGAGGTTCAATTGCAAACAGAACAAAGCTCCTGCTCTCCTGGAACTGATATACTGATCCAGCAAGTCAGACAAAGAAACAAATAGACATGTAAGCTATCAGGAGGTGATAAGGGCTGAAAAGGAAAATCATGCAGGGTTAAAGGTTGGCTAGGGGAGATGAGTTTAGGAAGTTTTATGTAGGGTGGGTCAGGGAAGAGATTTTGAGCTGAAGACTTCACGAAGGGAGGAAGACAGTTATGCAGGTGTGGGGAAGCATGTTGCAGCACACGTGCAAAGTCCCTGAGGCCAGAGCCTGCAGGCAGATCCTGGGGTGAGGCGGGTGTGGTCCCAGCAGCGCAGGGTGGAGGAAGTGATTCCTGAGGAAGATAAAGTGGAGAGTTGAAAAGAATCTGAAGAGGACAGGGATGTGCCTTGGCAGGGACTTTGGATCTAATTCTGCATGAGTTGAGAAACATTATTCGTATCATTTACTATAATAATAATTATTATTCTGTGCCATCAGTGCTCTTTTTTCTTTTGCTCACTGATTCTTCACTTTTCCACCTTCCTACTCCTTTCTCACTCCTCCCCCTTTCCTCCTCTCTTTCTACATCTCTGCCTCCTGCTCTGTGCTCCTGCAAGATCCTCTTTTTGCCATTTTGTAATCCTTCTTCTTTTGGGTGACACATAGCTCTGTTGGCAGCACCTGAAACCAAGGACGTCACTGTCCCTGGGAATAATGGAAGGGGAAGCTTGGCCCAGCTCAGGGCTTTCCAGAAGGATTTAACTTAATTCCTCAGACACTGGGCATCAGACAGAAAAGGCTTAGGGAGAACAAGATGAGAATTAAAGCAAAAATCATCAAGAATATTTTGTTATTACATTTTAAAAAGATCCTAAAACATTTAAAGACATATGCAAGTTGTATTGGGTTGGTGTGAATGTAGTCAGAGAGATATGCATACATAATCAATTCTTTTTACGCTTTTTGCAGTGTGAGTTTGTGAGTGGGTGTATGTTTATCCCAGGATTCAGAGAATAACAAATTTTTGATTACCAGGACTAATGGATGTGACACAAATATCCCAAGTAGCTGAATATTAAACAGTGATTTTTGCAGACGTATTTGCAAGATAAGCTGTTGTGTTTTAATTAAACAAATATATGTGTATATGATGGTGAATCTGTGGGTATATATACCATAGAGAGAGGGGGAAATGGAAGGTGGGAGGGAAAGAGAAAGGGAGAAGGAGGGAGAGGGAGAAAGAGGGAGAGGATATGCACAATATGACCTGAAATCCTGCTGTGCTCACCAGTTTGTGGCAGCATCTGTCCATAGGAAAGGACTTTAAAAAAATTGTGATGGGAACACTTAACGTGAGATACATCCTGTTAATAAACATGTAAGCATATCATGCATGAGTGTTGATTACAGGTACAATATCATGCAGCAGATCTTTAGAGCATGTTCATCTTGCTTGACTGAAACCTACACCAGTTGTCCCCCTCTCCCCTCTCCCACAGCCCCACCATTCCATTCTCTGATTCTATAGAATTGATTATTTTAGATACTTCATTGATGTAAATCCAGGAAGCACTTTTTTTAATTTATAGGAAAATCACCTGTGGGCCAGTGGCTCTTGTGTATCTTCTCAAACTCTAATGTGATATGAACCACCAGTGGAATCTTATTTAAGTGCGGATTTTGATCCGGTGGGCCAGGAGCAGATCCTAAAATTCTGTGTTTCTAATAAGCTCCCAGGTTTGGCCTACAATACAGTCCCATGGGCCATAGTTGGGTAGTATAGTGGGATTTTTAATGTAACAGTAAGCTCAAAAGCTTTAGTTACATTAAATATCTATTTTATTGCATTAAATGGCAACATTTATAATAATACAACTAGGCCAGAGGTGGGCAGATATATCATTTCTGGAAGAGGACCTCTGGAATTTCTAAAAAGAAGAAGATTTGGTGGAAGTTTCCAAGGTAAAGTTATTTGATTTGGAAAAATGTGAAATATATGGGGAAAGATTCCAAATGTGTTTCCAGTGTTGGCTGAGGTGTCCAGATGTTTGGAACCCAAATAGACACTGATAAATTCTGCCAGGTTGGGCCCCCTGGTCTGAGCAAGGTGTGAGGCCTGTTTGCAAACCTATCTGACAAAGCCGTGCTGGGAACTGACTCAGGGCAGGACCCAGTAGCTTGTTAGAGCTTGTTGGCTTTGGGTGCCATCTTGTGGCAAGAAGCAACAAAAATTTTTAAAATCCAGAAACAATCAAAGGTTCTCACCTATGCATGATGTTGTGTTAGGTACTGTAATTAAGAACAATAAAAATATTACATATCTAAATTGTATAGTTGAGACCCTTGCTAAATTCAACACACTTTGCTTTAGCCAACATTGTATGTCTACTCTTGTCTGCTGTGTGGCCATGGGCAGATTGCTTGATGTTGCAAGATCTTGAGTACTAAATCCGTAAAATGGGAGTAATTAAACTACCTCATGAAATTGTGGTGAATATCCCACCCGTGGAAGATGCTTAGCCCCAGTGACTGATACGAGCTCAAAAGGAAGGGAGAAAAAGTGGTAGCAATGATTATTAATGGTTGTAGTAGAAAAATAACAATTATTAGAAAAAACATAATATTTTATTATTTCCTTTTTAAAACAAGGAAAATAAGATCTAGAAGTCAAGTGATTTATCCAAGGTAATAAATCCAGTGTCAGATCTAGATGTCAAATATAGGTCTTTCTACTTGAGACAGTGGAACCTTAATTACAAGGTCGTCTTCATTGTATGCGTTAGTCTGATAAGCTAAAAGGAAAGTTATGTAAGTCGGCTTTCACTAGGCTATGCGCAGTAACAAGTCACCCCAATACTTCAGTGGCATACACCACACAAAGATTTACTTCTTGCTTGTGTTACATGAACTTTGCAAGTGGTCTGAGCCATGAATGCTCCTGTCAGGTCTTGCTAGGTGAATACAATTTTGGGAGGAAGGGCCAAGGGAGGTATTAATAATAATGTTCTATGGTGTGTATGTCAACATCTTAAACCCCTTCAAAGTCTGAAAGAAATCTTCTGAGGTCCTACAGTCAGTCCATTTCCAGTGCGCCCCTTCTACAGGTGGGAAAGGAGGCCAAGGGAGGTATTAATAATAATGTTCTATGGTGTGTATGTCAACATCTTAAACCCCTTCAAAGTCTGAAAGAAATCTTCTGAGGTCCTACAGTCCATTTCCAATGTGTTCCTTCTACAGGTGGGAAAGAGGCTCAAAGTAGACAAGCGGCAGCCTCAAGGTTATGAAAAGAGACAGATCATGCCCTGGGAAGTGCTCCCCTGTGAGAAGTAAAGAGTATTATCTTGGTGCCCCATTACCATGAGCCACTCCCATGCCTGCTTTCCTTTCTACCTCACTGTCTCAGCCTCAAGAAAGGGACCCTTATACCATCAGTTTATTAAAGTGAAGGTTTTATCCAAGGGTGCTGGCTATTAGTGGCTTTAAATGCAGCAGTTCCTGTCCCAGGACTGGGGATGTGGCAATTTAAATTTAATGATCCCAATGCTTCATCCTGCCCCATAGTCACATCCTTTGTTAGGTAACTTTGCAGTTTCTCCTGCTGGAAGCAAAGTGTACTCCACTCTTTGACTTTGGGCTTGGCCATGTGACTTGCTTTGCCCAGTGAAATGTTAGAAGGTGTGATGCAATCAAAGGCCTGAATTGCACCTGCAGGGTTCAACTTTTATCCTCTCTATGAGAAGAAGATGCTCCTAGAATCCTACTAATCCAAGGATGAGGGGAGATAGACTCATGGGACAGACCTGGAATCAACCAGCAGCTTAGAGTCCAGCCCAGTCCAGCCTGGATCAGCCACCCCTTGGCTGACCTGCCACTGTGTGGGAAAAAAAAAAGTTTATTTATGCGACTGAGTTTTGAGGTTATTCGTCATAGAGCATTTTTATGGCAATAGCTTACTATTCGGGGGTATCCTTTCAAAACTCATTATGCTTGCTCTCTTGTCATTTAACTTCCTCCTAAAAATAGAGCACCACAAAAGTTGTAGATAATTGAGGACTCAGTTAATAGCTTCTGCTTATCAAAGCTTTGTGATGGCATGTCACCATTTCCAACAAAAAATTCACAAGCCTTGTAAGAAGAGAAAAATTTTGCATGCATGTTCTAAATCTCTGACAAAAAATGTTAGAAGGGAGAGATTAATTGTTACTCAGAGTTTTGGTTTGTCATTTTTATTTTCCATCATACAGTAGCTGTAAAAGACGAATGAGACAAAGAGGAGCAGAAAAGTGAGAGTATGAGGAAAAGGAAGAAATCTAGGGGAAAAAGAAGAGAGAGGAGATGGGGAAGAGGGTGGATGCTACTGGGAGGGAAAATAAGAAAAGGGTAAAGGAAGCCATGGCAGAAAGGGAAAGAGGCCGAGAGTTCTCATGGAAAATCCAGGGAGTTGGAATGGGGAGAATGATGGTGGGTAGAGACTTCTCTCCACTCCATGGACACACACAAGCACACACATGTACATCACCCATACACATATCTGTTAGGCAAACAAGATGCATATATAACATAAAAACTAAATTTCTAAACTGTATTTCACAATTTATGTAGCTGATTTCATGTACTTCTATATGAGGGTTCTTCAAAAAGTTTGTAGAAAATGGGATGAAAAGATAAAAATTAAAAAGATAAGCTTTATTTCCCAACATAAGCTCCATCAAGGTCAAGACACTTTTGTAAGCAATGATACCAGCCATTTAGTCCATCCCCAAGAGTCCTTGGGACTGAGAGTCCTTGGGACTTAACCATATCAATGCAATTTTTTTTTATGTTAAAAACTCAAGAAAAGTAGGTGGCCTTTAAAGGTTTTTCAGGACTAGGAAACAGAAAGAAGTTAGAAGGAGGTAAATCAGAAATGCAAGGTGGATGCCTAAGGATTTCCCATTGAAACTCTTGCAAAGTTGCCCTTATTGACAAGAGGGGAGAGCAGGAGCATTGTCATCGTGGAGAAGGACTCTCTGGTGAAGTTTTCATAGGTATTTTTCCGCTAAAGCTTTGGCTAACTACTTTCTCAAAACACCTTTTTTTTTTTTAGACA
This sequence comes from Homo sapiens, assembly GCF_000001405.40. Taxonomy (NCBI): domain Eukaryota; kingdom Metazoa; phylum Chordata; class Mammalia; order Primates; family Hominidae; genus Homo; species Homo sapiens. Next base: position 38,206,083 of record NC_000005.10, on the reverse strand, counting down.
AAGTCTTGCTCTGTCACCAGGCTGGAATGCAGTGGCACAATCTCGGCTCACTGCAACCTTCACCTCCTAGGTTCAAGTGATTCCCCTGCCTCAGCATCCCGAGTAGCTGGGACTACAGGCATGCGCCACCATGCCAGACTAATTTTTTGTATTCTAGTAGAGACAGGGTTTCATCATGTTGGCCAGATGATTTCCTGACCTCCTGATCTGCCCACCTCGGCCTCCCAAAGTGCTGGGATCAAAACACTCTTATAATAGGCAGATGTTACTTCTCTTTGGCCCTCCAGAAAGTCAACAAGCAAACTACCTTGAGCATCCCCAAAATCTGTTGGCATGATCTTTGCTCTTTGATGCTTTTTCTTTGACTGGACCCCTTCCACCTGTTGGAATCCACTGCTTTGATTGTGCTTTGTCTTCAGGACCATACTGCTGAAGCTGTGTTTCATCTCCTGTTACAATTCTTCAAAGAAATGCTTCGGGACCTTGATGCCACTCACTTAAGCTTTACATTAAAAGCTCTGCTCTTGTCTGCAGCTGATCTGATCTGGGTATGTGGTTTTGACACCAATCAAGTGGAAAGTTAGCTCAACTTTAATTTTTTAGACAGACTTGTGTAAGCTGAACCAACTGACATGTCCATGGTGTTGGCTATTGTTTGTGTTGTCAACACTGCCAGTCCTCTTCAATTAGAGCATAAACACAATGAATTTTTTCCTTGTGAATTGATGTGAATGGTCTGGTGCTGTGGGCTTCATCTTCAATATCATCTTGTCCCTTCTTACAGCAAGTTATCCACTTGTGAACTGCTAGTTTCTTTGGGGAATTATTCCCACAAACTTTTCACACAGTATCAGTTATTTCATTATTCTTTCACCCAAGTTCCAGCACAAGTGTAATGTTTCTTCTTGCTTTATTTTAGCAGGAATCATGTGGCTCTGATAGAGAGTCTTTTCAAATTGGTGTCTTATGCTTCTTAGTACCTCAAACTAGATCCCCTTTAGACATGTTATGACAAGTTACTGGAAGCTTATTTTGGTGCAAAAAAAAAATTAAATCCATGCATAATTTTAAATTTTTCCATGAACTTTTTGAAGACCTCTTGTATTTCGTGTTGCAGTACACTTCAAACAGTTATAATTGCCCACCTTGGGATGTTATGTTGGGACTTGGCAGGTTATAACATGAGGAGTATGGGCTCCTACTCACTGCTTCCCCACTGCCAACACTGGTGATACTGAAAAGTGACTACTGAGATGAAAGGTGATGAGAATAGGAACGGTAGGATGGGAGAAGAGGGAAAGCAGAAAGCAGGAGAAAGAGGGGCCAGGGCAGTCACAAGAGAGTTAGGGAATGATGCTGTCCCACCAGCTGCCTTGCTCTCCTAGTTGCCAATCCAGGTTCAGTACACCCCCAACCCAGTGTCCCAGACCCATGGTTGGGCTGGACTTCCTTCTGCAGGTGAGTCTGGGAGCTTTCCATGGGTTTACAGAGAGCTGGCTAGATGGCATGACCATCTTTTTCTCTATCATGTCTGAACCTTGTTTGCAAGATCTTGGTTTGCCTATCCTACCTCTGTCCTTTTACTCACTCCTATTTTTCTGTCAAGAAGTCTCCAGCTCTGAAACCCTAGGCATGACTGTACCCACAGACATCCTGTAAGGGCATGGGAAGGTCAGGGTAACAGATTGCCTCAAAGCCCTCTCCATGGGTTTTCCCTTGGAGATAGCCCATTCATGGCACTAGAATAATGCTCATCAAAGTTGTGTGGCCCAGAGACATCACTTTCATTCTTTTAATTTTCAATATGCTTCCCCGAGTGAAGGAGCGAAGGAGAGACAAACAGGTCAAGGCTGGGAGTCATGCACAAACAAACCTGAGCACACCCTACGGGGATCACCTACCATATAAATCTGATATGAACAAAAAAAGGGTGAGCATCTTATTTGTAATGTATCTTCTGCCCCTAGGCAAACTAAGTTCAGTACCTTCCAGATACTATGTACCCATGTACCCAACTCTGAAAGTTCCTAGAAGAAAGAGAGCCCATGCTATTCCTCAATGGTACAAGTCTTTAAATTCTTTATTTTGTCTAGACAAATTCAGTTAGATGTTTTTGAGATCAGTCTTATCTTTCAGTCATCACTAGGGTAGGTGGCTGGTTTTGTTGGAATCCTCCTTCCTCCTCTCCCTTCAATTTCTCCACTATTGGTGATCACTGTTGAATATTGGTGTTATCACTGTGTAGCTCTTTGATGTTGGGAAAGTTGCTTTACCTCTCTGATTCCATTTCCTCATCCTTAAAATGAGGCAGAAAATAGTACCTACTTCATGGGATGGTTGCAATAATTAAATAACTAACAAACTAAGGGCCTAGAACAATCTTTAGCATAACATGTGTTCAAGAAATATTAGCCATTATTATTAACTCATTAGGCTAGTAAAACAAATTAAATAACAATAACAACAGTAAAACTACCAATGGTTAAGGATTTATTATGCACCAACCAGTATTGTAAGTATTTTGCCCAACATTAAAGAAACAAAATAAGGGAGTGGTTAAGAGTGGTTAAAGTTCTGGAGCCAAAACTGATCAGAAAATTAGATCAGATAAAATTAGATAAGCAAATCAATTGTGTTAAACTCAGGAATATGTGATTTAAAAACCAAATGGAAATGAAAAAAATAACTTATTGCTGGTGGAATTTAGACATCAACTGCAGTGCAAGGTAAGTGGTATGGTGCAGGGAATGACATTTATGCCTGGACCTTTCCAGTACCCTTCAAATAACACCTCGTATAGCTGGCCATGGAACAATTCTTTTTTCTACCCAAATGTAAGATGAGCTTGCTGGGGCTATATTTTCAGGTGTTTGGGGTCCAATGCAGAAGAGTGATAGAATAAGGCTCCCCTCTAAACCAGGGCACACATGTCGCTGTTAGTCTCCTAGCCTGGAAAGGACATCTGCTTCTACAACATCAGCCCCTGAGACAAGAACTGACACCAGTGAAAACCAGAATAATAATCAGGTGGAGAAAAGTAATAACTTGAGCCTTGCTGGGGCTGGATTCAATTTATGCCTGCAGCGTTTCAGTTTTGAGTCACTAAACCTTGGTCAGAGTCTTGGGAGAAAAAGACAGTACAATTCCGAGAAGCCATCAAAAAGTGACTGCCAAGTTATTGGGAGGTTCCATGGTGCGTTTCTAAACCAGCACTAATCTAATAAATGTACGTGCAATGAACTGTGAAATTGAAAACATGACTGCCCATATTCTCTAAGCCAAGGGAATAAAATGGTCATTTTCCCCTTTATTTCATATGAAAAAGGAATCAGAGATAATCTGTGATTTTGGACTTTTGTACAAAACAGGGAAGTCTGCATGTCTAATGGCATTTATTAGCAGTGAGAAAAGAATTAGTGAATTATAATTCTTGGCTGACCAGAACCCCAGCTTCAAGCAAAAGGTAAGGTGAGTGCTGGACTTTTGAGTTAGAAGGTCTGGGGTAGGAACCCAGCTCTGCCATTTAAGACTGTGTGAAGTGAGGGCATTCATTTCTATTTTACATTCTCAATGTGAGGTTTAAATAAGATAATGTTTGTGAAAATGCTTTATTAAATTGGAAAGCATCATTTTAAGTGGATGAATGAGTGAGTGTGGGAAATAGGATGTGCAAATATTTTCATTGCTCTTTGGGAAATCATTGAATAAAACATTTTCTGCAATTCACCCACAGTTATTTTTGTTTTACTTCTGATTTAATCTATTACAGCATAGAAAACAAACAGAATTTTTGAAAGCTGAAGACATTGTTAAGACTGTGGGTTTCCATTTGAAACGTCAATTCAAATCAACCCACATGTGCTGAGAATATCAACTGAGTTTTTGGGACTGAGCTAGTTGCTGAAGAAAACACAACCATTATGAAGATGCAGTGACTGCTTTCAATGTGTTCATAATGTAATGGAAGTTGGGCAGGACAAAATAAGTGAATTTCATACAAAATGGAGTTACAAATGCCAAAAAACTCTAAAAATGTCAAATAATTGTAAATAGTTAATAGATTACCTCTAGATGGGAGCTCGGATAAGACTTCATGGAGGAAAAGGCATTAGGGATGTGCTTTAAAGGAAAGGGTCATGCATTGTTCAGGATTCAATCAAGAAAACAAGCTAAATACTTCTAACATGAAGGATTTAATTCCAGGAATTAGTTACAAAAACAATGACTGGGCAAAGAAAGCAAAACCTGAAGGGCTCTGGGTTGCCTAACCCAGAGATGAGTATCTGAAGGAAGATATTCCCATCCCTACAAATGCAGAAACAAAGATAAGGTGGTTCCATCCACAGCCAGGAGCTCATTCCGTGGCACTTCCAGGAATGCCACCCAGCTATTTGGGACTGCCAAAGAGGGGCTGCCACTGGGGACACTCCTGGAACCACAGAGCACTGTCTTGGAACCGCAGCACTGGAGCACCCCTGATGGGCAGCATTGGATGACAGCACTAGTTTGCCAGGCGGGGCATGGTGTGGCTAGTGCTGGGACCAGGAAGAAGGCTCCATGCTGTATCTGCCAAAGACCAGCACATAGAGTCTACTGATACCTGCTAGTAGAAATGAGAAACAAGGGAAAGAAAGAGAAATTAAGGAGAAGGAAGGAAGGAAGGAAGGAAGGAAGGAAGGAAAGAAAGAAAGAGAAAGAGAGAGGAAGAAGAAAAAAGAAGAAAGAGAAAGAAAGAAATGAGAAAAATAAAGAAAGAGAAAAAGAGGAGAGCATGAGTAGTCTGCATAGACAAGTCATGCTGCAGTGATAAACAATGGATGTTTCTTTCTCATTCACTGTGCATGGGACTGTTCACCTCTGCTTCATGACATCTTTACTCTGGGACACAGGTGGATGGAGCAGCCTCTTTCTGGAGCATTGTTGGTCTCATGACAGGAAACCATATGCTGGCTCAAGAGCTGCTGCTTGAAAGTGACACACATTACTTCCACTCACACTTACATTTTATTGGCCAAAGCAAGTCACATGGCCTTCCATGGGCTTAACAGGGCGTGCATGTGTAATCCTCAGGCAAAGAGGGACACTAAAATTGGTGGGGAGCCACCCAATCTACCACAACTAGAGAGTCCCTTGAGCCTCTGCCATTACTTTACTTTCTCCACTGAGAAGTAAGCTCCTTTTGGTCAAAAGCATTATGATGTGGAAGATCATGAGTTACTCAGTATGCCCATTGATGGTGACACTGGTAGATGCAAGTTTGTTCAGAATCTATCAAGAGGAGCAAATGCAAATTCAGAAAATCTTATATTCCAGTGAAGACAATCACTAGCTCCTCCATCTTAGAAAGGGCTTGGTGTAATCTACCTGGACAGACAGAGGGTTGATCCCTTCAGGGAGTCCCTACATAGCCTCCATGCCTGTTGCCATAGTTACAAGTTCAGGAACTGATTAAACAAGCATTGAGGTGGTGGGGGAAGGACCCACCTTGGCATGAAGTCCTTTTGTGACCATCATCACGGGAGACAAGTACTCTCACATTCCAGGCCCAATTCAGGAGACACATACCCAACCTCATTGTTACCAACCTACCAACAACATGTCAAGTCTCAATCTGGACAAATTATTAACTGCTGCTTGTGAATTGGTTTGTCATAATTCAAGCTCTCTCTTCTTCCAGGCAAAATGAATGACATGGTTATGTACAGCCTTAAGTTTTGCTCCCAGAAAGATTTTCCTTCCCTATTGTCCTTCAGGGCCACACCAAGTGGGGTTTTAAAGCCACAACAATCTCTATATAACCAGGACCTGCACATCATGTGCACCAGCTCTAAACCAATGATTCATGTTTCTGTGGTGGCCTGTTCTTAGCAAACTCCCCATGACATCAGAGGTGTGAGCTGAGGGTCATGTAGATTCCAGCAAGCTGGCAGTGTGAGCTGCCCACTTCTGCAAATTCCTTGTGCCTTCAGAAGCTGCTCAGGCCTAGTCCCATATCTACCACTTGCATTTGATGGTGGAACACTGATGGGTACATCTGACTTTGTGGTTAGTTGGATCAAATAACAGTTGATGATAGGCAGCCACGTTACATGGCCACCTGACGTTTCGTGCCCACACTGCTGGGCACAACTGACTTTATGATTAGTTGGATCAAATAACACAGTTAGTTCACGATAAGCAACCAGGTTACATGGCCACTTGATGTTTTGTCGTCAGGGGTTCACTTTCTACTAAGGCTCCGTAGCAAGTCCTCAAAAGAAAATAGTTGTTGATTGAAATAGAATAGCTTTGCTCAAAGACTCTCAGGGCCTTTGCTGTGATCTCCTGTTGGGGGTTGCAATAGGCTCCTCACAGAAACTCAAACTGCTGCAAATACTTCAAGATCCACTGGACTCCTGAATCAGAAAGTTGAGTGGTACTGCTAGATCAGATGGAGAACTGTCTCTTGTTTGGGTATCTTACACTAAGTTAAATTAGCTAAAAGTGATTCAGAGCAGCACAATGCAAATATAACTCACACCCCACTCAAAATCCAAAGAGGCGTGCCTAGCTTTTTGCCTCTTGGTAGGAGGTGTCGGGTACAGGGATGTGCCTTCACCCAGGAGGAGATATATTGACATGCCCTAGCCCATTGAATTTCCCAAGCAAATTGAAGTAAAAAGACCTTGTATTTGGGGAGGAGGATTATTCCTCTACTCTCTAGGTCCTGAATCTTACCACACCTAATTATGCTTAAAATAACCTATAATAATGCTTGAAGGTCATTTGTCTTCTGCATATCCCTATGCAGGGTTAAATAGGAGTTACAAGTATAATAATTGCAAAAGGAGTAGCTAGCATTTGTTTTGTGATTATCATTTTCATCGTGCATGTATTAACTCATTTAATCATCACGATAGCTCTACGAGATAAACAATATTACTATCCTTATTTTGAAGGGTCACCATCCCTGCACCTTCCTTTTCTTTTTCTTTTCTTTCTTTTTTTTTTTTTTTGAGACGGAGTCTCACTCTGTCGCCCAGGCTGGAGTGCAGCAGTGCCATCTCAGCTCACTGTAAGCTCCGCCTCCTGGGTTTTCGCCATTCTCCTGCCTCAGCCTCCCGAGTAGCTGGGACTACAGGCGCCCGCCACCATGCCCAGCTAATTTTTTTATTTTTAGTAGAGACGGGGTTTCACTGTGTCAGCCAGGATGGTCTCGATCTCCTGCCCTCGTGAAGCGCCTGCCTCGGACTCCCAAAGTGCTGGGATTACAGGCGTGAGCCACCGCGCCTGGCCTGCACCTTCCAATTAGCACTAATCTGCATGGGTACATTCCTCCTTCCCCCACTTCCCAGAAACGTTTGCTTTCTTTCTTTTTTTTTTTTTTTTTAATATTTTGGTAGAGCCCTCCAGCCATTTTCTTTGGGTCCTTCCTGCCATGAAATATCTTTCTTCACAAGTGAGGATTCTTCTAACTGTTAAATATTGATTTTAACTATATGCCTAGGGACTGGTGAAACAACCAGGTATGATGGGGATCTCATGAAGCCATATTTGAAGTGGATTTGGGCAAAACGTCACTAATCTCATGGTCTCCATAAGCCCCTTCTCCAATCTCTAACAATTTGTTAGTTTAGAGTCAATGTCAAAATAATCTTTCCCTGGTACTCAGTTACCATGGTAAGTGGTCTTCAGTTATCTTTGGAAAACTAGGAGGAAGGACCGATTCTTGTCCTTGAGGTATTATGGCAGTCCTACCTTGGTGTTCCAACTTCTTTATGTACTGCCCAGGGCCCTATCTGTCGTCACTTTCTGCCATAGTGGCTTAGCTTCCATCAGACACATGGTCACATAATCTGGAAGTTATGTGTTTATTTAATATCTCATGGGATGAAGTTACTGATAATTTTCAAATTAGGCATCAGGGCCTGAAAGTGAAGTTTCCCATTTAGTTCTTCAGTTTAGTTTATCAAAATACTTTAAAGTAGGAGATTTTTGTTTTACCACCAGGTTTCCAACAGGACAGACTTTTCCATACTGGTCAGTGTACGGGGACACTTGACTCCAATACAGTATTTTATTTACTACTCTGCTAACAGGAGGGTCATCCATTCTAAACTACCTTTGGATTCCTTTTTCATCAATAGTGAAGAAACCTCTAAGACTGTGGCCTGAGTTCTCCAGATACATCACCATAGCACTTTAAGATCTGATGGATAAAATCTGAAAGAAATGAAATTTTCCCCGGGCTCCAGTCCTCTTTGTTTGCGAGGGGTGGGACTTCATACTAAATGGGTAAACTGTGAATCAGCAAGGCATGGATCACTTCAGTGTTTAGTGGTCTAAGTTCTCAATTTTGTCACTAAAATTGATTATTTTAGTTGGACACATACATGTAAAATCAAGGAAAAAATAGACATTTTCCACATTACCCATTTAAATTGAGCACTTTAAGTTCTCCATTGATCACAGCTGCTCCTCCTCAGTAATTTGAATTTTGGTTTTGCTGAAGTGCAGGTAGGGTCAAGTATGAACTGATGCCTCTCAGTGTTTAATCATCTGCCCATGTGAAAGTGGCACTGCTATCCACAGTCCTCAAGCCTCTCATTTCCTCATGGAGGTCAGAGATTGAGAGGGTGGTGGCTGCTTTAGTGTTCTTCTTTCTTGGCCATGAGTTTATACTACACAAATTTTGGCAAATCCACAGCCTCTCACCCTGAGAGTTCTTTTTAGCTATGCAAATCCAGTAGGAACTTGATGAATTACTCATATACCCATGGACCTTCAGGATCGCTTAGCTTCTGCCAAAGATCCTTGATAGCTAAATTATTCGCATTACCGAGTCAACTCTGCTGCCTACCACAGTAAATACACCCCCATTGTCTCTGCTGGATAAGTGCTTCTCCTCTGCCCCCATCACTTCCCAACCAGCTCCCCAACCCCACTGGAAACAGAGAACCTGTTTCAACTGTAGCACCTTCTGCTAGCATACCCAGCCTACCCCAAACAGCCACGAAAGCACTGTTCAAAGATGGCAGGTCTCCTCTCCAGTGTTATTGCCAAAGGCCTTAGCAAAGGCCTTTTTGGGTCCTCTCCAGAAACTCAGAGGGATAGGTCCTGGTCAAACAGGCTACATTCACTCCAGCATTCCCATCTCTCAAGATTTTTTGACTTCTTTTTCTACTTAATGTTAAGAAATTGATCTCATAATATCACTTAGTGGCTTCAATCTATTCACCAAGCCAACAACTGAGATCACTTTCAAATGCTGGAACTAAAGTCACTGGTAGGTGCACCTGTACTGGTAAGTCCGGTCCAGGCTAAAATCATGCCCTTCCCTCTTTGGCCAGGCAACCTGGGAAAACATTCTTTTTTTTTTGAGACAGAGTCTTACTCTGTTGCCCAGGCTGGAGTGCAGTGGCGACGAGATCTCAGTTCACTGCAGCCTCCACCTCTCAGGCTCAAGCGATTCTCGTGCCTCAGCTTCTGAAGTAACTGGGATTGCAGGGGTGCGCCACCACACCTGGGTAGTTTTTATATTTTTAGTAGAGACAAGGTTTCATCATTTTAGCCAGGCTGGTCTTGACTCCCGGCCTGAAGTGATCTGCCTGCCTCGGCCTTCCAAAGTGCTGGGATTACAGGCATGAGCCACTGCACCCGGCCTGAGAACACATTCTTATGTGACTCCCTAGATTGTTGCAGATAAAATGAGAAAAGTACCACAATTTTCTGTTTTGTTTCAGTACATAAGCATTTATCAACATTCATCTTTATAAGTGAACCCCAAGGGCATTGCTAGTCCTGGGACAGAGGAACTTCACCATCTTTTGTTTGTTTTTCTAACCCTGACTATACCTCTGTAAATATTCTCTTCACTGAAGTCTCTCGAGTTAAATACTCTGCGTGTGTCTTCTGATACTGTGTCACTTTCCCAAAACTCAGAATCTTGAGTAGAGTTTTTGACTGGCTGAGCCCGGTTTATTTGCTTACATGCTGGTATCCACCGAGTAAAGAGAAGGACTGTGAGTTTCTGCCTTTCACCAAGACTCACTCATGGAGATTTCTCTGAAACAGAAAAGATGTCCCACAAGGATCGGTAGTTTTTAAAAAGACAAATGTCCATTATACTGGGATTGACAAGTAATTCTACTTGGACAGAAAGGAGGATATACATAGGGGCAGTGGAAGGAAATTGGGCTACAAAAGCAAATGAGAACTTTATTAATTCAGAAGGGCTTAAATGCCAGCCAAAGAAAGATATCTCATGAGATGGGAAATGGGCTGCCACTAACAGTCTTGAGTAGAAAAATGACATGTAATCTGTGCTTAAGCAAGATCCATCAGGTACAAGAGTGACAATAAATCACAGGAAGGAGAGAATGTTACTTTCTCCATTGAATTGTAAGCCTCACAGGGGCAGGGCCTTGTGGACTTGTTTAATGTTTCTCTTCCTGGTGACTAGCCCAGTGCCTGGCAAGTAGTGGATATGCAATCAGTGCTTGTGATGGAGAGCAAAGAGGCAAGGATGAATTAGGAGGCTACTCAAAGTTAGCCCCCGTGAGAAATAATGAAGCCTGAATGAGAGGGTAGAAAAATAACATATATTTAACATTCACCCTATACCAGGCATTTAATCTATATTATCTGATTGATCTCACAATTACTTTTACGAGGTACATATTTGTTTCAATTTTACAGATGAGGCTCGAATAAATTAAGGGAAAAAGTCCACATTCAGATATGCAATAAATAATGGAGCTGGGATTTGAACCCATGTCTGGCTCTGAAACTCCCCCTTGTCCAGGACATCATGCCAGGAGGGAGTCAGGACAGGGGGAGGTCAAGAAGGCACAGAGGTAGGAGAGAATCGCAGCTGGCCAGGTCCATTTGGTGGGACAGAGCATGAGGCAAAGTGGAGGAGTTTGGGGCTTTGAGCTGGAATCCCAAGGAGAATTGTGATGACGTTAAAAGAAATAAAGCATTCAAGGGGACTTTCAGGGATGGGATGCTTGGGTCAGATCTGGACATGCTGCTTGCGGGTCCTGGGGGGACATCTAGATGGAGCTACCCATCAGGCAGTTGGAAACGCCAATCCAGATCCCAGGACAGAGGCAGCAGTAAGGAAGCAGACTTGCAAGTGCCCCATGTTGAGGCGATTATTTGAAGCAGTGAGCATAGATGAGAAAAAGTTAGCCAAGGTCGTGATATAAATGTACCTGGTCCAAGCATGGTATGCAGGATATCTGAATATGCACAGATCCTAAGGTATGTCCTGAAAGTAGGTCCGCTTTACTGAATCTTCTGATCAGCAGTTTTCTTGAGGTTTTCACATTTACTTAAGTAGAGTGTGTTGGCAGGGGGTGAAAAATACACACAAGAGCCCTGATCAATGAAAGTTTTGCTGTGGGTGTGACCTATGTCCTGTAACTTGCTCAAACTTCTCAGAGAGGGAAACTTTAAATATCCAAGTTAAGAACTACGAATGCTGACAATTCTCTGTCTGGGAGCTGAAGATCCAACCTTTAGAGGCCATGACTCCTCAGGTCACGTACCTGTTACAAGGGGCTTGATATGGTTTGGCTCTGTGTCCCCACCCAAATCTCATCTCAAATTGTAATCCAAGGAGGGACCCAGTAGGAGGTGATTGGATCATGGGGGAGGTTTCCTCCACGGTGTTCTTGTGATCATGAGTGAGTTCTCATGAGATTTGTTTAAAAGTAGCACTTCCCTATTTGCTCTCTTGCCCTATCCTGCCACCAGGTAAGACGTGCCTTGCTTCCCCTTCACCTCCAGCCATGATTGTAAATTTCCTCTCTCTGTCTCCCTCTCCTGCCGCCAAGTAAGATGTGACTTGCTTCCCCTTCACCTCCTGCCATGATTGTAAGTTTCCTGAGGCCTTCCCAACCATGTGGAACTCTGAGTCAATTAAACCTCTTTCCTTTATAAATTACCCAATCTCAGGTGTTCTTTATAGCAGTGTGAGAACTAATACTTGGCTTCAGCTGGTTAATCCCCAGGGACAGTTTTCAGGATTAGATTTTCGTGGCAGTGTTTCCTCTCCCTTCTACTCCCCTCCCCATAAAGATTTAGTGGGCAGGACTGACTTGTCTGAAGGGGTCCTCTTGGCTGGGGGCCTTCGAAGAAGCCAGATTGTCCCCTTAAGAGTAGTCACTACTATAAGCCCAAAAATCTTGGGTCCCTGTAATGTGCTATGTGCTATGTCTCCGGCTGACTTGCACTGCAGCCTAGTCAGAGATGGCCACCTTTGTCTTTCTACAGCAAATCAGAAAGGGACACAAAATTTCTATTTGAACATAGATAATTCAAAACAGCTGAACTTTTTTAAATGAAGAATCTTTTTGCATGCAACGTTCGATAGTGGAAGAATACCCTGATTAACTTAGGAAACTATTTTACCCTAACTTAGTTATGAACGACCAAAAATGTGCCTTTACATCTGTTTAGGATGACATTTTGGGCATCTAGTACTACATTACAATCTCCATGAGACAATAAACACATAGACTTGTTATTTGATAGTTGCATAATTGTGGTTTTCTTCTGCTTGTTCTCAGAGGTGGAGAGCTGCCTGTTTGCTTTTTATTCCTCTTTTTTTTTTTTCCAGGAGAAAAAAACAAATGTAAAACACACCAAACCAGAGGGAAAGAAATAGTCAATATGCCGCTGCTGCATGTAAGCTGCAAGTTTATTTGCCTGTTTACTCTCTTTGAAATACCTGTGAAGTGCTTTGCCGGCGGGTTCTCGTCCACATCCTCTGAGTGGCAATGCTCATTCACGACCAGCAGAGGGCAGGCACGACCTCCTAATACACCGGGAAGGCCATTTTGCCAGCACCAGGAATAAAGGCGCCCTTGCCATCTGTAACCTCAACCATCTCTCTCAACCACTGTAGACCTAATTGCCATGATAAAAACAGATCTGTATGAGCTTTGTAGTCACACGGTCTTGGTTAAATCGCAGCTCTGCCACGTATTAGCTGTGTGACCTTCAACAACCTACATAACCTCTCTGAGCGCGTTTCTTCCTCATTTCTAAAGTGGGACTATTAATAATACCTACTTCATAGGCTTCTTGTGAACATTTAATCAGTTAATATATGCAAGGCACTCAGAACAGAGCCTAGCACATGGTAACCTATTATATTTATTGTTATTACTAATAGTATTGCATTAAACTCTTTCATTCTCTCTCTCAGGACTCCAACTAAAGTGTCCAAGGAGAAGGGACACCACTCAAGAGGAAGGAAGAAAAAGGCTTTGGTGAGTCTCAGGCCACCCCAGGAATCTCTGGGTGATGGAGAAGGGAGCTACAGAGATGTCTCTGCTCCAGCAGAAGAACAGAAAGATGGTTCTAACCTGGGGTGAGAGACACCAAATGAGCTAAGCTTTCCTGTTTCATTCTTTCCCTAAAGGCAGTAAGACCTGAGCTTGGGCGGTGGGAAGGTCCGCAGACATCTGGTACAAGAAGGGCTCCAGGCAAGCAAAGAGCTGTTCCTCCCAGCTGCATTCAAGCATGGTGCAATTAGCTGCAGCCTGGGGGATCGTCACGAACCTGGCCACCTGGGCACCTCTCCTCAACATCTGGGTGAAGGACAAAGGGAAGGCACAAGCTCCGAAAAAGAGGCCTTGGAGGTTATTTTACAACAAGAGTGGCAGAGGCCAGGGAAGCATGTGGGTGTTCTAGCTGCTTTTAGCAAAGCCATTCATGTGGTAGCTAGAAGTGATGAGGCCCTGGCCGTGTGGTGGGCAGGCAGGGGCAGGGATCCATGGCAGAAAGAAGAGGGTACACTTTCCTGGAGATGTTTCCAAAACCCCTGGGTAGGGATCTTGAGGTGAGCTCTGGTAAGCGTCTTGAGGACAAGGACCACATCTTATCCAGCCTTGTAGAGTAGCAACTGTTCGGGTCATAGGCTGTGAATAAATATTCCAACTCTATCTCCTTCTGACACATGATAGGATGGCACTTCCCTGCTCACTGGAAGTCGATGTGGCCATGTGACTTTCTGTGGCTAATGAAAGGTAAGCAGAAGCTTTCAGAGCCAATGCAGACTCTACCATATTTTTTTCCTGAGCAGGCAGCTAAGGGCTCCTCCAGGAGCCTGTGTCCCTGTGTGACTCTGATGAGCAGAGTGCCCCCTAGGCTGACTTGTGGCTGACATGCAGCCATTGAAATGTCAGGTTACTGTTTGTTTGTTACAGCAGCAGACCCCAGCCTGTCCTGATTTAGACAGCAGCTCACCTTTGTGTAGCCCTCTGTCACATCCAGCATGGCTTTTTCACACTGCATCACCTCATCTGATCCTCTGGAAAGCATGTGAGGTAGGTCTGTTATCCCAATTTACCAGCTGAAACTGGATCCCTGAAAGCTTAAGTATCCAAGGTTCCAGAACAAAGTGACAGAGCTGGGAATCCAACCCAAGCCCCAGGACGCCAAATCCCATGCTGTTCCTCCCCCACCATCCTCCCTAGTGTGATGACACTCAACAAATGGGTACCGACTGAAATTGAAATGATAATACTGGCCCGCACAGCTGCAATCATCATCATCATAGCACTTTCACGAGGGCAATGCTTTTTCTTGGTGTCATGAACACATAATGTAGGATCGCCAGTTTTATAAAGAGCAAAGGTTAGTAAGAAGTGATGTCTACAGTGTCTTACATGAAAGTTAGACATCAGACATTGCCTAGGGAAGGCTCTTACTGGGACGAATGATCTAACATTTATTGTAGTGTTTTGTTTTTTTTTTTTTTTTTTTAGACAGGGTCTTGCTCTGTCACCAAGGCTGGAATGCAATGGCACAATCTCGGCTCACTGTGACCTGTGCCTCCCAGGTTCAAGCTATTCTCCTGCCTCAGCCTCCTGAGTAGCTGGGATCACAGGTGCATGCCACCACGCCCAGCTAATTTTTGTATTTTTAGTAGAGACAGGGTTTTGCCATGTTGGTCAGGCTGGCCTTGAACTCCTGGCCTCAAGTGATCTGCCTGCCTCAGCCTCCCAAAGTGCTAGGATTACAGGTGTGAGCCACTGCGCCAGGCCTATTGTAGTACTTTGAAAATCAGCTTCTGTAATTAACATTCTCCATGGCTCTGGCACTCTCCTCACACCACTCTGCTCCCCACAAAGTCCCTAACCACAGTTCCCCTGACTCTGAGCTCCTGCATTCTTTCTATCTAAACTCTCCGTCAGTCATAGTTACCTGTTCTAGGGCCTCAATCACTCAGGGCCCATTTTTTTTTTCTCCTGGGAAACCAGCAACCTACTCCAGCTAACTCATGCAAAGGCTGATGGTATGTTATTGCTGCGACTTGTCACACTTGTGTTTTAGCCTGGCTCTCTAGTCCAGCAGTGGGATTTCAGAGCAGCTCACAGGCTGCTAGGGGAGCTATCTCAGCACCGGCCGACTTTTGATTACACCTCAAATCACATCCTGTTGTTGGCAGCCAATTCTACTTAGCCTAAGACCGCTTTCTGCATCCATCCATCCTTCACTGCTGACTTTAAAGGGATCAAAAGAGCCCTGTGTATTTTTCTAATCTCCCTAATCCTCGTAACTATTCCTGTGAGGATGCAGGTATCATCACTACCATTTTTCAGATGAAACGAAGGCCCAGAAAGTTTTAGTGACAGACCCAAGGTCACCCCTGTGAGCCGGTGGCAGAGATGGGAATGGAACTCAGACCGGCTGGTCTCCCAGGCCATCAGTCTCCATTAGACCCTGCTGTCTCGCTGAATTCCCCCTGCAGTTTTAATTGAATATCATGTTCTTCTTCACTTCCTGCCCTAAACAGGGCAACAGCTGCCGCTCACCCTCCTGAGCCGGCTGGCGGTACTTCAGTGGTGGGTGAAGTTATGCTGGGGTGGAAAGCGGGTGAAGCGTTTCAGGATAAAAGGACCCATCAGATTGGAAGATATTCACGACGGTATAAAAGGGATGCCCTGACTTTCAAATGACATCGTGTTGGGGACCAGGCTAAGAGGGAAACTGCTTGGGAGGGTGAGTATGGGAGTTGGAAGGATGGGACACTGTGGAGGAGAAAAAAAGATGCGTGTGTAATTGGATGGAAACTTTCGGCAAAAAAATAAATAAAACCATGGAGCACTGTTATTGGTGAGAGGCCCAATATGCGACATGGCTGAACTGTCCTGGGTTCATGTTCTTTTCTTGAGAACAATGCTTAGGGTTTCAAGGGGATTAAAAGCAAGAGGACTAAGATTCGCTTTGCCCCATTCCATCTGCTGCACAGTTTCTACAGCAGCAGTTCTAAAGCTTTCGGGTGCAGCAGAAGGACCTGGGACACTCGGTAAAAGTATTGGTTTCTAGCCCTCTCCTGAGAGACTGTGGCTCAAGAGAGTTTGTAATTGTCTTGTAGGGCACACTTAGGGGAAGGCAATCAACGGTCATCCAGCTTCAAGAACTTGTGCCCCTGCCTCTCATATACATTTTGGAAAGGTCTTTTCCTTTGGGAATCAGAGGAGGAGGTCTGCAGGGGAGTGGCTTGTGTCTACAGCTGCTAAAAACAAACAAACAAAAAAAACCAATAACTCTACTCCGCAAATGTGAGGTTTGGGTAAGCATAGAGCAGCCTGCTGTCTTTGTCGTGGTCACCACCATCAAAGCATTTGCAGGAGCCTGTCTGCAGGTGGAGTGAGGCTCCTAATTACACTTCAGGGCACAAGAACCTGTGAGGAGAGGGGAATCTTGCCCTTGGAAATATGAGCGGTTTGGTCCAGGCCAGGAGGAAATTGAAAAACTTTCCAACCAAAACGTTTACTTCCCGAAGAGATAAAAAGAAGCTCAGGGTCATAAATCCGGGCCAACACCCAGGCCCCGGAGGTCAGACGGGAGGCCCAGAGGCGGATCAAGGCAAGGAATGCAAGGCGAGAGTCCCCGGCCAGTAGGGAGCCCCAAACACACAGATCCAGGGGCTCAACAGGCACCCAGCGGACAACCCTCAGAGGCCCAGGGCTCCGGGGGCTCAGGCCACTTGTCTGTGGCTAGGCAGCAGGGCCTTGGAGAAGCCTCCAGCCCAGACCCCCCTGTGCTAGCTGTCTGCCCTCTCTATGTGTTGCAGAGTTACATATTTTCTGGAACCCTCCTTAGACATGTTCACGGAAAAAAAAGCAAATAATCAGGGAAGATGGTATAAAGAACTGGCAGTCTCTGTTTTCTCAGCCAAGAACCTGAGCAGAACCAGGCCAGCTGACCAGGTGCCCAGCTTCAATTCCCAGAGGGGGGCTGTCTGCCCAGCTGTGCCCCGTGCCTGGCAAATGGGTGCCTAAGGAGGCAGCCATCGTTATTCTCAGGAACCTATGAAGGGCTCAGGATATCATGAATTATGACTGCCACAGCGAGGACTGAATGATGACTCAGGACACCTTTTGCTGTTAAGTTCCATTTGCGGGCGCTTCTCATTTTCAACAAGCAGAAATTCCTCCTCTGGGGACTGTTTCCCATGCTCCCACTCATCTCAAAGTCTCAGTTACCCCAAAGTTATGAAAATATGCAGAAAGGTGTCAGAGCCAGGGAAATGTGGTCAGAGTAGAACACAGGCTGGTGGGGAGGAGGGCATTTCCAAGGGCAAAATGTGGGCCCACTGGTATTAAAACTTCTCTATTTCCTACATTTTACTTTCTACAGCTAAAGTGTGAAGCAAATCATTGTCCTGTGACCTGAGGGGAGGGTGGAGAAGCTTTAAATGATTTAAACTTGAAACTTGTTCCCCTCCAAACAAAAATGGCATTGTAATGTTAGATAAGTTCTTTACCCTTTCTAGGTCTCAAATTTTTCTCCCCATAATGTAGCTTCCATTTCATCTGGTAAGCAAATCCTGAATTTTAACTGCCTCAGAAGGACCTTGAGCTCTGTGCTTGAAAGGCAGCAAAAGCCGAGTGCAATATTAATGTATAATTATTTACAATACAACCACAAACTCAATTTAAAAGCCAGTTGAAGTGTAAGGAGCAAACCACAAAGATACAGGTAAACATTTAAAGTGGAGACATCACGGTTCAACAAAGAATTGATTCTCTTCTAGAGCAATCATCTCTAAAGCCCATCTCACATTTCTGAAATGCTGTTACAAATAAAACAGAAATCAGGACAAGAGGAGGTGACAAGAGGCAGGAAAAATGCCAATGATCTGGATTTGGCCAACTTCCTGATGGTGGGCATGTCATCCCGTCACTCTGGCCCTTGCTTTCATCGTGTTTTTTGTCTAAATTGCAGCCAGAAAACACATAAGCTTACCCTCTTAACCATTTTCTAGTGTACAGTATTGTTAACTATATGCCATGCACATTGTTGTATAACAAACAGAGCTCTAGAAAGTTCATTCGGCATGACTGAAACCCTATACCCATTGAATAGCTCCTGGTTCCCTGTGTCCCCAGCCTCTGGCAACCACCATTTGACTTTCTGTTTCTATGAGTTTGATTACTTTAGACACTTTACAGAAGTGGAATCAGGCAATATTTGTCTTTTTTTGTGATTGGCTTATTTCATTTAACCTAATGTCTTTAAGGTATGAACCTTGTTGTAGCATGTACTAGGACTTCCTTCTTTTTAAAAGCTGAATGATATTCCATTTTGTGTATATGCCACATTTTCTTTATCTATTCATTCTACCGATGGCTTTTAGGTTGCTTCCACATCTTGGCAATTATGAAGAATGCTACAATGAATATGGGTGTGCAAATGTCTCTTCGAGATCCTGTTTTCAGTTCTTTTGTAAAAATTCTCAGAAGTGGGATTGCTGAATCATATGGCAATTCTATTTTTAATTTTTCAAGTAATCTCTATACTGTTTTCCATCATGCTGCACCATTTTACAATCCCACCAACAGTGTTTTGTCTTCAGGATTGCACTGCTGAAGCCTGTTTCTTCTCCTGTTACAATTGGAACAAGGGTTCCAATTACTCTACATCCTCATCAACATTTGTTTTCCTGTTTTTTTTTATGGTGGCCATCCTAATGGGGGTGAGGTAATATCTCACTCTGGTTTTGCTTTGCATTTTCCTAATGATTAGTGATGTTGAGCATCTGTGAATATGCTGTTGGTCATTTGTTTATTTTCTTTAGATAAATGTCTGCTGAAGTCCTTTGATCATTTTTTTAATTGAGTTATTTGGTTTTTGTTACTGAGTTGTAGGAGTTCTCTATGTATCCATCATTGAGTATGATGTTAGCTGTGGGGTTTTCATATATGACTTTATTATGTTGAAGTAGTTTTCTTCTATTACTAGTGTGTTGAATGTTTTTATCATGAAAGTTGTTAAATTTTGTGAAATGTTTTTTCTGGATTAACTGAGATAATCATGCCATTTTTGTCCTCTGTTCTTTTGATGTGGTGTATTATATTTATGAATTTTTTATGTTGAACTATCCTTGCATCCCACAGATAAATCCCACGTGATTATAAATGTATAATTCTTTAAATGTGCTATTGTATGCCATTCTCTAGTATTTTCTTGTGAGTTTTTACATCAATACCCATCAGAGATACTGGCCTGTAGTTTTTTTTCTGGTAGTATCCTTGTCTGGCTTTGGTATTAGGGTAATGCTGGCCTCATAACATCAGTTTGGAAGTGTTCCCTCTTCTTCAATATTTTGGACGAGTTTGACAAGGATTGGTGTTAATTCTTCTTTGAATGTTTGGTAGAATTCTCCCATGAAGCCATCTTGTTTTGGGCTTTTCTTTGTTGGGAGATTTTTGATTACTGACTCAATCTCCTTACTAATTATAGGTCTGTTCAGATTTTCTACTTCGTCATGATTGAGTCTGGGTAGGTTATAAGAATTTAACCTTATATAACCTGTTTCTAAGAATTTATCTGTTGTTTCTAGGTTATATAATTTGCTGGTATATAAGTGTTAATAATAGCCTTTATAATCCTTTGTGTTTCTGTGGCATCAGTTGTACCTCCTCTTTCCCGATTTTAGTTATTTGTCATTGTGTTTAAAACGAGGTTGTTGAACTAGATGATTTCTAAGGTCTTTGTAGCTCTGAAATTCTTTGACGCCTCAAAATAACATTTTAAAATGTATTATAAAATATTTAAGACATACAAAATGATATAAAGAAGAATACAATCAATGCCCACCTAGCTTAAGAAATAGAAGTCATCAGTGCAGTAGATAACTTTCTGTGTATCCTTCCCCAAGTGTGCTCTCTGTTCCAGAAGAACTCACTGTTCTGAATTTTGTATTTTTTATTCTCATACATATATTTATGCTTTTTATTATATATATGTGTGCATGTGTAAGAGAAATATATATTTTGTTTACTTTTAAGCTTCATATTAGAAATAAAATATTGTATTTATTAGTCTACAAGTAGATTTTTTTCTAACATTTTGTGAGCTTCATCCTTGTTGATGCACGTAGCAGTTGTTCATTTCCCCTCGCTTTACCCCCACCCCCGTTGTAACACTTAATTATATGAAGGTGCCGCAGTTTCGGTATGCATTGTTGATGAACATCAGGTTGTTTTCATTGTTTTGTTTTAACAATCTTTCTCCAAATATCCATGTATATATCTCCCTGAGCGCTTGTGTGGGATTTGCTCTAATAGAAAACTACCAGGAGGATAGCAAATGTGCATTTGCACCTTGACTAAATAATGCCAAATTTTTCTCTAAAGTAATTGAACCAATGTGTACTCCCACCAGCAGGGCATAAGATCTCCTGTTATTCAATATCCACACCATCACTTGGTAGTATCAGACATGTAATGCCCATTCATACATTTTGGCATAAAATGGTAACCTATTGCAGTTTTCCCTATAATTTCCCTGATAACCACTGTGATTGTTCATTTTGTCTTATGTTCAGTAGCTATTTGTGCTTCCTCTTCTGTGAATGGCTTCCTCATTATTTTTTGCCTGCCTCTGATTTTTACCATGGGTGGACTGTATTTACGCTCTATCCCAGGAAAGACATAGATTGCCTGACCAGATCTCACCACTGTGAACCGCATTCTTGAAAAATTTCTAACATAGCTCCCACTTGTGCCACAAGACTGTGTGGGCGAGGATCACCTTTCCTTAGTGCATTCAATGTACCCATGTTTCCTTCATACCAGCCAGTGCAGGTGGCATGAGTGTACCTTCCAGGGCAATGTACTGTTTAAAAATGTGAGTCTCCCATCAGAGAGTTGAAATTCAGAGTTCTCACAGCAGTTGCTGCTAAGCCGATGTTGCTTCTATCCAGATGGCCATGTGTACCACCCGATATGGAGAGACCTAAGCATGTGCTGGAGGGAGGCCATGCCCACTAATCCTCCACATAAAGGGTCATGGAGTTATGGCTCATGCTCTAATACTTAGAATTTCCTGGGTTTTATGGAGAAATGTGCATTCCTGATATTTTTCAAAGTTGCAAAATGCTGATATTTATTTAGAGACGTGTCACAAGTGAAGCCAAAGGAAATATGCCCAAGATTGAATTTGAGATTTCTTTAACTACAACTTGGAGCAGAGTGTTCACTGAAGAAGATTGGCAATGAAGAGGCAAAAAGCCTATTGTGTTAATTCTTGCTTAATGTTTTAAATTAAAAACTAAGGAGTTTGTCCACAAGGGATACAAGAGGTGCCTGTGTCCTTTGATACAAGCTCATACATACATGTTAAATTGCTAATAGAAGAGGTGCTTATATGCCAGGATACAAGAGGTGCTGGGCGTAGGATGAATGGACATCAGTTTGAAAATCTCTCTAGTCCTAATTAGTGTAAGTTGCCACTATTGTCACTATAGGTTGTTGTCCCAGCTACAGTCAGATCGTGTTGGTTTACAAAGTGTAATGCTAGGGTAGACTGGCATGTCCACAGTGGATGCATTCCCACTGCAGAAGACGAAATTCTTGTCAGATCCCAAAGGAAAAATGGGAATTGTGGCTTTGGAATTGAGATACAGTTCATACAATATCCAAGAGGTAGAGGGGAAAGGTATTTTTCTCCAACCTAAGAACTATGTATGTATGTACACACACACACACACACACACACACACACATTCAGAAAAGTGTGTCTACCTGCATGCAGCCCTCATTCTGCTGATTTTAGTTTCTTCCACTTCTGCTTCTAAGTAGCAAAGAAAGCCAAAAATTAGAGGATTGAAAAAAAATGGAAAAAGCAAAAACAGATTTTACCTATAAGGCCTGAAATTCACCCAAAAATGAATATGTTTACCAGCAGATTGTGAAGCAAACCAACACTCCGTCAATATATTCGTCAATTAGTGCATTATTACTGAGTGCAAAGTGTGTCTATTCTGTATTGAGAGGTTCCTGTGTCTTCTCCAGTGCCTACTAGAACAGGTTTCCAGGAATACCCCACACTCATATGGCTGTTCCAGTCTTCAATTGGCATCTTAGACACAGTCTGTAAAGGAAACATAGTAAAAACTGGGGTAAGCAGAGAATAAATAGAAGACTATGGAAGGACCTGGGCAAAGGGAATCCTTGAAATATATGACCCTTGACTCAATCAATCCATTTGCAAATGTTTATTGAAGGTCTAGTATATGCTGTCAATGTCATTGTCCTACAGGCAGTATAATAGTATCTTTCCCTCTGTACCTTAGTTTTCTCAGCTGTAAATTGGGAATAATAATAGTACCTACCCTGAAGTGTTATTGTGAGTATTAAGTGAAATAACATACTTAAAGCATGTAGAACGGTGCCTGACATATGATCAATATACAATCAATATTAAGGAAAGAGAAAAATCATAAGCACATAGAAACTGGAAAACAATAAAGACATCAAAACAAGAGATGTCACAAGGCACTGTATTATTAATTGCCAAACAAATGCTTCTCACCCCTGAATGTCAAAACGTAGGGCACAGAGCTAAGAGAGAGCCAAAAGAGTTTGGTTTCTCACACTAGCCAAGCACCTGCCTTTTGCACGTGTCTGAGAAGCTGCAAACGGGTCCCTCCAGAGACACCATGGATCACGATGCGCTCTTGGGAGAGGACCCAGATCTGCCCCTACGCACAAGGTGGTGCAGTGTAGTGCTAGTGAGTGCTGCTGTGGTGCCAGACTGCCCATGTTTAAAACCTAGTAGTGGCGCTTATTATTTGTAGGCTCTGGACAAGTTATTTAACTCCTCTGAGCCTCAGTTTCTTTCTTGGTAAAATTTGAATGATAACATTGTCTGTTTCATGGGTTTGCATGAGGATGAAATGAGATAGTGCAATATGCTCATAATAGAGTACCTGACATACACACATGTTAAATTGCTCATCTACATGGGATCCTAAACCAGCTGCTTCTTCCACATCTTTAAGGAAAGAAATTCCACAATCTGTCCCAGTGTTCAATGTACCCTTGTGTCAAAACTTCCTCCTGTTAGGAAATCCTCTTTTTTTAAAAGTTTATATAATTTGAGACGGCCCTTAGCGATTTCGATAACCCAACTCACCATACAGGGGAGGAGAAAAGGCTGGAAAGTTTAAGTGACTAGCCCAAAGTCATGCAGTTGGTTAGTGGCAGAGCTAGGACTGGCTCCTGGTTCTCCTGAAACCCAAGTCCATGCTCTTTCTACTAAGTCTGCCGGTATTATTTCCTTTTGCAGGCATCTCATCTTATGCTCATCATGGTAGAGACTTTTTGTGCCACGTGATTCTGGACTCCTGGGCAGAACATTCCAAGCTCTCCATATTCCGGCCTTGATCTACCTGGGGGGCACCCAATACACATGGGCTCTGAATGAATGGCAAAATAAAACAAAGGGTGACAACTGGGCCACAACATCAACTTTATTACAGATCCAGGCTAAATTGGAGAACACAACTTAGAATGAGAGCCAAATGGGCTGGTTACTTGACTCCCTAAATTAGGCAGAGTCACCTGCTGTCCTAGGCATATGGACTAGGGTACCGAGGAGCAGAGGCTTCCATGTGGCAGATGTTCCCCGGCCCAAGAGAAAGAAGGAGGATGGGGCTGAGCAGAACATGCCCGTCTACTCTTTCCCAGTTTGCCAGGCAGAAGCCACTGCACCTCCTCAAGCATGGAGAAAATAAAGGGCAGGAAAGTCAGGAGTGTGAGTAGGAAAAATCTCCTTTCTTAGAAACTAAGAGTGGGAAAAGATTTTCTTTTCTAGTTTCACCTCTTTCAGACCACACCCCTGCCTTGCTCCCTACTCATTGGCCGTACAAATGACTGGTAACCCTTTGACCTCACTCTGTTTCTTTTGTGCTCAAATTATTCCTCTTGAACAGAGTGCCCTTGCCCTCTGGATGCCTTAGTGTTTTTTTTTTTTTTATACTTTAAGTTCTGGGGTACATGTGCAGAACGTGGAGGTTTGTCACATAGGTATACACGTGCCATGGTGGTTTGCTGCACCCATCAACCCGTCATCTACATTAGGTATTTCTCCTAATGCTATCCCTCCCCCAGCCCCCCACCCCCAACAGGCCCCGGTGTGTGATGTTCCCCTCCCTGTGTGTCCGTGTGTTCACACTGTTCAGCTCCTACTTATGAGTGAGAACATGATGCCTTGGTGTTAAATGCCCTCTGTCTAAGTCTGTTTGGGCTGCTGTTATAACAGAAATTTATTCCTCAAGGTTCTGAAGGCTGGGAAGTCCAAGATCAAGGTGCCTGCAGGGTTTGGTAAGAATCCACTTTCTCATAGACTGGGTGGCAACTTCCCACTGCATCCTTACATGGGGGAAGGGTAAACGGGCCTCTTTTATAAGTGCATTAATTCCATTCATGGGGTCTCTACCCCCATGACTCAGTCACATCCCAAAATGCCTACCATTACATAGGGATTTGGTTTCAACCTATAAGTTTTTGTTGAAAGCTAAACATTTAGACCTAGTACTCTTTCATCTTTCAAGACTCAGTTCATGTGTCACCTTCTGTATGAAGCTCTTCCTTCCTCTCCTCATGTCCACCCCCAACACTTTATGGGGTGAGTTGGCAACCTTTTCTTTGTGTTTAGTATGGACTTTCCTCTTACCTCTTTTAGTCGTTTATTCCACTTAATTTTCTGAAGGCAGAGGCACATCTTACTTATCCTATGTTCAAGGCCTTACACAGAACTTTTAAATGCAATAGGTCTTCGATAACTTTTTGGTGAATAATGATGTTGAATGTTTTTCCTAGGCATACCATATGATATTAAGCCAAGTCTCTGCCTTCTTTTCAGAATAAAGATTCTCATTATTTCACTTATACATTAAGTACCAGTAGGTGCATGGCAGTGTTAGTTACTGCGAAGTACATAGCTTGTAGTCTTCCTTTCTAGAATCTTAAAATCTACTTGAAAAAGTATGTTCGCAAGAAATAATTGAGTGTATATACATAATTGATACAAATGTTTCTTTGTACCCATAAATCCCTTTATAATTTACAAAGCAAAATCTGCCAGATCTGCCATTCAATCCAATGACTACCCTGTGAGGCAGGGTGGACTCACTAGCCCCATTTGACAGATTAGGAAATTGGGCTTGAGAAGCCTTGGGGGATTTAGCCAAACACACCCAGCTGTGAATGACAGAACTGGAGCTTGAATCCGGGCGTTTGGCTCCTAACCTAGTGTGGTTTTTCATAATCGGCAGCTAAATGAAAATAATTAAATGCAGGTGTTTGACTATGCAATGGAGGGAGAGTGACGTCTACATCTACTAGTGTCTCCATCACCTTTGGCTATACTGAGAGGTTCAGAGTGCGTGCTGGCTTCCCAATCCCAACACCCCCATGCTTTATTCAAAATCCACCTACAGATGAAGCCCAAGGTCTTTCTGCCAAGCTAATGGGGAAAGTTAGAGGGAGAGTAGAGGCTGAGAAAAGTGTTACCTAAGGTGGAATGTTAGCTATCCAAGTGTACTTAGCAAACTAGAATTTGAAAGACATGCAGATGTAGGTATATAATTTCATGGTCTTTACGCTAGCTCTGAAGCTTCAAGTCTATTGGGGAATTTTTTTGTATCAGAACTGTCTCTTGCAGACTGAGGGGAATGGTGGTAGAATGAGCAAATTTGAGTGGGAACTAAGTCATTTCCTGGCCAAAAAACAGGATTATAATAAACAAGCCATGAGATGGAAATCATTCAGATCTGAGGGAGTACTGTCTGTTCCTGTCTAAACAAGTGACTGCAATTTCCCATTTTTCTTCAGCTTTCACTTAAAAATAATATAGTCCTTTCCAGTCTTCTGCCAGTCTTGTTATAGTGCCTGTAATTTCCCTTCAAATACTTCAGTGTTGATTGTGTGATGTATATATGTGAATGCAAGTTAACTGTAATCTACATTAGTGAACACTGAAAGACCTTCATTCAGGAATGTATGCCATAGAGGAAGAAATAGAAAATACTTCAGCTCTCTCAATTCTAAGCCTGTATCTGAAAGTTGGTTAATTAGCATAAAGAATGGTAAAACATTTTTTTGTTGGTGAAATAAGTGGTGTTCACTCTAAATGACTGGCTAGAAAATTTGTAAAGACACGTCTGTCCTGGCATGAAAGGAGTATAAGAATCTGGTGAGCCCAGCAACCTACTACCTTCAGATAGGTGCTCCAGGCCTGGGAGTTCATTTATTCTTTGTACCTCATGCATGGTGAAGGATGTGGGCACTGACTCTGCTGTCAGAATGTTTGATGCATATGCCTTAGTGTAAGTTTTTCATGCACCAGACTTATCAGATTGCCTTAAATGACTGAGAGTAGGACACTCTAAGATTACAGAATCAGCTTGTATTGTTTGGGGACCTGACTGCTGGTCAATGTTAGAATGGGGTAGAATAAGATAGAATTGGGTCTGAGACTTGCTTTCCTTGTTACCAACAAGTAGCCAGGTTGTGGGGGAAGAAGATATGCAGTTCCACCCACCTCTAATTGTTGGGTGCAACTGACATTTATCACTAGATTCCATCAACTGCTAATGGCCAAAGTGGCTTTAGTTCCTTTTGCAACAGTCCTTAACAATTCCTCCCGTTTTTAAACAAATTCTTCTATTTTTTTCACCTTCTTCCTTTCTTCCTCACCCCTAGCTCTGTCAAATGACACCTGATCAAAGGAGAGGGCATATGAATGTTTATTGAGCTTAATCTATGCCCTTTATATGCAATATTTAATTTCATCCTCATTTAAAATAAAATAGGTATGATTTAGTAAAAGTTGAATCTCAGAGAAGTTAAGAAACCACCCTACCATCACACAGCTAGTAGGTGATAAAGCTGAGATTCTAAAGCCTGGAATTCAGAACTCATATACGGTTTTCAGCAGACAACTCCACACACAATTTTGAAAAAGGCTAATAATTGTTGGCACTTCATGCTCTTCTACCAGATGGGATGTTTTGACAAACCGAAGAATAATCATAATGACCTATGATTACTTTTTCCTATCAAGCGCATTCTCTGCTGTAAACAGGGAGAACTCTTACAGTCTGTAAATAGAGGTTTACTTCCTCTCTGCAATTGCTCTCCAGCCAACCTCACCTATAGTCAGACCATCATGGAGTAACAGTAAACACAAGGAAGGTGATTAATGTGGTGTCAGGAAGCACCTGAGGTCCATATGGATGTGTTTCATTTGACTTTTTTGAACCACTCTTATCTCTAATGCCAAAGCATGGATGGCTCTCCTATTTCTACAAAGGCCCCCAGCCTGGCCTTTGATGATTTCTTTTCCCCTTGGAGGCTTCTTACCTGGAATTTGGCCTGATCTCACCTGGATCAAGAAGTATTGTTTATCAGAGGCTGTTTACTGCAGCCCTTACAGACGACCTCAACCCCTACGCAGGTTAGGCCCACCCATTAATTGCTTCAAGGAAACTTCTTTGGTGTCTGCCTTTTATCCTCTTATAGATGTTTCCATAAAAGAACATGTGTTGTTAGAAGTCCTGTTTGCTCAGTGCTCTCTGTCCCTAAGACTGGCCTTCAGGACACCTGCTAGAGTCCTCTGCATTCAGTTCTGGGTATCACAGACAGCAATACTGCTAAGGAAAGCTCAGGAGATCAGGCACATGAGGGCAGTTCAAGGACAGTAGGGACAGAGTCAAGACAGAGTTAAGCTTCCATTTTGAGAAAACATAACTATATTCTGAAAATGTAATCATGCTAATTAAAATATAAAAAAGGGAAAAAAGGAAGAGCAGTACATTAAGATGGCGATTTCTGTGCAATAGAAATTTAATAGAAAGGTTCTGAAGTACTATTTTGGGTAAATTGAAAAAAAGAAAGAAAGAAAACAAAGAAAGGGAAAGTAATCCAGAACAAGAAGCCAAATCTTGGAGCAGGAGAGGCAGACTAGAGTTCAGCTTCTAAAGAGAAGTATGGAATTAAAATACATACATGGAATTAAAATACATACATAGAATTAAAGAAAACAATATTAGGTAAACACTACATTAGTCATCATCAAAGAGAGAAATTATGAATTGAAAGACAGTTCTAATGAATTTCACAGCTCAGAGAAATAAAGAGAGAAAGATAAAAGCGCTGTTAAGAAAACTGAAAGTTAGGCTGATGATACTTGAAGAAGAGATGGCTAAACATTTTTAAGAACTGAGCCAGGTGTGGTGGCACATGCCTATAGTCCCAGCTACTTAGGAAGCAGAGGCTGGAGGATCGCTTGGGCCCAGGAGTTCAAAGATGCAGTAACCTATGAGTGTACCGTGCACTCCAGCCTGGGCGACAGAGCAGGACTCCGTCTCTAAAACATAAAAATAAAATAAAATTAAAAATTTTAAAAGGCTGGGCATGGTGGCTCATGCCTGTAATCCCAGAATTTTGGGAGGCTGAGGCGGGCGGATCACCTGAGGTCAGCAGTTCAAGACCAGCCTGGCCCACATGGTGAAACCCCATCTCTACTAAAAATATGGTGGTGTGCGCCTGTAATCCCAGCTACTCAGGAGGCTGAGATGAGAATCACTTGAACCCAGGAGGCAGAGGTTGCAGTGAGCCAAGAAGGTGCCACTGCACTCCAGCCTGGGCAACAGAGCAAGACTCTGTCTCAAAAAAAAAAATTAAATAAAAATTAAAAAAGAGTTTTTAAGACTTCATGACTGAAGAAGGTCATGAATTCTTAGAGTGGAAAGAAAGCACGTACTGTGTACAGAAGCAGGATTAAAAAGCAGCAAAAAAACAGAATGACAACAAAACCCCTCAATATTTCACAGCAACATTGAAGAACACTAAGAATAAGGAGAAAATCATTTTTTATTTAATTTTTTTTAATTTTAATTTTTTTTTTTTTTTTTTTTTTGGACAGAGTCTCGCTCTGTTGCCCAGGTTGGAGTGCAGTGGCTTGATCTCAGCTCACTGCAACCTCTGCCTTCTGGGTTCAAGCAATTCTCCTGTCTCAGCCTCCCGAGTAGCTGGATCTATAGGCTCCCGCCCCCACACCCAGCTAATTTTTGTATTTTTAGTAGAGATGGGGTTTCACCGTATTGGTCAGGCTGGTCTCGAATTCCTGATCTCAGGTGAT
Source organism: Homo sapiens (assembly GCF_000001405.40). Lineage (NCBI taxonomy): Eukaryota > Metazoa > Chordata > Mammalia > Primates > Hominidae > Homo > Homo sapiens. The sequence goes on along the minus strand of NC_000005.10, from coordinate 38,176,647 downwards.
CCACCCGCTGTGGCCTCCCAAAGTGCTAGGATTACAGGCATGCGTCACCGCGCTCAGCCAAGGAGAAAAATCTTAAACTGAGTGTGTTGGGGTTTGCGCAGTAGGATAGGGACCGAACCTCAGATACCTGAAAAGCTGTGTCTTGGAAGAGGAGTTAGGGTGCTTCTGAGGACCTCAGAGGGTGACCCAGGACTTAGGAGGAGAAGGCACAGGGAAGCAGATTTTAAGTGGCTTTCAGGAAAAACATTCTAATAACAAGGGCTTTCCTGAATGAACAGCCTGCCTTCTAATAAGGAAGTGAGTTCTCTGTCAATAAAAGATCTGCCTCTACAGAGTCCTCCATTCTAAAGAGCAGGGGAAGGAAAGGCGGCAGGCTTGGGAGCAACTGGATGGCTGGAATCAGAGTGGTGGGACTTGGGTTACTTGGGCAGCTTAAACGCTGTGGAAAACGGGCCATGAAGGATACAGGAAAATGGAGAGAAAAGAACAGTGTCCAGAGGGGAAATGTGATTTTACCTGTGTAATGATTTGTTTGGATCTGTCCTCTTGCTTGTCATTTTTGAAATGAATTATAAACGTTTCCTCAAATTCTACTCTACAACCTTCCCTAGAGTCAGGCGTCTTCATTGACCTGTTTCTTCTTCCATTTGACACTTTTAGCTGAGTTATTCACCATCTTGAAAGTGGCTGGCCCCATTACCCTTTTCAGAAGAGATTAGATGGCTAACATAAAACTTACCCAAAACTTCTGTGTATGGAGGGGTCACTAGAGATGTCTATTTCTGAGTCTTTGTCCCTTAATTCCCCGATGTAGAAGACAGAATAATTCACCTAAAATCATGACAACTCACATCGGTAGACTGTTTGATGTTTTACAAGGCTCTCTCATGTACACTAACCTCATTTAATTTTCACACACACACAAACACACACACACACACACACACACCACACACACAAAAAAGGCAAAACAGTCATTATCAACTCCAGGAAATCAAGAACTGGGAAGGTTATGCAACTTGCCCAAGCAATCCAAAAAGCAACACTCAGCAGCAAATTCAATGCCTGAGGCTCTAAATCAAGAAATGGTTCTCATTCCTATAAGAAGGACATCAGTCGGGGGAGGAGCCAAGATGGCCGAATAGGAACAGCTCCGGTCTACAGCTCCCAGCGTGAGCGACGCAGAAGACGGGTGATTTCTGCATTTCCATCTGAGGTACTGGGTTCATCTTACTAGGGAGTGCCAGACAGTGGGCGCAGGTCAGTGGGTGCGCGCACTGTGCGCGAGCCGAAGCAGGGTGAGGCATTGCCTCACTCGGGAAGCGCAAGGGGTCAGGGAGTTCCCATTCCTAGTCAAAGAAAGGGGTGACGGACGGCACCTGGAAAATCGGGTCACTCCCACCCGAATACTGCGCTTTTCCGACGGGCTTAAAAAACGGCGCACCACGAGATTATATCCCGCACCTGGCTCGGAGGGTCCTACGCCCACGGAGTCTCGCTGATTGCTAGCACAGCAGTCTGAGATCAAACTGCAAGGTGGCAGCGAGGCTGGGGGAGGGGCGCCCACCATTGCCCAGGCTTGCTTAGGTAAACAAAGCAGCCGGGAAGCTCGAACTGGGTGGAGCCCACCACAGCTCAAGGAGGCCTGCCTGCCTCTGTAGGCTCCACGTCTGGGGGCAGGGCACAGACAAACAAAAAGACAGCAGTAACCTCTGCAGACTTAAATGTCTCTGTCTGACAGCTTTGAAGAGAGCAGTGGTTCTCCCAGTAGTCAGCTGGAGATCTGAGAATGGGCAGACTGCCTCCTCAAGTGGGTACCTGACCCCTGACCCCTGAGCAGCCTCACTGGGAGGCACCCCCCAGCAGGGGCACACTGACACCTCACACGGCAGGGTACTCCAACAGCCCTGCAGCTGAGGGTCCTATCTGTTAGAAGGAAAACTAACAAACAGAAAGGACATCCACACCAAAAACCCATCTGTACATCACCATCATCAAAGACCAAAAGTAGATAAAACCACAAAGATGGGGAAAAAACAGAATAGAAAAACTGGAAACTCTAAAAAGCAGAGCGCCTCTCCTCCTCCAAAGGAACGCAGTTCCTCACCAGCAACGGAACAAAGCTGGATGGAGAACGACTTTGACGAGCTGAGAGAAGAAGGCTTCAGACGATCAAATTACTCTGTGCTACGGGAGGACATTCAAACCAAAGGCAAAGAAGTTGAAAACTTTGAAAAAAATTTAGAAGAATGTATAACTAGAATAACCAATACAGAGAAGTGCTTAAAGGAGCTGATGGAGCTGAAAACCAAGGCTTGAGAACTACGTGAAGAATGCAGAAGCCTCAGGAGCCAATGCAATCAACTGGAAGAAAGGGTATCAGTGATGGAAGATGAAATGAATGAAATGAAGCGAGAAGGGAAGTTTAGAGAAAAAAGAATAAAAAGAAATGAGCAAAGCCTCCAAGAAATATGGGACTATGTGAAAAGACCAAATCTACATCTGATTGGTGTACCTGAAAGTGACGGGGAGAATGGAACCAAGTTGGAAAACACTCTGCAGGATATTATCCAGGAGAACTTCCCCAATCTAGCAAGGCAGGCCAACATTCAGATTCAGGAAATACAGAGAACACCACAAAGATACTCCTCGAGAAGAGCAACTCCAAGACACATAATTGTCAGATTCACCAAAGTTGAAATGAAGGAAAAAATGTTAAGGGCAGCCAGAGAGAAAGGTCGGGTTACCCTCAAAGGGAAGCCCATCAGACTAACAGCGGATCTCTCGGCAGAAACCCTACAAGCCAGAAGAGAGTGGGGGCCAATATTCAACATTCTTAAAGAAAAGAATTTTCAACCCAGAATTTCATATCCAGCCAAACTAAGCTTCATAAGTGAAGGAGAAATAAAATACTTTACAGACAAGCAAATGCTGAGAGATTTTGTCACCACCAGGCCTGCCCTAAAAGAGTTCCTGAAGGAAGTGCTAAACATGGAAAGGAACAACCGGTACGAGCCGCTGCAAAATCATGCCAAAATGTAAAGACCATCGAGGCTAGGAAGAAACTGCATCAACTAACGAGCAAAATAACCAGCTAACATCATCATGACAGGATCAAATTCACACATAACAATATTAACTTTAAATGTAAATGGACTAAATGCTCCAATTAAAAGACACAGACTGGCAAATTGGATAAAGAGTCAAGACCCATCAGTGTGCTGTATTCAGGAAACCCATCTCACGTGCAGAGACACACATAGGCTCAAAATAAAAGGATGGAGGAAGATCTACCAAGCAAATGGAAAACAAAAAAAGGCAGGGATTGCAATCCTAGTCTCTGATAAAACAGACTTTAAACCAATAAAGATCAAAAGAGACAAAGAAGGCCATTACATAATGGTAAAGGGATCAATTCAACAAGAAGAGCTAACTATCCTAAATATATATGCACCCAATACAGGAGCACCCAGATTCATAAAGCAAGTCCTGAGTGACCTACAAAGAGACTTAGACTCCCACACATTAATAATGGGAGACTTTAACACCCCACTGTCAACATTAGACAGATCAACGAGACAGAAAGTCAACAAGGATACCCAGGAATTGAACTCAGCTCTGCACCAAGCGGACCTAATAGACATCTACAGAACTCTCCACCCCAAATCAACAGAATATATATTTTTTTCAGCACCACACCACACCTATTCCAAAATTGACCACATACTTGGAAGTAAAGCTCTCCTCAGCAAATGTAAAAGAACAGAAATTAAAACAAACTATCTCTCAGACCACAGTGCAATCAAACTAGAACTCAGGATTAAGAATCTCACTCAAAACCGCTCAACTACATGGAAACTGAACAACCTGCTCCTGAATGACTACTGGATACATAACGAAATGAAGGCAGAAATAAAGATGTTCTTTGAAACCAACGAGAACAAAGACACCACATACCAGAATCTCTGGGACACATTCAAAGCAGTGTGTAGAGGGAAATTTATAGCACTAAATACCCACAAGAGAAAGCAGGAAAGATCCAAAATTGACACCCTAACATCACAATTAAAAGAACTAGAAAAGCAAGAGCAAACACATTCAAAAGCTAGCAGAAGGCAAGAAATAACTAAAATCAGAGCAGAACTGAAGGAAATAGAGACACAAAAAACCCTTCAAAAAATTAATGAATCCAGGAGCTGGTTTTTTGAAAGGATCAACAAAATAGATAGACCACTAGCAAGACTAATAAAGAAAAAAAGAGAGAAGAATCAAATAGACGCAATAAAAAATGATAAAGGGGATATCACCACTGATCCCACAGAAATACGAACTACCATCAGAGAATACTACAAACACCTCTACGCAAATAAACTAGAAAATCTAGAAGAAATGGATAAATTCCTCGACACATACACTCTCCCAAGACTAAACCAGGAAGAAGTTGAATCTCTGAATAGACCAATAACAGGAGCTGAAATTGTGGCAATAATCAATAGCTTACCAACAAAAAAGAGTCCAAGACCAGATGGATTCACAGCCGAATTCTACCAGAGGTACAAGGAGGAACTGGTACCATTCCTTCTGAAACTATTCCAATCAATAGAAAAAGAGGGAATCCTCCCTAACTCATTTTAGAAGGCCAGCATCATTCTGATACCAAAGCTAGGCAGAGACACAACAAAAAAAGAGAATTTTAGACCAATATCCTTGATGAACATTGATGCAAAAATCCTCAATAAAATACTGGCAAAACAAATCCAGCAGCACATCAAAAAGCTTATCCACCATGATCAAGTGGGCTTCATCCCTGGGATGCAAGGCTGGTTCAATATATGCAAATCAATAAATGTAATTCAGCATACAAACAGAGCCAAAGACAAAAACCACATGATTATCTCAATAGATGCAGAAAAGGCCTTTGACAAAATTCAACAACCCTTCATGCTAAAAACTCTCAAGAAATTAGGTATTGATGGGACATATTTCAAAATAATAAGAGCTATCTATGACAAACCCACAGCCAATATCATACTGAATGGGCAAAAACTGGAAGCATTCCCTTTGAAAACTGCCACAAGACAGGGATGCCCTCTCTCACCACTCCTATTCAACATAGTGTTGGAAGTTCTGGCCAGGGCAATCAGGCAGGAGAAGGAAATAAAGGGTATTCAATTAGGAAAAGAGGAAGTCAAATTGTCCCTGTTCGCAGACGACATGATTGTATATCTAGAAAACCCCATTGTCTCAGCCCAAAATCTCCTTAAGCTGATAAGCAACTTCAGCAAAGTCTCAGGATACAAAATCAATGTACAAAAATCACAAGCATTCTTATACACCAACAACAGACAAACGGAGAGCCAAATCATGAGTGAACTCCCATTCACAATTGCTTCAAAGAGAATAAAATACCTAGGAATCCAACTTACAAGGGATGTGAAGAACCTCTTCAAGGAGAACTACCAACCACTGCTCAATGAAATAAAAGAGGATACAAACAAATGGAAGAACATTCCATGCTCATGGGTAGGAAGAATCAATATCGTGAAAATGGCCATACTGCCCAAGGTAATTTACAGATTCAATGCCATCCACATCAAGCTACCAATGCCTTTCTTCACAGAATTGGAAAAAACTACTTTAAAGTTCATATGGAACCAAAAAAGAGCCCGTATTGCCAAGTCAATCCTAAGCCAAAAGAACAAAGCTGGAGGCATCACGCTACCTGACTTCAAACTATACTACAAGGCTACAGTAACCAAAACAGCATGGTACTGGTACCAAAACAGAGATATAGATCAATGGAACAGAACAGAGCCCTCAGAAATAACGCCACATATCTACAACTATCTGATCTTTGACAAACCTGAGAAAAACAAGCAATGGGGAAAGGATTCCCTATTTAATAAATGGTGCTGGGAAAACTGGCTAGCCATATGTAGAAAGCTGAAACTGGATCCCTTCCTTACACCTTATACAAAAATCAATTCAAGATGGATTAAAGACTTAAATGTTAGACCTAAAACCATAAAAACCCTAGAAGAAAACCTAGGCAATACCATTCAGGACATAGGCATGGGCAAGGACTTCATGTCTAAAACACCAAAAGCAATGGAAACAAAAGACAAAATTGACAAATGGGATCTAATTAAACTAAAGAGCTTCTGTACAGCAAAAGAAACTACCATCAGAGTGAACAGGCAACCTACAAAATGGGAGAAAATTTTGGCAACCTACTTATCTGACAAAGGGCTAATATCCAGAATCTACAATGAACTCAAACAAATTTCTAAGAAAAAAACAAACAACCCCATCAAAAAGTGGGCAAAGGACATGAACAGACACTTCTCAAAAGAAGACATTTATGCAGTCAAAAAACACATGAAAAAATGCTCATCATCACTGGCCATCAGAGAAATGCAAATCAAAACCACAATGAGATACCATCTCACACCAGTTAGAATGGCAATCATTAAAAAGTCAGGAAACAACAGGTGCTGGAGAGGATGTGGAGAAATAGGAACACTTTTGCACTGTTGGTGGGAGTGTAAACTAGTTCAACCATTGTGGAAGTCAGTGTGGCAATTCCTCAGGGATCTAGAACTAGAAATACCATTTGACCCAGCCATCCCATTACTGGGTATATACCCAAAGGACTATAAATCATGCTGCTATAAAGACACATGCACACGTATGTTTATTGCGGCATTATTCACAATAGCAAAGACTTGGAACCAACCCAAATGTCCAACAACGATAGACTGGATTAAGAAAATGTGGCACATATACACCATGGAATACTATGCAGCCATAAAAAATGATGAGTTCATGTCCTTTGTAGGGACATGGATGAAATTGGAAATCATAATTCTCAGTAAACTATCGCAAGAACAAAAAACCAAACACTGCATGTTCTCACTCATAGGTGGGAATTGAACAATGAGATCACATGGACACAGGAAGGGGAACATCACACTCTGGGGACTGTTGTGGGGTGGGGGGAGGGGGGAGGGATAGCATTGGGAGATATAACTAATGCTAGATGACGAGTTAGTGGGTGCAGCACACCAGCGTGGCACGTGTATACATATGTAACTAACCTGCACAATGTGCACATGTACCCTAAAACTTAAAGTATAATAATAAAAGAAAAAAAAAAAGGAAACGGTTCTAATGTCCCAAATTGCCTCTCTAGCTGATACACAGAAGGGATATTCCCATAGAAACATGGTTAAGGGTAGTTGAAAGAATTAGTACCAACACCTAGCACTAATCCCTGTCGTCGTATAGGCGTGCAGTAAATGTTTATGGTTGAATTAGAATTGCAGTTCAGACTTCTTAATGCGCTAAGTAGACTATCAGTGTGCTGGCCAGGGAAACCACCCAGTACTTTCCTCACCCCAGTACTCACTCTGCTTGAACTACTCTGGCTTCTTGCTGTTCTAGAACACACCAAGTTCTCTCTTGTACAATCCCAGCCCTGTCCGACACCTTATTCCGCTTTCCTATTTTATTCCCTTCTATGGCGTTTAGCATTTAGGATCATCTGACATGTCATATATTTTACTTGCTTCTTTGTGTGTTGTCTGTCTCCCCTGACCAGGATATAAGCTCCCTGAGGACAAGGGTTTGTATGTGCTTTGTTCCCTGCAGATTTCCCAGCACATAGAATAGTGCAGGGCTTGTAGTAGTGCTCAAGATGTATTTGTTGAAGGAATGAATGAAGGAATTCATTTATAATGTTGTTTCTACAGACTTCTGGATTCAAACTAAAACACAAGCTAACTTTTGGAACACAAGTCAATTCATAAATAGACACTTGATGAATATTTTCTGAGCACTAATAATGAAATATAGAAACTTTTTACTATGTCATTTAAACTTAGTCTCACATAAGGTCGAACTCTGGGCCATCCACACCTTGAAACAGGTGCAGAGAAGGAGACTCACAGAGCCCAGCTAGTCAGCTTGAAGCTATGTGGGGACAGATTGAGTGGAAATTGAGGCAGGGAGGTCTGGAACCCAAAAGAGAAAAAGACATCCAGAGGGGGGAAAATCAATCCATCAGCTGTGGATACTGAGAATCTACTTTGAAACTAGGACTCTGCTGGGCACAGCGGGCCAGAAAAATTCTCTAATATGACCCCAAGGAGTTAAAAGTTGGCGGTGTGGAGGAAATTGTCAGGGAGACACACAAGACACACACAAAAAGGTTTGAAGCGCTAAACTGTACGTTACAATAAGAACTCCTGAAGGAAGAGGAGATTGGCTGTCTGGGGTTTTCAGAGAAGGCTCTTTGGAGGAGGTGGTCTCTAACCTTCAAAGGCAGGTGAGAGTTCTTGCCCCAGGGGGGAAGGGGAAAAGAAGGGCATATCCCACCCTGGGCCAGCAGAACTGGTGCTGCAGAGGCAGGGACCTGTGCTGCAGGCACAAAGCTCTGCACTAGCAAATCTAAAAATACCCACCCTGTCTAGTTTTTTCTTTCCCTCTTGGTCTCTTACTTTTCTTCTCACCCGCCTTCCTATTTTCTTCCTTCTCTGATGATCCTTTCTGCCAACCCTGGGACTCACTTTCTCATCTCTCCAGGGAATCTCTGACCAGCTGGAGGGGCCAAAACCTTGCAGGACTCCCCGCGGTTCAGGTACAGGTTGGCAGCAGCTCCGGAGTCCCCCACCCGCCTCGACTCAGTTCTTTCAAATGCCAATTAACAGGTGTCAGAAATGCTGGTCTGGGTAAGAGATCCATGTCTGCATAACAACCCAACTGTTTTGGCTCCCCACCCGTGAGCATAAATATCGTGGTGTTTGAGCCCTTGGGGCCTGTGGAGTTTACAAGTATGCTGTCAAGATCTCTTCATTGGGCTAGTGCTTGAAGTGCTGCCAAAAAGCGAGGGGACTCCTGTGCTTTTATGTGTTCCCAAGCACAGGCCGCCCTGGCTCCAGGAGGAGCCCTCTGGGGACCGAGTGTCAGTGTGAATCTCAAACAGCAAGCTGACATTCCGGTTGGGAGTGTGACAGTGCATGCCTGGGTGATGATGCCAGGGCGGCAGGTGACACGGGTCCACCACAGAGGGGGAGCGTAATTGGAGTGGCTTCTAGTTACATGTCCTCAGAGCTCTGAAGGATGGAATCAGGGTCGGAGGAACAGTTAGAAAATGATGTTACAAAATCCGGATATCCTGATCAAATTGAGACCACTGAGATGGAGCATTCAGAGCACAGATGATACCAGTGTTCCCAGAAAAGGCATCCAACATGGGCTCATCTAGGACTAATGACATTGCAAGCCAGAGATACAGACCACGGTCAACCAGTGAAATACACCCGCACACATGTGCACACGCACACACACACACACGTGGGCATCCATGTGATGGGCCCTAGAAGCCCAGAGGAACCCCGCTTTTAGGGCACTCCCCTCCCCCAGGCCTCACCACAGCCACTGAGGACCTGACTCTGGATAAACATCTGAAAACAGAGTGGCTGCCAGGGAGGAGAAAAAAGAGGAGAGGGTGGAATGGGATGGGCGGGGCATGGCGACAGGAAGAGCTCAAAAGATTCGCAAGTTGGGTGACTACCAAGGTCGGCTTGTCTCAGAGGGCAGCAGGGCCATGGCCTGGCGGGTGGTGGGGCAGCAGGCGTTGGCTGGCTTCTGCCGTGTGGGGCAGCATTTCTCCGCCTTCACCACCCCACCTCGGGCTCTGTTCAGAGGTCACATCTAGGAGAGATTCTTGGACCATTTGTCGACTTGGTTCCACCCCAACGAGAACCATATCAAAAGGCTGAGCACACTTGACCTCATCAGCTTTGGGCTCTGCACAGCAGGTTGGAAAAATCCCCAGTAAGAGGCCTCATGGGAGGACTACATCACTGTCCCCCTCGGGCCCAGACTGGTTATGCTTTGTAATAATTGTTCTAGAAACCTTGGTGGAAACGAGGAAAGCTTCCCGAATCTCCCCTAACTCTTTTGCCATTTGTCATAGAAGTCCAGAATATTCTAGATTTTATATTTGTGGGGACCAGCACCAGAAAGAGGCAGAGAAGTATACGGGATCACATACTTCTTTGGTGGTAAACCCCTGCCTCTTTGTCTCTATTACTCTTTCCATTAAATTCCTCCTTGTTCTCTTGGTCTTCTTTGTATCCATTAACTTATGGAGAAGATAACTTTCGATAATTAAATGTGTCCTTAGGAATATTTACTCGCCCCTGAGTTACATTAGAAACTCTGAGAACAGAGGAAGATGGCCTTTATTTCTTTGCTCCCTGGTCTGATTTAACTTTATGAGTCTCCATGCAGTGCCTACTCCATGAGCTGCTTTCCTGATTTGAGGGGAAAATACAGTCCACACAGACACTATCCTGAGAATCGCCCCGTGAGCCTTTCCAGAATCCCAAAGATGACGTACAGTCCTGCCCCTCAAATGTCAGGATTTGGAAGAAGTCGCCTGCCTCCAAGCGAAAGCCAGATGCCTGGAGAGGTGAAATAGGAAGCTCTCACAAGGATGAGATCAGATCTCTCTAAAAGAAATCTCGTTGGATGAAGACAGAAAACAAATAATTTCCCCCAACAGAGGAAAGCTATTTGTTTATCTGTTCCATGGGGGCCAGAGGACCTGGAGCTGTAAAATCTGAAGGCAGTGTATGTTTTAGAAAGTTGTCGATGGGATCATTTTTATTGTACAGTGCATGGCCCTAAGATGGCCAAAGGGGAGTGTCAGAGCCTCGAATCTTTCCCTTTTTTTGGGAGGCCACTCTGGGCAGACATTTCGCTGATCATAATCACTTTTATATGTAACTGGACCTTAATTCATTTGGTAGTATGAGCTACGGAAGGGCGGCACAGATTAGAGAGCTATGTCTGTAACTGACGAAATCTGCGCCTGGAGTGCATTTGTGGGGAAATTAAAAATAAAATGAAGCTCATCTGAAAAATGCGTGGACTGGAATTAGCCGTCTCCTGACCAGTCACGCATGGAACTTGTCGGAGATGACCAGGACAGAAAAGTGAGACCTGGGCAGCACACTGGGCTGCGCCGGCCGCCAGGATCTGGGGAACCTGTCATAATTTATAATGGATTATCTTAGGAAATAGATGAGGACAGCTTGTGTTCAGGAGCCAGGAAAGACTACTTTAGTTTAAAAAAAGGGGCGGTGCAGAAAACATGTCTCAAAAATGCATGACCCATTGTTGTTTGTTCTGCAAGATATTTAGTGTCTGGACTTGGATTGAATTAACTCATCAAATCCTCTGCTATGAACATGACATTTGGTGGCAACTAACATCGCCACACCAAGTAAATGGCACCCCTTGCCTGTGCTGGTGTTGAGACTCATGTTTGCAGCCCTCATTATAAGGTACATATCCAAATGTATTGGAATTTTTATAGTTAACACTTTGAGTTTCAAAGACTGGGGCTTACACACACACACACACACACACGCACACACATTGGACAGTATCTTCCCACTTTCCCACTATGACTTCTCTTTGATTTTCTTCCAGCATTGCCCTTGATGCCCACTTTGATTTCATCAGATGTCACTGTTCTGGACTAACTACTTTTGATTGCATATAAAGGAGAAAGGGAAGTAGCATTTGTTGACTCTTCTCTGGTCGATGTGATAGTGTGTTACATAAGTATGTTGTTAACCTTCACAAAGACACTTTGTGATACTGTCATTCTGCTGATTTTACTGATGAGGCAACTGGGACGTGGAGAGATTACAGAACTTGCCAAGGTCTACCATTCAGTAATTGGCCTAGTCAGGCTTTGAACCAAGACCACTGGGGCTTCAAGCCTGCTCTGTACACACAGTCAAGGTGAAGCCAGAATCCTACTGTAACTGGGCAGGATCTGTAATATCATAAGAATTTGGATCCAGCAGCAGGCTTTATTTCAATACTTAACTCACCCAACCTAGTCCTCAAATCCAAGCTTCTTTTCCTGAAACAATTACAAAAAAAAATTTCTGTACTTCAAACTTTGAAACATAATAACAATTAAACAACTTAGTTTCCGTTGTCAGTCTGGTTTCTCTGCCTTAGTGGAAAGTCTAATGGGATATTTTACAAGGATGACAAAGACAGATAATGAAAGTCAAAGCAGTACATAAAGCTTCCTTGAAAGCTTGGTAATTAAAGGCTTTGCATTGTTCTTTAATAACAGTCGTCACCTTTTTACTGCATTGGGATAAAGGCACAAAGTCTGAAATATATTTGCATTTCAGCCACACTCTGAGTGAACGCAACCTCTAGCTTTTCATTCAGAGGAACTGCATTTCAACTTCTGCAGAAAGAAAGACCAAGAGGTAGCTGTTTCTTCCAAAATGCTGGCAGTACGCAAACATTTAGTACACTGGAGATTAGATGCTAATCTGTGAATTCATACCTGTGTTTTAGGGGAGGCTTTAGACTTATAAGAAAGGGCAGACGAAGCCTCGATGTAAAATATAGCCATGGCCTTCCTACCTGAAATGCCTATATCCCACGACCATGGTCCTGGAGCATGTGTGTGTTAATGTGACTCACTGGGGAAAAGTTCAATGTGTTCCTCAACAATGCCTGGTCTATGGAGTAGAGGAAGTAGGAGGCCATGTGCTGTTGAGAAATTTCTGAAACAACATGTCCCAAAGAACTTTTACCCCTGCCTGATGCATGAATTCTGCCATTGAGGTGAGAGGAAAAGGGGGCAAACATTTAACAGGCACTTACTATGTGCCAGGCACTGTGTTAGGCACAGTCTCAAATCTTTTTAATCCTCATCACAACCCTCTGAAGTATTATTCTCTTTTTAGAGATGAGGAAATTGAAGCTAAGACAGGTTAGGTTACTTGCCAAGCATTACATAACCAGAAGGCAGCCTGAGATTTAAATTCACATGTATCGGACTCCCAAATTGAACTCTTTGTCCCCTGTTAAAATGTGCCTGTCCCTGGGAAAGGTGGCACATGAAATCCTATCAGTCATTCACACTGTAGTGTAATGAATTTATCCTATCCTTTCTGAGAAAGTTTCGGTTAAGAAGGCTAAAGGTCTAGATTCCACAAAGGGGAAGAAAATACAGAAGGGAGAGGGTAATGATGATGAAAACATGTATCAGTCACTTCCCAGTTTTGCCTAGCCCTAAATACCTATGGCTGACTTGATAGACGAGGCAAAAGGGGGAAAGGAAGATGTGAAGAACAAAGTCTTTCTTTCACTCTTGTTTTTGAAAAGATAGTTAAGAATAGAGATAGTGCTGTGTTCTAAGAGTGACAACGCTGAGAAGGAACAAAGGGAATTACATGTAATTTAGCTCAGCTGGCCAGGCACGATGGCTCACGCCTGTAATCTCAGCACTTTGGGAAGCCGAGGTAGGCAGATCATGAGGTCAGGAGTTCGAGACCAGCATGGCCAATATGGTGAAACCTTGTCTCTACTAAAAATACAAAAATTAGCCGGGCGTGGTGCTGTGGGCCTGTAATCCCAGCTACTCAGGAGGCTGAGGCAGAAGAATCGCTTGAACCCGGGAGGCAGAGGTTGCAGTGAGCTGAGATTGCACCATTGCACTCCAGCCTGGGCAACAGAGTGAGACTGTCTCAAACAATAATAATAATAATAATAATAATAATAATAATAATAATAATAATAATTTAGCTTAGCCTAATTCAGGATATAAGACCAGCTGATCTAAGTTGGGTTACAGCATAGACATGGGTCTGCAGAGCCTATGGGCTGAGCAGGTCTGAGACTGAATTATGATTTCTCTTGGCCTCTTTCTCAAACTAATCTGCTCAACACCACAGGCTTGGCCTCTGGGATGCAGTGTCATGAGTAAGAGCTGATGACTGGCACTGGCCGTCTCACTTTCTAGCTATGTGACCTCCAGCTGCTGCTGACCGTCCCTGAGACTTCATTTGTAAAACGAAACTCAGAAAGCTTGCCTCACAAGATCACTGTGAGAATTCAGTAGGGTAACGTTCAGGTAGCACTTAGTGAATGGTAACTAATGATACCATATAATCTACAGGCAGGATACATGGGGAATTTTGATCCAGAAAGCTTTGGGGCCAAGTTGACTTTAGCAATCGACAGAGCTTTCACCTGCTACATGGCGTGAACTTGAGGGATGGTGGGAAGGACGTTCAGCTCCAGAGTATCTCCTTTATCTAAAAGCCATAATATCTGAAATTCCACATTCAGGATATATTCCTTTAGCAACTGTCCCAAACATCCTTTTATTAATTCCTTTGATGGGAAGCACATTACGTCAGTAGCTACTAATCCAAGCTGCCCATTGGAATTGTCTTGCGGGTTGGGAGGTAGGGGAAGGTTAAAGAATGCTGATACCCAGCCCTCACCCCAGACCCAAAAAATTAGAACCTCTGGGAGGAGCCCAGGCATTAACAAAAAACAAAAACAAAAACTTTGCCAAGTGTTTCTACCATGTAGCCAGGGCTGAGAACCCCTGTGTTACAGTATTTAATTCTACTAGAATGGAAGCACCAGGAGGCCAAGAAATACAGCATGGCATTCCCAAGCTTCCCACTGTCACTTGGCACAAAAAATAGTTAACTTACGAATTCATCGTTGGTGTTGTTGAATGAAAACAAAGGTGTTAGTGACTCTAAATTCCACCTTAGTGAGAGCCAGAGATGAGATTAAAGACAAGGGACTGGAAGGCACAGAGAGGGAAGTAAGCTCTAGGTCATTACAGAAGAGCAAGTCTCCCTTCTTAGAAAATTCAGCTGCTTGTTACTCTCATGATGATGCTAACAGGAAAGGGCAGATCTCTTGGAAGAAGGGAAGATGCTACACCAGGACTGAAAAAAAGACGCGCCTTTTCGAGTTTCTAGAAGAAACTGAATACAAAGAGAGAAAATTTCCCATTAAGTATTTCAAAAAAATCCATCCGGCAGTTGGAAGAAACAGAAAACAACATGCCCTGAAATCAGAGAGCTCAACCTCCAAATCTCACACCTGCCATTATTAACTACACGACCTCACAGAAGGAGGGAGCTTTTTTCCTGTTTGTTTTTGCTTTGAGACAGAGTCTTGCTCTGTTGCCCAGGCTGGAGTGCAGTGGCGCAATCTCGGCTCAATGAAACCTCTGCCTCCCTGGTTCACGCCATTCTCCTGCCTCAGCCTCCCAAGTAGCTGGGACTACAGGTACATGCCACCATGCCCAGCTTATTTTTGTGTTTTTAGTAGAGACGGGGTTTCACCATGTTGACCAATGGTCTCCATCTCTTGACCTCGTGATCCGCCCGTCTCAGCCTCCCAAAGTGTTGGGATTACAGGCGCGAGCCACTGTGCCCGGCCCCCTGTATTTTTTAAAGCATTTCTGATTCTCAGAGTCTATAAAAGGGGGAGTAATATTGATGATCTCCTAGGGGTGTTGAAGAACACTTGAGAATTGGCTGGCACATATCAGGCGATTGGGGTCTATTAATTCTCTCCTTCTGTCCTCCCTCCTTCCCTCCCTTTCCACCTGACAAACAAAGTTATCAGTTATTCTAGGGATAAATAACTTTTCAAAACTGAGATATCAGACTAGTGATCCCCATATTTCCAAATGCTAATTGTTGTGGGAATTTTAGGGAGAGGTGAAGTGAGCACGTGAATCTTCAAAATAGCAAAAAGGACAGGATTACACAAGAAAGATCAGCTCCGCTAAAAATCAGCCCCATAAGATTGATGGCTGAACCCTGAAATCAACTGTGTGGAAACTGTGCTGACTTTACAGGGAGATTTTCTTCTTTTTCTGAAGTCACAAAGAATGTAAATACTGTTACAATTATCTCTTATTTTAAAATAAGTTCATTAGAAATCAACTATGAAACCGTTTTGTCATGGTAACATTTTAATTGAAAATTTTAATTACTTTCCTAATATCCTCATGGTAAACTTTCTATACATGTAAGTTTTCATCTTGTTTTGGGTTATTGTGGAAACTTTATATTTTTCTAGAATTCTATCTCAATTTCTCTGCAGACTTTTTAGCTGTACCTGTTTGCATTATTATAGTTTTAAATGGTTTCTCCATGGACTAAGATGCATATTATTACTATTTCATGAGGTCAGGAGTTCGAGACCAGCATGGCCAATATGGTGAAACCTTGTCTCTACTAAAAATACAAAAATTATCTGGGCATGGTGGTGCGTGCCTGTAATCCCAGCTACTCAGGAGGCTGAGGCAGGAGAATTGTTTGAACCCAGAGGCGGAGGTTGCAGTGAGCTGAGATCACGCCATTGCACTCCAGCCTGGGCGACAGAGCAAGACTCTGTCTCAAATAATAATCATAATAATAATTTAGTTCAGCCTAATTCAGGATACAAGATCAGCTGATCTATGTAGGGTTACAGCATAGACATGGGTCTGCAGAGCTACTGCAGAGTAACGCCTTAGAGTTACTATTGTACATTACAACTGTCTATAGGTCAATTTTCTCCCACTCTGTACTTTATGATATATTTGTCATATCTATTTGCCTATCTATGTTATACATCTCACAAGACAATGTTAAAATGATGTAATTTTTGCTTTAAACAGTCATATGTCTTTTAAAGAAATTAGGAGAAGACAACTTTTTATATTTACCCAAATATTTACCATTTCTGATGCTTTTCATTCATTCCTAAAGATCGAGGTTTGCCTCTGGTATCATTTCCCTCCTGTCTAATGAGCTCCTTTCCTTCATTTCTGTAGAGCAGATCTGTTGATGACAAATCACCTTTGTTTTCTTTGATCTGAAATTATCTTTATTACACTTACATTCTCAAAGAATATTTCACTGGATATAGATATCTGGCTTGATTGGTGTTGGTTGCAGTGGTTGTTTTTCTTTCAGTACTTTAAAGATTTTTGTCTCATTGTGCTCTTGCCTTCAAGTTTCTGAGAAGAGGGCAGAAAATTTATTCATTCATTATTCATTCAAAGCATTATTTTCTTGTATATAACGTGACACTTTCCTCTAGTCGTTTTCAAGATTTTCCCTTTATCTTTAACTTCCAGAAGGCTGATGTGCCTAGGCTTAGTTTTCTTTGTGCTTATGCCACTTGAGCTTAGCTGGGTAAATCTGGACACTTTCTACTTTTGTCAAAGTTAGGAACTCTCCAGGCAGTTTTTCTTCAAATATTTTTTTCAGCCATTATCTCTCCACTCTGTGAGACTCTGGTTACACATGTGTTAAATCTTTCGGTATTGTTCTTTAGGTTCTCAAGCCTCTTCATTTTCTTCTCTATTTTTTCTCTTTTTACTTCAGATTGGATAGTTTCTATTGATCTATCTTTCAATTCATGGGTTCTTTCCTCTGTCATCTCCATATGGCTCTGAATTTCCTTCAATAAGTGTTTTATTTCAGATACTGTTGCTTTGATTCCCTTTTATGGTTTCTATTTATCTGCTGAGATATCCTATCTTTTCACTAATTTTGAATATGCTTTTCTTAATATCACATAACATATTTATAGTCACGGCTTTAAACCTTTGTTGGCTAAGTCCAACATCTGAGCTGTCTTAAAATCCCTCTTTCTCTTAAGAATGGGTCACATGCTTGTTTCTTTATAAGTCAGGTAATTTTGCTTGTATCTTGAACATTGTAGTGTCAAGTTCTAGATACTCTACATTCTGTTGTATTTTCCCCAAAGCTGTAAACTTTTTTGTTTTAGCAGGCAATTAACTTGGGTGGATTCCAGCTGTAAACTCTATCACTTGGCTGGCACCTCAAATCTCAGCTCCGTTCCTTTGGCTTTAGAAGGGACTTTTAGAGTCTGTTCTGTGCATTCATAAATCAGATGTTAGCCAGAAATCTGAGCAGAGTTTATACACAGAATTTGTAGCTCTCCCTTTCTGGCTCTCTCCAAGGACATCCTTAATTTCTCATGGCTCTGGTTGCCCTGTCTTCTGGCTCTATAAGCCAATAAGATTGAGGGTTTCTCCATTATTCTCAGCAAGCTAACACAGGAACAGAAAACCAAACACTGCATGTTCTCACTCATAAGTGGAAGTGGAACAGTGAGAACACATGGACACAGGGAGGGGAACATTACACACTGGGGCCTATCGGGGGGTGGATGGCAAGGGGAAGGAGAGCATTAAGACACGTACCTAAGGCATGTGGGGCTTAAGACCTAGATGACGGCTTGATGGGTGCAGCAAACCACCATGGCACATGTATACCTGTGTAACAAGCCTGAATGTTCTGCACATGTATCCCAGAACTTAAAGTATAATAAATAAATAAATAAATATCCAGTAAATCATGCTATTAAAAAAAAAAGATCGAGGGTTTCTTTCTGTTTTTAAAACCCTGTATGCTGTTGCTTTTGGATTGCTTTTTGAAAGCAATCTGTGTTCAGAAAAAGGGGAGAGAAGTCTCCCCACACGGTTTCTTTCTTCTAAATGACAACCCAGAATCTGCCCCCAGAATCTACCTTTCCAGTTCTTTCAAATAGTTATATTTTTATTTTGTTTATAGTTTGAGGTTGGTCTGGTAAGAGCTTACTTATCCCTACTCTGAGCAAAACCAGACCATATATTTGCTTTAGGTTTTCAACTTTGTCACTATAGGGTCATTTTCTCATAATTGCTTTAAGTTTTTTTGATATCTATATTGTGCCTCCATTCTCATTCCTAACCTTTTTGCTCTTTTTTTCCTTTAATCAGGCTTACAACTGTTTTTTCTTTTTCTATTTTGTACAACTTTTCAGAGAACTGCTTTTGGAATTTATCTTTTTTTTCCCCTTTTAATTGTTTCCTTATATTACAGCTTGTGTTTTTGTAATTCTGGGAGGAAAACATAAGAAATAATTGTGCATTAACATTTGAGCTGGACCAAGATTTGAAAGGTAAATTTTTCATCTTAATTCATCTATACCAAGGAGACAGAGGGGTGCTTAGGAGTATAGAGAGGCAGCAGGGGAGGAAGAACCCTCCTACCCACATCCAATGTCTTATTACCATGGACCATTTCATTTGCATCTTAGGACAATTTCCCTGTTGGTTTGAAGTTTGTACACATCTTGCTCTAAAAGGCCTGCTTAATGGCCTTGGTTGAAGCATTAACAACAAACTGGAATAATCCAGCCTAACTTTGACATCAAAGAGGAACAAGGACAAAATCAATGAGACTAGAGCAATGAAACTGTTTCTCCAAGATAACACAACTGGGCTAGAACTAAGGCGTTTCCAAGTGGAACCATGCTCAAGGAATGGACATGGAAGTTACACATGTGGCAAAGGTCTCTGCTTAGAATGGAGCTTTCCTCCAAGCTGATACAATACTGTTGCTTGTGACCACTTACAAAACCTGGATATTGTAAAGTGGTAGCAATGAAACCTCAAAAGGGAAGCTTAGCTGCAAGCATCAGTACTGACCAGCTCTTGAGCACTCCAACTCAACAAACCTGGAGAGGGCAGTACAGCAGGAGGAACAAGAGATTCCTGGTGAGGTCATTCGTGTGCCAACTGCTCCTTATTAACAGACATTTGGGGCCCCTCCTTATCTTGTTTTAAGGAAGATATGCTCCCTCAGCTCCAGCCAAACTGACTTGCTGATTGTCTCTGGGACACGCCTGAGTGTTCAGGGCAAAGCACAGAAGGGATTCCAAAACATGCTGCAGCCCATGAGCAAAGTGCTTTGCCTTGAGAGCACAAGAAAGTCTAGTCCTTCAAGCAAATGAGGCTAAGTGTACAAACTTTAGCTATTTGTGTATGTGCTTTGTCTCCAAGACTTGAAGCTTCATAGAGTAAGGCTCATGCTTTCCTCTATTTTTTGCTGCCTACAGAACTCAGCATAAAGCATATTTGATAAATATTTCTTGATTGATTTCCATCTTCCATATTTTCCCTCTTTTCATCATTCCATATTTCTTTTTATATTTACTCCCATCTTTCATCTCAACTCCACCATCTCTGTTATTCCCACAGACAGAACAACCCAGTCTTTCAGTTGCAAACTTCAGGGAGAAAACAAGGTTTTCTGAGACTGAGACTAGGTTGTCCAAGATCAAACACTAACTGTGACCACTATGACATTTGGAAACACTTTGTGGTGGGCAGAACAGTGACCTCCCAAAGTTACTCACATTCTAATTTCTGGAACCTGTGAATATGTTACCTTACATGGCAAAAGGGACTTTGTGGATGTAAGTTAAGGATCTTGAAGTGGAGAGATTACCCTGGATTGTCCAGATAGGCTCAATGGAATCACAAGTGTCCTTTAAATGTGGAAAAGAGAGGAGAATTAGTGTCAGAGTGATGCACTGTGAGAAATACCTGACTGGCCACTGTTGGCTTTAATATGGAAGGGGGCCATGAGCCAGGAAATACGGGCAAACTCTAGAAGTTGAGAATAGAAGGAAACAGGTTCTTCCCTGGAGCCTCTAGAATAAATGCAGCCTGCCAGCATCTTGATTTAAGCCCATTAAAGCCCATTTCAGACTTCTGACGTCCAGAACTATGAGAAAATATATTTGTGTTGTTTTAAGCTATGAAATCTACAGTAATTTGTTACAGCAGCAGTAGGAAATTAATATATAAAATCTAGATGTTTATTTTGTTCCTGAAACTTTTCTGATTTTTCTGAACTGTAAACTCTTGTTGAGACGAATGTTTTGTAAGTCAAAGAACCCTCTGAATATACTACTTAGTTTTCATAACTACATTATTTTCCTCCTTGGTCTGTACATTGGTGCTTAATAACCTGTGGTTGTAAAATCACCTATAGGTGTCATATCTGACACAGGATGTATCAGCATGAAAGCATTAAAGTCAGAGGGTTTAGGTTTCCTTAACAGGCTATTTTTATCTTATTTTATAATTCTTTATATTTATAATTCAGCAATTTGTGCAAGAGTAACAGTCCAACAATTTATTAACTACATGGACCACCACCAGTAAAGAGAATGGGTGCTGTCTGATAGGCTCTACCAGTGCATGCCAGATGAAAGTCAGTCCTAATCGTGAATGTCCTAACAATTATATTTCTCCTTGCATACAGACAGGGATATGGTCTAATGAATTAATCCTTGCTGATCAAGATAACCTGACAGGCCAACTAGGTTGAAACAATTCTGTTTGATTATACAATGGTGAGAATGCTGATAAAAATAAAAAATTTTAAATTGTACTTTAGTAACTCTATTTCTTTGGACTCTTTGTGTTATTGAATAAATACGTTTGCTAATGGCTTCTTGGTGCAACTTTGCCCTATAGTTGTGAAATGCTCATTGGTAGGTAGGTAGGTAGATAGATAGATAGGTAGATAGATAATTCAGGTTAATAAAGGTGGATCTACCTAGCAGGCTGGCTGAATTATCGGGTTTCCCATCATTACTGCAGCCAGTAGCAACCCTTAGCTTTTGCAATATCTTCCACATCTCACTCTTCAGTTAGAATCTATCATATATAGCATGGCTTCATAAAAATTCCCTGCCAGAACTTCTACTCAAATATAGTCAAAAGAGCTGGGGAAGTGAATTCCAGAAGTCTGGACCTGATATCAAGAATCTTTAAAGTACAAAAGAGAGAACTAAGCATTGTTGGCAGAAATACACATGTAATTGAAACTGCCATAATGGGAAACTACCTAGAGAAATAATAATCCCCAAGGGAATTAGGTCTCATCTGTCACATTAGGGTTTCATAAAACAACTCAGACAACATAAGTAGGAATCTGATGAGTCATTTAGGAAGTTAAGAACAAAGGGGAACATTTAGGCAATGGTTGGTGCCAATTCAGGGAATACCAGGG
The DNA here is from genome assembly GCF_000001405.40 of Homo sapiens. Lineage (NCBI taxonomy): Eukaryota > Metazoa > Chordata > Mammalia > Primates > Hominidae > Homo > Homo sapiens. The sequence continues at coordinate 38,154,913 of NC_000005.10, read as the reverse complement.
GCTACAGACACAGTGGTTGGGAACCCAGTCTCCATGGATGAGAAAAAGCCTGTCAGTGCTTGGGAGAAATCTCTGCACTGGGCCAAATGCCGACATGGCAAACATTGCTGTTGGACTTCAGTCTAACCCCTGCCCCCACCAGAAACTTCTTGGGAGCCCTAGTGGCCTTACATTGTCTCTTGGATACCCAAGACAGGGAGATGACTTGTGTGAACCTAAACTTCTCTGACTATGCTACTTTTCCTGAAATGTTTTATCTCTCCAAGTCATTGCAAATAATTAGTAGATACATAACTGCCCTTACCACTGCCAAAGTCTATTATTACCTGCTTCCATTCAATTTATTCCCCCATCAAAACCAGACAATTTCCCTAATAACAATTCTGATCAAAAGTCACTTTCTTTTTCTAATACCTTTGAAGGATCCTCTCTGTATCTGTAACAAATTCTGAACTCCTTAACCTGGCATCAAGCGCCTCTAAGAGTTGTTTCTCATCTTATCAGCCATGGATTGCCATCATTTTGCTCCAAGTAAAGGGGATCTTTCTGTTTCCCCTGCATGCTTCCTGTGCTTCTCCACACCTCCATGGAACCCTTTTGCCTTGATTGTCTTTTTCTGTATCTGCATTTTAGAGTTGTTCACGGCCCACTCTAACACCACCTTCTCCACCATTCTCCTTTCTTCCTCTACATCATTCAGAAGTTATAGTTCCTACCTTTGAACTCCAATGTCAGCCACATCTCGATGGTATCACTTTCCACTATGGTCCTTGTGCACAGAGTTCACTCAAATTGATAGATTGTCAGAATAGAGGGCTATCTTTGAGGTATTCCTGCATCTCCCACCTAGCAGAGTGCCTTGCTCTTAGGCGCTTAAAAGAGAGTTGCTGAAGAAAATATCCTAAAGTGTTTATTTACTATGCTATCCCACTCTAAAATTATAAACATGCATTTTCATAGGTATTTTAATTCCAGATAAAATAATGTAACCCAAAGTCATAATGTGGGACTTTTCAGGAGATGCATTTGTGAGGTATTTTGGGGAAGGTGAGAATGTTCCTCCATCAATCATACCTTATGGCCCCCGTGTCTTCACTTACAAGCAATAGCCACCCTTGCAAAAAGTCACCTCACGACCCCTCAACACACTTCTCACCATTGTAGAAGAAGCTGGCTCCTGGAAACGTAGCTGAAGCAGACACTGTTGGTTTATTGGCCACCAGTCATTTCTCTCTTCCTTTACTTTTTGTTCAGGTCTTTGCCCCTCCTTTACATGACTCAGAGAGCAAATCTTCATTAATCTTAAGTAGCTGTTTCATTTCTCATGTCAGTGATTGGTTCAGAAAGAAGCCTGTTTGGGGGGTTCTAAGAAGCTGTCCTTACTTATTAAAAGAGGTACACAGAAAAGGCAGCCTCTCTTCTGTTGGACATCCTCTAGATGTCCCATAGATCACGTAAAGTCCAGACTGTCTATTCTATGGATGTCAACTACTATAAAACTGTCAAATCTCATAACTTCATAACTTTAGACTTTATTAATTCGATATTGTCTGTAAGACTGTGGCTGAACTAAATTTCATCTTTTTTCTCAACTTTTATTTTAGACTTGGGGTATATGTGCAGGTTTGTTAAAGGGTATATTGTGTGATGCTGAGGTTTGGAGTACAATTGAACCCATCACCCAGGTATTGAGCTTACTGAGAGTAAACTTCCCAATAGGAAGTTTTTCAAACCTTGTCCCCCTCCTACCCTCTCCTGTAGTCCCCAGTGTCTGTTTTTCCCATCTTTGTGCCAGTGTGTACCCAGTGTTTAGCTCCCACTTGTAAGTGAGAATAAGCAGTATTTGGTTTTCTGTTTCTATGTTATAAATTTCATCTTTGATTAAAAGAATCTTGTAAAACCAATTCACAGTGTGCATAGCATTTTAGGAAGCATTGTTAAAAAGTGAGTTACTAAGTAGGATGATGAATAAATGGATGGATGAATGACATTATATTTTGTTCATTCATTAATTTAACTATGAATTGATGAACCCTCTTCAGCTATGATTACCAAGTCCTATCTGTCATCCTGGAGGAATTGTGAAGAATCACTAAGAGTACATTATGTCAAAATAACCTTGTTGATTTGAATATGCCTTCTCCCAGAATGATGGATGAGACTAATGCTAAACACAATGAATCTGAATTTTTTCAAGGCTTTTGATATACCTTTTAGTGTGACATTTCTTTCAATAACACTTTTTGTACAAAACAATCTATAATTCAGTTTTCATTAATTAACAACAAGAACAGTCTCAATCCAGGACTGAGATTGGATTTCTTCTCAATAAGTCAAAATTCATGAGATGTAAACTTACCTTTTTGGGTAAGTACAGCATAAATAACTAGACAATGTGACAATGATTGATTCTTATTTCTTAAAGGACTAGAAGGGGACAAAGGAGGTAAAATAATGATGATGAGTTTTATGTGAATCATCAGATTTGGTCCATATGTCACAGTAGTTCCCTTCCTCTTCCCAGAAATGCTGTTGGTATTAATTTGGACATTATAAAGCAGCTGAGCTTTGGAAAGTCTGTACATCATAAGAATCAGCAAATGCACAATACAGTAATCATCACATGAGTGCAGCCTATCACAGAGTAGCACTCCTGAAAAAATCAAACAGAGGGAGGGAGAGAGTCAGGCTGGTGGGTTCATCCCTTGGACATCCTTCTTGATGGGCAATCAGCTAGTTTTAAAAATCTGGGCTCCACCAACTGGCATCGGTTGGTCAGGAGTGATTTCTTCCAATGCTGCTTCCATGATGCAAGCAAACAGACACCACTTTTGTTCCACTGTATCCCCACGCCCTGAAACTCACAAATGCCTTCTTGATGGGCTGGCTCCTGGAACTGTATAGCCCCCACAGCTGATTTCCTTTCTGGCAAGATGCCTCCTGGTAAACATCACTGGGTAAGCAAGAGGATATGTGGGTCCAGAGCACTGATATAGGGCTGTGATTCAGATTATGCCTTTGGTCATTGGTCATCATTGTCTTCAAACTGCATATTATGAACACCAATTGTATTGGGGACTGTTAGGTATGGAGGGGAAGGCTTGTTATTTTCTATTCAGGGAACAGTTATTAGAGTTTACCGTCTTCAGACTTCTATTGCTATATCTTGGGAATGAAAGGAAGAAAGGATGTGGACTGGAATCTTCTGTGCCTGGAAAATAATAAGAAACTTGATTGTGGCTCAGCTGTATCGTCACCCCTGCTCTCTTGGCTGTTGTTTACAGAACTCAAATTGGAAGATAAGCATATTCCTTATCTTAGGGCAGTTTTCTCAGATGCAGATTCTGAAATGAAGGAGAGAAGTAGAGGAAGATGGATGATGGGCAGGGAAGGGGAAAAAGCCAAGCAGGGGACCGTGGTTTATGAGAAATTTCAGAAAGGGGATGTAGGCCTGATCCTGCAGGAAAACTCCAGAGTGCGAATCATGTCTCCGAGTTTTTCCCAAACGAGGCAATGGATCCGAGCTTTCCCTCTCCTTTGCCAGTCATTGGCTAATGGCTGTGCAGGGAGGATGCAACCCCTTAGGCACTTCTGGTTTTCAGGCTTGCAGACAATGGGGCAGTCCTCTGAGAGAGTCACAAGGGTGAACCTAGAAACAAAATCACAGAGAAGCTAGGGGAAAGGCACACCAACATGGCACAATGGATCTGAGGGGACGTGAGAAGAGCAGAGAAGTGGCCACTACACTACTGGTCAGAGATGCCCATCCTTTAGCCAAAGGTTGTTCTATATAGCTGTCAATGCCTGTCACAGGAGCCTTTCAGATTATGGTTTTGTGAGAGTCAACGCTAAAACCTAAATACAATAGGATTAGTACATACGTAGTGCAAATTATAGTCTATACTTGAAAACCGATGGCCAAAATACTTTAAGGAATCTTGAAAACCATTAGAATTATTGGCATTTGATTTTGTCATTTTCTCTGCATCCCTGACCCACCAAAGTAGTCTCCTTCACTTGTTTTAGCTTGGCCAATCCTTTATATGCATAAATACATCCTCCTCCAGAAAGGCCTCCCTAATGCAGTGAGATGGCAGCACTATTACCTGCACTTCTACCATTTAATGGACACTCATGTTATTCATTTTTATGTAAATATTAATTTTCCAAACTGACTGCATGATCCTTGAAGACAGGGATTTTGCCTCATCCTTCTTCTTATCCCTACTCCTCCAGCATCCAACAGGGTGCCCTACAGTCCATCATGGCATGTGAATGAACACTTAATGATTGACAAGCAGTCAAAGTGAATGTCCAACTAGTGCTACGTGATCATTTTCATTTCTTATACTGCTTATGAAAACTGTTGATAAGATACTAATCAAAAACATATTTCATTGAAAAGAGACCATTTGCAATATATGTTACCCTTCCTGTTGAATTTCGGGGACCTTGATGTTACTCAAATTTAGACAAGAATGACCAACTCATTTCAAGATAGCTATAGATATGGATATGGATATAGATATATACACATATACACATGCACCAGAAAGGCAAGAGGTGGTGCATTAGAACAAACACGGGACTGGAATTTGGGAGATGCCAATCTCATATCAGCACTGCTCCCATCTCCTTATGAGGCCTTCCTTAGCCATTTCATACCTTTGCACTTCAGCTGAAGGAAATATACTACATGATCTCTAAAGTCTCTTCAACCCCAAAAGTTCTACTAGTTGTGTTTTCTTTATTTATGAAGGAGTGGAATCCAAGAAGACAAATATAACCCTTGCTTCAACTCTTGCTTCCTCACTGTGCTCAATAAATATGTATTCACAATGATGTTATGCCACATGTCTAATCTTGAAGTTGACTTATGGTCCACCCAGAGGGAGGAAATATGTGAAAGGATTATTAAGGGATAAGAGAAGGAGCTAACAACAGAAGACATTGTGGAAAGTTATCTATTCATTCATCAAGCATGTGTTTAGGACCTACTACATGAGAAATTGGGTTAGATCCAGGAGATCTGAAGGAGGCACAGTCCTTGCTTTTATGGAACTCCTAGATTGATACTTAGAACATTTCATTCAATTGGGAGAAAATAGTGGAGGTGATTTTGCTTTTCATTGAGGTAAACCCTACCAAAAACATTTCATTATTATTAGCTCTTCTTCCATTCATATTTTGTGCATCTGACTTTCTTTCTTTCTTTCTTTTTTGAGATGGAGTCTCGCTTCTTCGCCCAGGCTGGAATGCTATGGCCCAATCTCGGCTCACTGCAACCTCCCCCTCCCAGGTTCAAGCAATTCTCCTGCCTCAGTCTCCCAAGTAGCTGGGATTACAGGCATGTGCCAGCACTCCTGGCTAATTTTTGTATTTTTAGTAGAGACGGGGTTTCACCATGTTGGCCAGACTGGTCTCAAACTCCTGACCTCAAGTGATCTGCCTGCCTCAGCCTCCCAAAGAGCTGAGATTACAGGTGCGAGCCACCGCACCCAGCTGACTTTCCTTCTTTCTAATATTCTAAAGAGTACTGGACTCTGATCCAGCATCCCCGGTTTCTAGTTTCAGTTCAGCTGCAAACTGTGTGATCTTAGGCAACAAGGCCAACCCCCAATGCTTAGTTACCACATCTCTTCAAAGAGTACCGAACACTTGTTCCTCATGCCTCAAGCAATTTTTATCAGGACGTAAAGGTATTCAGGACAACAAAAAAAGTGTATAAGAACTATATTATATAAGATGATTTTATTAACTAGTCAACAATGATGTCATTCACCCATCTGAAGTTGCCTCTTCTCCCTCAAAGGGAAAAATATGAATGTTTAAGTTTTTTTATACAGTAATTTATTTTGCAAGTTGCATTTTTCCTTTAGTATACTGGTTTATTTTCTGCATTTTGAAGAACAATTAATCTAGTTGCTCATCAAATTACTGTACAACTTTATATATTATATTATTTCATTTCCTTATTCCAACTCAGAAAGTATGGAGATCTATTTCTATGGAATGAGGAAGGAGGATATGCTAAGTTTATTTAATAAAGACTCATGAAAATTTATCCAAAAAAATTTCCCTTCTAGGTCACAAAAATATGATCTCCTGCAAATAGCTGAATCTAAAAGACCCATCAGATGATCAGAGAGTCACTGAAAATGCTTACTAAACCAACCCTTACTCTAGAAATCAGGAAAAGAAAGAAAACTTGAAGAAGCTCAGATTTGACAATTCTGACATTTGGAAAATCAAGTCAGCAAAGAAAGCTGCTGTCAAAGAATGTGAGCAAGGCCATTTACAATGTAACCATACCTACTCATTCAGCTCTGTATCCATTCACTCTCTCCTTCAACATTCATTGAGCATCAAGCATGTGAAAGTGCTGCACTTGGTACTGAGCAGAACACCAGGCTCTCACTGAATGCTCTCATCACTGGTGGAACGGTCTATTAGCAAAATCGCAGAGCAGTGGAAAATATTAAAGCAAGATAACACCGAATTGAACAAAGCCACCTTTGAAACGCAACCTTTTAATATCAGGTTGAACAGCTCTTCCTATTTGCCCATCTGCTAACCTTTAAAAGATTCCTCTCATTGCTGATACGGCCAGTTGCCCCAGCCTGCCTTCAATAGTGCACAAAGGGCATCTTTGTTTTCCTCCCAGTGAACTCAGAGGCCAACCCAGGGAACAGTGAAATATCCAGGATGGAAATGAGGTGTCTCCGTGACAGCGGACTCCTTCTTTTGCCCCCATTTATCGAGATCAACATGACTGAGTCACCAGTAGATGAAACCAATGATTGTTTTACTCGGACTTCCCCAGAGTCACCCCCTGAGTCAGTGGGTAAACTGGGGTAAGAACCCAGCCTTGTCCTATGAGGCTGAGCGGGTCTACTATATTTATCCAGGGTCTCATGATTCTTAGTGCTTTTGCTCTGCCCTCTAATTTGCACTGTGCCTGCTATAATATCTAAACGGGAAGTTGCCAGCTAGAATGGTCATTATCCGAGAAATCTATTTAAACATGTTTATAAGGTCAAATGAAGTGGGTGGTGGATAAGCTAGACAGAAAACAAAAGCTTTGGCTCAGCATAGCCAGTGAGGCTAAAGCTAAAGAGAGAAGTGTTTTCATGTTGAATTTGCACATGGTAGAAAAAGGCAGTCTAAGCATAATTATATATAAATGCAGGAATGAGCAGTCAAAATATTAAAACGACCAAATGATTTCTATTTAAGAAGCTGGACAATGGAATTGACTTATGGTAAGTCAAGGGACTGTCTGTTTGAGGCAGCATGCCGGTATAGCAGAGCCCAAGATCAAATTTTGGAAAAGCTCCTAGTGTATCCCAACCAGTGGGAAGAGCTGGGATGATCAAGAAAGATGCCCAGAATCAACCAAAAATGACCTGGGGGAGACTTCACAATGGAATAGTGAATACTATTGAACAAGAGGGAAATAAGGAGGTGAGAAAAACACCTAATATCTCTGGGAGCCCAAGCTGGGATTCTTGTATATTTAAGACTTTGAAGAACAGCTCTCTGTACCAAAGAAATCCACATCTTAGAGTTAGGAGTCAACCATTTCATTATGTGACTGACCTCCAGGCTCTGCCAAGCCATTCTTCAACATCAAAGAGGAGGGAAGAGGGGAAAAGAAACTATTGTCATACGTCACTTAATGGTAGGGATACATTCCTTCTGAAATGCATCATTTGGCGACTTTGTCCTTGTGTGAACATCATAGTGTACTTACACAAACCTAGATGGTATAGCCTACTATACACCTAGGATATAAGGTATAGCCTATTGCTCCTACCCTACAAACCTGTACAGCATGTTACTGTACTCAATATTGTAGGCAATTATAACACAATGGTAAGCATTTTTGAATCTAAACATAGAAAAGATACAGTAAAAATACAGTATAAAACATTAAAACGGGTACCCTTGTATAGGGCACTTACCGTGATTGGAGCTTGCAGGCCTGGAAGATGTTCTGGGTGAGTGAGTGAGTGAGTGGTGAGTGAATGTGAAGGCCTAGGACATTACTGTACACAACCGTAGACTTTATAAACACTGGACACTTAGGCTACACTAAATTTATTTAAAATTTTTTTCTTTCTTCAATAATAAATTACCCTTAGCTTACTGAAACTTTTTTACTTTATAAACTTTTTAATTTTTTTAACTTTTTGACTCTTTTGTAATAACGTTTAGCTTAAAACACGAATACATTGTACAGCTGTACAAAAATATTTTCTTTCTTTATATCTTTACTCTATAAGCTTTTTTCTATTAAATTCTTTTTTACTTTTTAAACTTTTTTGTTAAAAACTAAGACACAAATGCAAACATTAGCCTAGGCCTACACAGGGTCAGGATCATCAATATCACTGTCTTCCACTTCCACATCTTGTCCCACTGGAAGGTCTTCAGAGGCAGTTACACGCGTGAAGCTGTTGTCTCCTACGATAACAATGCCTTCTTCTGGAATACCTCCTAAAGGACCTTCCTGAGGCTGTTTTACAGTTTTTTTTTTAAATAAGTAAAAGGAGTACTCTAAAATAGTGATGAAAATTATGTATAAGTCAGTAACGTTGTTTATTATCATTTTTAAGTATTATGTACATGTACAATGCATAATAGTTGTGCTAGACTTTCTTTTTCTTTTTTTTTTTCTTTTTGAGACAGAGTTTTGCTCTGTCACCCAGGCTGGAGTGCAGTGGCACAGTTGTGGCTCATTGTAGCCTCAAACTTCTGAGCTCAAGTGATCCTCCCATGTTAGTCTCCTGAGTAGCTGGGATTACAGGCACATGCCACTGTTCCCTACTGGTTTTTTCATATGAGACCACCGTCCTACATGTGGACCATCACTGGGCAAAGCATCATTATGCAGTGTGTGACTGTATCTCCTTATTCCTGTTTCTGAGAAACAGGGATATGAGTCGGTGAGGCTTTCGGTGGCAAAGAGAAGTGTAGCATCTGAGAATGCTTCCCACACATTCTGCATGAGCTTGGATGCTAGTTTACAAAGATCAAGCAATTAAATAGATTCTATGCCACTGAAAGAAATCTGGTATGGCTACTGTTGGAAAATTTGATACACGTGTGCATAGAGTCATTAAATCATAGAGAATAGTTAGTGTTTCTTATTTTATTATGAATTAAATTAATTTAATGACCTCCTTTCCAAACAAAATTTACTTAGCAATGTTATTTCTTCCTGGAACTTGATTTGGTATGGTTTGGGCTAGAACTACATACTGTTTGCTCCTGTATCTCTTCTATTCTAGCACAAAAGTAAGCTCTTTTTGTTCCTTTCTTTCTGGCTCTACTATCCAGTGAAAAAGTCACTGACATAAGAAAGAAAAGGAGCAAAGAAAGAGTGGGGAGTACTGGGAAAGGAGTTAGGGAAAATGGGGGCAAGTAGAAAGAAGGAAGGAAGGGAGAGGTTACAGAATGGTCAGAGAGAGAGAGGCAGGGTGAAGATGGATGAAAGCAGCCGTGATATGTTGAAGCAATGGATCTTCCTAGAGTGCTTCTGATCAATACAGGAGCCACCAGCCACGTGTGGCTACTGAACACTTGAAATGTAGCTGGTCTAAATTACAGTGTGCTGTGAGTACAACATACACAGCAGATTTTGAAGATTTTGTACCCAAAACATTTACAAAGTATCTCCTTAACATTTTATATTGATTACATGTTAAAATAATATTTTGGCTATATAGGGTTAAATAACTACATTATTAAAATTTATTTCACCCATATCTTTTTAGGTTCTTAATAGGGCTACTAGAAGAATGAAGATGAGCCATGTGGCTCACGTTATCTTTCTGTTACACAGATGCTTTTCTTGATCTTATGAGAAATGATAGGATTGCATCCCCTTCTTTCCATCATGCCTACCACACACAACTCCAGAGGTCTCAGCCCAAAAGTCAACTTCTAACATAATCATAAGCACTTCAATAGCAATGGCAATACCTGGCATCTCTTTTCTGAGGCCGGCAGCATATATAGCAGCTTCTAGTCCTCAGGATCTAGGGGGACATGTAGGGACGTCAGGAAGCACAGTGCTCAGACACCGCCTTGGGCATTTCTGACTGAGGGCGTGCCCAGCTGTCCCTCCCATCTCTCGACCCCTGCCTCAGGGGCTCTTCGCACCTTGGGAGAGTTTTCCTCCCCATAGCCCCTTGTCACAGCATTCTCCCATCCAGCCTCCAGCTACCCTTTTAAGAAATGACCTTTTATTTTTCCCCCAATCGTAGGTACTTTCAGTCTAGTTTTGGGTTAATCATGAACATATTTTACAATTCAGAGAACACAGTACAGTACATCAGAGGAACATCGGCCCAGCCTAGAGTAGGTTTAGGTAACTATGAACCTTTGATGATTTTATAGCAAAGCTCAGGATAATGGAAGGCTCTAGGCAGAAAGGAAATAGAGAAAGAGGAAGGAGGTAGAAATGTAGAGCAGATGCAACTCAAAGACTTTTGGAAGGAGGTGGGCAACTTTCAACTCATTACTAAGATTTATTGAGTGTGTCCTCCCTCTCGAATGTTCCTATATGCCACAAACAGCTGGAGGCTGTCCCTAGTGGTGCTGCTACCACAGATTGCTCTTCCCTGTTTTTATGGTGCCCAGACTCACAGCAGAACTCAAATAGATTTGCAATGTGAATATGAATATTGGAATGGAAGTTCTTCACGGCTGCTGGAGAAGTAGCACAAGTCATATGCCTCACCCAGGACAAGGCAGGAGCCCCATATTGTTCTGGAAGAACTACTCATCAGCCAGAATGCTCATCCTTTGCACTGGGCACCTTCTACCCATATGGTGCCTTCCATGTGGAAGCAGTGAAGGCTTGGTTTAAAAAAAAAAAAAACACTTCATCTCATTCCCAAAGTACAGCCAACTCACCCAAGAGTTCAGATGAGCCAACGATTTATGTTGCAACTTAACCATTTCCACTGCAACACAGATAATTCCATATCTGAGCTTAACTTTAGCAAGGCTATATTGCCTCCTGGGGTGGCTGGGCCAAATAGAGGAGGATGACTCTAGATTGCTTAGCTTGCATATCAAGGACATATTCCCCTCGGAGCCCTTTGCTGTCTCTAAGAATTGGCTAGCCCAGAGAGAGGCAGTCTCTCCCCAGGCAGAAAGGGTTTTTAAGATGCAAAAAACATAATATAGAGAAAATAACATATATAATGTAGATATATACACACTCACACACAGTACACTGGTGCACAGTGGGGCTTGATGGAAGCTTGGTCTACGTGACTGGCCTGAATACATGTATGCGTATGGAGGAATGATGAGTAGGGAAAGGAGGGAGTCTCCAAGTATTAGCAATTCCCACGTTGCTCTTTAGGAGAGAGTGGGGAACACCCAAACAGTGATGTTTAGCAACTGTCTGCCCACTGAGCTCTTCTTTATCTTCTATGGGAAAGGCTAACTTGAAAATAAACACTTTTGAGTTTGTTTGTTTGTTTCTAACATTGTTGACTGTTCCCTCAAAAATGTAGACTGGCTAAAAATATAAATAGATTTAAGCAGGTTTGAGATATATTCAGATGGATCCATCCGTAGCAAGATGTTCATTTCCAGAGGTGTTGAGGACACTGTCCTTGTCTTTAGTTTGCCATGATATTGGGGCAGACCAGCTGGTCACCTGCCCCTCTTTCTCACAGACTTTAACATTGTTGGGAGGTGTAATGTGTCCCGCTAAAAGCCAGCACCTTCTGCAGACAGAGTTCGGACCCACAAAATGTGAGCAGAAGTTTTGTGGGTGGGCCTTACAGAAGGGCAGACCTAGCAGGCCTGCATCATTTCCCTCTTTGCTCTTCCCAGATTTTCCCAGGTACCTTGGCCTTGGTATCTGTAAGCCACTGAGGCAAAACCATTAGCCATTGATCTCTGGACTTTTGGAAAGGTGAGAAAAATAAAAACCCTAATTCGCGTAATCCACTGTTTGGGGCTTTTGTTACTTGTAGCTGAACACATTTCCTGATACAGCTCAGGAAGATTGTCCGTGCTTTTCATAAACATCTCTGCGGCCATGACTAGTGACAAAATACAGACTTATTTCTCTGGCAATTTGCTGGACCAAATGAAAATTCGACTCTGCATCTTAGAAAAAAAGCAAAATGAACTACCTTTGTCTGTGATTTTCCTTCAAGTCTTTAAAGTAACCCATTACACTCTTCTTATTTTGAATGTTACTTACATTGAATTTTATTTAACAGGAATAACATTGCTCATGAAAATCACACAACAATTTCTTTTTTCTTTTTCTTTTTTTCTTTTTTTTTTTGATTTGGAGTCTTGCTCTGTCACCCAGGCTGGAGTGTAGTGGTGCGATCTCGGCTCACTGCAACCTCTGCCTCCTGAGTTCAAGTGATTCTCCTGCTTCAGCATCCCAAGTAGCTGGGACTACAGGCGCCCACCACCACGACTGGCTAATTTTTTGTATTTTTAATAGAGACAGAGTTTCGCCATGTTGCCCAGGCTGGTTTCGAATTCCCGAGCTCAGGCATCTGCCTGCCTCGGCCTCCCAAAGTACTGGGATTACAGGCATGAGCCACTGCACTCAGCCAACAATTTCTTACATAAATCCAGGCATAAGGAAAACCTTCAGATGTCCTATGGCTTTAGATAATATAAAGTACCTATCCTTATAAAATCATATAAGTTATTTCAACATCAATTTGGGGCTCAAAATGGGCCACTGCAATGGGCTATTTCAGGAAATATCTCTTGCCAAATTAACTTTCAGAAAGTTTCTAGGCCAAAAGGCTATGCGTAGCTAATGTGGGAACAACCAAGACCACCATTTATCCCATCAACCAGCTGGACTACTCAGCCTGGATGGTCAGCTGAGGGCAATGAAACCCACCAGTGTCCTTTAGGGCCCCTATAAATCAACCTCAGGTAGAATCACTCCTTAATGTGAAGGTCTCCAATAGAGATCAACTTCTTCCCTCCTCCTGGGCAGTTGAGGTCATTCTTATCAGCATGTTCACAAACAGTTTCAAGGTACTTCTGAAAATGATGTCATGCAATTTAGAGAGGTATTAAATTCATCTCCCCAGACACTGAGCAAGATTTGATTCCAGGTCTAATTCTAAAATGGAGGAAAAGAATTTTAACCTTACATTTAGCCATCTACACGGCATCTCAGCAATGGAAATGAATAAATTTTCCACTAAATTTACCACATGTAGAAAATTCAACCACTGCTTCTTTCTATAAACTGTCTTCAAAGACCCAACACCACTTTTCCTCTCCTAATTGCTATTATGAGGCAATAAATCTCTCTTATATGGAAATAATACAAATATAACTATATGGCATATGTAGGCCACGTGTTCTAGCAAATCCATTAAAAATGTTTCATTTGTGTTTTGATGAAAGGCACAACAATCTTCCAAGGACACTAATCATTAATTCTGGGAACATAGGATTAATATGTGACTTAGCTCAGTACTGGAATAGTTAGTAAATATCTATCTAAGAAACATTCATTTAACAGCTATTTAGTGAGCAGCTACAATGCTAGAATTTGTATCCTTCCTGGCTAGAGTGGCATTTGTGTGTAATAATGTGAGTGATATCCAAATGGCATTTAAAAAAACGTGTCATAGTTAAGGTTTCCTAAAATAAAATACTTAAGAAAAATTATCCTACCAAGAAGGATATTTTAACAAAAAAAGAACAATCCATTATTTTCCCTTTTACAATGTCTGTGAGATTTTCATTGAGGCTTGTTAAGCTGAAGATAATAAATACCCACCACAACTAGCTTAAGCAAATGTGTGAATCTCAGGCCAGGAAGTTTAACTGCGCCTCACAAAGAATTAGACTAGAAACTGTAAAGCTGTCAGAACCCGTCAGTTTCCCCATCTCTCTAGGAGCTCACAGCTTCTTGCTTCTGCTTTCGCCTGCACATCTGTATCCTATTTTTTCTTTCCTGATTACGCCTCTCTGCTCCTCCAAGCATATGACTACCAAAGGCCCAATTGTGCATTACAGTCTGGCTCAAAACTTCAGCAAGATCTGGCCAATATCTTAGATTCCTGATTCTGCATTCTGAGTCAAAAAGATTTGATTGGTTCAGCCTGGGCTGGATGTCCACCAGAGGTCCAACCAGCTTTGACTGTGAGGGAGAAGTTACACCATAAAGATGGCACAGAAGCCCACCCTAAGGATGAGGAGAGGAGGCATTCTCAGAGGATGGGGTGTGTAGGCACCTCCAAGTTTTTTCTTCACTTAAACTGAAGAGAAAACATTTTTAGTTGTGAGCTTTAATATAAAGAGAACAGTCTAGTCCTAAACCTCACTCAACTTTGCAGAAAATCTATCAGTGCAAATGCATTTATCTCTCCTAGTTGGAAGCAAAGTTGCAGTTCATTCTGAGTCCTGCTTGGTCCTCTAAGGCAAACTAGCATCAATGAGCATGACAGGAGTATCTATCTGGCTTTTTCTTTTTAAGGATGTATCGGTCTTAGCTGCATTCAATTTAATTGCATGTGCTTTCTATCTGGAAGTCCCTTTGTGTATTTCTAAAGTTCTTCAGCCTGATTTCGCTCCTAAGACACATCACCCCACATAGTTATGGGTGCCTTTGACACAATTTAGATGATTGCCTTGCCTTGGAAATCTGTCATTGCTGCCATAATGTCACAGAATCCTAGAAACATTGTCTCAATTCAAGTCAAAACCAAGCACATCTAAATCTTCCCACCTTCCCCTGTTCGTCAGCAATCTACATCTATTTCCAGTTTTCCAGTATCATTCTTTGAAATCAGCTTGCTCCTTCTCTCAACACCTTTCCTGTGGCTGATTTAAGAAACTCTCATATTGGTGATGTAGCAACATAATTTCACTTGAAGCCTTCTTCTTCCTATTTAGGAAATCATTTTACCTTTACTTTGAAGGTAAAATCAAACTTTTACCCTCAATACTCCAATCCTTACACACTAATCTAATTTAAAAATTACAAAGTGATGAATATTTAAAAGATATGTGGACACAGTGTATTAAATATAGCTTCCCTCCTGGACATGAAAAAAATGATTTAACTCTTCTATTCTCATCAGACAGTATTTTTCAGACTAGGTCAATATGTGTCCACTCTAAAGATGTGACTTCACTTAGGATTTCAGTTTTTCTGAGAGGAGATAATAACCTTCTCAGAATAAAATTGACTTTGCATGTGTTTGTTAAAAATACTATTTCCCTAGACAGTTTTTTCAAAACACACCCACAAAGATTATCTTATTTTATCCTTATAACAATTTTATGAATGAAGCAATACTAAGGGGAAAATGTTATCTATCCCATTTTAAAGACGAGCAAACCAAGATCTGAAATAAATAACTCTGTGACTTGGTCACAACCTTCCAAAGAAGCCTTGCCCTGATCTGTAGGATGAAGGTATCAAACCATGAGCTCCCTAACATCCCATTCAGCAATAATATTTCATTTTTAATCAATCAAATTAAAATAAAATGTTGTCAGCAAAAGTCACAGTCTGGCAATAAGGCTGAGGCTAAGAAGTTAGACTCTTCTTTCAGGTTCTTCGAAAAGGAGTAGGGAAACATCATGAGATGGAACAAAAATAGGTTGTTACAACTCGAGTATGAAGTTGCTGAATTAGAGGTTCCATGTCTAAGGTTATGACAATACCCAGAGTGAATTATAGAAGACAGTGTAAATAATTCTAAAGGTGAAGCTCAACTTTCATTGGCAGAGTCTTAGCAACAAGTGGAATATTTGAAGCAGAACAAAAAAAAAAGTTTATCTTTCAAGCTGTAAAATGATCATGTTGAAAAATTCCATCCATTTTCCAGCCAACTGACCCAAATAAAGTTACAAATGCAGGTGGACAAGGAGCAATTTTTCAAAATGAAAAGGTTTTTATACAAGAAATGTAGTTTTCACAAAGATCCTCTTTGGATCATGGCTTGTTGCCTGTGCCAGATTTAGCTAACATGTCAGAGGCGAAAGTCTCTAAGCTCGGCATGGAACTGTTGAAACTTTGCCCTAAAGTGTATGCTTAAGCTACAGAGGGTGCTTACCCTCAGGGACGCTGAGGTCCAAGCACTCAGAGACATTGAGCCTCTCAGTACAGGAAACCTGTCACCAGATAACTCACTCTCCTAGACCAGCTGTGAACTTGGCATTGCTTGGCAGGATCTTTAACCATCATTAAATAAAAACCTTGCACCAAGGTTTTAGAGCTGCCCCCAGGAGCGGCTCTACCTCAAATCGACACTTGCAATTTAAAGGATCTGCCCTTGTGATTTTTTTACTTTGGGCTTACAATTGAGATGACTATTTCTTTTCTACCTATGGTGTCTTTTTAAAAAAGTAGCTTTACTTTATTTCATTTAAAGTAATTTTATACATTATAAAATTCACCCATTTAAAGTATAATATAAAATTAAATGTTTTTTTAGTATGTTCAGAGTTACACAGCCATCACCATCATCTATTATTAGAACATTTTCATCACCCCCCAAAGAAATGTACCATTAATAATCACTCTCCATCCCCACCAATCACAGCCCTAAGCAACTACTAATCTACTTTCTGTCTCTATAGATTTGCTTATTCTGGACATTTCATAGAAATAGAACCATAGAACAGAAGGTCTTTTGTGATTGGCTTTTAAAATTAGCGTAATGTTTTCAAGGTTTCTCCATCTTGTAGCATAGATCAGTACTTCATTCCTTTTTATTGCCAAATAATATTCCATGGTACAGTATATCACATCTTGTTTGTCCATCCATCACTTGGCGGTCATTTGGGTTGTTTTGACTTTAGGGCTAGTATGAATAATGCTGCTATGAATATTCACATACAAGGCTTTGTGTGGACATACCTTTTCATCTATCTTGGGTAGACATCTCGGAGTAGAATTTCTGGGTTATGTGGTAAATCTGCGATTATCATTTTAAGGACCTGCCAGGCTGTTTTCCATGCCACCCACACTGTTTTACATTCCCATCAGTGATATATGAAGGCTCCAATTTCTCCACCTCCTCAAAAACACTTGTCACTGTCTGTATCGCCCATGAGATGTTAATACAAATGGCAGGTCTTGACCAGTTGCTTCTTCATCACAGTTTCAGTAGATCTGGAAGATGACCATTCATCTCTTTGATGTCCTCTCTTCGGGAGATTTTAAATGCCTGTTTTGTACACTCCAGGCAGATAACCCCAAACATACCTTGAAAAAATAGTCTGTCATTTTTGCATGATGTGATAATATTTCATTTCATCCATGTAGCCAGGTTTTAACCACTTACTACCTGTTTGGTCTCCTCTCTAGAGTCCCAGGATTCATAGATCCAAGTGCAGAGATAATAGCAGTTCAGCCAAAAGAATTTCAGACTTCTCCAAAGTGGCAATTAACACAGGAACTCAGGATGTCATAACTACTTATCATTTTGATAATAATACTACCTGGTAATTATTTATTTTTAACCAGGATGTAATCCAAAGACTGTAAAGCCTCATTTCTCAAAATGATGTCTATGAGCCACCTGCATCAGAATCACCTGGGTGAGGGAGTGGCTTGCTAATTATCGAGACACCCTGCCCACGTCAAAGCCACCATATTGGAACGTCTAGGAATGGAATAAAGGAATATGCATGTATAATGAGGGACAAGGTGAGTGTGCTGTGCTGCGACACATGAGAATCTCTGCTGTCAAGCCTGAAGTATGTGTCTGAGCCTTTTCTGAAGAAAAGAGTGGGAGAGCTCAGGGATATATGCCCCAGAGGTTGCTTACATGCATATCCCAGCTACGGCAGTAAGGGAGGCCAATTAGGGAAACAGCCTAGCAAGGAAGAAACAACAATTTTGTAGAGAATAGGCAGCAGTTCTCCTACTCTCCTAGAGGCAAGAACCCTGAACTTATTTGAAATGGGTCAGGGTATACACACCAGGCCTAGTTTAAGGTGTGAACCTGTTGTGCTCATTATATTGAGCTGAGCCCCTACAAGAGGACTTGAACTGTGGCTCTTTGGGTGAATGAAAATGAAAGATCCACCATGTGACACTGGGACTTGGGTGGAGAAGCCAAGGGGAAGACCGAGATGCTGGCTGATTCTACCCGGCAGGGTTGGGAAGAACCATGAGTGCTGTCCCCCCAGCTTAGCTCCTCTGGGGCCATGGAGGCAAAGGCAGGTACTGCGGTGCTGACCACCTCTGACTTGGTGAACCCCAAGGGACGGTATTAGGTGGCTCCTCCTGGAGAGGGAACTCTGGGAAGGGCCACAGTTGGGGGAAGAAGCCAGCTGGGCAGCTGTTTCCAGGAGGGCAAAGTCTCCAAAGCCCAGAGCCAACAGTGGTGGCAGCAGCAATAGGAGGATGGTTATTTCTCATGTTGAAGAAGGAGCAAATTCCTTTCTCTGAATCCCACCTAAGTGATCAAAATCCCATCCCAGCAGCTGCAGCCGAGGGTGGGTTCTGAGTCCCCAGAGGGAAGAGGAGACAGTGAGGCAACTCTGAGCTAAAATCCCACAGATGGACCGCACTTTAGCTCATAAAGGCAAGTCCTCAAAGGATCCTAAATGGACAGAGTCAAGAGTTGGAAGCCTGGATTGAAACAAAGGAAGCAGATCCCAGTGATGACTATGACACCTAATCAGTGTGCACCTCCTTCCATCGGCGGGGAGGCGAGGCCGCAGAGTGAGGGCTAAGAGTATAGCCAGGGTGGGGAGATTAAGCCTGGAGGTGCTTCTGGGGCTGGTCCCTGTCAGGGGCTTGCTTGGGAAGACAGACACTCAGGACTGAGTTTTTCCCAGGCTTGGCATTTTCTACCCAAGGTGTGAGTCTGAGCCTTTCCAGTTTTCTCTGGAAGGAGCTGGAAAAGACACCTGAGGGGTAGGAAAGGAGTTCTCAAACTGTTGATCGCTGGGGTTGTGAATCACAGAAGAGCCGGCTTGGGTGACTGCCTGCCTTTTGAACGCTCCACTGGGGTTGTGGGTGTAAATCTAGTGAGTTTATTATTTGCAAGATCTTGAACACTCTCAGTACATAATGAACACACACACTCAGACGCCCACCTATAAACACACACCAGTAATCAGATACCACAAACCACATAGATTGCCAAAGCTCCTCTAGAGAGAAGAGTTGATACCGATCCCTTTGAATCAGACCTGAGAGGATCATTTTTCAGCAAGAGACAAAGGGAGGAAGGCTGCATTGTCTCAGCAATGCTGGTGAGGGTTCGGATACCAAAACTATCTGGGCTGGAAACCTTGAGCGATCAGGTTCCCTAACCAAACTCGAAGTATTTCCTGGTCTGAGCTGGCCCTAAAATGCCAGAAGTGCCCTGGAGCTCCTGTTATTTTGGTATTTCCAGCAATTAGTGGTGTTGAAAAATCCGTAGAGGGAAAAGAAAACGTAGGCAGTGATTTCATGAAAGAAAAAAACAAACAAACAAATGCCTATGCAAGGGTGAGAAGGTAAGCCATATTTTTACTTTAATTTGAGGAAAATGTTCAATTCTACGTTTTATCTGCTCCAGATCGCTTGCTGGTATGTGGGACAATGACGGAAAGACTGGTATCTGTCGAGTCAAGTTGTGGATCTAAGTTTTATCCTCTGTCAGTTAGGTATTTCAAGTTTTCAGACAGACTTAAAGTCATTAGTTGGGAATCTTAATGCAAGCAGAGGCTTTCAAAGAGGCCTCTTCCTGGTGCTGCTGAGAAGGCTGAGCGAGGACATACTCAGGCGGTGACCAAGTGCTGATAACTGGAGAGGGGTGAATTTATGAAGTGAGCAGCTCATCAAAAACACAAGTCGCTCAGAATTCATCGAAGCAGGTGCGAAATGACCGGGTTTCAACAGCTGAGGTAGGATGATACTTTGTAATAAGAGAAGCCATTTCTGGGACAGGGTCGAGTGAGACCAAGATTAATCAGGGCAGGCTGCGATGAGGCCAGCGTGCCGGAGCTCGGTTAACCCACGCGGAGATGACAAGCCGGCAGCTCAGCAAGGAATGCAGGCAGAGGGCAGCCACGGGAGGCCCACGCGGACCCCAAGGGCCTCGGGAATGGCTAAAACAGAGTCGCACCCCAGCATCAGGAGGCAACGCGTGCAATGTGTAGCACACTGCAGGCTTTCATTGTATTCCATAAATGAAATATTTATATACGATCGATTTATTAAAATATTTATGTTTTCCATTGAAAATACAGTTTTCAACATTTTGCAAACCAAAAATATCAGCAGACATGGAGGAGACTTTACTAATGATTTTCTGCCTCTTTCTTTCAAACGCTTGAAAAGTCAGTAATGATCCTGTTTGTCTCCTGTTTCAAATTTTTGGTTTCCTTAAAAGGCATTCAGAATGAAATGCAGACTCCTCTTCCTCTTCCTCCTCCTCCTCTTCTTCCTCCTCTTCCTCCTCTTCCTCCTCTTCCTCCTCCTCCTCTTCTTCTTCTTCTTCTTCTTGTTCTTCTTCTTCTTCTTCTTCTTCTTCTTCTTCTTCTTCTTCTTCTTCTTCTTCTTCTTCTTCTTCTTCTTCTTCTTCTTCTTCTTCTTCTTCTTTCTTCTTCTTCTTCTTCCTTTTTAGAAGTGCACCAACCCAACAAGGCAGGTACATTTTATTGATTGTACTTTTTGGAGTTGAGTTAGAAAAACAAAAAACATTATCTTAGGGTACATGTTCTCGGGCCAAGAGCTTGGCGAATAGGACAGCCTTTCCCAGGGACTGCCAACACCAGAGCAGCTCGGAAATGTCTGCATCTTTGAAAGAAGGGATGCACGCATTCCACAGCTGGCCCCATGAGAAGGGTACTTGGCCAAGAAGTCCCCCTGCAGAGCCACACTCTAGAGAAACGACATCACTGAGCTGAGTGAATGTCAGTGCCAGCCTCCAGCACTGTTGAGATTGTTTGCGTTGTGTTTTTAATAAAGAGAAATGGTGTGAAATTCTATGGAGGAAAGAAAATTTTCCAGGTTAACTCAACTTGGGTGGTGTTCCTGAAGACCAGACATTCAAAGCAGTGCTGTTTTATTCTTCATGTTTTTCTTTGACTCTGCTTTGAGAGGTCAGAGTGTCAGACAATACCAGCTACATAATTTGCAGATCCCAGTGAAAAATGAAAATGCAAGTCTCCTTGTTCAAAAATTATTAAAACTTTTGGCCAGGCGTGGTGGCTTACACCTGTAATCCCAGCACTTTGGCCAAGGCAGGTGGATCACCTGAAGTCAGGAGTTCTAGACCAGCCTGGACAACATGGTGAAACCCTGTCTCTACTAAAACTACAAGAAAACTAGCCACGTATGGTGGCACACGCCTGTAATCCCAGCTACTCAGGAGGCTGAGGCAGGAGAATCACTTGAACCCAGGAGTTGCAGGTTGCAGTGGGCTGAGATTGCAGCATTGTACCCCAGCCTAGGCAACAAGAGCAAAACTCCGTCTCAAAAAAAAAAAAAAAATTATTAAGACTTTTAACATGGTAACAACAGGGCATCTGCCAAGAGTGGGGCTCTTTGGAGCTTCACCTCCTGGCTTCAGGGACGCCTCTACCCTCAAATACAAAGCCTAAAGGTTATGAGGCCCCTACTTCTTCCTCCGACAAGGCAGTGCTGTGCAGGTAACTCTTTGAGCTCTGCCAACTTGCTGGAGGTTTCTCTCTTTAGCCTTTGCCAGACCAGTCAAGGAAACTGTGAGTTCTCACTGCAAAAGCTGCAAGGCTAGGGCAGCTTACTGAGCAGAGGCCATAGAAAAGACCAGGTTTTTTCGATTTTATTTCCTAAAAATAACATTTGTCATGGGATCTTTTTCTGACTATAAAAATAATACATGTTTATTGAAGAAATGCAAAAAAAAAAAAGCAGAAAGAAAACAAATCACCAATAATTCACATTTGTCATGGGATCTTTTTCTGACTATAAAAATAATACATGTTTATTGAAGAAACGCAAAAAAAAAAGCAGAAAGAAAACAAATCACCAATAATTCCACCGCATGGACATAACCACTGGTCACATACTGTTATATATCCTCATTTTTTCTACACATGTTTTATATATATGTGTATACATATAAATTTTCCAAAATGGGATTATACTATATGATATTGTTTCCAAAACTTTTTCAACTTAATATTTTAATATTTCTCTTTGTCATCAAATATTCTTTAACTGCCTCATTTTTAGGGGTCAGAGAGTGGTCATATGTACATACATACAAATATGGAGAGAGAATGTATTTTTTGCAGTGCATTTAACATACATACATGTGTAATTTATATTAATATTCTCATATATACACATATATGTATATACACAGACGAAAATATATTTACAGTAGATTGTATGAATTTGGTCGTTACTCACAAATACACCATTGTCTATGTCTGGCCACACTAGTCAATGTTTGCTCACTTTGCAGCATTTAAAAGTGAGGAGTTGACTTCACATGTACTCCTGAACCTAAAATAAAAGTTAAAAAAAGGAGGAGTTGAACTGATTTTTTTTTAAATCACAAACCAAAAAAAAAAAAAAAAAAAGAAATCAGGGCACCTCTGTCCTCTGAAACAATTGGCACATTTTGTCCAATAATTAGTTCACTGAGTGCAATCCTGTTGGGTCTAAGCAGTAAATGGCATTTCTTGATTTTCACAGGTGATGATTCATTTGGAATCAACAAATGTTCATGGAGCGGATAACCAGTGATATTCCTGCTCTTCAAATGGGAGCATTTCCTCATTCCGTCACGCAGGCGGGGGTGGCCAAGAGCCTCCAGATTAAAAAGAATAATACTAATAACACACCAAAATGTTTCAATGCATGAAGGGGTGTTTCAGAAGTGGCTTTTCATTTCAACATTCTTTCAACAGTTCCGTCAACTTCTTATAAAATTGAGAGTAAATACTTTTTAAAGGGGTGTGTGTGTGTGTGTGCTGGTATTTTGGTGTGATTTGTATTGTGTTATTGAAATATGCTACCCTGGAAAATGCTCAGCTATAAATGCCATTCCTTATAAACATGAGCTGGGCTGCTGATGCATGGCTTTGCAGTTCTCTTTGAACTGCAGTTTTGCTGCTCTCTACGGCCTTCTTGCCACAGAGCAAATGTCTGGGAATAAGAAATGGAGAGGCAAAGGTCATGAAGTGATAGTGGAAAGAATCGGCATCTCTCCCGGTAGGCAGGACTGGCTGACATGGATCTACACTTCCCTTGTGCCAGGGCTTGTGCTCGGTGCTGTCATGCAGCTTCTCTCATTAACCCCCAGCAGCTCTTTCAAGTATGACTAGCCCAGTTATTAGAAGGAAATGGAGAATCAGACCACTCAAGTGTCTTGTCTAAAGTCACATCACTATTAGATCCCAAAACTTAAATGGGATCAGATCTTCTCATTCTGCAGGCAACATTGCTTTTCCAACTAATCTGTCCCGCCTCCTTGGAGGGACGGGAATAAGGACCTGCCCTGTCCTATTTCTATGGAGTATTCTGAGGGCGGTTCTGGCACATGGCAGTACCTGGTAGCTTTCAGAATGACTTTTCAGTCTCCACACTTGACAGCATTAGCTAGTGACTGGCTCATGTGTATTCCTTTAAAGATCATAACCTTGGTTAGACAACCCCAGAGGAACAAGCCAGCATTTTCCTAGTGATCTTAACAGTGGCCTAAACTTTTGGATCTTCTCTAAGAGTCGAAGAAAGAAAAAGTGTGTTTGTATGTGTGTGCGTGCACTCATGTGTTTGTGTGTGTACAACAGACATGAAGCAGTCGGGAGTAGGAGCTGGGACACAGGAGGAACAAGCACCTCTGGAACTTCACTCAGTAACATAAGAAAGCTGAAGTGGGCCCACCCGGTGCCGTGGACCCTGCCTGACTTCCTTCCATGGCTCCGTTGCCATGTGCATATCCACATTCATCCCACACCTTTCATTCCACACATATGCACCAATGCAAAAATCTCATGATTTTCTGCAGGGCTATCATGGCTACTCTAAGGGGTCTAAAATGCTTTCTGGGTCAGATTATTTCTAGAGAACAAACTCCTGCTTCCATCAGGCCAGGAGAGGCTGCTAGGTCAGGCAGTGTCTGAGCACAACTCCTCAAGGGAAGGGATTGCTCTCTGATCACCCTCCCTCCACTACAATACACACACACCCAAATACACAATAGGGTTTCCCCCTTGCAGCCAGGTATATCGTTTACTCAAAGAGGAAACCATTAGGAACTTATGAGACAAGCTGGGCCAAGGAAATGCTCATGTCACATGGTCCCACTGCAGTGCTAGTGAGGAAAAGACCTGGAAAATGCACCAAACGCCTGTCACGGACGAACAGCCATGAACTGTGAGGGGAGCTTATACCCCTTCAATGACTGTGGGCCTCTACACTCATCCCACCTGACTCTGACCCTCAGAGCTCAGAAATGCTTGTTAAACAACTAAGTGCTCTGACTTATGCGACAGCATCACCTGGGAACTTGTTAGAAATGCAGAACCTCACACCCCACCCCAGATCACTGCATCTGCACTTGAACAAATCCCAGGTGGGCCATGTGAACACAGATGCTCAGCTCTAAACTCCAGAGGAGGTGCTGTCAACCCTGGTTGTCCAGCAGAATCACCTGGAGAGATTCGTAACTGGCCCACCCTTAGTCTGTGATTGAATTTATCAGGGGTGTGGCCCAGGCAGGGGCATGTTTTAACCCACCCCCACCCATCTAGGGTTGTCAAACATAGCAAATGAAAATACAGAATGCCCAGCTAAATGTGATTTTCAGATAAAATTTTTTTTTAGTGTACATATAAATACTGTGCATATTATATACAATATTTGGGACACACATTAAGAAGTTACTTGTGTTTATCTGAAATGTTAGTTTAACTGAGCACTCTATTTAATTTGGCAACCCAGTCCCCAGGTGATCCTAATGTACATCCAGGGTTAAGAACCTCTCTTCTAAATCAAGCCTGTTGTTATGCAAATATTTGTCCTGAAATTTCCCAAATGATCCTGATGTTAACTATTGTCTCTCAAGATGGTCGGGGATCATACTTTGGAAGGAAGGCCTTTCTCATAATGGTCTTGAGCAACTACAGGGCCCATGCAAGTCTACTAATGGCAAGTGGATGGAGAAATTGAGTTGCCAGGTGACCCATACATATATGTCCGGTATTTAATAATTTTGTCCTGTGTCGTGTATTCACTTTGTTGGGACTCCCTAAATGTCCTGTACTCCACTACTTTTAAAATAAATTACCAAAATGCAGCAGTTAAAGCTATTTTTCAAGTTTAATTAGGTATCCTATATTTTTATTTGCTAAGTCTGGCAACTAAATGGAGAAACCACTCGCTAAAATCCTGGCGAATTTATCCTGAGAAATGTGTCCTCCCAGATTCAGTACTTGTCTCGACCTCTGTTAAGTTTTTCACTCCAGATCTCTGAACTTCAGCAGGTCAAGTCTGCTAGAAAAATGTGGCTACTCTACCAGCCAAGAATTTCAGTTCATTCTTTGCTGTTCCTGTTAAGTTGAATTTAATAGTTTGGCATTTATCTCACTCATATTTCACACATGGGATAAATTAATACTGACAGACATTTGTTGCTAATAAAATGATCCCAAACTTCTTGGTACTTTCTTGTATTATTTTGTAAAGAGTAAAATTAAGGCAAGCAGTGGCTATAAAAACAGGGAACGGGGACTCACAGATAAGTCAGAATGCATATGAAATGACTATTCACAGACTGCTGACTCCCACATGGAACCCTGAGTTGCAGATTCTACAGAAAAGACGGGGAGGTTAGTGGCTCTCAAGTGTGCTCAGTCAAATAACACAAACATCTTAAGAAACTCTCTGTGAGAGTCTTGGTTGGGAACCAGTTGGTTGAGGGGAGGTGAGGTTGGGAAGGGGAGTGAGACGATGATGACCTTATGCTAGAGAGAGCCCAAGGGGACAACTGAAGCCCAGGTCAGCCTCCTCTGGGAAAGAACTGTATTTTTGTCATTTTCTCTCCCTCACATTCCCTGTCCTGATTCCTATTCCATCTTTACTGTGGGCCAGGGAACAGCAAAGTATCTGTGTGTGAATGAAGGCTGAACGGATACCAAGTCTTAATTTGCAAGCTGGATGTTCAGGTTGAAGAATTATCCCAGTAGGCATCAAGAAAGAAGGAAGAAAGGAAAAGAATGACAGAAGAGTTAAGAGATATGGAAGACAGACATAGAAGTGCCAACATTTTCTAATAGCATCCCAGAAGGAAAAATGAGAATAAACGGAGGGAAGGAAATGGTGGTCCAAGCAGACAACAAACAACCACACGTGTGAAAGATTGGAACAGCATGATTAGTGAGGCTAATATATATTAATATAAGTGCTATTATATACAATAAATCATATGTATACATCTCTTCATCCCCAACAAACGAGATTCATATTCTTTTCAAGCTCATAGGGACTTCACAAAAACTGGACATGTGCTTGGTTGCAAAAAGATTAAAAACATTTCAAGGCATTCATGCCATTCAGACTAAATTCTCTGACCACAGTGCAATAAAATTAGAAACCTATAAAATGGTAGTTTTCGTAAAATTCCATATGTCTAGGCACCAATAAAGATACCACTGAACAATATTTGATTTCAAGAGAAAATCAGTTAGAAAAGTGATTAAAATATGTAGAGCTTTGTGGCAAAAAAAGCATTGCATTTCAAAGTTAGTGGAATGGAGCCAGAGCAGTGCTTCCAGGACTATGGAGAGCTTTAAATACATGGAACAGAAACCAGGAAAGGTGGAAAATGAGCTATTTAACTCAAGAAGGTAAAGAGTAATGAAACCTACATAACAAAACAAGAAGAAAAGAGATAAGGGATGTAAACACTGGGAGAGACAAAGAGAAAGAGAATAATGCATATGAAAAATGAAAGCCAGTCTTATGGAAAGCCCATATGAATCATTAAAGAATGGGCAGCAAGGATTACAAATAAATGAAGTATATAGCAGAAAGAGAATAAAATTATAGCAATACTAGAGTTTTTAAAAGTATTACAGTGTAAATACAGTATATATAGTATATAGATGTCCTCTATATAGATATAAGGTATTATTTGCTTATAAAAGTAATTTGTATATAGATAGATAGATGTCCTCTATATATATACAAATTACTTACATAGACACATACACACACATATATACAAATGTGATCCTGGGACCAGCATCGCCTGGGAACTTCTGGAAAATGCAAATTCTCAGGCTCCTTCCCAGACCTACTCAATCAGAAACTGGGATTAGGGCCAGGAATCTGGGTTTTAACATGCCTCCTCCCACCCGAGGTGATTCTGATACCTGATAGAGTGTGAGGACCTTTGGTATAGGTGATAAATGCTATGGAGAAAAAGCAGGCAAGGGGTACATCATCATGGAGAAGGATGTTTCTTATTTCAAATAGAATAATTAGGAAAGATCGCATTGCTATGGGTGACTTTTGAGCAGAGCACCTAAAAGAGATAAGGAAGAGAATGATGCAGATATATGAGTGAAGAGTGTTCCAGGCAGACAGAGTGGCAAGTGCAAAGGGCCTGAGGCTGGACAATGTTTAATGTGTCCAAGTAAAACCAGCTCAATTCTTCCATAGAAGTGAAGCTTGATAAATTTACACCTGTCATATCTAAGTTCCTTTCTCAGGAAACCTACCATCAGGCCTCCCAGATACTATTCAGGAACTGAGGCTTTTCAGATCCCCACACCTGGGCAATAAGACGCACCTGCTGCCTGTTGACCAGCTCCTCTTTCTCACCCCCTCCTTAATTCCTATTTTCCTGCACATGATTACAATGAGACATCAGATACCAGACCTTTCATCTGACCACCTGCCACCTGCTGAGCAACTCTTCCTTGCAGCTTCTGTGTTTCTTCCCCACTATATAAGCTCCTAACTTTAGTCAGAGCTGGGAAAGGTGAGTTGGAGGCTTGTCTCCCATCTCTCCAGCTGATGTCGCCTGAAATGAAGCCTTCCTTCCCTGGCAATACTCATCATATGAGAGATTGGCGACCAGACCTAAGCTGAATCCCTGGCATTCGGCAACACAAGGAACAGCAAAGAGGTCAATATAGCTGAGGAAAGTGAACCAGGAAGAGAGTATTAAATGCAGTTGGAAAGGTGAAGGTGGGGGAAGGGTTATGGGAGCAGATCCCACTGGACCTGTCCCTGAATTGCTCACGAGATGAGAGCATTTCCCTTTACCCTGGGTATACTTTGGTGGATCAGCTGATCTCGTTCCTTAAAAACTCCCCAAGTTGCCTATCACAGGGAGAATTTTACATAGGGAAACTGATTACAAAGGGACGGAGGCATGGAGAAGCCAAATATACAGGTTGAACCACATATGGGGCACCTCAGAAGCCCCCAAATCTTCCACCCCTGCAGCCTAGTAGCAGGCTTGCCGGCTGCCTGGGGGTCTCCCAGGGCAGTTCTTGCTTGCTCCTGCCATCTGAGCCACTTGGCCCTTGTCTTAAAGGAATGGCAGGAGTTCTCAACATGGGTACTCATTCATTTTGGAGAGCAGGCAAAATTACTTCTACAAGGAGAGGGAAGCTGACCCAGAGGGCAGAATGTTCTTCATATTTCCCTTTTCCCCTCTTCCCTTTCCTTACCCCTTTCCTCCCATCTTCTCCATGGCACTTTGGCTGGAAGGGACTCACATTTCTGTGGCACTCCAGGGCCACAGTCAGCCAGGTGAAAAAACTGCACATCAGGGTCAGCTTTCGTTTCTGTCGTCTCACAGAACTTGTACTCTTGCTTTTCTTTGCTAAAAAGCAGCAGACCTCATGGTTAGGAGCACAGACTTGAGAGAGAGACAGATGTGCCTCGAAGCCAGTTCTGACTTCGTCGGTTACAAGCTTGGACAAGCCACTTTGCTAAGCCTCATTCTCCCTGTCTTTAAAACTATTCAATTGTATTGACCTCACTGAGCCTTGTCATGAATTTCAGCTAGGTAACCTGTAAAGAGCCTGCATATTTGCCTCTCACTTATCTCATACTCAGTAATTGCACTTCTGTTGTCATAACTGAATTTATTATTTTTAACAGCCCACCCCAAATCAGATTCCCACATGCCAGTGTTAGTGGGTCCTGTTTTCATTGAATGTAATTCCTGGGCCTATATTGCCTTAGATCCATTCTGTATCCTTCTCTGTTCTGCTTCCCATAACAAATGAGGAGACTGCATCTCCTGGGGCTTCCAGGCAAGTGACTTTGAATGGGTTCACCCAGAGGTAAGGTAGGGGAGAAGCCAGGGCATTTCTTCCCTTCCTGCTCTATCTGGGTGGCATACTTGCAGAGGCTGTATCTTCCCTGGGGCTTTAGCTCCTGCCTTATGGTCCCCAGCTTTCATTGAATGATCCTCATCCTTAGGACTTGGTGAGATGGTTTGGCTGTCTCCCCACTCAAAATCTCATCTTGAATTGTAATCCCCATAATCCCCATGTGTCAAGGGTGGGACCAGGTGGAGGTAACTGGATCATGAGGGTGGTTTCCCCCATGCTGTTCTCGTGATAATGAGTGTGTCTCACAAGATCTGATCATTTTATAAGCATCTGGCATTTCCTCTGCTTGCACTCACTCCATCCTTCTACACTGTAAAGAAGGTGCCTGCTTCTCCTTCACCTTCTGCCTTGAGTGTAAGTTTCCTAAGGCCTTCCCAGCAATGCAGAACTGTGAGTCAATTAAACCTCTTTCCTTTATAAATCACCCAGTCTGGGGTATTTTTTCATAGCAGTGTGAGAACAGACTAATACAGTAAATTGGTACCGAAGTAGTGGGGCCACTGCTGTAAACATACTCAAAAATGTGGAAGTGACTTAAGAACTGGGTAACAGGCAGAGGTTGGAACCATTTGGAAAGCTCAGAAGACAGGAAGATGTGGAAAAGTTTGGAACTTCCTAGAGACTTGAAGAATGGTTCAAACCAAAATGCTGATAGTGATTGGACAATGAAGTCCAGGCTGAGGTGGTTTCAGATGGAGATAAGGAACTTCTTGGGGCCTGGAGCAAAGGTGACTCTTGCTATGCTTTAGCAAAGAGATTGAGAGCATTTTGCCCCTGCCCTAGAGATCTATGGAACTTTGAACTTGAGAGAGATGATTTAGGGTATCTGGTGGAAGAAATTTCTAAACAGCAAAGCATCCAAGAGGAAGCAGAGTACAAAAGTTTGAAAAACTTGTAGCCTTATGATGCAATAGAAAAGAAAAACCCATTTTCTTTAGAGAAATTCAAGTCAGCTGTAGAAATTTACTTAAGTAAAGAGGAGCTGAATGTTAATCACTGAGACAATGGGGAAAACGTCTCCAGGGCATATCACAGACCTTCACAGTAGCCTCTCTCATCACAGGCCCAGAGGCCTGGCAGGGAAAAATGGGCTGGGCCCTGCTGTATGCAGCCTCAGGACATGATGCCCTGCATTCCAGCTGCTTCAGCTCCAGCAGTGGCTAAAAGGGGCCAAGGTATAGCTCAAGCCATTGTTTTAGAGGGTGCAAGCCCCAAGTCTTGGTGGCTTCCATGTGGTTGAGCCTGTGGGTGCACAGAAGTGCACAGAAGTCAAGAATTGAGGTTTGGGAACCTCTGCCTAGATTTCAGAGAATGTATGGAAACACCTGGATAACCAGGCGTAAGTTTGCTGAAGGAGTGGAGCCCTCAAGGAGAACCTCTGCTAGGGCAATGCAGAAGGAAAATGTGGAGTTGCAGCCCCATACAGAGTCCCCATGGGAATACTGCCTAGTGGAGCTGTGAAAAAAGGGTCACCATTCTCCAGACCCCAGAATGGTAAATCCACTGACAGCTTGCACCATGCACCTGGAAAAGCCACAGACACTCAACACCAGCCTGTGAAACCAGCCAGGAGGGGGGCTGTACCCTGCAAAGCCAAGGGGCAGAGCTGTGAAGGCTGTGGGAGTCCATTTCTTGGATCAGGATGACTTGAATGTGAGACATGGAATCGAAGGAGATCATTTTGGAACTTCAAGGTTTAATAACTGCCCTATTGGATTTTGGATTTGCATGGGGCCTGTAGCCCCTTTGTTTTGGCCAATTTTTTCTTATTCAGAATGAGTATATTTATGAGTATATTTATGAGTATATTTACCCAATGCCTGTACTCCCATTGTATCTAGGAAGTGTCTAACTTTTTTTTTTTTTTTTTTTTTTGAGACGGAGTTTCATTCTTGTCACCCAGGCTGGAGTGCAATGGCACGATCTCAGCTCACTACAACCTCCACCTCCCTGGTTCAAGTGATTCTCCTGCCTCAGCCTCCTGAGTAGCTGGGATTACAGGTGTGTGCCACCAGGCCCAGCAAATCTTTTTGTATTTTTAGTAGAGATGGGGTTTCATCACGTTGGCCAGGCTGGTCTCAAACTTCTGACCTCAGGTGATCCAACCACCTCGGCCTCTCAACTTGCTTTTGATTTTACAGTCTTCTAGGTGGAAGGGACTTGCCTTGTCTCAGATGAAACTTTGGACTTGGACATTTGGATTAATGCTGGAATGAGTTAAGACTTTGGGGGACTGTTAGAAAGGCATGATTGTGCTTTGAAATGTGAGGACATGAGATTTGGGATGGGCCAAGAGTGGAATTATATGATTTGGCTGTGCCCCACCCACAATCTCATCTTAAATTGTAGTCCCCATAATCCCCATGTGTCAAGGGCAGGACCAAGTGGAGGTAATTGGATCACCGGGGCAGTTTCCTCCATGCTGTTTTTGTGATAATGAGTGAGTCTCACAAGATCTGATGGTTTTATAAGTGTCTGGCATTTCCCCTGCTTGCACTCACTCTGTCCTGCTGCCCTGTGAAGAGGTACCTGCTTTTCCTTTGCCTTCTGCCATGATTGTAAGTTTGCTGAGGCCTCCCCAGCCATGCAGGACTGAGTCAATTAAACATCTTTCCTTTATAAATTACTCAGTCTTGGGTATTTCTTCATAGCAGTGTGAGAATGGGCAAATATACTTGGGAACATTGCTTCTTTCTTTTCCCCATATGGCTTAGGGGGTGGCAGTAGATTTCCAGCTCTTTCTCATCTTTGGGTTAATATTTTCTGTTTCTTTATTCTTCTTCATTTCTCCTTCCCTTTGTAATTTTTTCCTAAATTCAGTTCTCTCTGTGATAATATTAGATGTGGTTTTTATGTTTCTGATTAGAACATGATAGATACTCATGTCTTGCAATGAATATTTGCTCCCTTGTTTAGGATTGGTATGAATCCCCCATTCCTTGACCCTGCCTGGGAAAACAAACAAACAAACAAACAAAAAACCTAGCTCCTATGGAAAGAGTTCAGAGTATTTATTTCAGGCTTTCATTGGTTCTGCCCCTTCCAACTTAAAAATGAAGGGCTTTCTCTGCTAAACTATGACCTAAACTAGAGTCATATTGGAAATGCTGGAATGTAGAATGTTGGAAAAGGGAGGGAAATCCACAAGCTGTCTATACTTGATGCAGGAACAATTTCTAAGGAGTAGAGAAGGTATGACTTTTCAAAATGGAGAAGGTCTTCTTTGCATCTAAAAATCTGTAGATTCTCAATTTTAAAACTACACAGCTACAGTAATCAAAACAGTATGGCACCAGTGTAAGAACAGACATACAGACCAATGGAATAGAACTGGCAGCCCAGAAATAAACCCTCACATCTATGGTCAATTAATTTTCAACTAGGGTGTCAATACTATTTAAGGCAAAAGGATAGTCTTTTTATCAACTGATGCTGGGAAAATGATCTCTGTGCAATAGAATGAAGTTGAAACCTTACATCATACCATAGGCAAAAGTTAACTCAAAATAGATCAAAGATCTGAATTTAAGAGCTGAAACTGTTAAACTCTTAGAGGAAACATAGGGGAATATCTTCATGACTTTGGATTCGGTGATGGCTTCTTAAATATAACACCTAAAGCATAGACAACAACCACAAAAATAGGTCAATTGAACTTCATTAAAACTTGAAACTTTTGTATATCAAAGGACACTATTGAGAGTGAAAAAACCCATAGAAAAGAAAAAAACACTTGCAAATCATATCTCTGATAAGGGATTAATATCCAGAATACATTAAAACTGCAATTCGATAACAAAAAGATAAACAGCCCAATTAAAAAATGGACAAAGGACTTAAACATTTTCTAAAGAAGATATGCAAATGGCAATAAGCACATGAAAAAGATGTAATATCATTAGTCATTAGGAAAGTGCAAGTCAAAACCACAGTGAGATGCCACTTCACACCCACTAGGATGGCTATAACAGAAAAAGACAAAAACAGAAAATAACAAGTATTGGTGAGGATGTGGAGAAATGGAAACCTTTGTACATTGCTAGTAGGAAGGTAAAATTGTGCAGTCACGTGGAAAACAGTCTGGTAGTTCCTCAAAAAGTTAAATGTAGAATTACTAGTAATTCCACTCCTAAGTATAGACCTAAAATAATTGAAAAGAAGAGTTCAGACAGATATATGCCAATGTTCATGGAGCATTATTTACAATAACCAAAAGGTAGACGCCAACTAATTGTCCATCAACAGATGAATGGATAAACAAAGTGTGTTATATACATGCAATGGAATATTATTCAGTCCTAAAAAGAAACAAAATCCTGATACATGCTGCAACATGGAGGAACCTTGATATCATTAGGCTAAGTGAAAGAAGCCATCCATAAAAAAACAAATAATGTACATTTCTACTTACACAAAATATCTAGAATAAGCAAATTCAGAGAGACAGAAAGTAGATTAGAAGTTACCAAGGGCTGGAGAAAGAGAGAAGTTGGGAGTTGTTGCTTAATGGGTACAGAGTTTCTGTTTGGGGTGATGTTTTGGAAATAGTGGTGATGGTTGCACAGCAGTGTGAATGTAATTCATGCCATTGAATTGGACACATAAAATGGTCAAAATGGAAAATTTTATATTATGTATATTTTACATATATATCTATATATAGGTATTTATGTATATTTTACATATATATCTATATAGAGATATTTATGTATATTTTACATATATATCTATATAGAGATATTTATGTATATTTTACATATATATCTATATAGAGATATTTATGTATATTTTACATATATCTATATAGAGATATTTATGTATATTTTACATATATATCTATATAGAGATATTTATGTATATTTTACA
This sequence comes from Homo sapiens, assembly GCF_000001405.40. NCBI lineage: Eukaryota > Metazoa > Chordata > Mammalia > Primates > Hominidae > Homo > Homo sapiens. The sequence continues at coordinate 38,120,722 of NC_000005.10, read as the reverse complement.
TATATATCTATATAGAGATATTTATGTATATTTTACATATATATCTATATAGAGATATTTATGTATATTTTACATATATATCTATATAGAGATATTTATGTATATTTTACATATATATCTATATAGAGATTTATGTATATTTTACATATATATCTATATGTATGTAATTTTTAAGCAGATATATATGTAATTTTTAAGCCTGTAGATTGCTGGGCCAGACGTGAACAGGGATCAGTATGATTTCTATATGAGTTTCATAGTGACCATCCCACCCTCACCCACTGCAGCCAGCCCCATTATCTTGGCTCCCCAACTCTTCTTTCCTGGGTAGATTTTTTGAGTCCAGTTTCTTCTTGAGGATCTTTGCACACAGAGGGTACAGGCTTCTGGGAGTTATGATGTGTAAGAGCAAGGGGCTGGGGGTCAGCAGGATAGAAACATATTGTTTTGAGGGTAGACAGGGAGAGGTTTCATTCAGCAGCTACTGTGAGGGGGAGCTTTGGGATAAGGGCAAGATGTCTAAAAGGTTATCAGGCATGCATTAAGAAAATCTATTATAAAGATCGATGTAACTCTCCAAGGAAGGCTGCAGCAAGATTGCTGTTTCTCTGAATGCAACACTGTGTAAAGGCAGAGCTGCAGGGAATGTCTGATTTTGTGCAAGTTACATATTCAATGGACAAATGGTCATTTGTCTCCCAAAGGAGGCAGTCCAGCCCCATCCCCCATTAGTACTGTTTTCCACTAATGACCTGAAGGATGCCTATCTGTAGGCATTACAGGCAAGACCGTGCAACCAAAAACAGCAAAAATGTTCTTCCAGGAAAGTTCACATGGTAAAACTCCCTTAGACGCCATTTTGCTCTCAGAGATACACTTTTGACCATTAACATTCCACAAACTCTAGCAGCAGCTATCCAAATCTGTACCACACTCAGTTTTCCTCACTGACAGCCTCTCCCACCCCCAAACAAAGTTTGATCTTGTTTCAGCCTCTGCACATGGCCTGCCCCCAGATCTGGAATGTTCTCCTACCTGGAATGTCCTCTCTACTCCTGTCTGCTCATCTAAATCCCACTCGACCAGAAACCCACCTCTTCTTCAGAGCCCATACCAGTCTCCAATTTGCAATAATGTCTCCCCAGCCTGATCTCCTCTAGTCATTATTTTTTCCGCCTCACATTTTGGGCCTTACTAATGATCTGATTCCTTTTGTTCTTTCATTGATATGGGGATTGTCTAACCCCTGCCTACAGACTGCGGTTTCCTTGCAATAAGGGTCACATCACACACTCCTAGGGCTTTTCAGTGTGACACTAGCCTAGCACTATGCCAGACACATAACAGGTAGTTAGTAAAAATCTGTGTATTTGCTTCGAGTTGATGCAGAAGATCTTCTCGTTTCCTAATCTCAGCACCACCCACTAGATACATGTTTTTTGTCTCATTTTTAATTGTGCAACATGATGTCATGCCACATACTGAGTTTACTTTGCAAAGTGATTTACTAGTGGAAGGTGTTATTATAACTACACGAGGACCACCCTCCTCACTGTCTTTGCTAGCTGAGTCCCAGTTTTGTCCAGATAGCAATATGGTTGGCCCTGGGGGATGAATGTGATTATGACAGGCCACCTGTGAGGCCAGTGGCAGTCAAGTCACCCAGTTGTAAGTCAGGTGACCCTGTGAGATATAAAAGTCGACTGGGGATTTCTGGGAAAGATTTGGGGCTTTTTCTTGTTAAAAAGTAGCCAATCATAGAAGGAAAGTATTTTGCCCACTTCTCTGCCTTCCTTTTTGGGAAGCTGTCAAGTGAAGAACATGATTTTGGAGCCGTGCAGCCATCTTATGGCCGTGAGGGAAAAGTAGCTCACAAACAGAGGACGGCAGAGAACAAAGACAGAAGGAATATGCATCCTTGACAACATCCTTGAGCCATTAAACTTAACTTGGAGCCTTTTCTTTTTAAGCTTTTTGTGATGTGAGAAAAATAAGTATTTGAATTAATTGCAAATGTCTACTTTGTTGCCTTCACCCCACTCTAGACCTTCCAGGGCAACCCAGGTGGGCCAGGCTAGTGAAGGTAAATCCCACATGAAGCTCTCTTTTCTCCCTCTGACCCTGTTTCCTCCTCCAGCCTATAAAGCTGGAAGATCCAACCTTGGGATGGGACAGACATGAATTCAAACAGTGCCTATCTCTATGATGCCCCTGAGAGGGTCAGCTATTTTACAAGCTCATCACGATTCTAAGAACTGACTAAATCACTGAAAATGTTTCCAGGCCTCAGACTCAACAAACGAGTCCTTTTCTGGACTTATCAAACCTGTGCAAAAAGGACATTTGTGATAAGCACTATGAATGAGAAACATCTGGTCATGTAAACTCACAGAATGGTAAGGGTGGAGGAGAAAGTGGAATGAGCGTCTAAAAGGAGGATATCTTAGTCTTGTTTTCATTGGATCCTTAATGCCTTCTTTTGCTTACACAGTCACAATGAAATAATCACTCATGATTCATGGTGATGTTCTTTTTTTTTAACAGATTTTTTTCTCCTGATTAAGGTGATGATCTCTCAAGTTCTAAGGAGCCAAGAAAGCTTAGCCTCAAATGATTTTTCATTAGAGACATAAAACCAAGGACCTCCTGACTTGGCACATCAAGAGTTATTTAATGATAATGAAAAACCCCATAATTCTGATATCTTTCTTGACCTGCCCGTTAACAGCTCAGGCCATGCACTCTGATAGCTAGTCTTGGATAGGTTTATTTCTCTGCCGACATGAGGAAAGTATTTTTCTTCTCCAAGTCCCAATCAACCAGCAGCTAGTGAAAGACAGTGTCCCCAACTCCCACACAAGGCAAAGGGATTATTTTAATACTTTACAAATCAAAAGGCTTTAAATCCTGTTTAATAATGGGAAATTTTAAGGCTTTTATATGAAGCTTTTGCGTTTTTTAAAACATTCTTTTGGAATAAGATCCAAATCTTTGGCACACAGATGAGACACATGAAGTATAAACTGAAACCATTTGCATTATTTGAGGAAACAAATGCTTTCACTGTACTACAAGGCTATTGCAGAACCTAGTGAGGAGTTTTAATGTGAGAGAGTAGAGAGGATACTTTTGAATAATTCTCATAGCCAGGAACCTTATCTATACATGAGTGATAGAAACCAAGATTCCATTTACAGAAGGGCAAATACAAATCTTTGTTCACTATTATGTTCAGACATCCTTGTAATTTAAAAAAGAAAGTAAATTAAAATGAAAAAATATGATGAAGATTTTCACCTATCAAATTTTGAAGGAATTAAATATACATATACATATATTCACACATACAGCAATGCACCACTTAACATTTTGGTCAAAAACAGACTGCATATACGACAGTGGTCCCATAAGAGTATACTGTATTTTTACTTTACCTTTTATATGTTTAGATACCCAAATACTTACCATTGTGTTACAACTGCCTACAGTATTCAATACAGTAACATGCTGTACAGATTTGTAGCCTGGGAGCAATAGGGCATACCGTATAGCCAGTTATACTGTAGGTTATACTCTCTAGGTTTGTGTAAGTAGATTCTGTGATTTTGGCATAATGAAACCACCTAATGATGCATTTCTCAGCACATATCCCCATCATTAAGCAATGCATGACTATATATGTGTCTGTCTGTGTGTGTGCGTGTATATATATAATATGTATATATAAACATGCCAGCTATAGGATTGTGATACACAGACTTTGTGGGAGTCTAAATTGGTATATTTTTGGCAAGAAATATGACATTTCTATTAAGAAGAGTTAAAAGATCCATCCTTTTTTAACCCAGGAATTCCATCTTAAGGAACTTTTATATAGTAGACCCAATTAGAGGTAGATGCTGTGCTCACAATGCCTCCCAATGGCCTTGTGTGTATGAGAGACTGTTAAGTGTTGATTGAGCCAAGATCTGACTTCAGCCAAGCAAACTCTCAGCAGTGGGGAGACAGGGAAACTAAATGCCTGGAGAACTTCTTGGGCCACCCCTTCCTGATGTGCGATTATCTACCTTGTCTCCTACTCAAAGAGCTACTCCTAGCTCCTTCCAGTCATCTCCATTTTTGCATAACCAGCCAGAGTTGCGCACCTTTGAAATGTTCATATTCCTTGACTCAGTGTTTCCACCTTAGGAATCTGGCCTATGGAATTAATCTGAAATTTGGACACAAAGAATACCAGGATCACTTCTAATATAAAAAGGCAAAAACTCTAAGTTCTCAAGGATTGGGAAATCATTGAGTATCTTATGTTTCAGTCAAACAAGTTAAAAATTATGAAGCCATTTAAAATTGTGTTTCCAAAGACATTTTAATGACATAGAGAAATGCTTATGCTACAATGTCAAATGAAAAATAAAATTCTATAAAATTATAAATATAGCCTAATGTCAACTACACATTATATATGTGTGCACTTAAAAATGAATGGAGAGACATAAAACAGTTATGTGCAGTAGTAAGATTTTGAGTATTTTTCTTCTCTCTTTTTTTTTTTTTTTTTTTGAGACAGAGTCTCGCTCTGTCGCCCAGGCTGGAGTGCAGTGGCGTGATCTCGGCTCACTGCAAGATCCACCTCCCGGGTTCACGCCATTCTCCTGCCTCAGCCTCCCGAGTAGCTGGGACTACAGGTGCCTGCCACCATTGGCTAATTTTTTGTATTTTTAGTAGAGGCAGGGTTTCACCGTGCTAGCCAGGATGGTCTGTATTTTTATTTTCTTTAAATCCTTTTTTCAATGTCAAAATTTTCATCACATTACTTTTATAGGCAAAAAACGTATGTTATTTTAAGTAATTAGAATAAGGTAGACTCTGGTTTTACTTGTGTTCACCGTTAGTGAATGAAATGCAGTTCAATCAGATAGTTTGGGGTAGTGGCCTCCACCTGGCTTCACATTAAAGTCGCTTTTATCTCCTTATCTGTCTATTCATTGTTTTTGCTGTAATGTTTACTTTACTTTCCTAGAGTCAAAGAAGAGCTAAGTTCAGCATGTGCTCATTAAAAAGCACTAATGTTCCAGCAGTTTCCTGGCACCTTGATCTCATCTCCTCTCACAGCTGCCTCACTTGCCAGTGGCTCAGTCCCACCTCTGTCCTGGGGCCACTCCTGGCTTTAGAAGAAAGGATTGAACTAGGCTCCATTCAACGTTTAGGGTCTGAGCATTAAGCCTTGCTGTTGTCCATCTCAGACATCACACAGCTCCAGTAATCTGCCTTGCCCTGCTTAGCCAAACATCTGGCTCTTTCTTTTGCCCTGGGCAAGGTAATGGGCACAAGACCACAGCATCTCTAGATGGGGTTTTGGCATGCCTCTTCCATTTCCTTTTCTCTTTCTCTAACACAAAGGTTATGACCTAGTGATACATTTTCCAGGTGCTGCTTGCCTGTCAGATTGCCTGTTGGGACACGAGGAGCTTTAAAATTGTACCCATGCCCAGGTGATTCTAATTTAATTCATGGGTAGGGAGAGGGGAAGCCTGGAATCAGCATTTTTAAAGCTCCCCTGGGGATTTTAACATACAGCTAGAGTCCAAACCACTGGTCTAGGGTTCCTGTAGATTGAATCTCTGTGATTACAGCCTACTGAGTTTGGTAAGCTTTAACTCGATGATTTAAACTGATGAAAATGACTTCCCTATCTGTGCAAAAGATTCAGTCATTTCAGACATGTGAACCAGCCCTCATGTGACTTTAACTAGTTTCTCTTCCTCCAAAACTAAAATCATGTCTAGCTCCCCAACTCCAGGCTGTGTTTCCAGAAGCCCGCTGGCCATCTACAAGTGTGTTCTCTAGATCTCTCAGCTCTACATACCCTAGACTGTCCCACTGGTCCTCTCTTCCTGGCCTCTTCCTATGCCATGTCATGTCATTAATGTCACTATAATCACACCACATCCAAGTTAGACATTTCTAATTCATTTCCTTTATCCTTACCATCAAATTCCACGAAAGAGGACTCATCAGTGTATTAGCTTTCAAAAGTCAGGCTTCAGAGAGAAATGTGGGAAGAGTCTGGGTGTGACCTTGGAGAAACACATCAAACACATCAAAACCCATTTGGTCCCAGCACTTTGGGAGGCCGAGGCAGGCGGATCACGAGGTCGGGAGATCGAGACCATCCTGGCTAACGCGGTGAAACCCCGTCTCTACTAAAGGTGCAGAAAATTAACCGGGCGTGGTGGCAGGCGCCTGCAGTCCCAGCTACTCGTAGTCCCAGCTACTCGGGAGGCTGAGCCAGGAGAATGGCATGAACCCGGGAGGCAGAGCTTGCAGTGAGCCGAGATCGCGCCACTGCACTCCAGCCTAGGCGACAGAGCCAGACTCTGTCTCAAAAAACAAACAAACAAACAAACAAACAAAAACACTTTTGGAAGCTCCATTTTCCAAACACTGCAGGGCAAACTGCCAAGGTCAATGCCCTCATTTCTCACCTTTGTATGGAGTCTCCTGCCTTTGTATTTCTCTCTCAACTCCATCTCCTCTCCTTCAGTCTCTGTGGCTGACCTCACCGACCCTTGTTTCTCACCTGAGCTACTGGGACAGCCTGTCTGCCATTTGTTCTCCCCAGTCAACCCATGTCATCAGTATTCACACCACTCCTATTTTGGGCACCTTGGAGTACTCAGACCTTAGAATCAGCCAGCCTGGGTTTGATTCCCACCTCCAGCACTTTCTAGCAGAATGATCTTGGACAAGTAAACTTGCCTCTCTGTGCTTCAATTTCCTCATCTGTAGCATAAGAAGAAAAATTATGGTGCTTACTCCATTAAGTTGTTAGAAACACTGAATTAGTTAAGAAACTCCTCAGACCAATTCCTGGTACAAACGAAGCACCATGTCTATTTGCTATTATTATTCGTATCAATAATATTCGGTTATTAAATAGAGTCCAGCTCCTTAAAAAGCTCATCCGGGCCTGCCACACTCTGACTCCTTCCTGCCTTCCAGCCTAATCCTTTACTACCCTACTCCCACACACCAGCATTTGCCCGGCTAGATTATTCAGCTGTAATTTCCTGCCTCCTGGCCTTTGCTTACATTTTGTTACCTGGGATGCCCTTATCCTCATTTCTAGCTATGGAAATTCTGTGAATTCTTCAAGTCCAAATCAGAGGCACACTTATTCTTGACCACTTTACTGATGCCCAAACTTGGAACTAGTTTCTCCCTCCTAGGTGACATATTTGCCCTTACTTTTTACATTTGACAATTGTGCTTTGTATTACAGCAGGCATTTGTGGCCTCCTCTTTCTCCTACCTCCCCAACAACCCCAGATGGTCCAGGAAACTGTGAGTTCCTAAAGGACGGGTTCTTGTCTTGTCCACATTTTAAATGCATTTAAGTTTTCCCATTTATACTTTATGACCTTGTGCTTAGCAAAATGCCTGAAATAAAGGAAGTTTTGCAAAAGTTTGTTGAAGAGAATTATTGAATGTCTATGAACACTCTTATGTCTATTCCAAGCTGAAACAGACACTCAGTAATTATCTGGTGACTATAAATAGGGTGTGAAATTGGACACTCAGAACAAAATAGCCTCTCTGAGATCCAAGTGGTCTGACCTGGGTGTCTATACCGATGAGACTAGTGCTACGAGTCTAAGATATCCATTGCTCTGTGTGTGTCTTTTCATAACTTTTTGGTTGCAAGTAATATAAAACCTGATTCAAACAGATTTAAGCAATGAAGTAGAAAGGTTCAGCAAGGTTGGTTCCCGTGGTTCATCAACGTCACCAAATGCCCAGCTCTATCCTGTATTTCCTATTATCCACATGTTGTGTTGAACCCTAGGCTGGCTTCCCTTATGGCCAGAGGATAGCTGCCAGAAGCTTCTGAAAAATGCATGCTTCCTCACCCATGTCCACTGGTAGGGCCACCATATTGCATAACTCTAGGGTATGCAATTCATTGAATTGAATTAAACATAAAGCAAATGGCACCACCTGGATTTGTGCAAGGCAATGGCTTTGTCCACCAGAAAGAGAATATCTTCAAGTGGCATCCATAGAAGAGATAGGAAACTTCTTCACCAGTAGCCCTCAGAAAACATCTTGTGACATATGTGGATCTCACCTTCTCTGCCAGTCAGAGACATAGGGTGGGACCAATTGGACTGATTATGTCAGGCTCCATGTTTGGTAGACCCTGAGTTACTGTCAGAACCAGAAAGATGGGAAGAATGATGAGCTAGCAGAGACCAGGAAGGTAGGATTTGCTCCCTCAATTGATGATACACACACATGTGCGTGCACGCATGCATGCATGCACGTGATATATGCATACTCATATAAAACTGCAATTTTCATTTATTCAGCAAACATTTGCCTGCTATGTGCCCCATACAATGAATGTTATTCAGTCTCTACCTTCAAGGAGAGTCCTTTCTCTTTTCCTTCTCTCCATTACCAAGTCAAAGCAGCTGAACCTTTCTCTTCTCCTTTGACATGACCTCTTCAGAATCTGTTTCCAGTATGCACCTTTCTTACCCTTCAAGGTGGCTCACTGGATTGTATTTAAGCCATCAGCATGTGTCTACAGATTGAGGTGCTGGTAAGAAATCTACCCTTGCGGCTCTAAGGGTGTTTTTCTAAGGGTGGCTGTGGTCATGCCAGCCACAGCAAAGGGATTGCACAAGTTGACCAGGCACTCCCTTGGGCCCTCCAAGTGGCCCTAAGGGACAGACCTATGTCCACAACTAAATACTCCCAGAGCTATTCCAGTCATCCTACCCACATCACTACCCATCAGGAAGACATAGTTGGCCTCTCTTTAAATAAACGACGTATTTATATTGGATCCCAGACATTTTGAGACATAATGAAAAAAAAATGATTTTCCCATGTGTATATTTTTGACCTCCCAACAAAGTCCATATTTCCAGTTTTACTGGAGTTAAATCTTTCAGATGAGACAGAGGAGACCAAAAGTCTGGGCTCTGTCATTTATTAGTTATTTTGCTCTGAAGTCACTTCACCTCTTTAGAGCCCAACTTTATTACTCAACAACAGGATGTAGAAAATACTTACTGGGTGCCTGTTATGGGCCCGATTCTGTTCTAGATGCTCAGGATAAGAGTATAAGAGCGATTTCCTGATGTGCAAAATGAACTGGGGGGGCCTAGATAATGCCAACCTTCCTTCTAGCTGTACAGGCTATATGCTTTGGAGATGGAGCCAGCAGGTCCATGTCCTCCAGTCTCTGCAGCAGTTACTCATCAGAAACAGGTCATGATGAGCACACAGCCCATCCCCAAGTGTCATAAGCATCTCTCTACTCTTCCACAGCCCTGAGAATGCAGGATCAGGGTGCAAACTACATTCTGCCAGGGGCTGCAGACCTCCAGCTTTCAGTAATTCATCATTTAGTTTATAGATTAGTAGGTTATAAATATCTTATCCAAAATAAGTCATGTATTCTCCTTTCCTTAAAGTAGATTCCCAGAAGGACAGGTGTGCTTTATCTCCTTTCATATAAACATCAGAGTCTGACCCTGTAAATTCATTTATGAAAAAAAGAATCCAATGGTGGGTGGTAAAAATTCCTTTTGGACTCTCCGGCTGTCCATAGAGTTGTTCTCAGAGTGATCGGTGATCACGTGGATGGCAGGGGGAAATTAATCACGTTGGAGGTTTCTCTGCTGCTATATAAACCAACCAGAGACAATGGTGCCTGCGGCTGTGAGGCACAGGAAAAGAAGGAATGGCACTGGACCTGGAGATGCTGAGTTTGTTTAAATCTCAACTCAGCCAACTTACCTGAGGGACCTTGGATGTATCATTAACCTCTTTGGGCCTCAATTTTCTTATCTGAAAAATGGGTCTACCTAGTTCTCAGAGATGTTATAAAGATTACAAGAGATAATGTATGTGAAATGTATACCGTGGATGTTATCATTCTCTGTATTTCAGGATTTAAAAGGATTTTTTCTTAGAAAAAATGAGAAAGACCCTATAGAGGGCAACTAGGCATCCGTTGGAATCACAGGGCTTTAAACCTGGATAGGACCATGACAACCAGCCAGCTCACTATTTCAAAGAAACAAAGCCCAGAAAGGTTGAGTGACTCACCCAAGAGAGCAGTGTTAGATGCCATAATTAAAAATCAAAAAGACACTAAAAATGTTTTTTAAAATAGGGTTTAATCATCCCACATAGCAAGGAGTCTAGAGAGCAGACTATTCTAGAAACTCGACACTGTTAGGACACAGACCCCTCCCTCGTGTTGGCATGATGGTTGCTCACAGCCCCAACTATCACATTCCCATCTGTCACTATCCAAAGGGAGGAAGAACATGTGTGTGCATGTGCATGTGTGCGTGTGTGTGCATGTGTGCATGTGTGTGCATGTGCATGTGTGCATGTGTGTGTGCATGTGTGCATGTGTGCGTGTGTGCGTGTGTGTGTTGAGGAAGGTCGGGAGGGGAAATTCCCTTTGCACATCTTTCTTTTTCTAGGAGAGTAGATATTTCCCAGGGGCCTCCAGTGGACTTTCTCTCAGGTCTCATTAGCCAGAACTGAGTTACATGCTCAACTCTAAGCCAATTACTGACCAAAAAAGACTGAAGATGATTTATAATTTTTGTTCTGGGACTTCCTTCACTGAGCATGTTGCTATCCCATGCCTGAATAAAAATCAGAGTTTCTATTCCTAAGGAAAAAGTGGGAGTGGCTATGCAGTGGGCAGCCAACAGAGTCGTCCATATTTGTCAAAATAGTCTCACTCTTCTTAGCACTTGTTATATGTGATGGTGCATTGGATAACTGGTGGCTCTTGCCACATAAAGAAATGACTTTATGATATCTATTTATCCATAGTTTCTATTTCAAGGTTCATGATCTTTTGCAATATACATGAATATTTCAGCTTGTTCTTGATTCCTCAAATATAAGGAAATGCCAGATGAAACAAATAAATTCCTACATAAGAAAGTTAGCTGAATTATTTATTCATTCATTTTAAACATGTTTTGAGTTCCTATTACATACTAAGAACTATTCTTGGTGTGATTTATACATGATACTGGGATAAATGTTCAACTATTTGGAAAAGCAAAGTAAATAAATGCCTAATCTATAAGAGTTTTGTTTTTTGGTTTGTTTTTTTGTTTTTTGTTTTTTTTTTTGAGATGGAGTCTCGCTCTGTCACCCAGGCTGGAATGTAGTGGCACTATCTCGGCTCACTGCAACCTCCGCCTCCCAGGCTCAAGTGATTCTCCTGCCTCAGCCTCCCAAGTAGCTGGGATTACAGGCACACACCACCACACTTGGCTAATTTTTGTATTTTTTTAGTAGAGATGTGGTTTCACCATGTTGGCCAGGCTGGTCTCAAACTTCTGACATCAAGTGATCTGCCCGCCTCGGCCTCCCAAAGTGCTGGGGTTACAGGCATGAGCCACTGCACCTGGCCCCTAAAAGAGATATTTTTAAAACAATATTGATCGAAACCTGAGGTTAGTAAGGCCTATCATAAAAGAAAAGGAAAAATCACAAAGGAAAATTTTAAATTCCAAAAATGTTTTTAAATTTCTACACATTCAAAAAACAGTATATCAAATGCTGTTGAACATATTAAAAGAGATATAAAAAATAAAGAACAAACTAGGAAATATTTTGCAAAATGTTTGAGATGATGTGATACTTTAATATATAAAGAGCTTTATAAATTAAGAAAAGAGAAAAACCTAAAAAATGGTCAAGGAAAATGAGCATATAAGTCATAAGGTAAGAAATATAAATGGTCAATAAATAGATTTAAAATGTTCAACCTCATTAGTAAAGTGCATAAAATTGTATATTTAAACAATATGATACCATTGTAACTTATTTAACTGGCAAATGATATTAATGAGCATTGATAAGAGTACTTGGGAAATGACCATTCTTGCATATTGCTAGTGTGAGTCTGAACTGGTTCAGATTTGCGGGAATACAGTTTGATGACATGCAATAAAACCTTCACAAGGGGCATAGCTTTTGATCCAGCAATTCTACTTCTAATCATTTATCCTAAGAAATAATCAAAGGTGTATGCAAAGATGTTTTGAATCCATAAACTCACTGTTGTTACTGATCATGGCATTTTAAACACAGGCTATGGATTGATTCTAAGTACAAACATCAAACAATTGTGAATTGAATTTGACTTAATTCTGGGGTTTACAGGGAGTTTATGAATTATGCAAAATAAAGAGCAAGAGAAGCAAGGCATTTGAATTGTTTAGGCCCTGTTTAGTGTTCCTTTAAAGTGGAAGTCTCTTTGATAACCTCTATGATTCTTTTGTGGGCAAGTGCAACCAAAAATATTAAGAAAAATTTCCATCAGCTTCAATTTTTATTTTAAATGATGATTTTTAAATTAGAACATCTAGTGAAAGCTAATCTTAAAAGACAACATTAAAAAATATTTAACGATGAACTTACAGGTGCTACAAATTTAAGGAAAGTGAGAGGAACGAAGAAAAGACTTTATTAACTGAAAGCCATGAAAGAGTTTAAATGAGAAGAAAAGCAACATTAGAGTCAGAGAACTATTAATATATGTAGCAGGACTTTCTGTTTTAGATTTTTAAATTGTTTTATAGTTATTTTCATTTAACATCTAGTTATTTAATATTTCATTATTATTAAAATTCTGAAATTTTGGATTGCTCATATTTAGAATTGTGGTCTATATGTTACTTAATAATTAACTAGCTAATGAAGATAATTTTTTAAAGAATTCAAATTTTTGTTAAGAGTTTATAAGACATGCTAAGAGTGTAACTGCCCCCAAATGAGCAGACTTAGTCATAGCTAGCATTTCTTGAGTGCTTACTGTGTGCCAGGGGTTGCTTTAAGCTCTTTGAATATGGTAACTCATGGAATTCGCAGAGCATGTCATGAGGCAGCACCATTATTATACCTGTTTTACAGAGGAGGAAACAGAGGCTCAGGGAGGTAACCTTCCTGGGTACTCACTATTAGTACCTGGCAGAGCAGGGCTTTGACAACACTTCCAAACTAGTTCACCAGATTCCAGAATCAGAATCTCCTGAGGTGGGGCCAGGGAACTGCCTTTTTCACAAAATAATAAGCTTAATGAAACCTCATTATTTGTCAGTGTTTACTGTGTGGCAAGCACTGAGCTAATTAGCTAACTGCTCGCAGGTCTTGCCTCATTGAATTCTCACACCAGCTCCACATGGCTGATGCTCTTTATAATCTTCTCATTTTAGAGATGAGAAAATGGAGGCTGAGGGAAGTTGGGTAGCATGCCGCAGGTCACACAGCCAGTATGCAGTCGGATCAGGACTTGAACCCAGGACATTGTGCCTCCAAGCCTTGACCTCTTATGGCTTGGCCGTGATCAAACAACTAGGGAGTGATGTGTAAGGGTAGGGCCTGGGGGAGAAAATGCTGCTTGCTGGCTGCATGAAGGGCCTTCCCAGGCCTCCATAAGGAAGCAGGCTTTTGGGTATGTAGTGCCCACCTAGGCTTCTCCAGGTTGACGGCTGGTGGGTGAGCACTAGAGTAGAGGGCAGATCACACAAGTCAAGTCAGAGTCCAGAGCCCAAAGCCCACGAGCTACGCAAACCCCACGAGAGGGCTGATGTGTACAGAAGGGTGTGGCTGGCCAGAACCAAGCCCCTCTCAGAGTAGAACCTCCCCCATTATGTCCCTGAAATCTGGAACCTTCTCAGATGCTCAGGACCTGATAAGAATAGTAGCTGTTCTATGCAGTGTTACTCCCCCCCAACACTCATGAAATTCAACATAAAAAACAACACTAGACTATAAATCAAAAGAAACCCAACAAAGCGCCAATTTTTTCTCAACATCATGACTTTGATGTTCTTTTAAAAGATCAAATACCAGTATCTTTTCAGCTGCCCTAAACATGAGCTTTGTCTACACTAGGGGCACCAGCTTTTAATCGTTGCTAGCGTCTCACACTGCTACAGCTTTGTCATCAATTAAAGTTTCTTTTATGGTAAATTATGGCCAATGTGTTTATGTGGGAGGGGGGAAATTTCCTGCCTCAATTTAGACTGAGGTGTCAATATGATAAATATCAGGATAACAAGGCAGATATGAGACAGAGTCCCCCACCACCAAACACACACACACACGCACACACACACACACACGGCTCTGAGAACCTAGAGTATAAAACAGGGACCAGAGAATGGAGAGAAGAAAATTTTGTGAGGAAATCTTTGCAAAACAAACAAACAAAAAAATCTGTGCTCTGAATTCTCTCTGTTTTCCAAAGGGGTAGGGGGAATACCTCATTAAGGGTCTTTCCTGGACCCCCTTCCTAGAGCCCAATGCATCCCTGCTGTTGGAGGAGCTGTGGGCCTTGACAGAGAGGAAGCCTGTGGAGAGACATGAGGAAGCAAGGTGGCTTCATGCGAAGGAGCCTGGAAGTGTACTGCCAGCCACCGTGGACCAGCAGCTGCCCGGGACCAGTGAAGGCAGACACAAAGTGATTTAGAATAGAGATGGCACCACTTGGGTCCAGGTTGCTGAGGGAATAAGAAGCCCCACTGGAAGCCACCAAGGGTCCCATAGGCGCACCCATGAGGGAAAGCCTTAGCCATCTGCCAGGCCCCAAGAATTTGATTAGGATCTCCTGTGCCCCTTATCTCTTTCCCCCACCCCATCCTATCTCCATCACCCTGGCAGGGGGAAAGAACAAGTCATTGGTGAGTGGGGTAAGAAGAAAGCAGAGGCCACAGTGACCACAGGACCACCGGGAGGCATTGAAGATGGAGGGGAGATTTGCTGTTAGATCAAGCGTAGAATATTTATTATTACCAGTGTAAGCATTCTGTCTTCTGATTCAAGATTATTTGACTTCAAGGGGGTCAACGCTGACACTTTCCTGGGAAAAAGCATAAAAGTCATGGGCTTGCCTGATTTTTCATCTGGGTCAAGGGAATGTTGCCAGAACAACCCCAGGACAGAGTTCAAAGGCACCATGGGAAGTAAAAATAAAGTCTTAAATACATTACAAGTTGTTCTTGTTCAACATGTTGATCTCACTAACATGTATCTGGCACCTACTTTTGGCCAGGCAGTATGCTAGGAGAGTCACTTTGCTATCTTATTTAAAGTTAAAGCCGTCATTTAATAGGGATAAATCTTACTTTTACAGACAAGAAAAGTGAGACTCAGAGAGGGTAAGAGATCAGTTGAACTGAAATGTGTTGCATCCAGTTCCGTTCAACTCCACTACCAATAACCTTTGTCTTTATACCAGGCCCTGGGATGGTAGTGCCTGCAGATTCCTGTAGAGAGAGTTGTCCACTGGAGGTTTGGGCCAGAGGGCAGGTTGATTTGTTCTGTTCTCGAATTGCAAAAACAAGGGTTGCCACCATGTGAAAAGATAGTGCCCTGCAGACCCTTCTGGGAGATCATCTAAGTTGAATTGCACTTCAGGCAATGTGGATAGATGTGCATAGAACCACTCACATTTTCTCCTCCATAGCATGCACTGGCAAGGTGGAATGCAGGCACGTCCCCAACTTCCCATGGTGGCTGATAAAGCAAGTTAATAGACACCAAACTTGGCCCCATTGCCACCACTGCTGGAATAGATGACACAAGCGACAAATATCCAGAATGACAAAAATATACGACGCAGCTTGTCTAAATTAGCAGACAGACAAGACAAAGGGAGAGAGAGGTTTGGATTTTAGAAAAAGATGTTCAAAACTACCATGAAACATGTTGTGATAGCAGTAGAGTCAGCCATCAGGGTCAGTGTTTGAAACAGAAAAGCCTGTTTTCATCAATCTTTAACCTAGGATTGTCAGGAAACTGGATAGGTGACCTTTTTTTTAACTTTTCATAAAGTCTCAATAAATCAGGCTCAAACTGACTTGTAAATTTCCAGGCAATACACATATCACTCCCCACTCCTGCCCCTGCCCCCCCAACCCCCCACCTCCGGAAACCACATAAACATATCAACAGAAGCAGGTTCCTTTCAAGGACAGGCTGCTGCATTCTTCAGATGACTAAATCTTCATGAAAAGCCACCATTGTCCTGGCAAAGCATTCATGCCACCCAGATTGACCTAGTCTCCTATAGAATCACCCATTTCAGGCCAGAGGGGTCTCCCAGCCTTCCTCAGGGAGGTAATATAGCAGGAGTGCATGGGGGTTGGGTGGGGTGGGGGGCAGGTCACTAATTTATCTTAGTGGGGTGCTAACTTTGAAGCACGCTGAAGGCTATTTAAATGTTAACATTTCAGAGAGGAAAGCACAAACACCCAGCTTTCAAGCCATCAAATTTTTCTTTTAAGAGATAACCACTTCTGACTCAGAAGACAAATATTAAAAATAAAAAATACCCAATCCAAACAAAAACCAGACCAGCTCTTCACCATCCGTACGATCTTGGTGGTCTCCAGGTGAAAGAAAATTTGTGTGTGTGTGTATGTGTGTGTGTGTGTAAGTACAGCCAGTACAGGTTTTCTGTTTTTAAAAAAATGTCCATTTCTCCACCTTTCAAAGGTTAAGTTATACAAATTTATCTGACCAGAGCAAATCCCATTTATAGGTGATGAAACATGGTCTTATGAAAGATAAATAGAAAGATATTTAATTACTATGAAACACCAAACAAAACAAAACAAAACAAAACAAAACAAAACAAAAAAAACACCTAACCTTGGAATCAGTAAGGGAAAAATCGTCTTAAAGAATTTAAACAGCGGGCGCCTGTAGTCCCAGCTACTCGGGAGGCTGAGGCAGGAGAATGACGTGAACCCGGGAGGCGGAGCTTGCAGTGAGTCGAGATCGCGCCACTGCACTCCAGCCTGGGCGACAGAGCGAGACTCCATCTCAAAAAAAAAAAAAAAAAGAATTTAAACAATGAAGTTTAAGTCATGGCTCTATTGCATGTTTTAGAAGCAATTAGTTTCTCCAGTATTCCTCTCCCCTTAAAAATTGCAGAATGTTACAAAGAAAGAACAAAATTTGGCCAGGCTCACGCCTGTAATCCCAGCAATTTGGGAGGCCGAGGTGGGCAGATAACCTGAGGTCAGGAGTTCGAGACCAGCCTGACCAACATGGAGAAACCCCGTCTCTACTAAAAATACAAAATTAGCCGGGCGTGGTGGCGCATGCCTGTAATCCCAGTTACTCAGGAGGCTGAGGCAGGAGAATCACTTGAGCCCAGGAGACGGAGGTTGTGATGAGCCAAGATCGCACCATTGCACTCCAGCCTGGGCAACAAGAGCGAAACTCCGTCTCAAAAAAACAAACAAATAAAAACAAAATTAATGTTCTTTATTTGCATTCAGTTAAGATTTTAGTTGTTAAAGCCAGAGTACAACCTTCAAACAGGAAGTTCCAGGGCCCAGATTTTGACTTTTTCCACCTGCCAAGTTCTTTTCACTGGAAACCACTTCTACCTGTCGTCAATTTGCCTCTTGGCTTTTAGGCAGTGCCTCACTGGTGGAGATGAGCGCTACACTTGGCCAGCACTCCTGCAGCAATGCTTTTGCCACCCCCAACGGGGACTACTTTTGGATCACTAGCAAAAAATCAGCTTCATCCTTCTAGCTCTACCAGGATGATGCTTAGAGAAAAGGGAGTAGGACCAAACTGTCACTCCAACTCCCCTCCTACAATTACATCTTCCCAGAGGATTTAGAATGGGATAGAGCTTCAAAGATAGAAAAAATGGTGCAAACTTTCTTTTATGAGTGGGTTTATTCATTTAATTTACCTTCCTGGAGTTTCCGCCACTCTTGCTCACTGGGAAACTGGAAAGGTGGAAGAGGGGATCACTACTGCAGAGGGCCTGATACCATCTCAAAAGGGGCTTTGAGACATAGAGCGGTCCTTATTTTTTCTACACACATGGACATTAGAAAAGGCTCTAACTGCAGTTGAGTACAGAACTTTATCATTGTAGGCCCAAAGGAAAACATAAAGTCTGTCTTGGTTTTTCTTGTTCCCCTCTTAATTCACATTCCTGTCCAGACAAAATTTTGCATTTACCTTCTGACTTATCTCCCAGGACCATGTGAGTGAGGAAAAAACCCAACCAATGGTTAAACCGAATTCAGTTTGGCCTAAAGATGACTCCATACATCATTTAGGTTTGGCCGAAAGGTTTCTCCACACATAGTAAACTGCAACCTAATTTATAGGTAAACTGACTGAAAACCAATTTTAGGAGTATGCTTTTGTAACAGAAAGCTGAGTCTCAGCCAATCATAGCAGCCGAGGTTCAGCCAATCACAGGGGCCCAACCACTCAAACTGCGTTAAAATAAGACAGATGCCTGAGCTGTAACCAATGGTAACTGATCAAACTATCTTTGGTCCTCACTTCAGTTTTCTGTAAATCATTTCCTTTTCTCTGACGATAAATATAATCCACAGTTAAAGTAAATTTAACCTAACGCTGCTTCCTTACATATTTTAGGCTCGGCCTAAAGGTTTCTTCGTACACAGTGAACTGTAATCTAACTGGATGTGTAATCAGCCTGTAACCTATTCCTGTGTCATTCATCAAGTTTCAGCCAATCAGAGGCAGCCAACTGTTCAAACCCTGTTCAGATAAGGCAAATGCCAAGCTGTAACCAATCTGGAGGTTTCTGTACCTCACTTCCGTGTTCTGTACATCACTTTCCTTTTTCAGTCCATAAATCTTCTCTGACCGAGAGGCAGTACCAGGGTCTCTCGGAACCCATTCTGGTTCGCGGGCCGTCCGATTCACAAATCATTCTTTACTCAATTGAAGTCCTTTAAATTTAATTTGTCTAAGGTTTTTAACACCACACATGTAGTGGGGCAGGGTATTTGGAATCATTTTTGGCTTGTACTGCTGCCTGATTCTAGAATCACAAAGCCAATTAAGATCTGCAAAACTGAATTTATTTTTTGTAAGTTTGGATTCATTTGTAATTTTGTCTTTTAACACAACCAATCAGACAAAAACCAACCAACCCTGGGTTTGCTATAGGTTACAAATGCTGAGGACAGAAATAATGGCCTCCACCATAGTTTAAAATCTGTTTGCTGCCTTCTTCCTCACCCCCTCCCAGGTGAAGCCTCTCTTACTTGTCTTCCTTCTTTGCTGTTTCAGCCAGAGAAATGAAATTGGAGATTTCAGGCCAGTTGTGAGGTATTTAAGTTAACCTTGGAGAACTAGCAAAGAATAATTTCAGAAAAATATAAAATATAAGTTGGCAGAACACATTGCAGTAGATGTTTCCCCAGAAACAGGATTAACAAATAAATATAAAAGAAAGTCATGAGAAAACACATGAGTTATATAAAATAAGAGTAAGTTCCAAGTTGGCCCAATTTGTAAAGAATTAAGAAGACAGCAATAACAATGTGAGATATAAGTACAGCAATTCTCCTCCCAAAACACACATGCACACACACACACACACACACTCCATACATGCCTTTCACACACTTTCTAATATTTTTAGGGGGAGGAATTTCTTATCAACTCACAGCCTCATAGTTTCTTGACATCCATAATTTTGGTCTTTGCCCAGGCCAACAACCCAATCCCACATTAGTTCTTATCATCACTCAAAACGTCTCCACTGTCGAAATCCCCACCTCTGGAGTCCTCCTCACAGATGCCACCTCTTTATCTTCCATCTTTCTCATTCCTTGATTCCTACTGAGCCTACCCTTCTCTCACCTAGGTCCCTCCCTACTCTTCTATTCTTATCCTTTTAGTCTCTCAGATTTCATTCCTAACCCTATCCAGCCTGAAGTCCAAGTCAATTCTTTCAATAATGTGCTGTCTACCTCTCTAGTCTCTTCCCCAGTCTTGTCCTAATTCCTGACCCTGAGGGACCCCTTGGGTCTCTATTCTGCATTTCCCATCAAGAGTCACTGAATTTCACTGGAGAAAACCAAATCAATACAGTGGCCGGCTATTCACTCCTCTGGTATCTGCTTTGTGCTGCAGAAACTCTCTTCTTGCAGCATTTTCCAAGGGCATTCATCACTCATCATTTTAATCCATCTATGTGGGACTGTTCTCTTGCAATCCTTAATGCCAGAACCTACATCTTCTTTCTCCACCCATTCATCTAAGTAAGGTGCCTGTCCTGTTGATTTTATCTCCATAATAATTTAAAAATTGTTCTCTTCCTTTCAGGTTCCATTCCCATTACCAGTGCCCCAGTTCACTCCCACATTATCTCTGCTTACACTCCATCCTGTTTACCTGACACCCAGCCTCCCCTTTCCCATCAGCAAACTCTGCAATCATTTCAGTCCTCAGATGAAGTCTTCAGTGGCTTGTTGGGGGCTACCAATTGAAACACACACTCCACAGCCCAGCACAAATCCTTTGTCAACAAGGACCCAGCCTGCTATCTCACACCATGCTGCCATTCTCCCACCAAACTGGAAAGACTCATTGTTTTAACGCTTGGACACTTTTGATCATTTCCCATCTGTTGCCAGAAAGGGGTCCCATTCCAGACCCCAAGAGAGGGTTCTTGGATCTCACACAAGAAAGAATTCGGGGCAAGTCCACTGAGTAAAGTGAAAGCAAATTTATTAAGAAAGTAAAGGAATAAAAAATGGCCATTCCATAGGCAGAGCAGCAACATGAGCTTCTCAGCTGCTTATACTTATTGTTACTTCTTGATTATATGCTAAATAAGGGGTGGATTATTCATGAGTTTTTCTGGGAAAGGAGTGGACAATTCCCAGAACTGAGGGTTCTTCCCCTTTTTCGACCATATAAGGTAACTTCCTGATGTTTCCATGGCATTTGTAAACTGTCAGGGTGCTGGTGGGAGTGTCTTTTAGCATGCTAATGCATTATAATTAGCATATAATGAGCAGTGAGGACAACCAGAGGTGACCCTTGTCAGCATCTTGGTTTTAGTGGGTTTTGGCTGGCTTCTTTACTGCATGCTGTTTTATAAGCAAAGTCTTTGTAACCTGTATCTTGTGCTGACCTTCTATCTCACCCTGTGACTCAGAATGCCTAATCTTGTGGAAATGCACCCTAGTAGGTCTCAGCCTCATTTTACCCAGTCTCTATTCAAGATGGAGTCGCTCTGGTTCAAATGCCTCTGACATGCCCAGCCCTATTTATTTTTCAAAATTCTGCCACATTTTCAGGCTCTTCTCAAAAGCTTTCTATCCCATGAAGTCTCATTGTCCAGCGATCTTTCTTTTAGGCTCCCCAGTAGGTTGTTCAGGTCATGGGGAGTGAGCTCATCTCACCCTGCCTTGGGTAGTTTACTTACATACTGTCTCTATTGGAGGCTTCCTGGGGGGCCTTATTTTTGGCTTTGTATTCCTACAGTGTTAGTAAAGTGCCTTCTATAACAGAGAAGCTGACCAAATATTTGTGGAATGAGAAAGAAAGAAGGGAAGGGAGGAGGGAGGAAAGGAAAGGAAAGAAAAATGGAAAGAAAGAAAAGAGTGAAACAACCTGCTGGACTTAGCATTTCAATTTTCCACTCCACTCCTGACTGGTGGGATGGTCCAGTAGGTCCCTTCACCTCTCTGGGTCTTGTCCTTTACTTGAAAAAGGAGAGCTTTAAATGTGAAAGTCTCTAAACTAATAGCCTAACTCAAACACAATATATTTTCTCCTGCTAGCTAAATAAATTTTGAAAAATACTGACAAGCTTGGTTCGCCACTTCCAAAAGAAAACTCTCCCTCAAATAGGTAGTTTCAGGAACTGCCAATCATAGCATTGTCACCATCGGGGCCAACCATATATAATTGCATTTAATAGGTAAAGGTCTGGGGAGTGAGGTTGTGATCCCGGTGCTGTCTGACAACTCCTGAACCCCCAAATCACCCCCAACATTTTTATGTGCAGATATTTAAATTGCATATTGTTTCCCCAAGACTTAAAAATGAATTCCACAGAGTCCTCCTTTCAAAGTCTTATTGGTTCTGGTGAGAAATGATGACGGGATCAGGGCCTGCCATTATTTACTTTTTAATTTAATTTCCTGATTCAGTCTCACTTCTCCCCACTCAAATGGTTCAAGGGTAAGTCGGTGACCACTATTCTGAAAGTGGTGTTTTCTTTATTCATTCATTTATTTATTTCGGTAGCTCCTACCACAAAAGACCCTAATAAAGGCCTGCCATTTTGCTACCTAAAGCAAATATGGTTTTGCTTTTTCCTTTTGGTAAACCACACTTCAACTGATACAGTAAAGGACATTTTTGCCTCCTGGAAATACTATTGAATGTTATGGTATGCTGGTAAGTTTGTAGAATGACTAATACTATATTAAATATTACTGTTGTATATATTACAGACATATTAATGTATTAACCCTAAAACATTCATCTAAAAGAACAGGAAGGAACTAAAAAAAGTAAGACTCTCTGGCAAAATCACTTGACTCCCACGGCCTTTGGTAACAGGCCTTAATTGCCTGGCAGCACTATCACTGATATTGCAAAGTACTTTACTTTCTTTCTTTCTTTTTTTTCTTTCTTTCTTTTTTTTTTTTTTTTTTTGAGATGGAGTCTCACTTTGTTGCCTAGGCTGGAATACAGCGGCGTGATCTCGTCTCACTGGAACCTCCACCTCCTGGGTTCAAGCAATTCTTGTGCCTCAGCCTCCTGAGTAGCTGGGGTTACAGGTGGGTACTACCATGCATGGCTAGTTTTTTTGTATTTTTAGTAGAGACGGGGTTTCACCATGTTGGCCAGGTTGGTTTCGAACTCCTGACCTCAGGTGATCAGCCCGCCTCAGCCTCCCAAAGTGCTGGGATTACAGGCGTGAGCCACCATGCCCGGCCTGATATTGCCAAGTACTTTACTTTTAACAAACATGTCCACACATGATCTCATTCAATCCTCGTGACACCCTGATGAAACCAGCAGAGCAGGTCTCCCCCTCCTGCTTGGGTATCACTCTCCCCATTCAACAGGTGACAGGACTGAGTCCCAATCACACACAGTGGAGAGTCAGAGCTGCCAGCCACGGGTCCTGGGTCCTGAGTCCTGGGTCCTGGTTCCACCCTTCTGTCAACAAACTGTGCCACCCCTGAAGGGCAGCCAGGGAGCGTTCATCCCAAAGCCTACCTATGAGAAATGAGAAAACAAAGGCATAGCCTCACAGCTACTTGGGACAGAGCATAGGTGCGAGACAGGCCTTTTGACTTCTCAGCTAGCAGACTGCCTCTGCTCACGAAAAAGAAACAATACGAAAACATTAATCATGCAAGACAAAAGGCATTATAACGTGTAATAGTCCATGTAAGTGTTTAAACTGAGAAAATAATTTTGATGCCTGAGTAGGCAATAATGCCACTTAACTAATTAAAATAACTAATACTGGCCTGCAAGTATGGTGCTGATTGTGGCATTTCAATCAAATTTACAATAAAGTTAACTTGACAAATTTAGTGATTATATGTGTTTTTATATGTAATATATGTGATATATTACATAGCATCAAATTAAGTGATTATATACAAATATATAATTGTATACAGAATAAATCAATCTGGTGACTATATGATATGAAACTTGTATCTATGTATATTATATATACACACATCTTATTGAGCAGCACAAAAATTAGACAAAAAAAGTTAGTAGTATAATTCCAGCATTTTTGGGAAGCTAAGGCAGGAGTATCACTTGAGCCTAGGAGATCAGCCTGGGCCACATAGTGAGACCCCGTTTCTACAATTTTAAAAATTAGCTGGGCATGGTGGCACATGCCTATAGTCATAGCTATTTGGGAGGCTGAAGCAGGAGGATTGCTTGAGCCCAGGAGTTCAAGCCTGCAGTGAGCTATGATTATGCCACTGCACTCCAACCTGGGCAACAGAGTGAGACCCTATCTCAATAATTAAGTAAATAAAATTAAATAAAATAATACAATTAAATAGTGGGTCACTTGCATGACTTTAATTGACATTATACAGTCAAACCAAATATGTAGTTTTTCTCCTCTTTGTTAGTCTTCTAGCATCTGTTTTTGGCATCAGCGGCATCAGTTTACTCCAGTATTCTGCTCCCTTTATCTTGAGCTCTCACACTAATTGCCCCTTATTGATTGTAATGGCTGCACTATTGTACTACCTTCTGCCTCACCCCAGCACACACATGCATGCACACACGCACACACTCGCCACATGATTCCATGCTGCTGTGCCTTTGCTCTTGCTAGTTCTAGTTAGAATACCCTTCCTACCTCTGTTTGCCTGAGTACACGTGACTTCTCCTGTAAGATGCAAGCTTTATCTCTGAGGGCTTTCCCTGAACTCCTAGTTTGAATAGTGCCCTTCCCTTTTATCTTTCCAAGTCCTGTGCACCCCTCTATCCTAACCTTCAGCACATTTCATTCACGTTACCAGTTTACATCCTCTGTCTAGTGAAGCAGAATGCAGTTGGTTAAGGATTTTCACTAGTCCTTAGTGACAAACAGTTGGTGGTCAGATCATGAGAATATAGGCTATCACTAGTTGTGGTAACTCAGATAAGCAGCATCTCTTTAGAGGACTAAGCTTGGCTAATTGATTCATGTTTTTAAGAACTCTATTCAGCAATCCTCTTCTTTGTCTTGTCTCCATCTTTGTAAGATTTCTACTCCTTGTTTTCACTTTTTCTTCCATTTTCATCATAAATGATGCCACCTCTCCTTGCCCTTGGTAGGATACTCAGCCCCATAGTCTGATAATCTATAACAACAGTAAAAATCTTCTCTTTAAAATTTGCAATCAGTTAAGATGTCTTTAATAGCTATTTGGTGAATAAAATCTGTTTTTACTCATGAAGAAATTGAAAGTCATGTACTTGACTTGTCATGCGCAATTAATATTTTCTTTGAAAACACTCAATACAGTATTTGCGATGCATTTAATTACCTAAACTACGTGTAGAGGTTCAGGTTGTATCTCATTTGAGACAATAATTTCAATAAGTACTTTTTGAAAAAGAACGAATAAAGCAGAAATTGTTAAACGTTTGGTAAACATCTTCAAAGATTCATCATGGTCTTTTCTCTCTCTGTCCCCGAATAAACTTTCACAAACATGTTATACATCATGGACACTTTTCAAATGAATATATATATTTAAACAACTTTTTCTCTTCTACCACTCTGGCTCTGTGGTTGACATCCCTGCCAAGACTGCTAAGCAGTATAAAGGTAACTTGCCACTGTCTCCAGAGCCCAAAGACACATCCCCACCACTGCGCACACTGGTGTCTGCTGAGTTAGGCTGCCTCCACCACCTCCCTATGCACCACGGCCTCTGCTGGAGCTGCTCCCACCACAGGTGCTGCTACCACTCCCACTGGATACTTCTATTTCCACTGACGCTGATGTGCTGAGGTTTAGGAGGTGGCAGGGTTTCTGCTGTGGTGAGGTGGAAACATTGCCTTCCCACACAATATGGCTTTGCCCCTGTGTCTCCCGGAGTTTTGACACCCAGTGTCTTCTCTTCCTAGGACTTAGACATGATTTCACGGAGCAACTGGCAGATAGCTGCCACTGCTTAAAGAACCAGGCTTCTCCAAGGCCAAGGTTGTGCTATTCTCCCCTTAGACTAAATTATTTCTTAGAAAGTATCCCCATCCCCCATGCATGTGGGCTCCTGCAAGTGCGCTGCTGGAGGCACTGTTCAAAGTATTTGATTCAGGAATTTACCTTAGGCTCAGCCTGGGACAAGAAAGTTTACCCACATTTTTGCCCAATTCAGGTGCAAAATGAATGTGAACATTCAGTCAAGCATTGCAAACACAGTCTTAAATCTATCATGTCACAAGCAGAGTCTCAGAATACATATTTGACTTCTGTTATGACCCCTTTTAAAAGGATAGTTTTTGGCAAAATGATTTTTTAAAACCCCATAAAATTACAGTATTTTTTAAACATGGGACATGTGGCTCTGGAGGAAAAACAGAAAAAGCTGTCATGGAAAATCTGAACATGCACAAGATCCAACCCAGATGATTTCAACTATTAAGGGAATTACTTAATGTTCATTCGCATGTCCTTGTTGTTACCCTCTATTCAACTTTGATGTAGCTATACCAGTTTGGTGCCTGTGATTATAGATGAAGCACTACTGGAAAATTGGGAGTTTGGAAAAGAGTAACGGTGGTGACTGAATGAATGGCAACAAAAACTATATAAGGAAACATTTATGGAGATAAATGTCTATGTTTACATGAAATGCATTTAACATAAACTCACATCTGAAATGTGTATATGGAATAGCTACTGATAAGCAAACATTTCACTTCTACATATGATATCTATTATGTGTCGTTCTGTGAAAAACTATTCATCAAGGGCTAGAAGGACTGAAACAAACTGCCCAATCATTTGCCTCCATTTAGGCAGGTCCTCTGCACTACGCATGAAATCTTAGATGATGCAGTTAAGTAGTTCTCCAGCTTGGCAAATTGCTGGCATAACCACACAAACTATCAACTTTCTGCACATTTGCCCTTACCCATTAGCATCTCGTTGGTGTTCTGCAGGTAGGTATAATTGCAACTAGAAATAAACATTTATTAACATTTTATGTGTAAACTATTATATTAGGCATGGTACTGTGGGGATTTTGAAGAAACCAGCAATATCTTAATCTACATTTTATTTACCTATCTATGTATGCATGCATATGTATATATGCCTGCGTGTGTGTATACATAAATCTACACTTATAAAGCACTTTCACACATGCTATTTCATTTAACATTTACAATAACCTCTTTAAACATGACAAAAATAAATCTCGGAGAGGGTAAGTGACTTGCCCAACCACCCACAGCGGTTAAAACTGAGCTTGAATTCAGCTCTATGGTACTAAGTCCAAGTTTACTATATTACAACTTTCCTTAAGCATCACAGCTTCCCATAACCTTGCTCCCCCATCTCCACAAGGAATTGACAACTTTGGGGCAAGCTAACACATGTGTGCAATGATTGAAAGGTGATGTGACGAGTAATAAGGAAAAACAGGAGTTCCGAGTGGGGAGGGATCAGTCACTTCTAAAGCAGTTGGTTAGGAAGCGTTCGTGGAGGAGGTAAAATTTGGTCAGGATTTTGAAAAACTGATAAAATTTGGTGAGATAAAGATGGGATAAGGGGAATTCAACAAAGGGTTTTCTACATAAGAATGAACAGGGCATGCTTAACAAGGGGCTGCAGTTGAAATTTAGGGCATGCAGTGGGGCACAGTGGAAAATAAGCCTCAAGTTATAAATTGAGTTCAGGTTATGGAGGTCCTTGAATACCACGAAAAGGTATTAGGTCCCCACGGCAGATTTTAGAGCAAGATGTCTCAGGAGCTATGTGGAGCACTGATTAGAGGAAGAAGAGATTAGAGGAGAGAGACCAGGTAAGGGCTATTACAAAGCTCAAGTGAGAAAAATACAAATTTATTTTAGGGTAATGGCAGTGGAAACAAAGAGAAGGAAAAGTCTACTTGAAAGAATTTATTAACTCATTGGATAAAGGGGGCCAAAAAAGGAAAGAATTAAAAAGGCTCCAGGCTTCTGTGTCTCAAAGACTGAGAGGATACAGAAGACAGGGGGAAACTTTGGGTTGAAACAGAACACCATAAGCTTGTTTTTGGATATTTTAAGTTTAAGGTTGTCTTAGGATTGTCATACAGTATAACATCCAGCAAAGTGTCATACAGTATAACATCCAGCAAAAATGAGACCAGCTCATGGAAGATGGGTCAGGGCATAAAATAGCAATTTGGACAATATCTGCCTAGCCATTACTAATGAGCATGGATGTGAATTAGGAGGTTATAAAAGAGTATATTGAAAGAATAGATGGGATGGAAATTTAAATGAAAGAATGAGAAAGAGAAGAAGGGTGTAAAATGATCTTTGAAAATACCTTATTAAGTGGATAATGACAAAGAAGCCAGAAAGGAGACTTGAGGGCAGTGAGAAAGGGAAGTGAGAAGCAGGACAACAGCTTTTAAAGGAAGCCGAGAGGAACAAGATTGCCCAGGCAGAAGGCAGCCACCTGGGAACAATCTCCTTCTCCCAATACATCATGAAATCACAACAGTGAGATGTTGAAAAAGCATGCCCCCTAAATCCCACAGCAGCCACCAAACCAGAGAAGGGCACCACCCCATGCCATAAACTTCCAAAAAAGTATTGGCTGATGAAAAAGCAAATTCCACAGTGGAGTAGCATAGCTCACCATGGCAAGGCTCCTAGCTCTACCATTCCCAGGAGCCACACAGGTGTCATCAACCAAATCCAGGGATATCTTTTTCATATCTCAAAATTGAGAGAGAACCTTACTGAGATGCTAACTCTACAAATAGGGAGTCAGAGAAACTGTCGGAAGACAGTGGAAATGAACAGTGAGTTATATCTTCTCTCATGGCATTGATAATTGAAGAATAGATTCAAAGTTTGAGAGTATTCTCCCATAGGACTTGAATACAATCCCTCAACTCATTAAAGAAAGCCCTCATGCATTGAATAAGCAGTTAATAAACACTTCAGAAATGTCTGCCAAGTCCTGATACTCTACCAAAGTCTGCACAATACCTCAACCTCTGTCCTTCCCTGCCATTCTTTCAGACTATAGGGTAGGTGGAAAGAACATGAAAAAACAAACTCTAAAATTGTGGTTTGTCAGGAAAACAAATGGGTCTCAAATAGCAAGAGAGATGAGAAGACACCTATACAACATTAGGGCAAATAATAGGTCTGTATCAAGAGGACAGTTGAGAAAGATAAAAATTACCACCCTGGCAACCGTGTGTGTGTGTGTGTGTGCGCGCGCGCGTGTGTGCATGTACACACACACACGCACACACACACACACATGCCCTAGAATGCAAAAGATAAACCAACTTAGGTGCAAAACAACTGAAAATCAGAAGGAAGTTCTTCACAAGTGCCCTGAGCTATGGTAAAAAAAAATTAATTAATTAATTAATAAGATAAATTTAATAACATAAGGGCCCATAGTCAAGATGATTAAATAACAGAAAATAAACAGGAAAGTTACAAACTTGGAAAACAGATGGAGGGAGAAAAATCGGTATATGTCTATGATTAAATTTGAGACTTTAACAAACAGATTAGACTCACCTTTAAACTTACCAATATATAGGAAAGGGAGTACAAATTCAAAAATAATAAAAGAAACACAAAGAGAAAAATGCAGTTATAAAGAGCTAATTAATTTATAGAACAAAGTCAATAATTAGTGTTCTTGAAAGTCAAAATCCCTAATTAGTGTTCCTGAAAGTATTCAACAAATGGAATAACAAAAAGCAACAAATGCTATAATATAAGCAAATTTTACTGGAATGAAAAAAATAATGCAACCACTGGAATGAAAAAAATAATACAACCACTGGAATGAAAAAAATAATGGAAACCACTTATACTGCTAAGATAATGAATTTCAAGGATAAAGAATGTAATTCTCAGATATCTAGACAGGATAAAAACCAATCACCTCAAGGGTAGAGACAGGAAATACGAAATTCACTGCAGTCTTCCCCACAGCAACATTGATGCCAGAAGATAATTTAAAAATGTCTCCAAGATTCTGAGAAAAACAATAGTGTGTCTCAACAAGATCAGAACTAGGCAAAACCTTGAGTAATAGCCAGACATTTTCAAATGTAAAACAAATTTACAAATATCAAGTTGTATACTGTAAATATATACAATTTTTGTCAATTATATCTTAATACAGATGTTTAAAAAACCATTACAATGGGGCTCTTACGAATTTTCCCTATTTTGATTTTTGAATGTGAAGAATACATGCTCAGAATACATGATTCTGATGTAATCTATACAGAATAGATTGCATTCTAGTCCTATAGGAGAATATCTTCAAACTTTTAATTTATTCCTCAATTTCATGTTCAG
The DNA here is from genome assembly GCF_000001405.40 of Homo sapiens. Taxonomy (NCBI): domain Eukaryota; kingdom Metazoa; phylum Chordata; class Mammalia; order Primates; family Hominidae; genus Homo; species Homo sapiens. Next base: position 38,090,815 of record NC_000005.10, on the reverse strand, counting down.
TCTTGGAGCCTTCAATGCCATTAGAAAATATATAGCCCATTGATCATTTCCACTGTGTTCCAACAGTTTCTATGACTTCCTATTTGTAGAGTTAACTTCTCAGTGAGATTCCCTCACAATTTGTGGTATTAATAAGATACATTTGTATTCATAAATTTCATAAATTTTAGTGTACTGCTTAATGAATTGTGACCTGTGTAACCATCAACCTGATCAAGATTAAGACTATTTCGATCACTTAAAAAAGTGTCCTGGCATCCCTTTCCAGTAAATATTCCCATACCCTTTTCTGACCTCTATCACCATAGATTAATTTTGCCTGTTCTAAAAATTCATATAAATGAAATCATATGCTATTACTATTTTATCTAGCTTCATTAGTTCAAAATAATGTTTTTGTGTTTTATTCATATTGTGATATGTGTCAGTAGTTCTTTTTTATTGCTCAGTAGTATACTACACCTTTTCCATTTTCGTGTTGATGGACATTTGGGTTGTTTCCAGTTTAGGACTCTTATAAATAAAACTGTTATGAACATTCATATGAGTTATGAGTCTTTTTGTAAGATAGATACATTCCTTTCTTCTGGCAATACAGTTAGGAATGGAAATACTTGGTCACAGGATAGATCTATGTTTAACTTTACTGAAGAGTGAGAAACAGTTTTCCAAAGTGGTTTTATTATTTTATACTCCCACAAGCAATGTATGAGAATTTCAATTTCTCCACACGCACAACAGCAGTCTGTTTAGTTTTAAACATTCTATATCTCATCATAGTTGAGTTGGCATTTCCCTGATGACTAATGATGTTGAGCACCTTTTCATATGTTATTAGGCATTCATATATCTTCTTTGTGAGGCGCCTGTTCAAGTATCTCCTCATTTCTTATGTCAATTGTCTTTAAAATGTGATTCATAGGAATTCATCTATACCTAGGATATCAGTCCTTTATCAGCTATATGTTTATGAAATATTTTCTTCCAGACTACGGCTTCACTTTTCACTTTCTTAACAATGACTTTTGATGAACATAAGTTTTAATGTTATGAAGTTTTATTTATTATTATTTTTATATGATTGGTGCTTTACGTGTCTTGTGAAATCTTTCTCTGCCACAAGATTGTAAAAATATTTTTTTCCTACATTTTCTTTAGCAAGCTTTATAAATTTAGCTTTCACAGTTGAATTGTCATGCATTATATAAAGTAAGAGTCAAAGTTCATTTTTTTCCATATAGATGTCCAGTTGTTCCATTATCATTTATTGAAAAGACTTTTGTTTCCCCCATTGGCTTTAATTTGCCCTGTTTAAAAAACTAATAAACTTTATATGTGTAGATCTATTTCAGATTCTCTTTTCTATTTCATTAGTTTGTCTACCCTTACACCAACTATACTGTCTTAATTACTATAGCTTTCAGTAAGTCTTGAACATTGATAGTGTGAATCCTTCCATTTTGTTCTTCCTTTTCAAGGACTATTATAAGTCCTTGCATTTTCAAATACATTTTAGAATCAGCTTGTCAATTTCTCCAGAATGCCTGCTGGGATTTTGATTGAAATTGCATTCAGTCAATAGATCAGTTTAAGGAGAATTAACAACTTAACAATATTGAGCTTTTCAATCCGATATTAGGATTCCAATCATATACCTTTCCAATTATCTTTTAAAATTTCTATCAGCAATGTACTGTCATTTCCAATATACAGGTCTTGCACAAATTTCACTAAATGTATTCCTAGGTATTTATAAACGGTATTTTTAAAAATTTCCAATTATTTATTACAAGTATACAAAGGTGTAAGTAGTTTTTATATATTGACTTTTGTATTTCTTGAACTTCATCAATTTGCTTTTTAGTTGCAGTGGTTTTAAATTTTTTGTAGATCACATTGGATTTTCTTTTTTTTTTTTCTTTTGGAGACAGAGTCTCACTCTGTCACCCAGCTGGAGTGCAGTGGCACGGTCTTGGCTCACTGCAACCTCAGCCTCCCGGGTTCAAGCGATTCTCCTGTTTCAGCCTCCTGAGCAGCTGGGACTACAGGCACCCACCACCACGCCTGGCTAATTTTTTTTTTTTTTTTTTTTTAGTAGAGACAGGGTTTCACCATGTTGGCCAGGCTGGGCTCAAACTCCTGACCTCTTGATCTGCCCACCTCGGCCTCCCAAAGTGCTGGGATTACAGGCATGAGCCACTGCGCCTGGCCCACATTGGATTTTTCTATGTACATCAGTGTGTCATCTGTGAATTAAGATCATTCTACTCCTTCCTTCTTGTGATTATACTTTATATTTCTTATTCTTGCCTTATTGTGCTGGCTATAACCTCCAGTACAATGTTAAATTGAAGTGATGAGAGGAAACATTTTTGCTTTAAATGGAAATTCTTAATAATTCTCCACCAGGTCCTAGGTTAGCTCTAGATTTTTTTTGTAAATGCTTTCATCAAGTTGGGGAAGTCCTCTTCTATTCCTAGTTTGCTGAGAGTTTTTGCCATGAACAAGTGTTGAGTTTTATCAAATTCTTTTTCTGCATCTATCAATATAACATCATTTTTACTCTTTATTTTTAATGTGTTAAATTACATTGATTGACTTTTGAAGGCTGTACCAAACTTGCATTACCCTACTTGGTCATGATGTTTTATCTTTTTTAGATATTGCTTTTGCTCATAATTGTTAAATTTTTTAAATTAACATGAGGGATATTGGTCTATTTTTCTCTTTTGTGTATTTTCCTTGTTGAGTTTTGGTAGCACGGTTTTACTGGCCTCATAAAATGCATAAGAAAGCATTTCCTCTTCTTTTATTCTCTGAAAATATTTTAATATTTGTATTATTTCTTACTTCAGTGTTTGGTAATATTAACAAATGAAGTCACTTGGGTCTGGGCTTTCCTTTGTGGGAAGATTTCTAATTATGGATTTGACTTATTTAACAAATACAGGAACATTTACATTTTCAGTTTTTCTTGTGATAACTTTAGAAAGTTGTCTTTTTCAAGAAAATTGTCCATTGTTCTAAGTTGTCAAATATATTAACATAAAGTTGATTATAATATCCCTCTTATCCTCTTAATGTCATAGGATGTATATAGATGTCACTTCATTTGTGTTTCTCTGTTTTTTTCATCAGTCTTCCTGTGGGTTTATTAATTTTGTTAATATTTTCTAAAGAACCAGTTGACATTCTCTATTTGTTTGCCTATTTTCTATTCTGTTGAATTTTGCTCTTATCTTTATTATTTCCTTCCTTCTACTTTTTTGGTTTTGCAAAAACAGTACGTCGATTTCTTTTTAGGAAAGAATGAACAAATGAATGAGGAAAGGAAGGCAAGAGAGATGTTTAATCGTGTCAAATCTTTATACCTGTTAACAAAAAGGATGAAGGTAAAGTCATTAAAATTTGCAAATAGGAGGTTATTGGTGACTTTCAAGAGGCTTCACGGTATAAAGATTTGAGGTCAGACACATTGAGTTATGGTAATGGAATTTGCTATTCTTTTTGACCATCCAATATATGAAACCAATTTCCCTTATTTGAGAATTCTCACTGCCCCCAATTCCTAACACATACACAAATAAACACATTATGATTCTTGAAGAGAGACAAAACCTATCTCCGACTAGAGACATGGAAACTTCCAGAAACTCATTCTCCCAAGAAATCTTGCAGCTTGGGTACATGTTCATGACCCTCGTTCTGCCAATCAGACACACCGACCTCATATCAAGGGACCACAAGAACTCTCTGATGGTGGGGAGAGTTGCTGAAATATTAAGTCTTTGGGGGCAGTGAGGAGAATAGTGCTGGTGTGGGTATCCAGTGTCCATCTGGCGTGTCAGCAATAAAATTTACAATGTCCAGAGCTTCCAGAAGTGTCCTCACCCATCCACTTCTTGTTGAGGATCACACCTAGCAATACAGCCTTAATCTATTTCTCTAGACTGGCCTGGGATTCTGTGAACTAACAATATAATCAATTCATTCTCTGCCGAAATCAGCCAGCCTTAATCTCTGCTGCTTGTAACTAGGAGCCCTGACTGTTGAATCCAAGCTCCACACTCAGTGGGTGACTGTGACCAGGTCGTACAATGTTCTTCAACATTTTTTTCCTCAACTGTTAAATGAAAGCAATAGTACCCACCTCAGTACAGTTGTGATTATTAAATATGACAGCATATGCAAAGTACCTAATTGATGTGTGACTGGTGCTGAAGAAATTTAGTTCTAGGAAAATAAAAATATTATAAGCCCCTAAAACTTCAATTCAGCCTCATTTAAAACCATTGTTGAATCCATACGTCATGGATCACAATGGTTACTAAGAAACCTCTGGGTAGAGGTAAACAGTGTAGCTTGACCTTCAAGATTTCTACCAGGAAAGGCAGGCGTAAGATGCTAATCCAAGACGGTTGAGATAAGATTTTCTGTCTTTTTAGGAGTTAGAGACCTGAGTTTGTGTGTAAGATAAGAAGTAGGAACTAATAAAGAAAGAACAATTTGAACAGAAAAAGAATGTTGACAAAAGCACTTTAAAGATATCAAGGTTCTGGATTAGAATTGTCTTTGGTTGTAAAAATAAGAAAGTCAGTCAGAGAATTTAACATACCAGTTACCACCAGGCATAACAAATAAGTATTAGGCAGGTGCGGGAAAGTTCCTGTTTAAGTTAAATCTATACATACTCTGTATCTTGTCTTCATAAAATTGAATTGTTTATTGAAAAAGGCAAGAAGCTCTCCTGTGATTTTTTTTTTTTTTTTTTTTTTGCTCTTAACCACAAATGTTTTATAGTTATCTCCCATGGAATGTAAACCTTGACTACAAAGCTATGATCACTGCAAATCTTCCTCTACACGATTGTTGTAAAAATTATATTTGGACACTTTATGTTTATTATAAAAATAATTTTTGCTAGAATATGTTTGTTGTAGTAAATGGGGAATTTACTCTTCTACATTACAATGTATACACCAGTTGTTGAAGGTGACTGACTATGAACTTATGAATTATGTATTCTAACTCACTACTATCTATGGGACAGAACCTTCTGTCTTACTTTTCTCTTCAAAAACCTATTTTTAAAAATAAATTTGTGATCTAACAGATTTACTTCTCAACACATTATGAAGCTCATTTATTTGTTTTCTTGATCTTGCTCCCCTCAAGAGGGCAGTTTTAGCAGAGCAATGGGTATGACAGACTAAAAAGGATTAGGAAGAAAGTAGCAATGAGGACATGGAATCAGGTGATGTCGACTCCACTTCAAAATGCTAGGATTCAATGACAGGACCTGGAGAATGGATGCTAACTTAAGAGGGCAATGGGGTTAGAAAAACATTTTTAATGGAGAGGACTTCCTTTGTTTGTAAGAAACGGGGAATAAGAAAAGGGGAAAAAATCTTGGAAAAACTAAGAAAACATGGGATCAAAGGCACATAAGTGTGGGACTGGTGTTTGGAAAGAGGATGGAAGCTTCTTCCTCTAAGAAAAACAAGAGGAAGCAGATGATGAAAATTTTAGGGCATGAAAGTTTATATTCAGATACCTTTAATATTCCATTGAGACACAAAGGCAGAGATGCTAGTTTGAGGGCTAGAGGAAAATGAAACATGCTTGGAAACTCTTCAGAGGAGAAGGCTATGCAGAAGCATCAAGAGTTGAATAAAATAATTATTATTGAGCAACAGTAAGAATACAAATGAAATACCAGTGGATCCAATTAGCAGAATTCTTAGAACTTCTCTAGCTAAATCTGGGTGTAGAGAATCTCTAACAGCCATTGAAATATTAGGGACACTGGTATTTCTGTGAAGCTACAGAATTGTGGAAAGACCCAAGAATACAACAAAAACACAGATAATCAAAATCAGAGAGCCAGGGGACAGTGGGGACCACACATCTACCTCCAGACAAGGGGATGACCTGTTAGAAGTACTTGATGGTATGACAAGGTATCCCCTAAGAACTTGAAAAGGAGAGAAATCAGTGTCTCTAACATTTTACATTTTGAAATCATTATACAATAGATCAGAACTGAAACATGCTTTGCCACCTTCATGATCAGAGTGGCTCTCAGGTCTACCTGATGAGATGATGTGATCTGACTATGGATATGAATGTAACTAAGGAAAGTGTCAACCAGCCTAAGAAACAGAGCAAAAGAGAGCACTATCCAAGGAGAAGGGCACCTTTCCTATGGACTTTGAGATTTCTGGTCCCATTGGCAAGATCATCCCTGAAATGGAGTGAGGTATGATGGGCCACCTTTGCCTCCTGCTATTCAAGCATTCAATCAGCTGGTTTGGTGCTGACCTAGAGATGTGCTCATCATACCTTGGCTTCCTTGTATTGTAGGTCTTCCTATTGGGAGATAATATGGAAGACCTGCTGATATGAGTATTCCGGTCACCATGACAATTATTTTTCATTGTAAATATGTTAACTAGTGACCAGTTTTACATGTCAGTCATATGAACTTGCCTAACCTGAGTCCACCTCTGAAAGCCACATCTCTCGGGGGAACTGATTATGGGTATCTGAACCTGCAGGCTGAGAACACCATACATGAAATTCACCAAAGCAGGTCCCATGGGAGACATCAAGCTGGCCTTCTCCTGGTGAGCATCTACATCTACATAGCTTTTTCCATTTTGAAACAAAAAAATGGTATGTAGCAGATTGGAAGAGTCTGGTGTGTTTCACCTCACTTGCCATACGGATGTCCTTTGCATGCCCTCCAGATGGCCCAGGAAGGTAGAGTCTCTTATTGCAAGGGAAAATACCTGTGGTTGGTGGGGCAATTACAATGCCCGAATCAGGACAATATCATTGTGTACAGCCTTTGAGAAGCCAGTAGTCTGCAGTTTAATGTTCCTCTCACCTTTTTGTTTCTCTTTTTTAGTAAAATTCTAGCTGATAGCTCTGAGCATTTTTATCTCTGCAAGAGTCCAGTTGGCATTTCACAGGTAATACATAAAAGGGAAGCCATTTCCTCAAAATGCCTACACAAACTGTGTTCCTACAAGTACTTCCAACCACAAGCTATGAATTTATCTTCAGGATCAAGGAAGCTTTTCCTGCTTAAAAATAACAACAGTTTGTCAGGCAGGGGAATGTCTTGGAGGAAGGGGTTTAGATTTTAATCCTGAGTGCTGATATCAACGTGCATGACAGGTCTCTCTGAGTCCTTTGCCCTGCAAGAAGATAAACACAGAGTGTTCAGTGTTTTCCAAAAATTTGTATCCATCTGGACATCCTCTCAATTTTTTCCCCCTCCAACTTTCATGCTGGAGTTCTTATGTAAGTTGTGGAGTCAGATGTGGGAAGGAAGGGGGATGGAAGGACTATATTTTTTTAAACACAAAAACAATGCTTGATCTACCCAAGCTTTTCTCCAGCTATATAAGAAGAAAAGGGATAAATGAGTACATCAATGGAAATACTTGTGGGTGGAAAAAGACAGGGTTGGCCAGAGGGACCGATACAAGGAGTTGGGATTACACAGGTGTGTGTGAGGCAGATCAGGGTCTATAACACATGAAAAGCTGGAGGCTGAGAGACTCATTGCTCCCAGGAGAAAGTCAATAAAAATTAGATTCCAGGGAAACAAGAACGGAGGCTAGATCAAAAGACCTGACCACACCTGGGAAGAGACAGGTAGACCTCTGAGATATTGCAGGTCCCATTCCAGACCATTGCAAATATTGAGCAAATATTGAGATAAAGCAAGTCACACAAAATTTTTGATTTCCTAGTGCATATAAAAGTTATGTTTACCCTATACTTTAATCTATTAAGTATACAATAGCATTATGTCTAACAAAATTGATGTATGTAATAGTAGGCTGTCATGACAAAAAAGTGTACATACTTTGACTTATAATACTTTATTTTGTAAACATCCTAATAATCATCTGAGCTTTTGGCAAGTGGTGGAGGGTCTTGCCTCAGAGGCAAGGTTTTTTTGCCACTGAGGTGGAGGGTTTTTGCTGGTAGAGGGTCTTGCCTCAGCGTTCATGGCTGCTGACTGATCAGGGTGGTGGTTGCTGATGGCTGGGTGGCTCTGGCAATTTCTAAAAGAAAGACGAAAATGAAGTTTGCCACATCAATTGATTCTCCGTTTCACAAAAGATTTCTCCGTAGAATGCAATGCTGTTTGCCAGCATTTTACCCACAGTAAAACTTCTTTCAAAATTGGAGTCAGCCCTCTCAAACCCTGCCTCTGTTTTATCAACTGAATTGATGTAATATTCTAAATCCTTTGTTGTCATTTCAACCATGTTCACAGCATCTTTACCAGGAGTAGATTCCATCTCACAAAACTGTTTCTTTACTCATCCATAAGTGGCAACTCCTCATCCATTAAATTTTCATCATGGGATTGCAGCAATTCAGTCACATCTTCAGGCTCCACTTCTAGTTTTAGTTCTTATGTTATTTCCACCACATCTGCAGTGACTTCTGCCACTGGTCTTGAATCCCTCAAAGTCATCCATGAGGGTTGGAATCAACTTCTTCAAATTCCTATTAATGTTAATAATTTGACCTCCTCATCTAAATCACAAATGTTTTAATGGCATCTAGAAATGGTGAAACTTTTCCAGAGGATTTTCAATTTACTTTACCCAGATCCATCAGAGGAATCACTATCTATGACAACTATAGCCTTATGAAACATATTTCTTAAATAATAAGACTTGAAAGTCAAAATGACTCCTGGATCCATGGGCTACAGAATGAATGCTGTGTTAGCAGGCATGGAAACATGAATCTCTTTGTACATCTCCATCAGAGCTCATGGATTACTGGGTGCATTGTCAATGAGCAGTAAAAATTTTAAAGGAATCTTTTTTTTTCTGAGCAGTGAGTCTTAACAGTGGGCTTAAAATATTCAATAAAACCATGTTATTAACAGATGTGCTGTCATTCAGGCTTTGTTGTTCCATTTATAAAGCACAGGCAGTGTAGATGTTGCATACTTCTTAAGGGCCCTAGGATATTTGAATGATCATTGAGCACTGGCTTCGACTTTAATTCACCTGCTTCATTAGCCTCTAACAAGAGAGTCAGCCTGTCCTTTGAAGCTTTGAAGTCAGGCATTGACTTCTCTCTAGCTATGAAAGTCCTAGATGGCATCTCCTTCCAATGTAAGCCTCTTCCATCTACGTTGAAAATCTGTTGTTGAGTGATTGATGAATTGATAATTCATCAATTATCTTAGCTAGGTCTTCTGGATAACTTGCTGCAGCTTCTACATCAGAACCTGCTGTTTTATCATGTGCTTTTATCTTATGGAGATGACCTCTTTCTTTAAACGTCATGAACTAAACTTTGCTAGCTTCCAACTTTTCTTCTGCAGGTTCCTCCCCTCTCTCAGCCTTCAGATAACTGAAAAGAGTTGAGGGCTTGCTTTGGATTTGGCTTTGGCGTAAGGGAATATTGTGGCTGGTTTGATCCTTTACTTAGATTACTGAACTTTCTCCATAACAGCAATAAGTCTGTTTCAGTTTCTTACTTATATGTTCTGGAGTAGCACTTTTAACTTCCTTCAAGAAATTTTCCTTTGCATTCACCATTTGTCTAACTCTTTGGTGCAAGAGGCCTTCCTTTCAGTCCAGCTCAGTTTTTGATGTGCCTTTCTCATAAGCTTAATCATTTCTAGCTTTTGATTGAAAGAGAGAGTCATGCGACTTTTCCTTTCACTTGAACACTTAGCGGCCATTCTAGGGTTATTAAATGACCAAATTTCAATATTGTTGTGCCTCAGGGAATAGGGAGGCCCAAGGAGAGGGAGAAAGATGGGAAAACAGCTGATGGGTGGAGCAGTCAAAACACACATAACATGTTTCAATTAAGTGCACCATCTTATACAGGTGCAGTTCATGGCACTCCAAGACGATTACAATACTAACATTGAAGATCACTGATCACATATCGCTATAACAGATATGATAATAATGAAAAAGTTTGAAATGTTGTGAGAATTACCAAAATGTGACATGCACAAAGTGAGCACACGCTGTTGGAAAAATGGTGTCAATAGAGTTGTTTAACACAGGGTTGCCACAATTTGTCTGAAACACAGTATCTGCAATGTGCAATAAAATGAAGTGCAATAAACGAGGTATGCCTGTAGAAAATAGCGAGAAAGTCAGACAGAATGCCAGGGGCAGAAATGTCCCTGAGCTTAGCTTTGTAGAGATGGTACAACCAGTAAACGTGGGACCCAGGGCCAAGTCTGATATGGGCTCCTCTGTGTATAGAAAGTCTGTCTTTCATAATTCATTGGATCTGTATGATTCAAGATATTTGATTCATAACAAAAAATTTTGAGATAAAAAACATTACAAAATATGGCAATTTAATGGATCAAAACAATATGAAGGAAATTTTAAATTTAGAAAGGTTTCTGTTGACATTGGGGTTCAGACTCAGAGACAAGGGCAGGGCAGAGTATTAAAGCTGAGTTTGTGGTTTCTCCTGTCACTCTGCTGCTTTTGACTCTTTAGAAAGACTTTGTGATCCTCCTGGCTCCTCGCATGAAAGCTTGTGCTCTGGCCTCAGTGGTGCTGTCCAGCCAAGAGGCTGAGGATCCTTGCCAGGGACTGTGCCAGCCCACCCCTGGTTTGGATCCAGACTCTACTCCAGTATTTACTAACGCTAAGCCTTGTCAATGCCCACATTCACACTCACTTGGGCTTCTAAAGCCCAGGGTTCTCTTAATCTTAACAGTGCTCAATGCTTCTGAGTACAGCATCATGATTACAAACTAGGCTCCTAGGGTTGGACTAGGTTCCTGCACTGTGTCACTCAGAATAATCAACACATAGTAGCTTAAATAGTGAAGAAGTCAGAAGGCAAGGCAGTTCTAGGATTGTTCCCACAGCCGAATAATGTCAGGAAGCTAGGCTCTTTTTAGCTTTTCATTCTGCCATCCCTGATGTGTTAAATTGTTGTTTATAGGCTTGTTGCCTCATGGTCACAAGACAGCTGCTATTGCTCAAGTGTCCATTTTTAATGATAGCATCCAAAGCAGACAGGGAGGAAAGGGGAAGTCCTCTGTCTCATGGCTCTTTCTTTTCAGAAGGAAAATGTTTCTCAGAACCATGACCCTCTGGCCCATCACCCCCCAACCCTCCACCACATAAAGCTGACTTTCCTGTACATCTGCCAGAACTACATCACCCTAATTGCAAAGAAAGATGGAAAAGTGAACGTATGTCATTTAAACCTCCATCATGGGAAGCCTACTTGGCCTCAAAGAAAAGAGAAGAAATGACTGTGGGTAGGCAACTTTCTCTGTTATCTATTGCCACTGTAATGGAGCAGAATATCACCCCAAAACTCAGTGGCCAAAAAACCAATTGATCATTTTTCATTAATCTGTGAATTGGCTGGACAGTTCTACTGATCTGGGCCAGGTTCAGCCAGTTGTGGCTGGGCTTGCTTATACGTCTGCAGTCAGTTGGTTGGTGGGTTGGCTGGGGGCTGGCTGGTCTCGAATGGCCTCAGCTGGGATGGCTCACCTTGGCTCCATGTGACCTATCATCCTCCAGCAGAGCAGCCCAGGCTTGTTCCCATGAAGGAGGCAGGGGCTGGAAAGCAGAAGACATCACGGTCTCCTGAAGCCTAGACAGCACACACAGTCACTTCCACCACATCTATTAGCCATAGAAAGTCACAAGGCCAGCCCTGACACAAAGGGAGGGGAAATAGACTCCTCCCCTCTATAGAAGGAGTGACAGAGTCACATTGCAGGGGGTGTGGATCCAGCTGAGAAAGAACTGAGGCCATTTTCACAATCTATCACACCAACCAATAGAACTTGCTGTAGGCTCTTAAATATATGACCATGAACAAGTTACTTAACCTCTGAGCCTCAATTTCTCCATCTGAAAAAAATGGAGATAATAATAAAATCTAACTTATAGGGTTGTTAGGATTATCTATGTATTGATCTATGTCAAAGAGTTTACCAGAATGTCTTCATTTGATAAGTTACCATGTATTAATCAATGTTAGCTTTCATGATTATCGACCAATGACCAAATACAGCAGCAATAGTCCTAAATATCTTAAGGGCCAGGGGCAGTGGCTCACACCTGTAATCCCAGCACTTTGGGAGGCTAAGGCGGGCAGATCACCTGAGATCAGGAGTTTGAGACCAGCCTGGCCAACATGACAAAACCCCATCTCTACTAAAAAAAAATACAAAAATTAGCTGGGCATGGTGGTGTGTGCCTGTAATCTCAGCTACTGGGGAAGCTGAGGCAGGAGAATCACTTGATCCTGGGAGGCAGAGGTTGCAGTAAGCCAAGATCGTGCCACTGCACTCCAGCCTGGTCAATAGAGTGAGACTCTGTATAAAAAAAAAAAAAACTTACGGACCGAGTCATAACTAAGGAATGTTGATGGTTAGGACAGAGTGTGATCTTACCCTCACATTTTCTTAAATTCACTTTGCAATTCACAATACTGCTCACAGATTGGTCTTAATGAAAATGTTATCTTGTGTTCTAATTGAACAAATTCTTCTTGTTAACTAGCATCTCAGTTGTTCCTATCTACTGAAAAACTCATGTGAAGGCTACTAATATTTAAGTCACACAGCCTTTCTAAAAGAAATTATTTCACATTTTTTATACCCTGTAAATTTATGGACTACCCACTCCCCAGGGGTAAGACCTGGTTAGGCTGGCCTAAGTGGCTACACTGCCTTCAGGGTGTGATGAAAGGAGAGAGAAGGACAGAGAAGGAAGAGAATATTCCCTGGGAGTCCAGCTTTGACTGCAGGGTCTCTTCTTCCCTAAAAGTCAGGGCAAAGGCCAGGAGCAGACAGCTGGGGTGGGCTTAGGCCAATGTAGCTCTCTACTTGGCTCTCTGTTTCACTAGGGCCAGATAAGCTAAGAAGCAAATGAATCCAGCACCCACGTCAATGTGAGACAAACTCACTGGACTTTGGCCCATAGTTAAAAGTACATTGCTAGGTTTGTAGTGTAGGAGCAACAGGCTATACCACATAGCCTAGGTATGTTGTAGGCTATACCATCTAGGGTTGTGTGAGTGCACTCTATGATGTTTGTGCAGTGACAAAATTACCTAATGAAACATTTCTCAAAACATATCCCTGTTGTCAAGTGATACCTGACAGTATATGTATGTATATCTAAAAAATTTTCAGTAACCGTTACAATAAAAGAAACACAATATAGTTTCTAAACCAGAAGCCAATTGTAGAACAGGTCGTGGTGTAGGCAGAATAGCTAACGCTCTATTAATCCAACAGAAGGCAAGGAAGGAGAAAAAAAAGGATTTTTAAAAGAAGCATGAAATGATAAAACACAAAACACGTGAAAATAAGTCCTGATTTAATAAAAAGCAAGTAGCAGAATCTTAAAAGAAAGTACATTGCTTGTGCAGTTTTACAAAACTCACTCACATACAAATGAATACACATATGCATATACATTAGTAAGTATATGCATAAATATGTACATACGTTAAACTGAAGCAAAAATTTCATGAAACAACACACTTTCTTTTTTTTAAATTTATTATTATTATACTTTAAGTTCTAGGGTACATGTGCACAACGTGCAGGTTTGTTACATATGTATACATGTGCCATGTTGGTGTGCTGCACCCATTAACTCATCATTTACATTAGGTATATCTCCTAATACTATCCCTCACCCCTCCCCCCACCCCACAACAGACCCCGGTGTGTGATGCTCCCCTTCCTGTGTCCATGTGTTCTCATTGTTCAATTCCCACCTATGAATGAGAACATGTGGTGTTTGGTTTTTTGTCCTTGCGATAGTTCGCTGAGAATGATGGTTTCCAGTTTCATCCATGTCCCTGCAAAGGACATGAACTCATCATTTTTTATGGCTGCATAGTATTCCATGGTGTATACGTGCCACATTTTCTTAATCCAGTCTATTATTGTTGGACATTTAGGTTGGTTCCAAGTCTTTGCTATTGTGAATAGTGCCGCTATAAACATACGTGTGCATGTGTCTTTATAGCAGCATGATTTATAATCCTTTGGATATATCCCCAGTAATGGGATGGCTGGGTCAAATGGTATTTCTAGTTCTAGATCCCTGAGGAATCGCCACACTGACTTCCACAATGGTTGAACTAGTTTACAGTCCCACCAACAGTGTGAAAGTGTTCCTATTTCTCCACATCCTCTCCAGCACCTGAAACAACACATTTTCTACATGCAATGCCCTCTGGTATTTCTTCTTCAATTGCGTTGTCTTTTTTACTTCTTATTTCAGATCCTTCATTTTTCATTGTATTGTATTTTCATTGTTTGAAATGCTGCTCATGACCAATTAAGTTGATTTAAAAATATTGTTTGAACAACTGTCTTGAGAAACACTGACTTACGTGGCATAATGTAAGAAGCACTGAGCAAAATCCCTTCTCTTTTCCAGAAGCTTTCCCTACTTTCAGATTTACAGAGGGGGCCATGTGAGAAGACTGTAGCTGAAGTAATCTTGAACAGTGGTGAAGAGCAAGGAATCTGTAGCAAAAAGGCCTGGATTCAAAATCTGGCTCAGCCACTCAGTAACTGTGTGACCCCAGCAGAGTCGTTTAACCCCTGGAGCCTTGGTTTCCTCCTGAAAAATGAGGATGAAAATACCCCTTCCCCACTGTCCTGCAAATGAAGCCAGTAGCACAAAGTAAGTTGGATAAATATCATCTATTACTCTTCCCTTGGGAGATGTCAGTCTTTCATCCCATGTGGAGCTATTTGGTACAATTTTTCTATTGGAGAGCTAGCTGGCAGGACGGTGCAGGATGAGACACACATAAGTAAGTCTTGGTGCAGAAGGGGTAGCACACCAGGGCAGCCCTAAGTGGAACCAATAGAAGAGGGACTCCAAGGTAGGAGTGGGGGCTGTGGGGTGGCGGAGAGGTTCCACCAGGCTGGAGAAAGCTCTGAAGTAAGAAGTGGGTGGAGGCTGGTGGTTCTTTCATAGATGTGACTAGGTCTTTGGTCCTATGGGTAAATGAAGAAGTTTTTTTTTTATAGATTTCCATGAAGTGGACATAGATGCCCCTCTTTCTACAAGTCACTCTATAGTACACGTAATTGAATAAATGCAATACAACCAGCTCCTGGGGCTGACATTTGTGCAAATAAGAAAAAACAACCTCTTTGGGCACAAGCAGCTCTGCCCAGGTCACATAGACTAATGAGCAAACTGGGGATAGACCTTAGCCCCATCTAGCAGATGCCCTTGTGTAGTGCACAACCTGCTCAACCATCCTCAGTGGCCCCACTGGATTTATATTAACTCATAGTTAACTCCTTTCATAAGACTTCTTCCAGGCATTTATTCACTATTCCCAATTGTAGCAAATGTTCAAATGTTCAACCTAAATTTGATGTTCAAAGTAGCCAAAATTATTTTGATCCCAGATGTTACCAAATGAAAGTGTACCACACAGATCTCCTGCTGCTAGAGCATAATTAACTGATGGCCACAGCTGCTGCCCACTGGGATCCACCACACTTCCACAGTGTGGCTTCCAACCAATGACTGAGCATGGAGAGGTCTGAAGACAGCCTCCTTCCAGCAAGACATAGGATGCAAGGGCTCCTTGGCTGAACATTTCTTGGAACAGTGTTGCAGTCTGAGAGTCATCCCATCCACCCTTCCTTCCTTCCCTCTCTCCTTCCACAGATGCCAGACCTGTGATACAGTCTCTTCTCGCCTTTCTTCCTTCCTGCTTTTCCTTGCACATCTAATCCCATCTTGGTGTCTGTCTCAGCAGATCTAGACAATAGCACCAGATCTGGTGAAAGAGGGGACTGGTCAATCTAATACATGTTCAAGGCAAAAGCTACAACTGGCTGTAAAATGAATAAGATGAATTTTCTTGTGTAACTGATAAGAAGAGTTCAGTGAATATTGGTTAACTATCAGATGAAATCAGGCACTTTCAACGTGGTATGGCCATAGACAAATATCGGGTAACTATCAAATGAGTGAAAATGGTCCTGAAATAAAATAATGCCATCTCCTACAGTGTGGCCGAAACGTCTACTCATTCAGAGGCATAGTCAGAGGCTTCAGGTACACCTCTAAGTGTCCCTGGGAGTCTGCAAAGAGATTCCTCACATGTGGCTCTCTTGTTTGCAATTCACCCTGGCTCCCACTTCTTCACACCTGCCTGGAAGGCCACTGAAGAAGTCTTATGGCTCCCACTGCCCATCCTGAGAACGCCAAAGCCCAACTGTGCCACAGGGGCCACTTGAAGATGCTCCTGATTTTTTAATT
Source organism: Homo sapiens (assembly GCF_000001405.40). Taxonomy (NCBI): domain Eukaryota; kingdom Metazoa; phylum Chordata; class Mammalia; order Primates; family Hominidae; genus Homo; species Homo sapiens. The sequence continues at coordinate 38,074,508 of NC_000005.10, read as the reverse complement.
CCTCTTGAAGCTGAATGGGGGCCAAGCCATATGGCCAGGGGACATGATGGAGGAGGATGGTTTCCTCTCCAACTCCATGTGACAGTTTTCACTCCAACCTAATTGGAAGCATCTCTTGTGACTAGATAAGAAAGGTTTCATCTGATTCTGATACTCATCCTTTTTATGCACAAGGAACTTAAAATCAGCCCAGGGGACTGGTAAGGACAGGTGCCTTTTACCCCAGCTAAATGTCTCAGTTTCCAACCTTACTCAAACTCCCTTGGCCTTCTCTAGGTAATAAACCAAAAAAAAAAAAAAAAAATTTAAAGAAGCTGGCTGGGCATGGTGGCCCATGCCTGTAATCTCAGTACTTTGGGAGGCCAAGATGAGAGGATCACTTGAGCCTCAGAGTTCGAGTCCAGCCTGGGTAACATGGCAAAATCCCATCTCAATATTAAAAATTATATATTAAATTTCTATATATATATATAAGCTATAAATATGAAATAGCATATTAACTATATTTTAAATTTTTCTGTATTCTTTTCTTATTATTTATATTCTTGGTGCCCAGCATCTGGGGCCTTGCTAATCCTGGAGAGACTACTCCTCCCAGGGGTACCTAATTCCTGGAGAAAGCAGATGACTCCCCTGGGAGTGCATCTCTCACACACAAACCAACCAATCCAGAGCCCACACCTACCAACTGCCTCCTTTACTGAGCTCTGGCAGGTTAAGCCTATCCTCTGCCCTAATTACCCCAGGCCAGATACTGGGCAGCTAGTGGCAGGCCCTGTACCTCAGAGCACACAGAAATCATTCAAACTAGCAAATCCTAAACCCACCTAGTCTGCTTACCCTGCCTTGCCCATCCCTTCCAGAAAAAACACGGAAGAGGCTCTGACCCATGCTTTCCCCTGTTCCATCTGCCCCATGGGGCCCTGCGTGATATGGTGTGCCCTCTCCTCTTGGAACTGTAACAAACTATCTTTCCTTTTTTCTTTTTTTGAGACGGAGTCTCACTCTTGTTGCCCAGGCTGGAGTGCAATGGTGTGATCTCGGCTCACTGCAACCTCTGCCTCCTGGGTTCAAGCGATTCTCTTGCCTTAGCCTCCTGAGTAGCTGGAATTACAGGCACCCACCACCACGCCCAGCTAATTTTTGTACTTTTAGTAGAGATGGGTTTCACCATGTTAGCCAGGCTGGTCTCAAACTCCTGACCTCAGGTGATCTGCCCACCTCAGCCTCCCAAAGTGCCAGGATTACAGGTGTGAGCCACCGCACCTGGCCACGAATTATCTTTTCAATGGCATTTGTCTCCTGATCTGCTGGCCTCACCATACCTGAATAATAATAAAACCTACATTTTATAACAAGTGAATATTGGAGAGATTTCAATGTGGGGGTATCTGTGCTAGCAACAGCCAACGCAAAACTTTTTGTTGTATTTGAATTGTCCTGTTTTATTTACAAAGTATTTCATATACCCCTTCTCAATTGATTTAATTCTATCTGCAATTGTCTTCATTTTAGAGACAAATCAGAGATAACTGAGCAATAGCAACATTATTGGAAGAAATGTATGCTTTCTATCAGGCTGCACGTAAAGCACTACAGATAGAATACACAGTGCAGGATCTGTAGTGTTGGTTTCAAGGAAGTCTCAAAATACATACCAATAAAAACAGTAATCGCAGCCTCTAATACTTCCTGAGCCAGGCACCAACGTAGGTAATTTTCATACATTAATTCATTTAATCCTCATGTCAATGCTCAGGTTGATGCCCAAGGTAGTGGTCATTAGTTTCCCTGTTTCACAGACAATCTGAAATTAACGGGCTGAAAATTATCTGTTATACAATATTAGAGCTGCAAATAACTTTAAAGATCAACCCTCCCCCTTTTACAGATGAAGTAAATGTTTATGCGTTCTAGGCCACTTAAAGGTTTTGTTATTTTTGAGCACAATCCCCAAATTAGTCATATATAACCTGATTTTGCTAGTAGTGAGTTCCGATTCCTGTGACCTCCAGCCCAGCTATGTCGTATAAGGGAAGTGACACCTACTATAATAATCTCAAACCCCGTAATCCATCATACATACTTTGAAAGCACTAAAGGAAAATGTGTTACAATAACCAAACACACCTAGTGTATATCACAAGGCTTGCCTAAATATTTCCAATTTATGCTATTTTGAGAACTGGCGTCTAGCCCAGTTCCAACAACAGTGTCCAAGATTAAGTGAAAGACCATGTGAGTATGGTAATTGAAAATATAATTTTCCCCCCAAAGGGCTATTAGTTATGAATTTACTCACTCGTGTGTGTGAAATCTCCTTTTGAACAACTATGAAATGTGGATTCTACAGTTGTCTCACTTACTGGAAAAAAATGTGCATCTTATTAGGTTTCTAGAGGACAATGGTACGTCAAATCTAATCAGCCTTCCCTTGGAAGATTCTGCAGGAGCTAGGAGCCTCTCCTCAGACTGCCTCTCCCATAGCAACCGTCTTGCTCTTGGCAAAGGCATAGAGACTTTGTTGTGCTCAACCCTGTAACATTAATAAGCTAAGGGCCCTAGACAACAGCAGTTACCACAGAGCCATTTCAAAGCTGGCTTGAGGGGCACCAGGAGCTCAGTTCCTGGACACAATCCCACTGTGTTTTGGTATAACAGCCATTGGTGGCATAGCCTTATTTTTGGGTATAGCCTATCTTGGGACCAAACCCATTGGCCAATGACAACCAGATGCATTCATTTGGCTAAAACATTCTGAGCAGAATGGTACTCAAATTTCGATGATTTGAATGGATTCATCTTCCTTCCCACTCCTGCATGCTTCTGCATTGAGTCTAAAGCTTAAAGCAAAGGAGAATGCTTTGGATGTGACCTTTTCCCAAGATCTGACAGCTGGTCTAGATCTAGTCAATTGCAGCTTTTAATTAATATACTCTATACTCCCCACATAAATTAAGAAAAATAACAATGTACCAAAGAACTGGAAAGAAGGTTTCTGAGTTCTTTTAAATTGTGCCCAAAGGTTTCTAATACTAATTTCAAAGAAGGAAAGGATCTCGGTCTAAAGTTACTGAGTGTGTATGCCGAACAAATTCACTGGATAGTATTTGTGCTCCGAATTTTTCCAATTAAAATTATTTACCCTTAATGCTTCAAATAAAGTTATAACTTGGATTTCAATCCACAGCCATTCCATAACTCCATCAGCAGAAGCATAATATCATGTATTGTCATAATTCAATGCACTTTCACAGTTATGGAGTAACTGATTCAACTAGTTGTTCACTTCATTATTTTATCCATTTATGAGTTAAGCCAGGAACATAGCAACACCATGTCTATGTTCAGCCTCCTATGTCCTGCCCAAACTTTCACCTGTCTCCATACGGTTAGGGACTAAACAAAGGGGTAAACTTCAAGTAAACACAGACGATATTTATTAAGTTTCTTCCAAGCTGTATGTTCCTAGAGGTTATCACAAAGACTCCTCTAGTGGCAACTGGCTTGCAGAACTGATCCAGCAACATCTCAACAATTCTTTCCTGAAGCCCAACTGCATACTCAAAGCTCAGATCCACGCTCACTAGGAACAATTTTGGAAAACAAGGAGTTGATCACCATTTTCGCTTTGCTTTGCTTTGTTTTTGAAACTGTACAGACATGGCCAGAATTTGAACTTGCACTGCCTGGATCAGACCATGAATAACTAACTGCCTTAACTGGAAAGATTTGCCAGACCCCAAGAGCCTCATCCCCTGTCTGCTTCCACCCCAAGAAAGGCTGTGCTTCCTTCCAATGAACAGCCTAACACAATTTGGCAATGACTTTTCCTGCATTTTTTGGCAGAGAATATGGAAAGGAATATATATGGAAAATAATGTATGTGTGCATGTGTGTGTATGTGTGCGTGTGTGTATTGCATGTGTGTGTGCATGTGTGTATGTGTGTATGTCTGTGCATGTGTGTGTGCGTGTGTGTGCATGTGTATGCATGTGTGTATGTTCATGTGTGTGCATGTGTGTATGTGCATGTGTGTATGCATGTGTGCATGTGTGTATGCATGTGTGTGCATGTGTGTGCATGTGTGTGTGCATGTGTGTGCGTGTGTGTGTGGGCGTGCATGTAGTAGTCTTTTTTTCCTCCTGTGATTTTTCTACCTCTAAGCTTTCCAGTATAGAGTAGGATTGAGTAGTACTAACCATTCTGGTGCTATTTATTTGCTAGGTTCTAGGATTTCCCTATAAATTGGGGCTTCAGGGCTTATCTCCAACTAATAAGCTTCTTTTTTTTTTTTTTTAATTATTCTGCCAATGAGGCTTGAAGCAATCACACAGCACAGGGGCACATTCTTGAAGGAGAAATTTGGGCCTTTCCTCTTAATTCTATAATTGTTCAGAATGAGGGTGTGGTGAATGGACACTACAAGGAAAGTTTGGCCTAAAAATGAGAAGACAGAGGGAAGGAAGTAAACACTGACCTGGAGGTAGATTTAGACTAGGATTAGCAGCTGTCCCTTCTCCTTTGATGAAAGGGCTTAACTAACGGCAAGAGGAATTGAGGATACATCTTGGGGAAAACTTCCTGACTCGCATAAGGCCTGGCAATGTTTCACCAAAGGGGATTGCCCAGTGTACCTCTCTGAGGATTTTTATTTTTTAATGTGATGTTTTTGTAAATTTGCTTTTTGTTGTTGCTGTTGTTATTCATCGTAAATTATAGACGATTTAAACTTTCCTGTTTTTTCTTCATTACCCAAGTAATGCATGTTTATTATAGAAAAACATGGAAAATACTGATAAGCAATGAGGAAAATTATCTGTAATTTCACCACCTGGAGGTGAGTCACGCCAGGGCATGTGTTTTCAGACACTTTTCTCTGGGAGATTGGTTAAGTAACTGCTGCTCCAGTCATAAGATTTAGCTACTAAGAATGATACATATGTGACACACAGACTTTGGGCCTTGGCCTCTGTGTTTGTCCAAAATCTGCTCTTTGGTTTCATCTCTGGCCTTGGCCTTGGCAAGCATAAGAGCTGAATAGCTGAATGCCAACTTCCTCGCCATCTGGCAACCTTGAACTCGTCCATTGATTGTGCTGCTGGAACAGATCACCATCACATCCAACCAGCAATAATGTCAGTAATGTGAACAAGACATAATCTGAATACTCATCCAAAAATATACATAAGCATTTAGATGTAATCTGAAGTGAAAATCTCTTTATGTGCTTTTTATATTTAAATTCTAACAGTTTTAGTAGAAATATTCCAAGTATATATGAGAATAAAATGCTACAATAATTTTAAATGATTACCAAAGTTATTAATTTTATGTACTAAAAAGTTTTAAGCTTTCAAAAGGTTAAATAAAAAGGGAATCATTTACCAGCATTAATTATTAATACTATATTAATAATGAATTAATGCAAATATTAATAGAGAATGAATTAACTAGATAACTTTGGAAGATCATGATATCTTTTTGAACCAAAATGGACTTATAAAAAAGTTAAATAATAATATAAAACTCATATTTAGTTATTTAATTCTCTTTAACCATGAGTTTTTAAGAAAAAATTCTTTTTGGGGAATTTTTTACCCTTTTTGAGGGTAAATTAAAATTATCATGTAAACTTTACTATCTTAAAATCTCACAAGAGAAAAAATTTACCAAATTATGGATGATTACATTCCTAATAAACCATCTTTTATCCGGAAGTAATGAGAAATATAAAGAGTATAAATCATAGACTGAATTGTTAGATAAAAATGGGCACATGTTACACAATTTGTTTTAACTAATATAATTTCAAAATTACAGACTTCATAAGAACTCTCTACAAAGACAATTCTTTATAGAAGCTATCATTTTAAACGAAAAGCTCATTGAAATTATTGCTATAGCTACCACTCATTTTTGGCAGTCAAAGATAAAGGAATTTTGAGATTTGCTAGAGCTATGAATCTTAAGTATGAAGTTCCTTTTAGAAAACACACTGTTGAAACCTTTTTCTGAATCATAGTCTCTTGTGCACAAATGGTTGGTGACATTATTAAATGTGCCAGTTGAAAGTGACCCTCTCTTTAGTATTGAGATGTGCAGAAGAGTGGCTGCAAAAGCTGTCTAGCAGTTGACAGCTCTGAGAAACTACTGTTTTGTTCCAATGTTATAATGACAACATTTTAAAATGTGACTATTAAATATTAACAATGAAACCATAATAATAAACACTTGCATAGAATTTCAGATTTATTCATATACTCCAGCAGTTCTTTCAATGATTGTAATCTCTGGCTATAGCCTCTGCTTCGGCAGAATGCTGAACTTTAATCTTCAGTTTTAATCCTAAACCATTTGCTTTTTAGCCAGAATTGAATCAGCGTGTTCCCAATGTATATGTATTACATGTCAAGACAGAGAAATGTGTATCTGTTAGGATGCTTTCAATTGCATGAAACAGACATCCCTACCGAAATTGGCCTTTGAAAAGTGGGAAGGAGAAGAGCATTTATTGGTTCATATACTGAAGAGTCTGAGATGGTACAGAATATTTGCTTCAGACAAGGCTTTATGAGGGCTCAACGGTGTAAAGAGGTTTCTCTCTCATTGTTTTCCAGCACTACCACTTAGCACCATTAGCTTCATTCTCAGGCTCTCTTCTTATGAATATGTCTGCCAATGGTTTTGAAACCAACTGCTCCCACATTAACATTCATAAAACAAGCAAGATAATCTTTGTCCCAGCAGTTCCCAGCAAGTCATGAAGTACACCCTGATAGGAGGATTCTCACATGATGTGTCCACCTCTGTACCTATCACTGTGGCCAGGAGGATATTACAGGATTATTTGCCTAAATCAAACAGCTTCTGTCACTGGAGGTGGGTAAATGTCAATTCCACCTAAACCATATGAAGAAGTGGTGATTTCCCAAAGGAGCTGTAAGATGTCATTGCCAAGATGCGGTTGTCCAAAAATAGATGTTCACCATAACATGGAACCATGTTTATCATTGTTAAAGAAAATATGACTATGAAATGACACATTGAGCATATCCAAATTTTGATGCATAGATTTCAGTGCAAATATCTTTTGATTCATTTATTTAACTATCTCATTTTTACTGTTTTTTTGGTTGTTTGCACCATTCCACTATTAGAAACAATACTTCAACTGGCACAATTGTACATACATTCTTATATGTAAGATGATCCTAGAATAAATTCCTAAAAATTGACTTGCTGAGCTGAAAAAATACACAATTTAAGGTTTTTACACATCTTGCCAAATTGCCCTTGTAAGAAGTTATACTTCAAGCAGCAGTATACAGTAATGTCAGTTTCTCATAACCTATCACACCAATAAATAAGGTAATTCACCAGTTCAATGGGCAAAAATAATTTCTCATTGTTTAAATATATATCTTTTTGAGCACTAGTAAAGGTAAAATTATTCTCACATCAATTATCCACTGATATTTTTTTTTTCTTTTTTGAGACAGGGTCTCAGTCTATCGCCCAGGCTGGAGTGCAGTGGCATGATCTCGACTCACTGCAACCTCCACCTCCTGGGCTCATGCAATCCTCCCACCTCAGCCTCTGGAGTAGCTGGGACTACATGTGCACATCACCGCATCCAGCTAATTTTTGCATTTTTTAGTAGAGACAGAGTTTAGCCATATTGCCCAGCTGATCTTGAACTCTTGGGCTCAAATAATCCATGCACCTCAGTCTCCCAAAGTGCTGGGATTACAAGCCTGAGCCACCATACCCAACTGATATTTAACTTTTAAATCTATTACTATATAGTCATCCATTTCTATCCCTGGCTCATTTCTTAATTGACTGTACATTTTCACATATTAAAGATAGTAAAATTTTGTTTGTCATGTGTCATCATTTTTTTTCTCATTTGTCATTTTCCATTTGCTTTCATTTGTCCTTTAGTTGTTGTTTTTCTATAGAGATATTCTAAATTTTATCAAAATTATAAAGTATTTCTTTTTGGATTGCTATCTTAAATGCTCTTTTTAGAAATAACCTTCCCATCTCAATTATTTCAATTTCAATAGTTTTCTTTTAGTATATTTATTGTTTCATATTTTATTTTTAAACCCTTGAGTTATCTAGAATTTTAAAATAAGATACGAGGTTAGGCTATAACTTTACCTTTTACTAAATGGCCAAGTAAGATGTCTAATATAGATTTCATATATCCTGGTAACTAAGATCCCTCGCTCTGGAGCCAGAACTCGTTGATTTTTACCTTTGAAAGTTAGGCCTCTTTTTCATGTCTCATCTAAAAAAATAGGGATGAAAATAAGGGGTACCTACCCTGTAGGGTGGCTTTGAGGGTGAAATGTGTTAAAATACATAAAGAATAAAGCATTCTCCTTGAAAACTGGCACAAGATAAGGATGCAGGAGAAAGAAATAAAGGACATCCACACAGGAAGAGAAGAGGTCAAACTATCCCTGTTTGCAGATGACATGATCCTGTATCTAGAAAACCCTATATTCTCAGCCCAAAAACTTCTTAAGCTGATAAACAACTTCAGCAAAGTCTCAGAATACAAAGTCGATGTGCAAAAATCACTAATCTTCTTATATACCAACAACAGTCAAGCCAAGAGCCAAATCAGGAACGCAATACCATTCACAATTGCCACAAAAAGCCACAAAAAGAATAAAATACCTAGGAATACAGCTAACCAGGAAGGTGAAGATCTCTACAAGGTGAATTACAAAACACTGCTCAAAGAAATCGGAGATGACACAAATGGAAAAACATTCCATGCTCATGGATAGGAAGAATCAATATCATTAAAATAGCTATACAGCCTAAAGCAATTTATAGATTCAGTGCTATTCCTATTAAACTACCATTGACATTCTTCACAGAACTAGAAAAAAACTATTTTAAAGTTCTTATGGAACAATAACAACAAAAAGCCTGAATAGGCAAGACAATCGTAGGCAAAAAGAACAAAGCTGGAGGCATCACAGCTTTGTTAATACACACATACAAAAAAAATTACCTGACTTCGGCTGGGCATGGTGGCTGACACCTGTAATCCCAGTACTTTGGGAGGCCAAGGCAGGTGGATCATGAGGTCAGGAGTTCAAGACCAGCCTGGCCAAAATGGTGAAACACCATCTCTACTAAAAATACAAAAATTAGCCGGGCAGGGTGGCAGGTGCCAGTAATCCCAGCTACTTGGGAGGCTGAGGCAGGAGAATCACTTGAAACCAGGGGGCAGAGGTTGCAGTTAGCCAAGATCACACCACTGCACTCCAGCCTGGCAACAGAGTGAGACTCCTTCTCAAAAACAACAAAAAAAAATTACCTGACTTCAAAGTATACTACCTGGCTACAGTAACCAAAACAGCATGGTGTGGTACAGGAACAGACACATAGACCAATGGAACAGAATAGAGAACCCAGAAATAAGGCCACACAGCTACAACTATCTGATCTTCAACAAACCTGACAAAAACAAGGAATGAGGAAAGTATTTCCTATTCAAAAAATGGTGCTGGGATAACTGGCTAGCCATATGTAGAAGACTGAAATTGGACCCCTTCCTTATACCATATACAAAAATTAACTCAAGATGAATTAAAGACTTGAATATAAAACCCAAAACTAAAAACCCTGGAAGACAATCTAGGCAATACCATCCTGCACATAGAAACAGGCAAAGATTTCAAGACAAAGATGCCAAAAGCAATCACAACAAAAGCAAAAATTGACAAATGAGATCTAAATAAACTAAAGCAGTTCTGTACAGCAAAAGAAACTATCAACAGCGTGAATAGACAACCTACAGAATGAGATAAAATTTTTGCAAACTATGCATCTGACAAAGGTCTAATATTCAGCACTATAAGGAATGAAACAAATTTACAGGAAAAAAAAAACATCAAAAAGTGGGCAAAGGACATGAACAGACACTTTTCAAAAGAAGACATACATGTGGCCAACAATCATACGAAAAAAAGATCAACATCACTGGTCATTAGAGAAATACAAATCAAAACCACAACGAGATACCACCTCACACCAGTCAGAATGGCTATTACTAAAAGTCAAAAATAACAGATGCTGGTGAGTTTATGGAGAAAAAGGAATGCTTTTACACTGTTGGTGGGAGAGTAAATTAGTTCAACCATTGTGGGAGACAGTGTGGTGATTTCTCAAAGACCTAAAAACGGAAATACCATTTGACCCAGCAATCTCATTACTGGGTATATACTCAAAGGAATATAACTTGTTCTATTATAAAGACACATCCACAGGTATGTCCATTGCAGCATTATTCACAATAGCAAAGACATGAAATCAAGCTAAATACCCATCAATGACAGACTGGATTGTGGTACATACACACCATGAAATACTATGCAGCCACAAAAAAGAATGCAATCATATCCTTTGCAGGAATGTGGATAGAGCTAGAAGCCATTATCCTTGGTAAACTAACACAGTAACAGAAACCCGAATACTGCGTGTTGTCACATATAAGTGGGAGCTAAATGATGAGAACATATGGACACATAGAAGGGAACAACGCACACTGGGCCCTACTTGAGGGTGGAGGGTGGGAGGAGGGAGAGAATCAGGAAAAATAACAAATGGGTACTAGGCTTAATACCTGGGTGACAAAATAATCTGTACAACAAACCCTCATGACACAAGTTTACTTATATAACAAACCTGCACATGTACCCCTGAACTTAAAAGTTAAAAAAAAATTTTAACAAAATATTGTCCAGAGTATAGCAGATGTTAGGCATTGGTATTACTACTATTTCCTGATTGACCTATCATTTCTCTTCTTGAGATATTACCTTTGTGAAGTATCAAATAAAGATCTATATGTTGGTCTGTTCCCAGAACTTTTGTTTTCTTCTATTGATCAATCTGTTTACTTTAACCTCTCTGCTTTTTAAAGGGTTCATATAAATATTTCTGGAATAAGCAGAATGAACTTGTGACTTCATAAGATCCCTTGGTTCCTTGCCCTTAAAGGTACTAGGAGTCATTTCTTTCCTATGCATCTCGTGTCAATGTTGCACACATTAGGTCTTATCACCAAGCTCTAGAGATATCATCTGGTGGTTCTTTGGCCTGTCCAGTCTCAGCTCAGCCACTTACTAGGTATAGAACCTTGGGCAAGTTACCTGATCTCTCTGCCTCAGTTGCTTCATTTGTAAAGTGGGAATAATAATAGCTATGTCCTCATAATGCTGCCGTGAGGATTACATTATATATATATATATATATATATATATAGCACTTACTACAGTGAACATAATCCCAAATAACTGTTGACACTTTATTTTAATTATTACCTTTGGAATATCATAAGGCACAAAAATCTCTCCTTCATTGAGGGGCCTAACCTAAGTAATCAAGACATGAGGGACCCAGAAAAAAGGAGGCCAGTGGTATTTTTCAACAAAAATTATAATTTTTTTCTCCATGTTAATGGATAATTAATAGCACCTAATATAATACCTTGAACATATTAGGTGCTCAAGAAATTGCTGAACTAGTGAATATTAAGAAATTATATTGTCTTTCTGTCTATGCAGGGCTCAGGATTTCATATGCAGTGAATAAAAACCTCACTAATAATATTCCTTAAGAATATAATTAATAAAATAGTATTAAAATTTTTGTTCATGGTTTCTTGAACAAGAAACATGTTCTAGAACACAAATGTTTACACAAATGTAGAAGAGAGAGATGTTAAAAGGAGGGGAAATGCTTAGGAATTAGTAGACCATCAGAAAAATAATTCCATTTTCTTAAGACCTGTGTTCTTTGGAAACATGTTCTAGCACAGAGTAATTATTCTCTTTTACAACATATGTCACATGGATTCATGTGCACACACACACACTTATACAAACCACAAACAGGCATTTCTTGACATTTTAAGCCATTCCAGATTGGCTCAATTCCAGTTAATCATATTAAGATGCCAAGAAAATTAAGTATTAAGGATACAGTCTGGTCTTTCTTGAACTTACTTACTTGTTCTTAAAAAAAAGAAGAAGAAGAAGAAGAGGAAGATATGGCAGGGTGTAGCTGACTCTTCCTTCCTGTCAGCAGACAGTATAATTATGTCTTCTTGCTTTTGCTCAAGCAATACCTCTACCATGAATAAGAAGAGGGGTCAGCAGAGGATCTCAAACCTATGGTGAGAAGGTGTGGCCACGTGTGCTATCCCTGAGATTTAAAGTGCTAGGACAAGGCCACTGATCGAGACACTTGTGAGTCTCTCAACCCTGAGTCGTCTAGGGGGTGCCAGTAGCATTTGAGATGTTGTGCCAAAGAATTATTAGGAACCAAAATATTAAAATTGATCCCATGTGAGCGTAAAATTCAATCTTCTTAACTTTTGAAGGAGAGATGCTTCTTTTACAATTCTACCATTTTCATTGCCAGTAATTGCACACTGGATCAAGAGACTGATGAGAAATAGAATTGGAAACCTGGAGATAATTTAAGAATAACTTAGATAACTAGACCCAGTCTTTGAAGAAGAACTCTATGGGAAAGGTCTTTAATAATCTTAAGTCCTTGGACACCACCACAGAAAAAGAAAACACCACTTAGGTTTACATGACATCTGAAAAGTCAACTATGTCAGCTTGAATCGATTTTTTTTACAGCCATTTTCACAAGTGATTTAAGTTGCTAATTAATTGGCAAATGTTCAATTCCCATTCAGTCCAGTTATCTAGGTCAGGAGAAATAAACATGTCAATGCAACCAGCAGAGAAAGAATTAGAGAAGTCCTTTATTGCTCTATGAAACATATTCCTTTGCTATGGTGAACTAAATAGCATACTTATCACGCTCAACTCTCAGAGTTTAAAAGTAGTCAAATTTCCTACTTAGTATGTAGCCTTATGTGTTAAATCTGATTTAAGACAAACTCCTTAGATAAGATTTAATGTCCAAGAGCCTTCTTCTAAAGATTTTAGAAAATCAAATAAATAAATGGTGATAAAGATACATAGATAGTTAGAATAAATGCATGCATGCAGGAACTATCTAAAGATTAGATCCCAGGTTAAAGAAATGAAATACATTTGTCTTTTTCCAAATTCATTAATTTGTTTATTAAGTCATTCCATACATTTTATTAAATGCTAGTCACTGTTGTAGGCATTTGGAATGAAGTGATGACCCAGAAAACGAAGACTTTTCTGTGCTCTCATTGGAGCTTCTAGTCTCATGGAAGAGATTGCCAATAATTAGATAATCTTATAAATAATACAAAATTCATCACTGGGTCAAGTGACTACAAATGGTATAAAACCAGATAGGAGGATCTGAAATAGCTACGGAGATCAGGAAAGTCTTCTCTAAGAAGTGATGCATAGGTTAGGTTTGAAAAGGAATAGCACAGGCATTAACTAGGTAAAGAGGAGAAATGATATTCCAGGTAGAGGTAACTGCATGTACAAAGACCATACGGCAAGAGAAAGCAAAGAGTGTAGAGATTAAAAGAAAACTAACGGACCATTGTTAACAGGAGCTAGATGCAAGACAGGGCTGGAGAGCACACAATTGTTGAATTTTGTCTGCACCTTATAAGCAATGAGAAGCCACTGAGTTTGTAAGCAGGAGGGTGAAATGATCAGAATTATAGTTTTGTAACCATCAGTCTGGATGTAGTGTGGGGACTGGATGAGATAGAGCCGAGAGGGGTTATGGAGAAACTCACAGTATGTCAGGAATAAGCTACTGCTTTTACTTGGCAATGATGGGAGTTTAGATCAGGATGGTGCCAGTGGAGATGGATCAAAGGAAAAATGATCATGACTTGAACTGGATTTGAAGAAAGAAAAGGGTATATGGAATAGGCTTATGCAGTAAAAGTAACTGCTTGTTGGGGCGGGGGGATTAAAACAACCGCAATACTCCACAAGGCCAAATACTGCTCATGACTCAGGCAACTGGCATTCTAAGTGTAAATAAGTCTAAAGACAGAATTGTGAATATTTTATGTTGCTCTGAGGCCTCACACTTGCCTCCCAGAGCTAATCTAAGACAAAATTCTAAGAAACTATGGAAGTCCTCTTTCTGGTTAAGCTATAGAAAGACATAAACATTGTCATTTTCATCATAAAAAAAGAAAACAATAAGCTAAAAATTATATATTTCTTTAAAGTCATCAAACAGCAATAGACACACACACAAAGTTTAAATAAACGAATTCCAGTAATGAGCATACCCTTCAAAGACGAGCAAAAAGTGGTAACTCTTTTCATACTCAGGGCAAGTTGCCTTGCTTGAGTACAGGCAGGAGGAAGAGCAGCCCTGACATGAGATAAAGTTTGCTGGAATGAGGAGAAATCAGCCAAACTTTCAACAATGGTGTGGGCTAATGTGAAATACTGGAATCTGAAAGACTCCCAAACACAAAAATAAATCTCTCGGAACAACAGTTCTCCCCCGTGGGAATTTTGCGGAATCAGTGGCAGTTGGGGCAGAGCTGGAAAGTAGAGAGAGCTCCCCAACCCTTGTGCTGCTTACATTCCAGAGCGTTTCTGAAGTTGAATCCAGAGGTGAAATTAAACTCACTAGCGCTATACCAAATACCCTTCTAGTTCTAATCTTGAAAGGACCAAAGAGATTAGCCCTGTAGACAGATGTGAAACAAGAAGTTGGGGGGTTACGCTGAAAGGCCAAGAGAAATCTTCATAATCTCACTAGCAAGAAGTAAACTGAAATTAATTAATCTTTTCTCCCAGTCTCAGCTCTGCTAAACTCCATGATAGGATATGGATAAAAATATCTTTCCCAAGCTTTTGCACTGAAGAAAGGGAAGGTTCTCTCTAGGAAAAATAAAACAAAAATAAAGAATCTAGTCCCTATTGGTCTCTCATTTAAAATGTCACACACACACACACACACACACACACACACACACGATGAGACATGTAAAGAAGAATGAAAATATGACCCATAATCAAAAAAAGAAAACAGTCAATAGAGGCAGGCCCACTGATGACTGGATATTGCAGTCAGTAGGTCTCTAAAATAAATATCTTAAATATGTTACAGAATTTAGAAATAAAGTTGGACACAATAGGTGAACAGAGAAGAATTTTATTGGAGAAACTGAAGCTCTAAAGAAGACCCAAAGAGAAATTATAGAATAGAAGAATTTTTCTGAAACAAAGAATGCAGGGAATAAACTTGAGAACAGACTGGAAGCAAAAGAAGGATTAGAAACATGAAGGATGAGGAACTCAATAAAAAATAACCAAAGTTAAGTACAAAAGGAAAAAAGAATTAAAATATTGAACACAGTGTCAAAGACACATGGGTTAATGGCAAAAGAACTACCATAAATAAATATGTAACTGAAACTCTCAGAATATATTTTCCCTTCAAAATGGAATTCAATTAGAAATTAAAAATAAAATGATGACTAGAAAATCCTCAATTATTTAGAAATTAAGTCGTATACTTCTAAATAAGCCTTGGATCAAAGAAGAAATGACAACAAAATTTATAAAATAATTTGTACTGAGTAATAATGAAACCAGAACATATCAAAATTTGTGGGATATAGCTGAAGCAGTACTTAGAGGAAAAGTGATAGCTTTAAATGCATATACCAGGAAAGAAGAATTATGTAAAACCAAGAATAAAAGGTATCAAGATTGATGAGGGAGAAATAATAGTAGCTTTTTGCAAACAGTATAACTATATATGTTGAAAATCTAAAGGAAACGACAAACTACTGGGACTACCAGGATTACTGAGTGAATTTAGCCAGGTCATGGGATACGATGGCAATATACGAAAATCAACTGGACATTTTTCTGTAGAGATGGGATCTAGTTGTGTTGCCCAGTCTGATCTCAAACTCCTGCCTCAAATGATCCTCCCTCCTCAGCCTCCCAAAGCATGGGAATCACAGGTGTGAACCACCACACCTGCCCCATTGTACTTCTTTTGTACCCTAGCAACAAAAATAAATTGGAAAATGAGAAAGTTTTTAAGTCATTTATAATAGCTCGAAATGATTCAAACATCTAAGAATAAAATTTTAAAAATATACGCAAGTCCTCTATGCTTGTAAACTACAAAATTATTGCTGAGAGAAATTTTAAAAGACCTAAATAAGTGGAGAAATATACCACATGCAAAGATTAAAGAATTCATTATTGATAAGATATTCATATTTCCAAATTACTCTATAGATTATACATAATATCAATCAAACCCCTAGCAGGTTTCTTTGCAGATTTTGAAACTTGTAGTGTTGCATCAATTAAGATAATGTGTTGGCACAAGGAAAAGCAAATAGATCAATGAAAAAAAAATAGCATCCATGAATAGACTCATTTACATATAATCAATTGATTTTCAACAAAATTCAGTGTAATTCATCGCAAAAATACCAATAGTGCTATAACAGCAAATGGTGCTGGAACAAATGTACGTCTGTATAGAAAAAAAACTGATGTTAGTATCCTACATTATAGCATGCAAGAAATTATTTTGGGATGATTATAGATCTAAATGCCAAAAATAAGTCTAAAGCTTCTAGAAAAAAACCAAAAGAATATCATTATGACTGGGATAGTCAAAGATTTTTTTTAGTCAGAATACCAAAAGCACTAACAGAGAGAAAAATAATGTTTACTTTCATCAAAATTAAAAGCTTCTGCTCATTAAAGATACCACTAAGAAAGTGAAAAAAACAAGCTGCAGACCATGAGAAAATATTAACCAGATAGATAGATAGATAGCTTCATTTCCAGAATACATAGTTTTATAATTAATAAATACATTTAGAAAATATCTCAATTAAAAAGGGGCAAAAGATTTGAACAGATTTTTCTCAGGACTAAAGGATTATCCAATAAGCTCATGAAAAGGTGGTTAACATTATAGGTTATCAGGAAGACAGATATAAATTAAAACCATGATGAGATCTGGCTGAAATTAAAGACTGATCATATCAAGTGTTAAGGAGGATGTGGAGCAACTGGAACTGCCAGACATCACTGATGAGAATGTAGAAAGGTATATCACTTTCGAAAATAGTCTAACAGATTTTTATAAAGTTAGAATACCCTCCCTTACAACACAGCAATTCCCTCCTGGGAATATACTTCAGAGGAACGAAAGCATATGCCTACAAAAAGGCTTGTGTACAAATGTTCATAGCAGTTTTATTCATAACAGCCAAAAATTATAAAACCACGTGTCCATCAAAAGGATAATGAATACATCAATTGTGATATATTCATATAATGGAATTCTAGTCAGCAATAAAAAAGAACCAGAGATATGTACAACAATGCTGAGAGACAAAAGCTAGACATGAAAGAGTACATACTATATGATTCCATTTACATTAAGGTCAAGGACAAGCAAAACTGATACATGGTGATAGAAATGAGAACAGGGGTTACTCCTGGGGGAATGAGAGAATGTACTAGAAAGTGGCACCAGGGATCTTTCTGGCTAATGGAAATTAATGGCAACACAGAAGTACCTACACATTTGTCAAAACCCATTCCACTGTATACTTAGATCTATGTATTTTGCTGTATGTAAATTATACCTTAATAAAGGAAAGAGGAAAAAAATCAAAAAATCAAACATACTTAACCACATGAATAAACATACACCATCAGCTGTAGATTCTATTCTCCGTGCAGAATATGGTATTATAAAAACATGACTTTGCAATACAATGGAAGAGTTCAAGTAACCTAAAATTAAGCAAACTATCAAAGTTTTACTTTAAAAACAGACACACACACACAGAGAACATGACTCCTCCAGAGATAAATCTTTACACAACCTAAGATATTCCCTTTCTAGCAATGGAGTACGTTTGTTGACTGGTAGAACCAACCTAAGCAGAATTTCTTAACATTTTTATCCTAGTGAAAACTGTTTTCAGTGATCTTCCTCAAAGATAATTAGGGGCAGCTTGATGGAAAGAGTCAGGCAAGCTTACATTCTAAGCTATCTGTAATCCTAGCACTTTGGGAGGCCGAGGCAGGAGGATGACTTGAGCCCAGGAATTTGAGACCAGCCTGGGCAACGTAGTGATACCCTGTCTCTATTCCAAACAAACAAACAAAAAAAACCTTTTAAAAAGGCCTATCTGTGCCTGCGTTGCTCCTTGACTTGGGCTGTAATCCCTGATTCTACTGGACTCAATTTTCTCATCAGTAAAATGGAGAAAGGATTGTTATAAAACATCAAAGAAGATAACATGTGGGAAGCACTTAGTGCCTGGCACATAAGCAACTCTCAAAAATTAGTTGCTGTAGTTGTTCTTAATGGAGAGGCCACAACCTGAGGGGAAGCAGTGGAAGGAGGCATGAGCTGAGGTGATTAGGAGGCAGATAATCATCTCCAGGGTCACCTTTGCTAAAAGTTTTAACCTGAGAGGACTTTTTTCTATTAACGAAACCACCATATCCTATTTTACTGGATGGCTTCAGAGGTCTCATTCTAAGATGCCCCTTCATATCCACAACACAAACAAACAAGCAAACAACAACTCGGAATCACTACTTGGATTTTCCATAATCTGGACGTGGTTCAATATGTGGCTTTTTTAAAGGGTAATAGAAACTGTACCACCCAATCCCTTCCTTTTCCATTCCTTCAGAAGAACCATAATGACTGTAACAATGGATATATGGAACTGCTGACCACTTTTCTAAACACTGGTTTGGTACCTCAGGGATTTTCCACATCAAGGTCCTGTTTGCATCCTCTGCATACTCTGTTCTGTGTCTAACAGGCATATTTCTTTCCTTTTGTTTGCATTTGGTTTCCCTTGAAGTTTGAAGATAATCTCATTAGAGATTACCTTTAATCTGGGCCCCAAATAGGATTTTTCTGGTTTTACACTGCTATCAACATATCACTTCAGAGAATCTCAGAATTGCAAGTGATCTCTCTGGAGATGACAGGATCCTCTCATGCCACCTTCACGACTATATCTACTGAAAATCTGTGCTTAGCTCTGTCACTTCCACTGTCTTGAATCTCACCAAGCCCCTTAACACATAGCTGGTGAATATAAATTGAAAAGTTCTTTCTTATACTGAACTAAAATCTTCTTTTCAAATATCCATTCAATATTCCTTATCTATCTTTTGAAGAAAGCCAGAATTAACACATTTCCCCCTCATGTGACAGGTCTTCCCCAACCTTGAACATTGCCAGCAACTTCCCTGACAACACCATCCAAACAGAGCCGCTCCTCATTATCCTCTACTGAAGCCATTGCTGTTTCCTTCGAAATGCCTACCACAATTTGGAATTGTGTCATGTATGTCTTTTTCATAAAAGAATGTTAATTGTAAGAGGGGCCACGCCGAGTGATCTTATTTATGCCTGTGGCCTCAGCCCCTGGCACATTCTGGGTACGCAGCAGCCACTGCAGGCCCAATCCAGCCACAGACATGTTCTACAAGTGTGAGGTAGGAAAAGCAAACATTTTCCTGTATATTCCCACCACTCTCAATACTTCACTTCTGACACCAATGTGTGGGATTTTTTCCCACACTGACCAATTCTCCGACAGACACCAGCTTCAATTCAATTCAATTCTGATACCATCCGGAGTTACTGCAGATCCTATAGGTTAAAGGCTCAGTCCTACAAGACTGTGCCCTACTTCAGACACCAGTCACAAGCAGGAAGTCTCTGGGGAACCACAACTTTTTTCCTGTTTGGCTACAAATCAAAAGTTCCCATGATCCCTTTTTCAGGTTTGATAATTTGCTAGAGCGGATCATAGAACCCAGGAAAACTGTTTACTTACTATTGCTGATTTCTTCCAAAGGATGTTTTAAAGGATATAAATCAACAGCCGGATAAAGGAACACATAGAGTGAGGTCTGGAAGGATCCCGAGTGCAGGAGCTTCTACCCCATGGAGTTTGGGTGCACCACCCTCTGGGCCCATGAATGTGTTCACCAAATGGAAGTTCTCTGAACTCCATAGTATTGGGATTTTTATGGAGGCTTCATCACATAGGTATAATTTATTAATTCCATTTCTCCCCTCCCCAGAGGATGGGGGGTGGAGTTGAAGGTTCCAAGCTTCTAACCATGGCTTGGTCTATCTGGTGGTATCCACTGCCCATCCTGAAGCCATCCAGGAGCCCACCAAGAGTCACCTCATTAGAAAAAAAGATGCCTCCATCACCCAGAAAATCCCAAGGAATATAGCTGCTCTATGTCAGGTGCTCCCATCACATGGGAAACTACAAAGGTCTTAGGAGCTCTGTGTCAAGAACCAGCATCAAAGACCAAATATTAGAACAAAAGATTCTCCTGGCATGCCTGTCTACAAGGGTTTTAGGAGCTCTGTGTCCGGAATCGAGTGCAGAGACCAGTCGATATATTTCTAATTATTTCACACTCAACAACCCTAGCGGTTAAAAATGTAACCAATTAATACAGGAGTGCATGCTTTTAGATATTTAAAAATAACCAGTATTCTCTTCTTAGCCTTGTGTGACCTGATTATATATCTTTATTCCTTCTGAGAGTTTCAGACTGTAAAGTCCCAGAGAACAAGCAGATAACAAATCTCTTTGAACTGGGCTGGTACAAAGACAGTCAGCCCTCTGTATCCGCAGGTTCTGCAAATGGATCGAAAATATTCGAAAAATAAAAATGAAAAGTAACAATGCAACAGTTTAAAAAATGCAAATTAAAAGAACACAGTGTAATAACTAATAGCATTTACATTGTATATGTAACCTAGAGATGTTGTAAAGCATAAAGGAGGATGTGCGTAGGTTTTATACAAATGCTACACAGTTTATATAAGGGAGTTGAGCGTCCTCGGATTTTGGTGTCCTCAGGGGTCCTGGAACTAATCCCTTATGGATATTGAGAAGCAATAGATAAGAAGTAGAAAGGTGTGGAACTGGAGAGAGTAAAGGCTTTGCCCAACGGCACTCAAATTCAGCATGGTTTTGACCATTAGGACTGTTGAACATAACACATGTGGTTGGGTAGGGCCTGAAACCCACCATTTTATAAGCTCTCCCTTGATCCTTCTTCCTTGAACATCATTTCCAGGTCCTCATCCCTCTATCCTGGAAATATTCCAGTTTCTCAATGTCTCTCTTAAAGTCTGCTTAATTGGCCAGCAGTCACAGAACGTGGGGCCCAGACTACCAGGGACTGTGACCTTCTGGGGTCTGGATATTAAACGGCTCTCCAGGCAG
This sequence comes from Homo sapiens, assembly GCF_000001405.40. Taxonomy (NCBI): domain Eukaryota; kingdom Metazoa; phylum Chordata; class Mammalia; order Primates; family Hominidae; genus Homo; species Homo sapiens. The sequence goes on along the minus strand of NC_000005.10, from coordinate 38,053,252 downwards.
CCCACAGGGCCTGAGGTCTCTTAGCAGATGTCTCTCGTTGTTGGCTCCCATTGAGTTTGTAGTCAATATTTTTTCCCATGAACTGCTGACAAGCCACCTAATGATCATAATATTATGGAACAGCCTAAACAAAGATCTCTGGCCTTGGATGAATTCAGACCATACATTTTTTGAGGGTGTTTTCCTCCAATGCAAGTCTTGACAAGAAAAACAGGGTTCCCCAATTACCTTGATCTCGCCCACAGACAGGTGAGGCCCAAGAAATCAATCCAATCACAAAGGAGTAATCTAATCATTTGCTCTTCCTGACCGAAATAATTAAACTAGACCAATATTTCCTACATCTGGCTGCATGTCGGAAATAGTGGCCTCATCCCTGGAGATTCTGAGCAAGTCCAGGGCACCAGACATCTGTACCATTAACAAGCTCCCTTGGGGATGTGCTACACCCAAGGACCGGAATTTGGGAACCACTATCTAGATCAGCAGCTTTAGCATGACGCAAATTCTTCCAATCCTGGAAGTAAGGCTCTCTAAGTGACAGAGGAGCCCTAAAGTTTCAGAGCCACTGATGTAGATCAGGGTTGACCAACATTTTATTAAAGCATTAGAGAGCAAATATTTGAGGCATTGTGGGTCCAAAGGCAAAACCGAGGATATTGCTTGAGTACTTACATAACTGTTTAAAATGTAGCCATTTGTTGTGGGTTCAGTGGCATCCCTCCCCAGAGAAGAAATGTTAATGTACTAATAATAATCCCCAGTACCTCAGAATGTGGCCTTGTTTGGGAATAGAGTCTGCAGAGGTAATCAAATTCAAAGGAGGTCATTAGAGTGGGCCCTAATCCAGTATGATCGATGTCCTTATAAAAGGGGTGATTGGAAACAGAGAGAAACACATAGAGGGAAGACAATGTGAAGACAGGGATGACATCATCAACAAGCTCAGGAATGCCTGAGGTCAGCGGAAGCCGGGAGAGAGGCCTGAAAACCTTTCTCCCTCCTACCCCTCAGAGAAACCAACCCTGCTCACACCCAGATTTTGGATTTTTAGCCTCCAGAACTGCGAGGCCATAAATCTGTTGTTTAAGCCATAAAGTTTGTGGTGCTTTATGGCAGCCCTGGGAGAGGAATATGCTATTTACAAACGTAAAACCAATTCTCAGCTCAAGGGCCATATAAAAACAGGCAGGCAGAGGGCCAGGCCACGCCTAGACTACACCTGACCACAGTGGCTCAACGTCTTGGCGATCATCATCTCATAGGAGACCCAGTCTTGAGTCGTCAGTCCCACTCACATGTTACCTCCGTAGAGAGATTTCCCCTAACCTCTACATAATGCTGACTCTGGACTTTTATTTTCCTTGTAGCACCTTTCAAAACTTATTTCCTTGTCACGTCATGCTCACTACAATGGCAGGTGCATGAGTTTGGGGCCTTGTCAGCCTTGCTCACTGCTACATCCTCAGAACCACACAGGCCTCGACTGTCAATTATTCAATGAATGAGTGATTTTTGGATGGATAGTCAGGGTTCTTTTGGCTGGAAGAGGCCTTAGATTTCACAAATCTTGGGCCCTTCAGTTTTCAGAGAGGGCAACTTAAAGCCACAGAGATGCAGTGACTGCCCAAAGTCACACAGCAGAAAACCCAGGATTAAAATCTGCACATCCAGACTCCCAAACTTAGAACCTTTCATTGTGTCACTCTCCCTCTTAAAAATGCCTAAGCCTATCTTGAAGCACTGGAACTTACGACACAGCACATTATCCACATTTTTACATAGGGAGGTCTGCAAATCAGAAGGGATGTGCTAGAAACTTAAATGTGGTTAGCACCTTGCCAAGGAGCCAGCCACAGGCAGGGAGGGCAGGTGACACACCAGAACATTTACTGAGGAAATCTTTCCAGCAGACACTTACCAGGGCTACCTTGCACCCATCCCTTTTTGTAATCAAATCCCAAATTAATGTTGGGAAATCAGCTCTGCTGATGTATATCTGTGGCAGGAGGTAATTCTTAGAGCTACTTTCCAGATACAAAAGAAGAGAAAGACCAATCCTCACAGCACCTGCCCACAGGTAAGATCAGGGGACAATATGTGGCCTGCACTCACTCAATGGGACACTGTCTCCCAGACTTTCTATCTCCCAAGTGACACAGTGTTACCCATTGCTGCATAACAATTTACCACACACTTAGTATCTTAAAACCACACACATTTGTTTGCTCCTAGTTGTGTGGGTGAGATTCTGGGATGTGGCAGCTGGATTCTTTGCTCAGAGTCTCACCTGATGTTAGCCGGCAACATTCTTATCTGAGCTCAGGCCCCTCTTCCAAGCTCATTCCCATTATTGGCAGAATTCAGTTTCTTGCAGATTAAGGACTGAAGTCCCCCTCTTTTTGTTGGCTGTTGTCCAGGGTTACTCTCAGCTCCTTATAACCATTCCCTGGTCTGCGCACACGGCCTCCATCTTCAAAGCCAGCAGGAGCATCTAGCATCCTTCAGATGCTCCACCTCTCTTCCTTCCCTTCTGCCTTCCTCTTCTGCATTTAAAGGGCTCATGCGATTAGATCCGGCCCATCGGATCATCTCTGTATCTTAAGGTCAACTGACTTTGGTCTTTAATTACATCTGCAAAATCCTTTCACATCAGTACCTAGATCAATGTTTTACTGAATAACCAGGGGACTCGAATCTTGGGCCTTCTACAGTATTCTGTCTGTCACAGGCAGGGAACACCTGGAGGTCATCTTCACTGCAGAGTGGTGGGGACACCTTAGCCATTCTGTTCCTGCTAGGAGACAGAGACAGTTGCTGCGTTTCCCACTTCCTGCTTCCTGGGCCTATGGTATGTCCTTGGTTCCTCTCATTCCTAAGCTTGGCCCCCCAGCCTCTCATCAAACCTGGTGACTCCTGATATAAATAAATAAAACTCCATTTACCTAATGTTAGCCAGAGCATGATTCTGTTGCTTGCAATCAAGAAACCTGATTGCCTCAAGCTCTAATAAATGTCTATCAATTCATCACAAAACAGGGATTCTTGTGGATGTGGCTGAGGGGGTGCTGTGGTAAAGCAGGAAAGCTCAGAAGCACCTGGGAAGCTTTGTCAAGTCACATATCCCCATCCCAAAAATTCTAACATGCTGGCTCGAAATACTTCAGTTCAACTACTCCATGAGAAATCAACCATTGTTTTATTTAAACAAAGGTAGTCAGTGTTCTATATGATAAAAATTAACCAGTCAATGTAAATAAAAATGCATCTTAATTTTTTTATTTCAAACTAATAGACTAGACAGAAGCTAAAGTTAAACAAACACCAGTTTAAAAGCCAAAAAAAAATCTGTCAAAAAAGTCTTTTGACTTCATATAGTCGTAATACTGTATTTAATTTCATGTTTTCCTAAACCAAACAAATTCTTCCTGCACACTCAGCTAGACTACACATGCCTCAAGTTTCGAATTTTGTATCTAACTTTGCATACAAGGTCACCTTTCAATACAAAAGCTAACATGGACAGAGTTTCTGCGTTGGCCGTGATAGACACATATACATATCAACATATCCCTTTCTCATCCAAAGCTTCCTCCCAGGAATTCCTTTGTTCTGCAGGGTAGAGAGACTTGGTCATCTCCTTTGAATCTGGTCACAACAGCCCATCTGTCACCTTCCAACTAGGCTTTTCTGACCATAGACAAATCCAGGCATATCTCTGCCCTGGACTGGACAGAGTGTTGGGCATAGGTTAAGGCGGCTGAGCAGTCCAAAATGCACAGAAAAAGAAAAATGAAGCAGCCCCCTCTCCCCTGAACCTTGATTTTGTTTATAGATAGCAGCCTTTATGTGGAAAGCTGCCTTTGCGCCAGCCTTCTCCAGAGCTGCAGCCACACTTTCCTCCTTTGTTGAACTTAGCTTGGGGAAAGCACTGCTGAGTGAGGAATGGTTGGCACTGGGCAGAACGGGCTGTGTATTTCCACAGTCTGCTCCAGCATAAACAGACCACACTTGCTATTTAGTAAAGAGCCAGGACTCCTCTGCTTGGGGAAGACAAAGGCCACATCCAGGGAAATGGGGAAACACTGAGTACCTACTTGGACCCATCTTCATCCTCTTCCACCCACTCCTCTCCCACTCCCCTGCATACCCAAGGCTCATGCTCCTCAGCATAGTTTCAGGCATCCTAAAATATGATGTTTACGATGCTGCTCTAAGATGGGGTGCTTTGTATCCTTGGTTTTCAGGAGCAGGCAGGGAAAGGTGAAGGAGACATTTCCTCTTAATTAGTGCATGCAAAGGACATTTGAGCAGTATAGAGATGAAGCATTCAAACTTTGGAGGCTGGTGGCCTGGATTTGAATCTAGCTGCATCACTGTATTTGTCAGGGAAAGTGTTATAATTAAAAGCACAAACCTCCAAATCTCAGAGACTAAACATAATACAGGTTTTCTGCTCACTCAGGTCATTGTACAGTGTGTTTGAGGCTGACAGGCTCTGCTCCACGAGGTCATTCAGTTACTCAAGCTCCTCCCATCTCATGGCCCTGTCAACCCCCAAAGACCTGGAGTCAGCAGGACGGGGGAGAGTAAGCATGATTTGGAGGTATGTGTATCACTTTTACCCACTATCCTAGGGACCAGCCCTCAGTTACACAGTCACACCTATCTGCAAGGGAGGCTGGGAAATGTAGTCTAGCTGTATGCCCAAAGCACACAGGGGTAAAGGCAAACCGTTTGGTGAAAAACTAACCAGTCTCTTTCTGCCATAGCTGCTTACTTGAAAAAATTACTTACCCAACCTGTATTTTAGCTTCTTCCCCTGTATACTTTTCAGAGTTCTCCCAAGAAACAGAACCAATAGCATCTGTGTGTGTGTGTGTGTGTGTGTGTGTGTGTGTGTGTGTGTGTGTATAGAGAGAGAGCTCTTAAGGAATTGGTTCACATAATTATTGAGGTTGGCAAGTTTGAAATCTGCAGTGCAGACCAGAAAACTGGAGACTCAGGGAAGAGTTGATGTTGCAGCTTGGCTCTAAAGGCCAACTTCCTTCCTCCTCGAGTGACTTCAGTTTTTTCTCTTAAGACTGTCAACTGATTGAATGAGGCCTATGCATACTATGGAGGGTAATCTGCTTTACTCGAAGTCTACTGATTTTAATGCTAATCTCATCTAAAAAATACCTTCACAGAACATCTAGACTAGTGTTTTACCGATTATCTGAGAACTGTGGTCTAGCCAACCTGACACAATAATCGTCACAATGGGTATGATAAATTAGTATTATAAAGCATTGAGGACCATGCCTGACACCTAGAAAGCTCTCTATAAATATTAGTTTATTGTCACTCCTATTGTTATCACTACTAGTACTAACTAAGGCCTGGACACAATACCATAGCACTGCTACCATCCACGTGTCTGTCATAGCCACCCCATCAAAACATCTAGGGAGTGATTAATGTTTAAAGGGCTTTTCTTACTTTTATTTCTTTTCAAAGCATTTTGCCACCTAGTACCTCACTCAGTCCTCACAACTCTATGAAGTGGGCAGGGCAGAATTATTCCCCCTGTTCTCATTTTAGAGCTGAGGTTCAGAGAGGGTGCCTGCCCTCCCACCCAGCCTTCCAATCCCTACCCTCTCCCATCCTCCGGACTCTGAACTAGGAGAGCTGCCCTGCCCTGTGCAGGAGAAGCCTTTCTTCCAACCTGACTTAAAACTCACTGTATATTATACTCCATAGAAATAATAAATGTGATGAGCATTGGGTAAGATTCACTGAAATACACCCATGGATACTACTTTCTGTGTCTTCCATCAGTTACATAGGTTTTTTGTGGATGGATCTTGGGAAATTTAACTCACCATTTAAAATATTTAAAATATTATTTCTATGAGAAAACAAGTTCCATGATTCAAGAAATAAACATATGAAAGAACTTTTGGAATATGCCTCTGTTTATAAGAGGGGATTTCCTGCACAAGTGCTGACACCAGGGCCTGTCTTAGGCACAGCTGGGAGGCAGAGTTTGTCTTTGGTCTCCTTCCCATTCCCTGTGCTCCAGGGCTTGCCCTTCTGTAGCCGATCTGCTTTCTTCATCATTGCTTATACTAAACAAATAGGAAAGAAGTGGAAGCCAATAGTCTGGCATCTGATTTGGTTCTGCCATAACCAGCTGTGTGACCTCGGACAAGCTTTGTTCCTTTGATATCCTTGACTGTAAATCAAGGGGTCCAATGAGCTCCTTGTGGGTTGCCTTTCAGCTATAACATTTCTTAGCTATTCTGTGTCACTCTCCATGGGCCTCCTTGTCATCTTCCTAATAACCAAGACTCACAGAGGGGCTTTCTTTCATCCCAAGTATGGGTTCTGAAGTCTTAAAAGAGGAACTATAATGACTCCAAAGCCTTCAAGCACACAAAGGAATTCATTGCTAATGGGAGTTCAGGTATAGAGCTACTCCACTGGAGAGATCTTTAAGGAAGATGGGCCCCAGCCATTGCCCCTGAAATCCTATCAATTGGGAAACAGCACATTCTCCACCCTCTCACCAGCCAGCCTGGCATTATGAACCCAGCCACCCACGGCTAGATAGAGAATGTTTATGCAGGCTGGAATGATTGGGGTAACTGGAGCCTCTCAGAGTTCAGCTGGAGACAGTCATTCAATCGAAGATACTGCCCCTCAAAACTCAAATCCCTGAGAGGGCAAATTATTTCAGCTGCTTGAGCTGGTGCACTTTACAATGCAGTTGGTGCAGAGCCTCCTGCCCAGCGAGAGGCACGATCCCCTCTCCCCAAGGACATTGGTGACCCCCACAGAACCTTTTCTCCCTGACCTGCGTGCTGGCCAATCATGCTCTTCTGAAACTAGATATTGTGAGGCCAGACTAGTGCATAGCAAAGGAGGCCGCCCCAGCTCACTAATCCAAAGAAAGGATAGCTTTACACAGGGCACATAGTGTTCCACTCAGCCCATAATGCCCGCATGTGTCTGGGGGCGGCATTGCTCTTAAATACCCAAGACAAATCTAAGCCTGTTGAGCGGTACACCCACTCTTGTCAACTCCAAGCAAAATAAGTCATACAGTGTAGAATAACACAGGCCTCACAGCCCTGAGGCCTAGTGTTCAGTCCAGTTTCTTACTTAATAGGTAAACCTATTAAGTTTCTCACTTACTAGGCAAACTTGGACAAGTCATTTTAATTCTGTAGACCTTCTGGCTTTAGGTTGCTATCAATAGGACCAACACATTGCCACGGGGTCATGACGTCCCTCACTTTCATTATTTCTCTCCAAAAGAAGTTTAAAAGAGAAAAAAAACATCAGATACCTTTCATATGCCGGTATAATCATTCAATCCTTCTCCCACTAACCCAAGTGTTATTATCCTCATTTTACAGGTGAGGAAACAAGGTTTCAGAGAGATTTAGTAACTGCTATGAACTGAACTGTCTTCCCCTGCACTGCATATGTTGACTCCCTAACCCCTAGTGTGACTTATTTGGAGATAGGATCTTTAGGAGGTAATTAAGGTCAAATAAGGCTGTAAGGGTGGGGCCCTAATCCAGTAGGAATAGTAACCTTATAAGAAGAGGAAGTGAGTGCTCTCTCTCTCTCTCTTTCCCCACATGTGTACAGAAGGAAGGCCATGTGAGGATACAGTGAGAAGGCGACCATCTGCAAACCAAGAAAAGAGGCCTCACCAGAAACCAAACTGGCTGGCACCTTGATCTGGGACTTCTCCAGAACTGTGAGAAATAAATGTCTGTTGTTTAAGCCACCCAGTCTATGGTACTTTGTTATGGCAGTCCTAGACGATGAAGACAGAAATGAACTCCAAATCACATTGTAGGGCAGATAGAGGTAGATCCAACTGGAACCTATACTGGTTCTGTTATTTATGTTATTCCTGCTTCCTAAGCCAGTCCTTGTATCAAATCACTTCTATCATAATTACCTGGAAGTGCTCCTTAAAAATACATACTCCCAGACCACACCTCAGACCCTCTCAAAATCAAAATCTCTGTGGATGGGGTCTGGAAATTTGCATATTTTTCAGAGGTCGGGAGACCACTGTGTAGGGCCACACAGCCTCCCCACACTAAAACTCCAGCAGTTCCAATAGGGAAACCTTGAAACAAGCTCTTCACAATGAGGCAGTGCCTAGCATAGCACGTGCTCAAGAAATTTCTTTGATGGGTTCATGACTTTCATCTGGACCTACAGAGTGAACTTGAACCTCTGGTCTCTGGGCTTAGGAAGTGTGGAAATCATTTTTAATCTCCTGTTACTAAAGAAAGATGTCACTCCATACTTCAATTTGAAGAATGACAGTATAAATCATTTAACTAGCACTGAAAAATTACAACTTTCTGAAATGGTTATTTTTTAAATTGTCAATCAATTTGAAGTCTAAACTTTCTCTGATTTTAGTTCCAGGGTGGTACTGCCATTAACACTGAGAAAATGAACAAAAAGCAGACTTCACTGGTTTATAACTTCTATAATCATTCAATTTATTTTTATCACATTCTCCTTTAGTCAGGGTAAATAATAAGTCAGGCTGTGATTTATGTGATAATACACAATGTTTATGTACCTAAGACAAAAATCTCCAAGATTGGCAGGGCTGGGGGAGGGGGGGTGGGAAGGAAAGGTACAAAATGATGTATATGAAAAGTTACCATGTATTAATAAATGGAAAAAACTACACACACGTGTTTGTATTCAGGCACGTATAAATGTATGTATTTGCCTGAATAAGCATAAAATATCCTTGAAGGATTCACCAAAAAACCGGATAATATTGATTTCTCTAGGAAGAATAACTTAGAGGCTGGGGAGAAGAAGAGGAGAGAAACTTTAAAAAATGTTTTGTGTAGGTTTTTTTTCCTTATAATTTAGTATATTATTGAGGTAAAGTACTCAAGTCTTAAGTGAGCAGCTCAATGAATTTTTACATACACATTCACCCATGTAACCACCACTCTGATAAAAATGCAGAACATTCCCAGAACCCCAGAAGATTACACACTACTCTCACTCAGTCAAGTACCCAAACCCCAAAGATAACCTTCCTTTTAACCTAGATTGCAATAGATTTTTTTTCTGTTCTTTACTTTATATAAATGGATTCACACAGTGTGTAATTTTGCAAGTCTGGCTTCTTTCCCTGGATGTTACATCTATGAGATTCATCCCTGTTATTGCAAATGGCAGTTCTTTTCTATTACCGTGTGGTACTACATTGTATGAATGTACCACAGTTTGTGTACATACCTACTGTTGAAGGACATTGAGTTGTTTTCAGTTAGGGGATGTCATGAATAAAAGCGCAAGGAGTACTCTAGTGGTTTCCCAGAAGAAGTCTTTTGATGGAACTACAAGTAGTCACTTCTGAGAAATCGCTAGATTATAAGGTAAAGATATGTTTAGTTTTAGTAGATATTTCCCAGCGGTTTTTCCAAGTGTTTGTACCAATTTACACTCCCCTCATCTGTGTATGAGAGCTCCAGTTAGTTGCCCAACATCTTTGCTAACATTTGGTATTGTCAAAGGAAGACTTTTAGCAAGAATCTTTTCACTATATATCCTACTGTATCTTTTGATTTTAAATTGTATATATATATATTGCATATTCATAATCAAATACATAAAATATTATATGAAAATGTAACAAAAATGAAAATCACATGCTGGCATAAGTTATTTCATTTATCTTTCCTGAATATAGATGAATGGCTAGGAGACTCTCCCAGTATTGAGTACAGAAAGGGAACCAACATGACGATGTTTCCAAGGCATTTAAACATTTGTCAGTTGTCTTTAAAAAGAGCCATAAACTTCCAGAAAGAAGAGATAAAAGAAAGGACTAGTGCAAAGCTTACTAGCAAATCAAATATGCTATGGGAAAGCTTTACACAGAACTCACAATTAAGGGGTCCTAATAACAGAAAATGCTAGTGCATTGTATCCTCAGTAAGTGACATCTCTTCATATAGTTTGGTGAGCTTATTACTTCAGAGCCTCTTTTTCCTCATCCATAAAATGGGGAAGCATTGCTCCTTAATGTACTTATTCAATGTGTTGAACACCTTCTATATGCCTGGTAGACATTGGACACATAAAGTCAAATAAGACACATGCTTAGCTCTCAAGCATCTTGCAACTCTAGTTGGGGAGAAGAACAGCTAAATGAATAATTACAGTTGAGTGTGAGGAGTGCCATAATCTAGATGTACCCAAAGTGCCTTGGGAGCAATGAAAACACAGCTCACTCAGATATGTGGAGCTGAAAGATTGCCAGAGAAAAGTTGACTGAGCTGAGTTTTGAAAGATGAATGGGAATTAGTTAAATGGAAAAGGAGGAAAGGAATTCCAGGCCTACAGAACAGCACATGCAGAGGCATGGATTCATATAAAAGCAGATACCTTTAGTAAGTTCAGCTTTGCCATGTGATTGGAATAAACAGTGTGTTTGTAGGGAAAACGGAAAATAGGGAAGCCTACAGAGATAGGTTGGCAGGGAGGGATCGTTAGAGACCTTGCTTCCCAAGTCAAGAAATTTTAATTTTATTCAGAAACCTTTGGAAGTCCATAGACATATTTCAAACAGAGGAGTAATGTGATTTTAATAATGAAAAGATGAAAGGTTTTCTTATGCTGCTTCTTTGGATGGAACCAAAAAGAAAAACAAAGTAAGGAAGGGAGAAACCAAAAAAGGGGAGTCAATGGAAAGCAAGAAAAGTAAAGAAAGAAGAGAAGGAAGAGAAGAATAGGATCCTTTTAAAAAAAAAAAACTTGCTAAAATATAGGAGATTATTTTCATGATTTTGAAACAGACAAAGATTTTATCAAGAGTACACAAAAACATTAATTATACAATGTTGATAAACAATACTAAAATTAAAAACACCTTTTCATCAACAGACATCATTAAGGCATCCTATACAATGGTAATGGTACTTGCAATGCATGCATCTAATAAAGGACTCATGTTCAGAAAAACTCTTATAAATCAATAAGAAAATTACAGACAACCCAACAAAAAGATGTGTAGACAATTCACAAAATAAGCTATCCAAATAACAAAAGAGCATATGAAAAGGCTCTCAACTCTATTAGGCATCAGGGAAACACAAGATAAAACCATGTGAAATACTGCTATGCACCTACCAGAATGGCTGAAATGAAAAAGTTCATTTGCACAGTGTACTAAAACTGAATATACGTTCCCTCTGATTCATGAATTCTGCTCCTAGATATACATCCCAGAAGGTACTACAATGTTCATAACAACACTATTTGTAATAGCCAAACACTAGAAACTACCCAAGTACCCTCAATAGTTGAGATGAGGAATAAATTGTGATATACTCTTAAGCAAAGAGAATAAATTATTTATAAAAGCATGAAAAATATAGCTGAATCTCATAAACGTGATGGCGTGTAGAAGAAGCCAGACACAAAAGAGTACATTTTGTATAATTCCACTTATGTACAGTACAAAACCAGGCAAAATTATTCTATGGTCTTAGAAGTCAGGATAGAGTTTACTCTTAGGAAGGGTAACAGTTTAACTCAAGGAAAGCAGGCAGGATTTATATACAAAATACATTTAAATTCTGAGTCTGACAGAAGATGTTTTTAAGGTTTTATGCAGCATTCAAGTTGCTAGCTGGTAGTATTTGGGGAATTAATAAGATGAGCATTTAAAGAAGATTTAAGGTAGGAACAGGGCCCAAAAAATGGCAGGGAAATATAACTCCTCTTCTCAATTGCCACAGAATCTAAAATTTCCAGTAAGTGGCTCATTCCTTTGGGTTAAAACTTTCCTTTTCTGAACAGAGCAGAAGAAAAGTAGGAGTATGATACCCTGGTGTAATACAGACCTGTTTCCCTTATATATTTATATAAAGTTATCTGAGTGTGAGGGTTCAGCAGAGACCCGTGATTTACCTTCTGGGGGTGGAGGGTGCTGGGAGTCCCACTGAGTGGTCAGCCTTAAAAAAGAAGCAGAAGCCAACTGAGACATTAAAAACATCAAGATCCTTAAATGACCACTATTCTTGTGAACCTCACTGGTGATAGTAGCCACAGGAAGCCCTGGCTAATGGGAAAAACCACAAGAAGGCTTATGAGATAGTGCCCATAAAACCAAAATCTAAAAGCATCCCTCTCTGCCACCTACCAAGCTCTACATCACCAAGAAATCCCTTCCAGGAGGCACTGGTATGAACAGCAAACTGGAGGGTCACACAAGGGAAACTCATTACCTGAGATCTCTGACATTATTGCCATCCTGGTTGAATCATCTTCAACATCCAAGACAGGCTGCAGAGAGATGACAGTTTTTGAATGTGTAATTCCCTGTTGAGGGAGCCCAGCCATTCCTCATCGGGAAATGGGGTGATATTGAGGGTCAGAAACTCTGCACAAAGATTCCAGGCAGCAAGGGACCAACCACCCAACTTCCAGCGGAGAGGGAAACCTGGAAAGACTGAATCAAATCTGTCTTCTTCAAGCTCTTTTGACCATGACCACAAAAAGAGATATATTTTACATCAAAACCCAATGTGCTCATATACCAAATCTAAGTTGCCATGATTGCAAGATATACCATTGTTTTATCACTGACTGAGAAAGAAAAACTACCTATTATAATTATAAGATATCCTGATTTCAAAGATCTATAGTAAAAAAAAGTATGTCTTAGAGTGGATAAAATATGGAGTAAAATTTCAATCAATACTAACCTTTATTATGAATAATCCACTTTGATATTTAGTATTCTACGTTATTCTGCTGACTCTATTCTATTTAATATCATAGATTCCCCAAACACTGGCCATGACCCATTAAATTGACTGCATAATCTACTAGTGGGTTGCAACCCACAGTCCAAAAAACACTGGGTTAACAGATAAGGTATAAGACTTCTAGATAATTTCACTGAGAATCCAGAGTTTGACTAACTCTACTGGTAGGACAACTGAACCCAAGTGGTAATTACTGTGCAGTATATCAGTACATATCTGTGGGCTGAATTGCCTAGAAACCTAAGGCTTATCAGCCTGTATTATAGATATTGCTGATATTTAAGCCATTAGTGCTGTAAATGCGCTTTGCTATAATTATGCTATGAGACATATCAACCAGGGCATTTCTGAGAGCTGATTCCTGCATGCCTCCTGTATGTAGTAAGGTATGTATCCAAAATTAGAGTGACCAAGAGCCTCTACAAAAAGTGCAATAATCCTTTCATGCAACAACCCTGCCCAGGGCGTTAGGCAACTATTTATAAACCCGGTTTAAGAGGGAAAATACCCTGACTTTTGTTTTGCAAGTCTCTACAGATCCAAATAGCACAGCCAATCAGAATGCTACATTGGTGTGACAGTTTTCCTCACCTTTTGGAGCTGAATCTGTCATTCACTTGAGAGCCCAGGGAGAAATAAGATGTGTGGCTCTTTAGTTGCACATTCCTTGAGTACTTTGCTATGCATGAAGTGTCTCTCAAGGGAGATGTGAATTGAATCACACAGATCACTGAATGAGTTTATATTGGAATTACAAAGAAGTTGAACATTTTGTCACTTAACATACTGATGAGCTCTTTGATTTTGTGAGTTCCGTAGAATGAGGACTGGTCAAGAATTACCCACCAAAACATAGTAATGGAAAATTTGGGGTTTTCTAAAGACTTTCTTAGAAGTGGACTTTCTCCAGTGGCTCTATACACACTAATAAAACACAAATTGAGTTGTTGTAAGCAGAACAAAGTTTACTCGATGTTTTTTCAAGTTAGTGTGTGTTTTCAGAAATATTGCCTTAGGGAAATATATTCAGGCCCACTGCCACCCTCTGCTAGAAGCTGAGATCTTCCAAATGTTTGGAATTACAACAGTAAATGGTCAGGGCTGCTATATATTGCTGTACGGGTTGTTCACTGCACAAGGACACCCAGCCAGAAGGATGACTGGAGACTGAGATCCAGCCCACATTCCTCTTGCCCAATGTGCAGTGTAGTGTGGGGTGGGAAGCAGAGATGCCTTTTGAAGATTGAACCAAGGCATCATAAGGGTTAGTGAACAAGGGCCAATCTGAGTGGTGAGAGAGGGAATGAAATAGTCAATAGCTCTATAATAGTTCAGATAAATTGCAAATCACTCTTAATTCTTCCTACATATCAACTTAACCCATGGAATAAATTCATATTTTAATTCAGAAATCTGAGCCTTAACCTAACTTTACATGAAGTCATGATATATCTGAAATGCAGTTCTAAAGCCCTGCTAAAGCCTGTTGAATTCGTTCAGAGATTCCCCATGAAATTTGAAGATGAGAGCTAGGGGATAAGGGAGTAGATGGAGGGAGAAGGAGTGTCAGAATTGAGCACCTGCAATTCAAGTAATATTTTTCTCGTATCTTAAAGTATGCCCAAACTAGAATTATGGTCATTAAAATAGACTGTGCCTTGTAAGTCCTTCCATAATGCCCAAGTCTGACCTTAAGTCTAAAATGAAACAAAGACATTTCTTCCATCTGGAAGATTCATCTATCACAAAACCAGCAGATTGTTTACTTTGTTAATTAAACAACTGGAACACTGACATAAAAACCAAGAAGCAGAATTTAAGATTCAGCATAGGCATAACTTTGAATCCAGGCCATCTTCTTAGAAGCATCTAACTAGAAACTATACATTGCAACTCCCCAGCCAGCTCAATTCAGCTTCTAGCATGTTCTCCCACTGCTTTCCACGGGATCACACAGAGCAGTCCGGCTAGAACACCTGCTACTCAACCACCCACTCTGCACCTCACTCATGCTGCCCCTGCTCAGTGAAATACCTGCCCAGTAGTCATCTTTCAAGAGTCTGTGGATAAGCTTCCTTCTGCCTTCTCCTTGAAGCCTTCCCTTACTCCCTCAAATGGATCTAGATTCTCAATCCTTTCCATCCTGGGAACATACCTAGCTCTATCCCACTCCAGATTGTCATGCAGGCTCTTCAGTCTAACTCCACCCACATATCCCATGGCTGGCTCCTCCTCATCCTCCAAATTCCCCAGGTCGAGATTTCTCGAGAGGGGCCACCTCTGCCACTCTTTTCTCCTTCAGAGCTATTTCCATCATAATTCCTATCACGGCTTCTAATAATCGATTTATTCCATCGTTTACTTGTTACTTTTCAACCTCCACTACTAAATTTTAATCTCCAATGAAGACAGGCACCTCATCTGTTTAACTTTCATAGCAGTGTCTGGTACAGAGTAGGTAGAAACTCAATAAATATTTGTTGAATGAATAAATGAATGGATGAACAAACTAGCATTTAGTTTTTTGCTTCTGTTAGACAGGGAACCATATAGCTTATCATCCAAACCAGGACACTTTTGAGGATGAAATTGAATAACCATTGTTAATTATATTGAGATAAAACAGGCAACAGCCAGGACATATGATCACCATACACCACATCTGCTCCTAAATGTCCCATTTAACAAACAAGTTCACAAGATTCACAATATCTTTAGATGCCACATGCTGAACCATTTTCGTTTTGCTAAGATCAGACTCCTTCTCTTCAAGATCAAATCTTTGACTTGATATTTTTGTAGAACCATGTTGGTCACATCAGACTCCAAGAAGGTGGAGCATTCTTCCTTTAGCACAGCCTCAAGCATGTCTTCATTGATAACAACGGCCTCACTCAATGAACCCAAGGGAAAGGTCGTTTCATTTCAAGGGTAGCTAATGCCATCTTGGATAGCCAATCCAAGTTTATTTCAGGACAGGCAGCATTAGTGCCACATTTAACAGCATGCGCAGATACCTCTGCAATGATTCTACTCCAGCCCTGGAGGAGATGAAAGGCAGACAGAAAGCCATTGGTGGAAGAACAGCCTCTTGGATTGAAATTCTTCTACACTGTAACTGGAAATAACTGGAAGACTCTCAAAGAAGAGGGTTAGAGAGGGAATACCATAAAAGTCTGAGATAAATACTTATGGTCTGGGCTCCTAGGTCTGCTTTTTTTCAACTGTGTGACTTTGAAAAAGTTACATTTTGAGTCTCATCCCTTATCAATACATTATAATTCTGTAGAATATGTTATAATTCTGCTTAACCCTGCTACAAATGAGATGATCGATAAAGCACCTATCACAGTGACTGACACATAGTAAGTACTCGATAAATGTTGCATAAAAATAATAATCACTAGTCATTAATAAATGATGTCACTTTCATTAAAGAACTAGTATCTTAGTTCGGATTTTGTTTTGTTTTGTTTTGTTTTGTTTTGGGTTTTTTGTAGACAGGGTTTCACCTGTTGCCCAGGCTGGAGTGCAGTGGCACAATTACAGCTCACTGCAGCCTCGAACTCCTGAGCTTGAGTGATCCTCCCACCTCAGCCTCCCAAGTAGCTGGTATTACAGCCACACACCACCATATCTGGATAATTTTGTTGTTACTGTTGTAGAAACCAAGGTCTTACTATGTTGTCCAGGCTGGTCTCGAACTCCTGGCCTCAAGTAATCCCCCTGCCTCAGCCTCCCAAATTACTGATATTGCAGGCATGAGCCATCGCCCCTAGTTTATCTTAGTATAACATAGTGATCAAAAGCTCCAGAGCCCTGGGTTCAAATTCTACTGGTGACATTTAGGACCTGTGTGGCCTTGAGGAAGGTATTCAACTTCTATAGGCTACAGAATTCCCATCCATTAATTGAAGACAGTTATATCTACTTCACAGGATTGTTGTGAAGATTAAATGAGATCATGCATATAAAATGTTTGGCATAAGGCTTAGCACATAGTATTGTATAATGTTTTTGAAGTAGAATTTGCTAGAAGTGCAGGTATTAAAGTAGAAACAAACAGCAAGGAGTAGAATATTTTGAGAGGTTTGTTAACCAGTCACAAGAGCAGGCTATGCCAGATTGTGGTATCTGGTCCCAAGAAACATCAGGGAGGGGAAACGGCAAGGAAGAGGTTGGGATATATAACACTGTCCATTAAGCGTCCTAATTGGGAAGAAGAGAGTAATCAAAAAGTGCACACTCCCTAAATGTTTCTGCATATGGAAGGGAAGAGAGACTGGAGGACAGTAAAGGCATTCCAATCCAGTGGATTCAGTGACCTTTATTTTTCCTTTGGCCTGGCTCTTAAAATAACAGAAAATGGCAGATTCTCATAGGTATTATAGAAGTCATTTTTAAAATATATTTTAACATTTCTCTCATTTTTAATGTTGACATTGTTTTAGTTCATTTTGTGTTGTTCTAAAAGAAGACCTGAGATAGGGTAATTTATTTTTTAAAAAGAGGTTTATTTAGCCCACAGTTCTAGAAGCGGAGAAGTTCAAGATTTGGCAGCTGCATCTGGTGGCTTCTGATGAGGGCCTCATGCTGCCTCAAACATAGCAGAGAAATAGAAGGGGAACCAGGTGAATGGAAAAAAGGGCAAGACACATGTGGCAACCTCAATTTATAACAATGTGCTCTTGAGGGAAGTAATCCATTCCCAAGACAACTAACTCCATCTCCAGAGAAAGACATTAATGCATCTTAAAGACCTAATCACCTCTTTAAGGCACCACCTCCCAACACTGCCACATTGGGAACCAAGCCTCAGTATGGTTTTTGGTAGAAACAATCATATTCAAACCATAGCAACCAAGTTATATAACTCACTTTGGTCTAAAAAGTCCCAAAATTTCCCTCTGGTAGCCATATAAAACATACCCCCAACAGTCCTTGAAAGCTTTCCTAACCCCAGGTTATTAAATGTGGAGTGAAACTAGGAATGTCTTTGTCTTACAAAAGTTGTGTGACTGTTTTTAAAAGAATAGGTAAACTGCTAATTACCTTCCTTGGACATCTGACTCATTCCATTCCCTGAAATTTCAGACATGGAAAAACTCATTTGGAAATTCCAATTTTAATGATTCTCTAATTTACAGAGAGACTCTATTCCCTTCATCTTAGCACTGGACAATTGTATATATGCATATACTTTGTAATAAGGTCTTAGAACTCTAGAACTGCTGCATATGGGGGCATTCAATAAAATGGGACAAATGTCACACACACAAGTGCAGACACACATACACAATAATATTTAAGTTTGGGTCTGAAAGACAAAAAAAATTTCCATTTGCTTGTGACAAAAAACATATCTTCAGCTAACTAGAGACCCTCTTGTATGCTTAGAAATGAAGATACTAATTGATGAGAGAGGGGCTTTTCAAAATCAAATGTCTCCAATCTCTAAAGAAACTGAAAAGACCACATTTCAGTGTTAAGCAAATAACCTGAAAGACTCCCTTAAAATCTAAACAAACACCATTAAATGGAGAAAAATAAGTGCTTTTATAATAACTCTAGGGTATGCCTGTCTGGTCACCATTATGAATACCTAGACACTCCATTTAAGAACCTGCTTTCGGAAATCCTAAATGGAGTGCAAACAAGGAATTTGTCAAACTTCAATTTAAGTTTACCTTATTTAAAAGTGATTATAATTTCTTTAAGTTTTTTTCCTTTCAAATGAAATTGTTTAATCTCTGACAACTGCATTCCTTAGTTTACAAGTGAATAATCTCAGACTAAGAAGATATCCCGGGGTAGGGTTGCCAGATTGAGCAAATAAAAATACATATTCAAACATTGCATGAGACATATGCATACAAAACAATTATTGATTGTTTATCTAAAATTCAAATTTTTGCTGGGCATCCTGTGTTTTATCTGGACCTACCCCTAGGTCCTCTACCTAATGAATGGGAAAGCTGATGATAGAACCCGGTGCCCTGACTGACAGCCCGGAAAACTACTAGCAATGAATAGGTTCCTCTTTCTGATGCAAATACATTCACAATTATCCCTTGAAAATTAGATGCTGTGGAAAACCAAATGCTATGTAAGGTGATCCCACCCCTCAGGAAGCCTAGAGTCTAATGGCAATTTCTAGTGAATCTGGAAGAGAAGAGAGACTGTCTGTAACCATCTCAGCAAACTGCTAACCAAGAAAATGGTTCTCACTCCTGGTCACATATTAAAATCACTTTGGGAGCTTTAAAAATAATCAGTGGCTCACACCTATAATCTCATCACTTTGGGAGGCCTAGGCAGGTGGATCACTTGAGGTCAGGAATTCCAGACCAGCCTGGCTAACATGGTGAAACCCCATCTCTACTAAAAATACAAAAAAATCAGCCACACATGGTGGCATGCACCTGTAATCCCAGCTACTCGGGAGGCTGAGGCAAGAGAATCACTTGAACCCAGGAGGTGGAGGTTGCAGTGAGTGGAGATCACACCCCTGCACTCCAGCCTGGATGACAGAGTGAGACTCTGTCTCAGAAAAAAAAAAAAAAATTATCAGTGCCCTGAAATCCTGAGATTCTGATTGAATTGGTCTGGGATAGGGTCTGGGAAAATGGTCTTTTTTTTTTTTTTTTGCCAAAATATTCCCAGATTATTCTAGTGTGCAGCCTGGTTAGCATAATGAACCAGTGGTCTCAGACTCAGAATCTCCCCCATGAAATCTGGATTCACAAATGGCTGGGTCTGTGCTAAAGTAGGCTGTGTGTGTGTGTGTGTGTGTTTTCCCAAAGCCCCATACTTCCTGTATCCCATGGAGGTGTTCCAGTTGGCCACTTGGTCTTTCCAGTAAGACTCATTGAAGGGACAGCATTTTGCTGGAATTCACTTTACCCCCATTCTGCCCTTGGTTCCTAGTCATTTCTTAGCCAATGCATTTTGTAGCCTGAGTCTTGAAAAATTCATTGTAAGTATACAGATCACAATAGACAATAGAGAAGAGATCATTCCATCTAACCCTGCAGTCTGCTCAGGATACCCCAGTTACCTGGGGTCAGACATGCGGCCTCTGGTCCAGAGTCAAATGTGTGGGTTCAGTGTTGTCTGAATATCTTCCCACTGGTAGAACCCACTAAATAAAAGCCCCTTTCAGTCTTACAACTTCCCATGAAGAGATAAATAAAGATGTGCTCTGGGTATTTTTATTATTGTCATTATATTTGTTGTCCTGGTCAGAGAGGGGTCAAAAAGCCACAACATTTTCCTCTGCCCAGCTATTATTGTCTTCCAAAAGACACAGTAGCACATGCTCAAGAACAGGATTTCTCAACACAATCTAAGAAGACAAGATAAAGAAGCTAAGTCTCCTCTGTCCTGGCCTATGGCCCTCAGCTTCTCATTTCTGACATCATTTATGAGGAAGGCAAGTTCATTGTTTCGTTTTGCTGCATCTGTTCTCAAATTATGCCATCTTTCAACAACAGCCTAATTTAACATTTTTAAATCATTCCGACCACCATATGCCATCCAAAGTCCAAAGTAAATGGTATCTAACCTCCAGCTCTGAAGACATACGTGGCTGTGGCCAAGCCTACTTTCAAAGACTCACTGTTGTATACTATCACGTGCTTAGGCCATTTTTACATCATTGTTAATCCTTTCATTCCAGAATCCATCTGGGATCAATTCATGATAAGAACACCGTTCTCTTTTGGGACACTCATCCAAGACTGGTTTTCCTAGCTTAAGACTCAAGAGATTCCACTTCTCCAAAAGTGTTAAGTTGAAAAATCCAGTACAAATAAACAAGATCAAACAGGGCCAATTGTATCTACCTAGAAATAATGAGAGGGCACTTTTTAAAAAATACATAAAAGCACTAAATGAGTGCTCAATACCACTAATACCTGGAAACCTTAGGCTCAAGACAAGTCAAACAAATTCCAAATGCATCTAATCCATGTTAAATATTTCCTGTCTCAGTGACCAACAGGCCATGTTAAAACCAGTCCAACTCCTTTTGAAGGTCTCGTTCTTTTCCCCCACATGAAGGGTAATGTAAGGATTCTGATCAGTGATGCAAGATTGCTAATTCTAATTGGGTAATTTTTCCCCATTAGTCAGAGATCAGCCTTGCCAACTTGGAGGCCTCACATGCTTTGCTGCCATTGGGAGCTAGCTGTCAAACTCCAGAGCTAATGGAAATATATTCTAAAAGCCAAATTCCACCCTTCACTTGCATGGTGACAGTTCCTAACCAGGTGAGAGAGCTTCGACCCCATCCCAAAGTCTGAGACCTTCAGTCTTTCTTTGTCATCACCTTCTTCTCATGTCATTGTCAACAAATCCCCTTTGACAACCCTCTCTCTTTTCCCTTGGAAAATGCCCAAATTCTCCCAAGAGAGGAAGCACTATCTTTCTAAATCTTAATTTAATTGGAAAAGAGAGAGCTGAGATTTTTAAATTCAGGGCAGAGGCAGACTCATTCATTACCACTTCAAGGTCCAGGATTTGGGCTGATGAGCAAATAGATCAATCATATTGGGAGGTGTTCTGTACCTTCCTCTGTTATAACTCTAATTCCCACAGTCAAAAATATACATTCAGGAATAAACAGGCTGGTTCTCTCCAGTGTCTTCTCAACTGATAGTTCGTAACTGGTATGATAGTTAAATTCACGTGGAGAAGGATGCAGATTCATTTGCCAGACACAACCAAGACAGGGCCAACACCAGCAGGGGCTTCTAGAACTAGAATGAAGTTTCCCTGCTTCAGATCAGAAGAAACTCAATTGGAGGCCCAGTCATGTGTCTTATACAAGTGCCTAACAACATACATAAAATCCCAGAGAGCTGTGTATCTAAGTGAGCCAACACTAGTTCACAAGCAGCAATGCAAAACCCCTTTCTTCCTCTGCCCCGTGGCAAAAAGTAGGTCTGTTCCATTTGTTTACAACCATTGCTGTTACTTTCCAGCATAACCATAATCTTATTTTGTAAATCCTATTCCTGACACACCTCAAACCATCTGCCCATTCTTTCTTGGGTTAGCTTGGGGCTGTTTGGCAAATGTCTGTCATTACCTGTAAGTGGAATATTTTTTAACAGAGTACATGCCCCTTGTAAAGGCATGTTGCCATGGCTGCTAGGTGCTCTGAAAAATCTCCTTTGGTTTTTTTCTTGAAATCCAATATGGCTTTAGTAATTTTTAATATGTGTAGAATTAAGAAGAGACAAAGAGGCATAAATACAACCCATTAGGCTTCAGATTCAAAATAAGTTTGTACACGCTCTCAGTCAAATACAAGGAATTGGCTAAAATTTTATTAATAAAAGTATATTTGTCAGTTTGAAGGAAGAGAAGACTTAGCCTATGTTTCAGATTCAGACTTGCAAACAGTTTTGAGGGGAACAAGTGATATAGTCTGAGCCGTAGAACTTCCACCATTTCTTGTCCCCATGGAGTGGGACCAGGGTTCTCAGCAAGTCACTACAATCTGTCTTTGCTTCATTATTTTGACATCTTCTCCTTATTTAAACTACAAGGTGCTGAGAAAGACCCAGAACCCCAAACTGGATGAAGGATATGTGATAGGCAATTCACGGAGCACAGATACAAATGGACAAAAGTGAGAAAAAATATCTCACCTTATTAGTAATCAAGAAAATAATAGAATAAAATAACAAGGTCACTGTTAGCCTCTAAAACGGCAAAGATTAAAAACAATGAAAATATGTAGTGAGGGTGTGGGGAAATGTTCACTCTTAAGCACTGCTGAAGAAAGCAGAAATTCATACAACTCTCCTGGAGTCACTTTGGTAGTATCTAGCAAAATTTTTCTAGTACCTACCTTTGGCTACACTTCATGTATATACACACACACACACACACACACACAGACACACACACAGACACACTCATGTGAATTTAAAAATTATTTATAGTGGCATTACTTGTAAAAGCCAAAAATTAGAATTAGCCTATCAAAAGAGAAATGGTTACATAAACTCTGGTTTACCTACCCAATGGACTAGTTTATCTACCCAATACACTGCCATTAAAAAGAATGAGACAGTTCAACATCTTCCGATATGAAAAGACTGATATATTGACAATTAAGACAGCAACTTACAGAATATTAATATGTTCCAACTTATGGAAAAACAATGATTTACCTAGGTCTATAACAAAATGTGAAAAGGAGACTCTTTTTCAGCTTTGTCTAAGGCCCCAGAAGACCCAGAACAAAGCAAGAGGCAATTAGTGGTCTCACATTTTAAAATGAGTTTCTAGACCACCTAGACAGGACTTGCAAAGGAGACAACTGCAACCATTAGCCCATCACTCGCCTCAAGGCTATAAAAGGACTGAAACTGAAAATGCTGAAAGAATTCCTTTGGAATGATTTTTCAGGGTGTGGTGGTGTTTCCACCTTTACCTCTTTCTAAGTAAGAGAGGTTTCAAGGAGATCTCCCTGAATGCTGGAGTCTGCCAAGTGTAGACTGGCACTTGATTCAAGACCAAAGATCGTCTACTAGCAAGAGGCTGCAAATTGCGTGCGGAGGCCCAGGCACTGAGAGAGCTGCAGTGCAGCAGACAGGCCCAGGTACTGAGAGAGCTGCAGTGCAGCAGACTGCACATCTCCCAGCAGCAGGAGCCAGAGTGCATCAGTCTTGCCCTTAGGCCATATGCAAGGGAGCCAGCCAGGATGGTCTTGAAAAGGGCCCCACCTGTAGAGAGGTTGACAACACTCCACCCATAACCTTCCTATCTCTTGATCACATTCACACACACACACCTACTGGGTGGAGGGCAAGCTTTTACTCTCCCCAGCCAGCACCTGCATCTGTCAGCGGCTGCCCACAAGCCGCGGGAACCCACTAGATGCACCAAGAGCCAGAGTGCCTGGGGTGATGGGTGGGACTTGAAGGGACTGGAAGAGTTGTTATTCTACATGATTGTCCAAGAGTGTGAGAATGAATCTGCATATTATAGTTATAGAGACAGCAAGGGGAAACTGTTTTCTACCTGTACTGTATGGAATCTCATGCTTTCAATATGATGTTAACAATTACACAGGTAAAACAGAGAAAAGGTCTGGAAATTTACACACAAACCAATTATGATCTCTAGAAAGCAGAGTGTGGTTAGAGGATGAATAAAAAAAACTTATGTATTTTACTCTATACACTTCTTTATAGCTTGATTTTTTAAAAAAACAAACATATGTACTTATCTCTTTTGTAAACAAAAACTTAAAATACACACACACATACACACATATACTCACTGTATAAAAATTCAGAAAAGTAAGAAAAAGAAAACAAACAGACCATAAATGTAATTCCACTCCTCCCAGATCTCACCTCTGTTAGTATTTGATGAGTTTTTATTCACATCTTTTTTATGTAATTTGCTTGGAGCAGACAGGGCCTCATTGGGCATCACCAACAGTCAAGTTAAACAAGCAAGAACTTCAAGGATTGTTTACTGCTGCCACTCATATATTCCATGGGTATTTTGACCATATGAAAATCTGGGTATAGGAACAAAGAAAACCAATTTGATACTTATGAGTCTGTCTCCCTTAGCTCCCTTAGCTTAAAATGTTCATAATTAAGATGGAGGTAAAAATTATCACTGTGACATTTTATGCACTGGCTCTAGACAGTAGCAAGGTAGAGGACTAGAAGATTAAGATTTACTGATCCCCTTATGAAATCACAAATGGGTACTTTAGTCAAACTTAACAATACTTACCAAGTCTGTCCAGAAAGCTCATTTGAGCCTCAAACAAACAACCTAAATGGAAATTCAAGAGAAGACTTTATCTCCTGTCTGAGATTTACACAAAAATCAAATCTGTTACAGACTCATCTAAAAAACACAGATAACCGACTTGAGACCTTTAGCAAATGGAGTGGCTGCTATACACGTGGAAATTACCTCCTTCTTTGTTTTCAATTTCCTGGGAACCAGGGAGAAGTTCCGGTTTCTAAACCTTGAGGCAACATGAACAATGAACAATTGTTAGCTAGAAATAGCAGATGAAGCCTATTACTACACGACGGAAAGTAGACTGCACTGTCTTAAGGTTGTGTTTATTATACAGGCCTGGTGGGTAAAATGATACGGTAGAGAGTGAGTGTCCTGCTCAGTAGAAACCTCTGAGAAACCCTCCACTCCAAGGGAAGCATCCAACTTCTTTCTGTTTTTCCTCTTGTTGAGTATAGGCTTGGATAATTACATGTAATTTCCCAAGTCTGTCTTCATGAATGAAACTTCTTACCAATTTCTACCAAAACCCTCTACCAAATCAAATAAAGATAAGGTCAACAGAAAGCCAATACCATGCAAATGGTCAACAGAAAGCCAATACCATGCAAATACGCAGTAAAGGTCTTCATTTTTTTTTTTTTTCATTTGAGTGGCAAACCAAAAATCTTGAAAAGTTAACAATTCCATGATCCAGCAAAACAGCAACAGAACACAAAAGCTTTCCCTTGGGTTAGAATATGAAAACTTTTTTCAAGAGTAAATTCAATTGAGCTGAAATTGTAAAACCTGCAATGGCAAAGTGTATTTTTTAACCAAATTTGTTGGAAGCCAGTCATACACAGAAAATAAACCCAAACTCAAACTAGTACTGAAGTCCAGTTTCCTTTTAGCATTTTTTTAAAAAGAAGAAAGAAAAATAAACTTCCTAGACTTGAAAATGCAGCCTTTAGAACAAGGTTCCAAGAGTTACTCGGATGTTGGCTGATGCTTACAAACCAATGCTAACAAGTGGAGTGTAAATGAATCAAAACCAGATAGATTCCATTTCCCTTCAAGTAAATGGAGGTTGGAGACGGGGAGGTGGTGGGAATGCTTCCCAAAATGTGAATTTTACCAAAACCACAGTGTTCTGTATAAAAACTAGAGAAATATCATCTGAGCTTCAACTAGGGCTGGGTTTCAAAGAGGTGACATGAAGAGGGAGAAATGACACCCAGGAGCACCCTTCTGTGCCAGGCCATGAGCTTCAGGAACACTGGTTTCACCCCCACAATAAACGGCACGGCTGGCAGGTGTTCTCCCCCGACTTCAGAGATGAGAAAATGAAACGGGTGTACTCGCGTCCCCTTCTCTAGGTCATTCAGCCAGGAAGTGATCCTGAAGGCCGTCTGCATTAGGAAACAGTGCTCTCTCACCTCCTGTGCTCTTGTTCCATGAGAATCATTGATTACTTCAGCAAGTATGATGTAATGATGCTTTAATGAGGCCATTTTGGAGCATTCTACCAATGCAATGCTAATCTTGTCAAGGCCAACACCTGTGCTGACTTAGATAGTGCCTATGGGAGAACTAGGTAAGGAGAGGTAGAGAGTCATATTTTTTGTTTTTGTTTTTGTTTTTGTTTTTGTTTTTGTTTTTGTTTTGTTTTAGAGACAGAGGTCTTGCTTTGTTACCCTGGCTGGAGTGCAGTGGCACAATCATAGCTCACTGCAGCCTCAAACTCCTGAGCTCAAGTGATTCTCCCACCTCAGCCTCCCAAGTAGCTGGGATTACAGGTACACACCATAATGCCTGATTAATTTTTACATTTTTTTTTGTACAGACAGGGTCTCGCTATGTTGCCCAGGATGGTCTCAAACTCCTGGCTTCAGACAATCCTTCTGTCTCAGTCTCCCAAAGTGCTGGGTTTACAGGCATGAGCCACTGCGCCCAGCAAGAGTCTTATCTTGATTTAACTTAGGATCACCGTGAATTTATGTCATAAATCCAAGTTACTCAACTGTGGGGCAGGCCTGTGCTTCACCTGCATTACCTAACTCCTTTAATCCTCAAAATGACTATGGGCTTTATAGCATTTTTATCCCTATTTTATGCCTAAGAAAACAGGCTTGGAAAGGCTAAGGAAGAGGCAGAGCCAGGATTCTCACCCAGCCTGCCTGACCCCTCCGAGTCCAGATCATGTGCTCTTACCCCCTTCACAAAACTAAAAGGTTAATAATTCTAGAAATTATGCAGCAGTGGCTTTTCAAGGTATGTGGTTATCACTGATAGCAGCTTCCTACACATGTATTCATTTATCCAACAGGTATTGATTAAGTGATTACAATATATAAGACTGGGGGGTTATAAAGAGATCAAAAAATGTTCAAGTTCTTGTCCTTAGTCTCAAGCCATGTACAGCCCAGACTTACTCAGTTCTGGATTTTCCCCTGGTCTTCTGGCTACTGTCCTTTATCTTTTCAACTCACTTGTTATTACAGCAGTTTATTTCTTTTGGACATGTCCAAATTTCTGGTTTAGATAAGTCTGTCCCTGAGACAAGTGAACTTCATCAAGAGATAAATGAATGGAGAGACAGCTTTAAACCAAGGGCCTCTGGCATTCATAGAGTATCAGAACTTGAAGGGATCTGACAGATGGAGCCTGTATTGGTCAGAGTAGTCTACCTGCTATAACAAACAAGCCCAAACGTTTACTTCTTGCTCTCACAAAATTCAAGGGGTACGTTTCTGGTTGGGCCTCTGTCACACCTGTGGTGATACGTGGGGATCCAGGTCCTCCCCTGCTGTGGCTCCCCCATCTCAACAAAGGGTTTCAGGATGCCCCAGACTTCATCCACACAGCAGACAGAAGGCAGAGAGAAACGTCAGAGCAGGCATACTTACTTCTAACTGACTCCTCCCATTCCATCGGCAAGAGCTAGTCACAGTGCCACCTTCACGCCAGGGCCTGGGAGGTCTGTATGCAGGTTACCGGGAAGAATAAGTCAGTTTAGTGAGCATTCGGCCCATAAAACCACCGTGCAGGTGAGGAAACTGCTGCAAAGTATCTACTGCTACAAAGTGCCTACGCGAATCAACCAGTGTCACATAGAAGCAGATTCCATATTCCACTGCAGCACTCTTTGCCTACAACATTGATGCTTCCTAAAAAGACGTGTCTTGCTTTTATTTCTTATATCACACTTACTATATAGATTTAAAAAATACAGAAAAACTTAAAGAAAATAAGTTTGCACTATACTTTTCCAACATAGTCGCTCTTTATGTTTTGATGCCCGCTAACCTCTTCCACGTGTGTACCCTTATTATATATCACACAGACAAATTTTAATTATAAAATGTTCCAAACATACAGAAAGCAGTATAAAAGAAACCTAGGGATGCGCCACTCAGATTTAACAAATGTTAACATTTTACCACATTTGCTCAGTTCTCTCCTTTAGAAATAAAATGGATCCAGCTGAAACTCATCTAATTCTTTCTCATTCCTAAAGGAAATGAAGAAGTGCTATCCTAAAGCTGGTGTGTATAGATCCTGTGAATGTTTCCGTACTTTTACTCTATATATATAGATAGAAACGTTTTTGTACTTTTACTGTATATATATAGATACAAATATATATACTGTATATATATAGATACGAATATATATACTGTATATATATAGATACGAATATATATACTGTATATAGATACGAATATATATACTGTATATATATTACAAAAAGTACTGTATATATATACAGTAAAAGTACAAAAACGTTTCTATATATATATATATACAGAGACAGTCTCATTCTGTTATATATATATACATATATATATATATACAGTAAAAGTACAAAAATGTTTCTATCTATCTATCTATCTATCTATCTATCTATCTATCTATATATATATATATAGAGAGAGAGAGAGAGAGTCTCACTCTGTTGCCCAGGCTGGAGTGCAGTGGTGTAATCTCGGCTCACTGCAACCTGCACCTCCTGGGTTCCAGCAATTCTCCTGTCTCAGCCACCTGAGTAGCTGGGCTTACAGCCGTGGGCCACCCTGCCTGGGTAATTTTTTAATATTTTTAGTAGAGATGGGGTTTTGCCATGTTGACCAGGCTGGTCTCAAACTCCTGGCCTCAAGTGATCCGCCCACCTCGGACCCCCAAAGTTCTGGGACTACAGGTGTGAGCCACTGCACCTGACCTTTACTATGCAATTAGATTCATAAAATGTATATTACTTTTGTACATTTTAGATTTTTGCATAAGTGATACAATGCCATATGTATTCTTTTGTACCTTGCTTTTTTCAGTCAGCATTATGTTTTAAGACTTACCCAAGTTGATCCATGGAGATTATTTTCATTCAGTTGAACTAGATGTAGTATTCCATTGAATGACTAAGC
Organism: Homo sapiens; assembly: GCF_000001405.40. NCBI lineage: Eukaryota > Metazoa > Chordata > Mammalia > Primates > Hominidae > Homo > Homo sapiens. The sequence goes on along the minus strand of NC_000005.10, from coordinate 38,024,244 downwards.
CACAGTTTATTACTCATTCTTCTCATATACAGTTAGATTGTCTCCATTTTTCCCTTCACAGTAGTTTTAAAAAACAAAATTAGCATCAAATTATACATACAGATTTGCTGCCTGCTTTTTCCATGTAACATAACCTAGTTAAGCCTAGTAGTCACATATATTCTTTGAGAATATTATTTTTAACAGCTGTATAGTGCCCTCTCACACGAACATACCAAAATGTATTTAACCAATTCCCTCTAGTGGAACATTCAGGTATTTTCCAATAATGTGCTATATAAATTATACTTCCACGAACATCATTTTACGTGCACTTTTGGCATATTGACAAACAGAGAAAACTAAGGAGTGCCTGTAGAGAGGGAAAGTGCTACTATGGCAGCAAAGCAGCACTGTTCTGGCCCCGCACTTTCTGGGGCAAATCCTACCAATTCCACTTACTAACCATGTGACTTTGGACAAACTTAACTTCTCTGTGTTTCTATAAAATGAGATCGATGAGAGTAGTTTCATTAAATCCCATACCAGGTAGAGTTGTAGACTTTCTGCTTTATTATTTCTTTAAATTCCCCTGAAGGCAAGCAAGGGAAATCCTGCACCTGAGGCTCAAACATGTTTACCTAAAGCAAAGTGCCACTCGGAGGACAAAGAGTCATGAGATTTGAACCACTCCAGAACAGTGCCCGGTGCATGGCAAGTATTCAGTAAGTTAGGTTCAACACACACACACACACACACATATATAGTGAATACGCATTTGCACACATGCATACATGCACTCACCCACACACACACATGTGCACACACACATCTATACCTCTATGATAATTTTGGCTATGTGATACAGTGCTATTGTGCTTTTGTTCTATCCCAACTTTTCCTTATTGATAAAGCTAACTAATCTTCTCCCTATGTTTTTTTTTTTTTTCCATCTGGCACATCTTGCTTTTGCTGGCAATTGCTTCTTCGACCCCCCAGCAAACCTTCACTACCCAACACATTATACACTCAGAAAGTGCCACTAAAGCCCATTACTGACATAATGAAATTCTCTGACTCCCTCTTTCCATTTCAACCAAGTGGTCTGTCTATCCAAATATTTTCTCCCCCAGAGTCCTCCTGTCTGTCTTACGAATGGTGTCCCACTTCCCAGCTGACATCAAACCTGTGCAGATTACCTTTTCAAGCAAATGTAAATAAACAATAAAGCACAAAACAAAGAAGCCCACTTGATTTTTTTAGTTCTTCTAGAAATGGCTCAATAAAACTTCACTGGCCACAGGAGACTTCCCCTAATTCAACTAAACAAACACTGTTCCTTCTTCTGTTAAGAATGTCATCGGGCAGTCTAATGGGCTTTGAAAAACTCTTTGGAGCTCTGCACTGGAAAGGAAGATAAAAGGAAGCCACGGATGAGCAGTGAAGCAGTCAGGCTCGGATCCCTGCCCTCACCTCTGAGATCAGCACATTCCGAAATCTGATGAGATTCATAAATTCACAAGGAAGTACTTACTGCACAATTTGCCATGACAATTTCCAAATGGCTTAGGGTGATCATGACACCTTTAGTCTCAGAATGCCAGGAGAATACTTGAAAGGCCCTGAATTGATGAAAACCATCATGGTTAGAGCTATTTTCATATTATCAAATATGGTTTTAATTAACCTCAAAAAAACAAGAAAGAGGTTTCTAGAAAAGACAACACATACACCCCCCCAACCCCCGCCACACACCTACTTCTATATGATAAACCTAGCTGAAAAGGGGATAGGTCCCACGCCACATTTCATGAGAAAATTAGCATCTTTCAGTCTCTCTGGAATGTATTTGTGTTCCTTAGACGCGAGCTCAGTTTCACACTTCCAACTCCTTAATATTAATTCCTTTTCTTATTTCAGCCTGACCAGAACAAATTCTGTCCTGAGGCATCTTAGCAATAAAATCCAAATGGGGTTTTGCCCTCTGGCCTATAACAACTGGTGTCACTCCTATGAGACCATGTCTAGACTCTTAAGGAAAGTTAGGAAAGATGTCATGCTAGATTGGCTATTGTGTTTTTTGAATTTTGGGAAGCTAGATTACTCCCCTGCACATTTTTATACCCATGGGAGTCTCAGATCTGGACTCAAAATTGAGGGGATGTAGGAATAAAGTAGATATAAATCTTGTCTACTTCATCATCATGTCATCCAAGCTCATGTTTTCTTCATAAGAATGCCTTTAAGAAGTCAGAATGTTATAATCTTAGGTAGATGCCTATTTATATCTTTGCTACATACCTTCTTTTTCCAAGGTTGGGTTTTTTTGTTTGTTTCTTTGTTCATTTAATCTAGGAGATTAGTAAATAGCGTTTTATTTGAGGGTGGTTAGCATTGATTGAATCATACTCTATGGCTTTGTCTTGACAATTCACTCTCAACCATTCTTTTATCAAAGAAAGGAAAGATAAGAAGTAGAAGAGATAGAGGAGAAGGAAGGGGAAGGAGAATAGAAAGGAAGAAGGAAAATAAAAAAGGTAGGAAAGAAGGAAGGAAGGAAGGAGGGAAGGAAGGAAGGAGGGAAGGAAGGAAGAAGGAAGGAAGGAAGGAAGAGAGGGAGGGAGGGAAGGAAGGAATGAGGGAGGGAGAAACAAAGGGTGAATGGGCATCATTGGCCATAGTATCTGAAAGAAAATAATGCATTGGGTATAAAGGCTTCAACTTTATCCCAGAAAGGCTTTAAACTCTCAGTACATTCTTTTTAGAAGTATAGACGCACAAAGTTACACCACCCTTCAGGCATGAAACAACCATCCCACTCAAATACAAGGCTTACAGACATGGTAATGAACACAAAGAGCACCACAGAGCTCCTCAGAAGTGTCAGTGTTGCTTAACATTTTATTTACTATTTATTTATTTATTTTTGGGACAGAGTCTTGCTCTGCCGCCCAGGCTGGAGTGCAGTGACACCATCTAGGCTCACTGCAACTTCTGCCTCCCAGGCTCAAGCGATTCTCCTGCCTCAGCCTCCTGAGAGCTGGGATTACAGGTGTGCACCACCACACCCAGCTAATTTTTGAATTTTTAGTAGAGACAGGGTTTCTCCATGTTGGCCAGGCTGGTCTCCAACTCCTGACCTCAAGTGATCTGCCTGCCTCGGCCTTCCAAAGTGCTTAACATTTTAAATTAATGCAGACTTACATTTCTAGGCTTTTCTTAATATTGCGAGTTTTGCTGATACCCAAACAAAATGGACTTCCCTCAAGTGGAATTGAATTTGCCTCATGGTAACTGTTGCACAGAGCCTAACTTGTTAGGAGGTAGGATAAAAGAACACTTTTTGTAAAAAAGAACACAAGCCTGGGAGTCAAATGGGCGCAGTCCTGCCTACAACTGACAGTGTCTACCCTGGACAAGCCATTTAACCCCTTAAGAGCCCATTCCCTCCTCTGTAAAATTACTCATTAAAATGAGTACTCACTTGGGTTAGATCTATGTTGAATATCCTCCTAGTAGTGCAGCCTTGTAAACAGTCCCAGAAGGACGTGTCTTGCCATGTTGTAATTCAGCCTTGCTATACCAGGATGTGGGGATGGATGGGAGTAGGGAGGCAGGGGTTGGATAAAATGAGAGAAATCAAGGAATCTCAGAGCATTTCCACCGTTAGCATCATTCCCACACTCTGACTTCTGGGAACTGCCACATTTTTAGCACCCTGTTATTTGGAGAGACACAAGATAGGAAGATGCCACAATGAGACATTTTCTTATTCTGAACCCTCATCTAGCTCCCCCAACCGAGCTGGGGGTGGAATGGCAGAGGCAGCAAAGGTCACACTGCTAGGAGTAGACTGAGCATTAGAGAGGACACATCCAGAAATGCAGCAGGAGCCCATCTTGGTGCATGTGTCCCTCACTTCATGGGAAGCCATGTGCGTTCAAACAGCAGCTACACAAAGCACAGTTTTGCAAAATCACTCTTCAGTCATCTATGCAGGAGATGTTAATCCTGCTCCAAGCATCATAAGAAGGTTGTATTAAATGTCTGCTGTTGATTTCCTTTATGAGGTTGGTTTCTGCCCAACAGGTCAAGTGAGGCAGGACCAGCAGAAATTGAGAGCGAAAGAGGAAGGGAGCCCATATTCACAGAGAATGTGCTCCAAAATGCAAATGACTGGCCAGGCACCGTGGCTCACGCCTGTAATCCCAGCACTTTGGGAAGCTGAGGCGGGCAGATCACCTGAGGTCAGGAGTTTGTGGCCAGCCTGGCCAACATGCTGAAACCCTGTCTCTACTGAAAATACAAAAATTAACCAGACGTAGGGGTGCGTGCCTGTAATCCCAGCTACTAGGGAGGCTGAGGCAGGAGAATCACTTGAACTCAGGAAGTGGAGGTTGCAGTGAGCTGAAACAGCCCCATTGCACTCCAGCCTGGGCAACAAAAGCGAAACTCCATCTCAAAAAAAAAAATGCAAATGACAAATAGAGGGCTTGGTTCTTAGGACAATGGTTAAAGAGCAGCAAAGAATATGCTCAAATAGATTTGAAGTCGGTTGCTAACAAAATCACACAAGGCAGCAGGACATTTGCTGTAGAAACAGTAAATATTGCAGTCAGCCAAGAGACAATATCTGACTCACAGGCAAATAACGATGTATAAAAATTGTCTTTTTTTCTTATTAAAGATTTTTTCAAATTAACACATTGAATCTTTTCTTTTGGTTGACAAAGCCAAAAGACAACTGACACCCAAAGGGAAGAAACAACCAGGGAAAAAGCCAAGTTTCTAAAAAATTAAGACATTTCTTCCATTTCTTTCCTAGTTAATAACTCAGGCTTCTCTATAAGGAGCAAAACTGCACATATACAATTGGCCTTCACTTTGTGTGTTCATAGTCCCACAAGAACTAGCCAAGCCTGCAGAAAGTCTTGTCAGAGCATTGTCAGGCTTTAGACCCTAAGGCCTGGAAGGGCCTGCAAAAAGCTTAGTAAATGGAGACATTTGGGCGAGCCCCCAGATCTGGGAAGTCAGGCTTACAAATGGTCAAAACAGTCAACGTTTCCTATTGCAAGTCCTAGGTAGTCATTAGTGGTGGAAATCCTGAGTAGTTTGATGGTGTCATCCCTATTTTCCAGATCAGAGGTGAGGATAGAAGTTGACTAAGGAAGGTATCCAACCACCACCTGCAGCGTCAGGGAGTGCTGGAATCAGGCCTCAGCCTTGTCTCCCACAGCCACATCAACCAGCCTGCTGCCTGTCAAGGCTCCTAGACACTCGCTCAAGATTCCAGAAACTACTCCAGCTTCACTCAATGTAGACTCACCTCCACTGTCTGTCCCTGCTGCTCCCTGCCCCACACTAAGAGACTCACCAGGAAGGTCTCTTCTACTCCCATCTCTAAGAGAACACAAGGATTGAAGTGCTTGCAAATCCCCTAAGAGTTCCTTAAATTTTCAAGGTACTATTTTAACCACCTCCTCCATCCCTTAAAGCCTGAGGAATTGGACAGGCAGGCAGGGAAGCTGTTTGGCTCGGGGATGGAAGAGTCACTTGGCCGCTTCCTCTTCCTTTTGCCTCCCAAGAAGTAATGGAGTAGTAACACAAGTCTCCCCTCTTTGCCACCCCATCCACCAGACAGGTATGGCCAAGAACCAGAAAATTCTCCATTCTGGAGACTGTCCCCACCTCTTCGTAGGTGCCAGTGGAACATTTGCTGGGGGAAGAAAAACTGAAGCTGTTTGTTGTCGTTTTTTAATCGTCGAGAAAGATTTATATTCGTTTTACACTTGAATAGAATTTTTTAGGGAAGAAATGATGAGAATTGGGGCTGAAATATTCCATTTATTTGGGAGCTTGGATGACTGTCACTTGGCAAATTAAAGGCACTTGTGTCGGGCTCAGGAACACACACACTCTCCACTACTCCTTTCCTTAGCCACATGTGGTAGTTTTCACTTTTTACAATAACTCTTCATGGGAGAAGGATGAAAATTGCACTGAGCTTTTCTTACAACTTAATGAAGTTTCAGGAAAGAAATCCGAGCCTTGCTCTGGCGCTCTGATGCTGCATCTTTGTAAACAGTGTGGCAAGGGGCTTTGCAAGATTTATAGGAAACGGCATTGGCAGAGAAAACGTTAGCTCCTGCTCCGGCCCCATAAAGCTATGCTATTGGCTTTGTAAAGCTCTCCAAAAAATGAGATGGAAAACAAACTGAAATCAACACCATTCAGTTCACTGCTAGCCAGGGGCCTCTAAAGTTTATCAATGGGGGTTCACCTGCTTCCCAAAAGAAAAGAGTTTTGTCCCTGAAATAAAAGGCTTGTAAAATCTCTCCCCTACAAGATGGTAGTGACATGAGGATTTTCAAATCAGGGCAAAATGATAGGAAAGAAATGGTCATTTTTTGCATGTCAGAAGGTGAATTTGATACCAATGTCTGTTAGGCAGAGACAGCCACACAAGTAAGCATATGCAAGGAAGCTCTTCACATATGGCTTGGGTTACCTAGAACCAAGTCATTAATTGGGGGTGGCCAGGCTAATTATGAGATTGGAAAGGGAAGAAATGAGTAGGAGCAACATTCCTTGTGAGTAGGGTTTTGTGTAACAGAATATAAAGTCTTTATTGCAGACTTTATGACAGGGAAGGGAATGATTAATTATCAAACAGCATCTCCCCCATCCTGAAATAAAAATTTCCAAATGTCTATCTCACAGGTCTTGCTCCTAGAGCCGCCTTTCTCTTCAGCCCAACATGAAACAGTTTGCAGGTTAACGTGCCCATTAAGCCTCCGCCAGGCCGGGCCCTCCTCAGCATTCCCTGCTGTAGGAGTTGTAAATAAGGAGCTGTGCATGGGATTTTGCTGAATAAAAGAGAGTATGTACTTCTAAAGTCACAACCAGCCTTCCCCTCTCCCCATCAACCTCTTTAATTTAAAGTTGACGGCTTGTTTCTTCACCCTGTCAAGTTTCAAATACGTTTCCTTTTCCTCTAACCGTGATAGGGGAATGTCAAGTTCTCTGCAGAGGAGGAAGAAGTGCTTCAATCATGCATCTGAATGTACTTGCACAAAAGAGCCCCAGTGCTGATTTGCCAAACTGCTTTGAGGGGTAAACTTTGGCCCTCACCACCCTGAAGACAAAAGCAGGCACACATAAATGCCACGACAGCTCCTGGCATGGCCCCGGTCGGGCCACGCATTCATGCCGAGAGTGTGGAATTTCACTGTCACATAAAACCACAGCTGGGTCAAGAGGCAGATACACTAATCGAGGAGCAGAGCAGGAGCTTTCAATGTCTCCTCTCCAGCTTCAAAGATAGGGGAGATGAAGCAGTCCTTCTGGCAGGCTTCAATGGAATGAAATGTCCAAGCAAAGTAACTTCAGTCCACCAGTGAATCTGCCGGCAGATCCACAAAGCAATAAATAATAAACAAATATGTACTGAATACCTATTCTGTGCAAGGCACTAAGATAAGAACTTGTTAGGAGCATAGAGAAATGCAGCAGAGTTCTGCTCTCAATGGGGGTGAAAGCCCAGACACTGCTGATTAGCTATACATGACAGCATATGGATGTCCCGTGAGTGACAGTTGTCTCTCCAATAGCCAATACCCCTTCTCCCGGCTAAGAGAACGTTGATTTTGTTCAAGCACCAAGTGGCTATGCGTTTTCCTAAGGGGCTGAGTGAGCTGCTTCACAGCTCTAGGGGATGAATTTATTTATTTTTAATTATTATTTTTTAAGACAGTCTCGCTCTGTCACTCAGGCTGGAGTGCAATGATGCCATCTCAGCTCACTGCAATCTTCACCTCCCAGATTCAAGCAATTATCGTGCCTCAGCCTCCTGAGTAGCTGGGATTATAGGCGTGTGCCACCACATCTAGCTAATTTTTGTATTTTTAGTAAAGACGGGGTTTTGCCATGTTGGCCATGCTGGTCTCAAACTCTGACCTCAAGTGATCTGCCTGCCTGGGCCTCCCATAGTGCTGGGATTACCAGGCGTGAGCCATCACACCCGGCCAGGGATGAATCTTGATTGTTCTTTTTTTTTTTTTTTTTTTTTTGAGACAGAGTCTTGCTCTGTCACCCGGGCTGGAATACAGTGGAGCGATCTCGGCTCACTGCAAGCTCCGCCTCCGGTTCTAAATTCTGCCTGCACATTATAATCACCTGGAGGGTAGTTTAAAACTTCCATAACTGGGCCCCATCTCTAGACTCTGATTTAGTGGGTCAGACATAAAATCCAAAATCCAATCGTTTTCAAACTTCTCTGGGTGATTGTAATGTACTGCTAATTCTGGGAATCGATGGTCTAAGTCAACATTTCATTCCCTTCTCAGTGATTGGCCTAGGGTCGGTCATGTGATTCAGTTCAGGTCACAGATATGTGGAGGTGTCGGGAGGCTTCCAGGAACATTTTCTATAGGTTTAAAAAGACGAAAGGAAGGTGTATGTGCTTTTTCCTTTTCCAAGCTTTGGATGCTGTTTTTAAAGGAGGAAGGTTTGAACAGGTGCAAGCAATGTGTGATGGAGAAAGAAAAAGTCAACAAGGGCTAATACCCAGAGGAAGGCAGAAAAGAAAGATGGAAGGAAATGGGTCCATGATGACACTGCTGGACCAATGAAGTAACTAGAACTGCAACCTCCATGCCTCTAGACCAGTGGACTCAAAACTTGGTTGCATACTGTAAACACCTGGAGTGTTTTTTAAAATATGGATGCATGGATCTCACCCCTAGAGGATCTCATTTCATTGGTAAGTGATGAGGTGTGATCATCAGGATTTTAAAAATACTTCCAGGTGGTTATGTTGTGCAGCCGAGTTTGAGAACCACCGTTCTAGATGTCTTGTTGAGTGAGACAATAAATTTCCCATTGTGTAAGCCAGTGGTTCATAAAGTGTGTTCCCCCTGACCAACAGCATTAGCCTTACCTAGGAACTTGTTCGAAATACAAATTTTTCGGCTTTACCCCTGTGCTGCCTAATCAGAAAATTGGGGAGTTGGGAGCAGCAATTTGTGGTTTCACAAGCCCTCCTCGTATTTTAATGCATGCTACAGCTTAAAAACCAATGGTTGATACTTGGCTTCTTGTGTTCTGTTACTTGCAGTCCAAAGCATCCTAACTGATACAGAAACTCGGAGGGAAAAAGAATGACCTCAGCTGACAGGATTTGGATGGATGAGGTGGAAGGGAGCAAAGCATGCAAACCTCTCATATAGAATAGAATTTTTACAGTATATGTAGGAAGTGAGAGGAGTGGAGGGGGGCAGTGGGGTGCCAATCTAGCGGCAGCAGAAGAAGTTTCTAAAGAGTTGAGAAAACTAAATCTAAAAACACAGATTAGAGCCATATTCATTAGGACCTTGAGTGAGAGATTAAAGATATTAATAATACATTATCCTGTAAGTAATGGCAAGCCACTAAAGCATTTGGAAGAGAACAGTTTTAAGGGGGAAAAGAGCAAAAGTGATATTTTAGATGATTAAACTAGATGTGTAAATTGGGTAGATTGAGGGGAAAGGAGAAGGAAGGTGCAAGGAGACAAATTTGGAGACTGCACATACATTCTGGTGTCCTTCCTCAGCATCTGAAATATTCTCTGTGATGCTGAGGAATAGGAAGCTTCATCAAGTAGACACTGGGCTAATCCTGCTTGGAAGTGGGACTCAGAAAAGCTGCTTCAACCTCCACTCTCCCAGGTGCCTGAGGTTCCACCCAGTGTCTCTTCACTGGAGTGTTAGTTTCCAGCAATGCAAAGCCTCACGAATTCCCTTATGGTGATGAGGACGAGGTAAGTCATTCTCTAGGAAATAAACAGAGGAGGAATCAGGTTCATGGTCCGGGGAGATCCTGCCTGCTCTGAGTGCCGTTTCCCAAGCTGGACCAGAAATAACTGCAATAGTGTAGAATTCTCTGCCTGCTCACAGGTTGTGATTTTTGTGCTGGCAGTCACACAGCCTGAAGCGCCAGGCATCACAAAACAAAACTTACAGCTTTTTCTCTTGGCTGATATCACATCAGTGATATGAAATCTCTCCCACTGCCATCATTAGAACCAGTTGGCTGGTTGTCACTCTCAAGAATGGCTTAAAATCATCCCGGTTTTGAGAAATTCCATTTACCAGGAAGACTTCCATGTTGGATGCAAAATTAAAATCATGTAAGATGACATATGTTTGAAATACACTTCAGATAAAGATTTGTCTTTTGAGTTACATTTTCCTCAATATTTTATCATAAAAATTGTCAAACAGAAAAGTTGAAAGAATTGTACAGTGAGCAAGAACATTTTCCTATATTGCTTTACCATATATCTGTCCAACTACCCAGCTCTATCCACGCTGTAGTCCATTTAATTTCTTTGATATATTCAAAGTTGCAAACATCAGTATACTTCACCCCTAAACACATCAATATGCATATTTAAACTAGAGTTCAATATTGTTCCTTTTTTAGGTTAAATTTACACTGAATAAAATGTGCAAATCTTAAGTGTACCATTCTATGAGTTTCCAGTCACCTTAGGCTTATATTTATATTTTAATAAAACTCACATTAATTAATTGGCATGTCCTAAGTGTGTGTCTCGCCGCAGTGTTTTTATCAGCTGTTTAACAAGAAATAAGCAGACACAGTGGGACGTGTTAAAAACATCTTATCGTTTTCACATAATAAAACATGGATACTTTTTCATCTGATGTTCATGAGATAATAAATATTGTCTGGTGTTAGAAGCCAACAGCAATTAAAACGTTAATTGAAAATGTCCTCCCATCCTTCTTGTAATGTCTGGAAAGGTTTAACTGGTGGGTTTCTTTAAATAACAGGATGACCTGTTTAAAAAAGAAAAACTTTATTTGCAAATAGCCTCTGTGTGAATCTGGGTTTTCTTAGGATTGTATAACCTAAACCAAACACATCAGGTGCTGAGGCTGATGTAAGACACCAGCTGCCACCATAACCTCTGATTTCCAATGTTTTGTTTATAAAGAAAGCCTCTTTACACACACTGATTGACTAATCGGTTACCAGGATAAATGTAAACTTTCAAAAGAGAACATTTAAAATAAATGCTTGCCTACCGGTGCTTTAGATAAAATAAGACTTCTCTTGAAAAAAAATTCCAAGGTTAAAAAAAAAAGTTTGAAAACCACTGAATCTTATCCATCTCCCTCAGCCTATTGGTGAGAAAACTGAAGCATGAGGACCAGAACTCTTGGCTCTTTTGGTTCTAGTTCCTTTCCACTATATACTATAGTGATTAAATTAATCAGTAAGGATTTATTGTACATAATTATGTGCCCAGCAGTGTGTTTGATTCTGTGGGATTTAGAAAAGTAGGCTAAAATATGGTGCCCGTCTCATTCCAGACAACTAGCCCCAGAGACGAGTTTCTGATCCTGATGAAGAAGAGAGACATGGGTAAAACAATGCAGGGATGGCATGAGTTCTAAACTGCACAGATTACAGAAGCATGACTTGAATCCAGAGGAGGAGGGAACTGGAATCGCTGGGTAAATTAAGTTTGTGTAAGGAAAGGAGAGGTTGGGAACAGCACTCAACAGGGCAGCCTAGGATGCGTTTTGTGTGCAAAGATGTATAGATTCACTTGTACAACACATATTCTACAGTGCCTTTGGGAGTTGTCTAAGCTGATTGCTCATTTCATTTACTGTGGGAAAATTCTAAGTCCTCCACATTTCCATTGACCTGATCTCCAGACCTTGGGATTTGCCTTCTAGTTTGAAGTAATGCCAACTCTAAATAAAGTCAAACCTACAGGGGTCCCATTATCGCTAATCTAGAAAGGATTGGAGATTCTTTCTTTCCTTTCTTCCTTCCTTCCTTCCTTCTTTCCTTTCACTTGCAATGGAGAGCATGAGGATAGGAACAAGATAAAAGCAACACGGTATTTTCTAAAAACAAACAAACAAACAAAAAAAACTTGCAGCAAAATGGTAAGAAATGAAACCACTACCAAGATCATGTCCAATCCAAACTGAGGAGGGCAGCAGCTGGATTCAATTAACTTTGCGCAAAAGTCCTCCATCAAGCCTTCTGCCTTCTGAAGTGATAAGCATTACCCATGTTGCAAAGATTATTTAATTTTCTAAGATCTTGGTCTTTGGCATTGTTCAGATCTGGTTCCACTAATACTGGAAGCTCTAAGCCTCCTGGTTCACTGCTTTGAAAATCTAAAACATATGACAAAGAAATTCTAGTGAACTCAACAAGAAATCTTGCTTATTCAAAATTACCAATCAATTCAAATGTCCTGCTGTATAAGTGGAGTGCCACATGTTCAAAGCCTGTAAAATTTAGATGTTGTTTACCCAAGCAGCTTGCTAGGATGGCAGGCCAGGCATGAAAAATGTCGGCACTCATTCCTGTAACTGTACACTGCTCTCACTCCCAACCTGGAACTGGCTATTGATATTCAATAGTGCCCCAGGGCCCCAGGAAAGTTCTTAAATAACCCTGCTTGTTGTAAGCACTCAGAGCTACCTTTTGGAGACCATTGCCTGTAGCTGTGCAGCCTCAAGAATAATAACTAGGTCGTTCACGAAACACAAATGCTCTCAAATAATCTGAGCATTCCCAAAAGTCATCCTGCTGTCCTGAACTTTTACTTTTTTGGGTCAGAAAGTCAGGCTATGCCTGCACATGTCTGCCCTCTAAAAAGCACCATGCTTATACTACATTTCTTACATCTACATGCCAAACCAAGTCATTGCCTGATTTTTTATTTCTGCATCTTCTAAATGTCTCTGAGCAATATTCACCCAAACTAAACATCCTGCAGAGGCAAATATCTAAGTAAATATTATTGTGGGATAATGTATTCATGAAGAGCAAGGGGAGTGTTTTATTGTTGAGAATGGGTAGGATCATGGGAAATTTACTACCTTTTCTTCCACAATCAAGGAAGACTTAGTAAGGAAGTTAGGTACGCAAAAAGAAAATGTGTTTCAATTTGGGGCAAAATGAATCTTAATTCTACATAAGAAAGTAACCATCTTGCAGTGAGCCAAGATCACGCCACTGCACTCCAGCCTGGCAACACAGCGAGACTCCATCTCAAAAAAAAAAGAAGAAAAAAAGAAAAAAAAGAAAGTAACCATCAGAGTCAGAGTCAGATATCACTCCTTGGTGGCTTCACCATACAGGGACATCTCAAAGGTCTCCTAGCAGCAAGCAAGGAGTTCCAGGATGGTAGGAAGGTGACTACATGTGAGGTCATAGTTTAGCCAAATTTCTTCAGCACTAAGTTTATTCTTTGCCAGTTCAGAGGAGCCTCCTCCTAATACCACTTTTGGGGCCAATGGATCCTGTTGTACATGCTGCTGAAAGGAAGTGAGAAACTAAAGGCATCAGAATGCAATATAGTTCCTTATGAGTTCTAGAGAGGAGCCTGGGTCCCTAGCGTCTGCCTGGCCTGACAAATTGAATTAACCAGCTTCCTGGAAGCAGCAAGTGACCCATTCCATTAAGCAGGTAGACATTTTATTGTCATCTTTGACTGATGAGCTATTCATGGAATTCCTCTTCTCTTTGAGATTTCACTCACTTAAATTCCTATTATGCATCATGTATGCAGCCCACATGAAGATAACATGGCTTGATTCTCCTTGATGGAGCAAGCTAATGCCTCCTGAAATTGATTATATTGGTGTTACGACTTTAAGTGAGGGTTGAGCTTAGGATATCGATCTCAGTTTGCAAAGTGTTTCTTTAATCACTTGATTGGTTATTCTTTGAGGTATTTAAACTGGCTTCCTGCCCCTAGGCTGAATATCCAGATCCCAGGTTCATTTCTAAGATGATTAGGGCCAGAGGTAGCTAAATTAGTAGTCCAAGGGTTACAGACCCAGTCCTCAAAAGCAGATCAAGATGCTCTGTAGACATTGTGAGGGGAAACTGAAAGAGGATGAGAAAGAGAACAGACATTGTTGGGCAAATAGCCCTTCATCCACAACAGATGAGATACCTCTTTCCAAAACACTCAGGAGGCATCCTGCCAACAGAGTGTTCAATAGTAAACAGCCACTCCATCAACAAGGAATTAGAGCAGCTTTAGGAGGAGGCAGATCCACAGACAAGGGTATATCCAGAAAGCCCAGGCTTACAGCGGGGAGGCCCCTAGGCCAGGTCTGAGAATCTGATATGGGACTGGTCCCTGCAGATGGGTCAGGAGAGCAGCACCAGAAAAACCACATCTTTTGGGCTCACAGACCTCTTCATAAGTCATTCCCAACCTCCTGAGGAGCAGCACGCTGGCCAGCTCTGATGGAGTTCACAAGTTCACTCCACTAACAAAGCCTGAACCTCTGAGTCCAGCCCACAGTCATGTTTCACTCAGGCTTTCAAGGAGCTGGTGTTCATTGAACATTTCCACAGCTGAGAAAGGTCCCAAGTCCTCAGAGCTGTTGTTGTTTGTGTGTTAACCTCTCAGGGACTCCAAGAAGAGTAATGTTACAAAGAACTCCAGCTCCAGAGGCAGGAGAAACCTGAGTTCTAATCCCAACTTTGCCACTTATTAGCTGTTTGACCTTGAACAAGTCGCCTCACCTTTTAAAATATCAATTCCTCATCTGCAAAACAGCGCCTACCTTGCGGCCATTGTAAACTTTTGAGCAGTAGATTTGATAATGCTGGCAAAGCCCATGCATGGGACAGTGCCTGTCACACAGTAAGAGCTCAGGGCACCATGGTTATTATTGTCCCCTGTAGCCACACAGTTTTCTCAGCGCCTAAGTCACACACAGAAACACACACACATACATACACTCGGTCTCCCTCCACTGTCCTCTAACCTCTGTTCTCTGAAAAGTACAAATTCTGGCCAAGCACAGTGGCTCACACATGTAGTCCCAGCACTTTGGGAGGCCGAAGCAGGTGGATCACCTAAGATCAGGGGTTTGAGACCAGCCTGGCCAACAGGGAAAAAGCAGTCTCTACAAAAATACAAAAATTAGTCAGGCATGGTGGCGGGTGCCTATAGTCCCAGCTACTCCAAATGCTGAGGCAGAAAAATTGCTTGAACCCAGGAGGCGGAGGTTGCAGTGAGCTAAGTTCGTGCCACTACACTCCAGCCTGGGCGACAGAATGAGACTCCATCGCACGCACGCACAGACACACACACAAAGTACAAACTCTTGCAATAGAAGATATTTTAAACCTAGGCAGGCTCAAAAATATTTAATGAGTGCTCTCTATATGCAACGTACTGAGCTAGATACCATGTCAGGCGCTTTAAAGGTGGATGCAAATTTGTGTTAAAGAATTGGGAAATGGAGTTAGATAGAAAACTTAAGTCACAAAGGCCTCTCTTTTTCTTTTTCAAACAGTTCCTGAAATTCTATCTTCTTTATAGAAATTTTGTTAAATAAGAAGGGGAGGGAGTGCTGTTGGAAATCTTCCATGAGCCATTTCCTTAGTGGAGATACCCAGACTAAGGCATTAGGCCATATGATGAGTGATGACAGGAGTGAAAATAGTACCTGAAGCTCCCAACAAAAATGTAGGAACATTGATGGTTATTTCTGATTTAACTGTGCATTGACAAATCTTAATATCACGCTGCCTAATACCTAACCTAGCCTTATATATGGCATCAGAATTTCCCTCTTTGAAGGCATCACTATCAAGTTCTGGCTTTTTCTGGGGATATGTCATCTCTAGGACCCAGCTGAAGGCCAAGTAGACAGAAAGGAGAATAAACCCACAAGGTATTTACACCCTTCCCTTAATCCCAAAGCAATATATATGAATATTATACCTATAAAAACAGACTTTCATATACACCACACAAATATATCATGCCCTTATTCTTGGCAAGCACCCAACTAGCCCCAGCTGCAGACTTAAGCGAAATCTCTTAGCAGCCACTTGTGGTGGCCATGAAATATGATCAGGCTGGAGTCATATTTCTGATACCTGTTCAACTTTGAAAACAAAGTCTGGAGAAACAACTGAATTTATCTTCAGGTTGCCCATTCAAAAAGTGGGGAAAGCTCAAGGATTTTCTCTGTTGGCAGAGATTTGTAAACTGCTTCAACCAAAGTTAAACTGGGGAGAATATATGTCTCATGGAAGGCAACAAGGGAACTTTAAACACATGACAACCGTGCTTAAGTTGGTGCAGACATTCTACAGAAAAGGACAAGCCAGTCTCTGCCAAGCCCTGAGACTCCTGAAATGATTAGGGGAGCACAGAAAATTCAGCCCAACTGTGGACAGGGTGAATTTCCACAAATCTATAACTCCATCTGCTTACTCTGCTCCACGAAGGCACTGCACTGTTTTCAATTCCAATTTAATGTGTATGTGTTTAGTCACTAATGTGTGTCTAAGGATGGCGTTTGTTTGAAATGTCAGAAGTGGTGAGAGGAGGGCAGGGAAAGACTCCAGAGAAGTGTAAGTCATAACTCCTGCCTCTACTATCTGTAGATAGCAAACTGTACACACCTACACCCACACACCCCCAACACACACACACACCCAACATACACACACAAAGAGAGGAATCAGAATGGATTAGACAAATCTCCATGGAGAACAGTGATATGGTTTGGCTGTGTCCCCACCCAAATCTCATCTTGAATTGTAGTTCCCATAATCCCCATGTGTCATGGGAGAGCCCTAGTGGGAGGTAATTGAATCATGGGGGCGGTTACCTCCATGCTCTTCTTGTGGTCGTGAGTGAGTTCTCACAAGATCTGACAGTTTTATAAAGGGCTTTTCCCCAACTTCGCTCTGCACTTCTTGCTGCCACCATGAGAAGAAGGACGTGTTTGCTTCCCTCTTTCACCATGATTGTAAGTTTCCTGAGGCCTCCCTAGCCATGCTGAACTGTGAGTCAGTTAAACCTCTTTCTTTTATAAACTACTTAGTCTTGGGTATGTCCTTATTAGCAGCATGAGAACGCACTAACACAAACCGGGATGTGAACTTGGACTTAGTGTTCATTCATTCATTTACTCGTTCACCAAATAGTCACACCCTATGTACCACAATGTTCCAGGCACTGGAAATGTGGTAAGCAAAACAAGGCACAGTACTTGTTCTCACGGTGCTTTCTAAGAGATGACCAGACTTCCATCACATCTCTTTGTAGAGCCAATAGTGGCAGTTTCCACATCCTTGCTTTCACCCTTCTTGTAGTCCATCCAGTTAGTCATCCATTTCCATTGTTCCTGGTGCTTCTCCAAGAATCTTCCTAAAGGCTCCCATTTATTGATGGCTTATCATGTGTGAGACACTGCTAGAAACTTTACATGCATTCTTGCATTGAATCCTTGAACCAATTGTTGTTGTTGTAGTTGTTGTTGTTTGTTTTTTGTTTTTTTCAGACGGAGTCTTACTCTGTCACTCGTTTGGAGTACAGCGGCACAATCTCGGCTCACTGCAACCTCTGCCTCCCAGGTTCAAGCGATTCTCCTGCCTCAGCCTCCCGGGTAGATGGGACTACAGGCGCGCACTACCATGCCCAGCTAATTTTTGTATTTTTAGTAGAGATGGGGTTTCACCATGTTGGCCAGGATGGTCTCGATCTCTTGACCTCATGATCTGCCCACCTCGGTCTCCCGAAGTGCTGGGATTACAGGCATGAGCCACCACGCCTGGTCTGAACCAATGTTATATAGTCAATGTGCTTATCCTCACTTTCAGCTTAGGGTTCAGGCCCAGAGAGGTTTAAACTTGACCCAAGTCACACAGTTTAGAAGAATTCAGATGCAAGCCTCTCAGATTCTAAAGCAACCTACTCTATGAAGTATTCCTTAAAGATCTAGTTGTACAGCTTAAGGACCTCATGGAACAAATATGTTGTTATCACCTTCCTCAGAATAAAGAGGAAATGGTGCAGGTGGATATAAGGTTTTAAAAACTTCGTTTTAACCACAATGCGATACTAACCTTACTCCTGCAAGAATGGCCACAATCAAAGCATCAAAAGACCGTAGATGTTGCCATGGATGCAGCGAACAGGGAACACTTCTACACTGCTGGTGGGAATGTAAACTAGTACAGCCACTATGGAAAACAGTGTGGGGATTCCTTAAAGAACTAAAAATAGAACTACCATTTGATCCAGCAATCCCACTGCTAGGTATCTACCCAGAGGAAAAGAAGTCATTATTCGAAAAAGATACTTGCACATGCTGTTTATAGCAGCACAATTCACAATTGCAAAATCATGGAACCAATCCAAATGCCCATCAATCAATAAAAGGATAAAGAAACTGTGATATATATATATATATATATATAAAATGGAATACTACTCAGCCATAAAAAGGAATGAATTAACAGCACTTCCAGTGACCTAGATGAGATTAGAGACTATTACTCTAAGTGAAGTAACTCAGGAATGGAAAACTAAACACCCTATGTTCTCACTGATATGTGGGAGCTAAGCTATGAGGATACAAAGGCAAAAGAATGATACAATGGGGCAAGGGATAAAAGGCTACAGATATAGTGCAGTATATACTGCTCAGGTGATGGGGGCACCAGGATCTCATAAATCACCACTAAAGAACTTACTCATGTAACCAAATACCACCTGTACCCCAATAACTAATGGAAAAATAAAATAAAAAAGCTTCCTTCTGTGGCTATCAAAAAGTAGTTAACCCAGCCAAATGACAATTATACCTTTATTTCTCCTTGGCCAATAAATGAACAACAAATATTTGTTCTTAACACCAAAAATTTAAACAAATGAATTCTTGATTTAACCTTATATCATCTTTTCACTTGTGCTCTGAAACATCAACTTCCTCCTTCCCAAGTCTCCCTGAAAAGGCTGATTTCCAGGTCCTCTTTCTCTTCCTTTCTACTAAATGTTCAACCTCAAGGGCCATCTTCAATAGCATTTGGCAGGCAATGTTCCTGTGAGCCTCAGAAACCCTCCTGCAGAATTGCTGCTCAAACTTCACTCCTCAAGGTGATCCCACAAAGGAGGGGAGACCTGCCACAGTGCCCTGACATTTTCCATGACTTCTTTTAAGGAACAGCTGGGCCGTAATAGAAGGTTACTCAGGGATACCCATAGGCTTGACAGGACCCCGTATTTTAAACAGGGCGGCTACTAAATCCATCCTACTCTGGAATGTTACTACTCTCTCAGGAACCCAAGAGAAGTTTCTGATGCTGATCTATAAATCTCCCTGGCCTAAAATACCCAAAATTAGTTTCTGCGCTATGGGAACATAAAAATGATATGGCTTTTTTCTTTGACATGTCAGTTAATAAAGAGTGGGAGGTGGGGCCCGGATGCTGCCTGCCAGGTTTCTGAAGGGTCTATTCATTAAAAATGGGAAGCACTTTAATTACCTGTTTGGTTTTTTGTTATATGTGTTATTTTTTTTTTTTAAACAGGTCCTATGGACACTCAGGAAATTATATCATTAATTATGCCTGTCAGGATGCTATGTGGCCTAAAGTAAATGAAAATGTCTTACTTAGTGTTTCTTTTTTCTTTTGTTTCATTTTTAGTTTTTAAAATGTTTTAAAAATATTGTTTTTATGTTTCCACAGACTCTCCTATTACACTGTAAGTACTAAATTAACAAAGAGAGTGGATTTATTATTATTATTATTATTTTGGTCCTGGATAATTCAACAAAATGACTGTGAAATCTGTGTGTTTGACTTTGAAACTTGTTGTTGGTTTGCTTAACAGAAAATTTACTTTCCCAAAGTACATGTTACTTAACCTAATATTAGTGCTAATTGGCATTCCTAACATACAGTAGCGATAAGAGAAGAGAGAAGATGACACAGGAGCCTAAATGGTATAGGGAGAGAGCCGCTGGGCTGGGATCACAGATCCCCGAAGGCAGCCCCCACTTAATTGGGGAGACAGGATAATACCTATGGAGTGCCAATCCCCTGATGCTAAGACCCACTGGTTTTTGCAGCCAGGAAAAATTGGTGAGATAACACAGTTTGGTCAGGTCTAAACTGGTAATCAGTGAGTGGGTAATCCTCCCTGGCCAATGCGGAGAACAACATCTTGGCTTTGGGTTATATCCTGCCTAATTGTCCCAGATCTTAGCTCTCATTTGGGCCCTTTGGATTGGGAAGTTAAGGGTATGATTCTCTTGTCTTTGGGAGATAAACCCTATAATACACTTAGAAGAGAGCCTCCATCATGCCCGCAACCGAGGAAGCCCCCAGGGAAGCAGCCATGCATGTTCTTAGACAACTCAGAGAGGGGATAATCTGACCTCTGATGGGCTAGGGGAGAAGAAAAACTTAGCCAATATGTCCTAAAGCCACCATGGTCCTTCTAAATGCTCTTCAAGCCTCTCACCTCCTCCATGACTCAGTGGGTAGTATCCATGGTCACTGCCGTGCTTACTGGAGGGCTCGGCAGGGCAAAGATTTACAAATATCCCCATCTGTGAGGCTGTTCATGAATAAAGACAGTGCCCCCTAACACAGTAATGGCTTCAAAGAATGGATGAGACCCTGAAGTACTCTGCAGGTGGGAGTATAAATTAATGCAACCTTCCTGGAACCCTACTTGGCATAATGTATAAAAACGTTCACTCATGCTAAATCAGAAATCTTCCTGCCAGGAATCTACCTTAAGGAAATAATCAGAGATGGGAACACAGATTTATATTCAGGAATGTTTATCGCCACATTATCATAACAAAAAAATAAAGGAAACAAACTAAACATTGACAATAGGAGATTGGTTGAATAGATTCTGAGACAGCTGCATCGTGGAATTGGAAAGCGCTGTTAAAAGTCATGTTTCGAAAAATATTTAATGGCATGAAAAAATATCCATGTTAATAGTGCCTGAGTTATTGGAGTATCATGATTTTTATATAGTCCTGTGTTTTTTCAAGTTTTCCACAATTAGCAAGAATTAGTTATATTCAGAGGAAAAAATACATTATTGTAGAACAAAAAGAAAGAAAAAATGTTGTGCCTAATCTTCAACCAAGCAATGATTTGGGCTCCATACTGATCTCAAGGACAGATGGGGGACCCTTTTGTATTTGAATGGAAGGTGATCATTCATTCACTTTGGAGAGCTCCACTAACACTGATTGGTGCAGTGTTCTAGCCTCTCTTGCACGCACAGTCTCTTCTAGAGGAACCCAGGGAGGCATGCTATAGATAGTGAACTTTAGATAGTGAATCCTATAGTGAACTCTAGATAAACACTACAACCAAAGTTTGTGCAGAAACCAGTGCCAAGCTGATAAGGTAGCCAAGCTCAGAAGGGCTGGTTTTCCTCTTGAGCTCTTTAAGGGGTGTCTAGCAAAGGTCCCACTAATATTGATGGTGGCCTTAGACTGAAAGGGCAGGACACTAGTCATTAAAACAGAGTCAACTGTCCCACAGCACTTGCCGCCAGTGTAATTGGTGTCTTGCTTTCCCATGCCCTTATTCCAGGAAAACATTATTTGATTGGGTTTGGGGTTTTTGTAAACTTCAGTGACCCTTTTAATGAAGGTCTATATCCTCCATCCCTTTAGTAAACTCAATATGTATTTGTCAGAGGCCATTTTTTCCCTGCCACCCTCTGGGTTTACATTAGGACTATGTCAGTCACGTCACAGGGCGGCATGTGGAAGAAGATAAAACTTCCCAAACATAAAAAAGCTCCATCTTTAGTCAAATCCCAGGCACACTTTGCCAAACATTTTCCCCTGAAATTTTCAAGGCCACGTGTTTGAGTGGGAAATTTAATCCACATGTTTCTGATTCATATGTACACTTAATGCATCAAAATATCATCTCTTTGAAGTCCAAATGGCCTTTTTATAGACGTCTTTCTTAGGAATGGAAAGTTGTGCTTGGCCAAGAACTAACAAATTCGAACCCTTCGAAGTCCAAGTTCCTTTCAAAGTTCCCAACTCAGGAGATTGAACAGGCTTTGAAATACACCCTACATCCCTCCAGCCACCCCATTGTGACTGTAAATCTTGGGATACTTCATTCCACCATGCCTTTTCGATCTTGATCACCTGCTTCATGGAAGTGTCCATTGAAAGTCAAGTGGTTAAGAGCTACCTGCCAGGGAATTACCACAACATTGCTGTGAGGAAGAGTGGATAGAAAAAGCACTACCCCCAACCCCCTCCACAAACCTGAGAAGGAACTTAAGTGATTGGCCAAGAGTGACAGAGTGATTGGGGGCAGAGCCAGCAGTTCAGCCTCAACTGCAGACAAAGGGTAGGATTCCAGGCTTTCCCTGGGAACCCTCACAGTAAAAGCTCAGAGTTAGAAGATTTGGATTCAGAACTTCCACAATTCTATTCCCAAATGTTACATTGCAGACACTGTTCCAAACCTCATGCTGAACGGATGGGATTGTAAGCCTATAGAGCCTCTTCAAATCTACTATCTGAAGATTTGAAACATAAATCAAGCTGTCAAAACTAGAAATTGGGGAAGAAAATTAGAAAAGATGGGAAAGAATTACCATCTCATGCAATGTTTCCATTAAGTTAAGTTCCATTTAGTTAAGTCCAGTTCCACCAGATGGGCTTCAAATCACTAATAGTTGGTCGATTGTCTGAGTTAAGTAGAGAGGATCTCCTCTTTGCCTCTGACCTCCTCTCCAGATAGTAGGTGCCCTGAAAGCAGGTCTCCGTCTAATTCATTGTCATACCCTCCACTGTGCGTGAGAGATGGTGGTGGTCAATAAACTTTTATTGAATAAATTGAGTGTGGCTATCTAAATAAAATTTAATGGACTCTCCTATTGTTCTTTTGAACATCTCTTTACCTCTTTTCGCTCACTTGTACTTCCAAAATTTGACTGAAGAAAAACTTTCAGCATCATTCCCCAGTGTACCAGCCATTAGGCAATATTTAGTAAAAAATAAATCAAATCTGTATCTTAAGCAATTTGCTTGCCTTCTATCATTAATCATTTCAAGTGGGCGGGTGAATGGTCATTTGCAAATGGGCATAAAACACGGAATGTGGGCTGAAAATTCCGTTAAACTTGCCTTCTTAAGATAATAACTGAAAATGTTTATCAACTCAAAGATAATGCATCTAAAAATATCCAGTCTTGTCTACATTAGGGAGTAAGGAAAATGATGGCTTATTATATTTACCCTTTTTAGGCTTTCTAATGAACTTCACCAGTCAAAACCATAATGGTCTACACTCGAGCATATAAAATCAACACAGATTTCAAATTGTTTTTAGCCCTGTCAATCCCCAGGGTTAACATAAAATAAATAAGATGCTCCTTACCTTTCAGCTTTCTTGGCCGAATCTACATCTGTGAGTTTTCAGTAAGGCGAAAACTGAAATAAGCTAGCTAGGCCACCATTTCTTTTTCAAATAGTGTATATTGCTATAACTACCATATGTTTTAGAGAAACCAGTTATGTACTACTTCTGTTATCCAGATGGGAAAAGCAAAACAGGTGGACTATTACATAATATGCCAACAAGCTGAATTTAGAATTTGAAGGTCAGCATCTCCTGCCCATGGCTTAAACCTCTGAGTAGTATCATATCCCAAAAGCTCTTCCTTCCTTTTCGTCTCATGGGACTATGAGGGACCTTGGGTCTGATCTGTTTTTGTGGCTTTTCAAAAAATTCTTAGCTGTCAATTCTTTGTATCCTTTAAAATCTTATGCAAATGCCCAATATGTAAAATCCACATAACTGGGGGGACTCTGGTTGAAGATCAATAGTGGGGTGGTGGGAGCCCTCTGTCCATTTGATCCTGAAAGGACTTAACGGTAAACTAGGACTCCTCCAAGCACAGGTTGAAAACCTGTGAAATAGTTCATTTCTCAAAGCCCAAAAAGATGAAATGACTTGCCTAGGGTCTCTTAGCTAATGACAGAACCAAGCCTAAACCCCAGGTGTCCTAACTCTGTCGAATGCTTTGCCCATTACATTACACTGAAATCAACTAGCAGGGGAAGATTCATTTTCTAAACCAGCAACCCCATCACTATATAATGTATGAGTTCATAGTAAAATGGTGAATATATGGAAAAGAGAACCTTCTTGGATCAAAATAAAGTCATAAATAGAAGGTAGTATAATAGTTTAGATCAGGAATTGGCAAACCTTTTTCCATAAACAGCCAGAGAGTAAACAGTTTATACTTTGCAGGCCATTTGGTCTCTGTCGCCAGTATTTAACTCTCATTGTAGCCACAGACAAGATATAAACGAATAAGTGTGGCTGTGTTCCAATAAAACTTTATTCATGGACTCTGAAATGTGAATTTCATATAGTTTTCACATGTCACAGAGTATTATTCTTTTTTTTGATTTTTCCCCTAAACATTTAAAATTTTAATAAACCATTACTAGCTCACAGGCCACAGAAAAACACAGATGGCTGGATTTGGCCCATGTACGGAAGTTTGTCAACCCCAGTTTAAAAGAAAACTTGTTCCACAAAACTTATGCAGAACTGAATATGCAGGTTCTTTGAGAAATGCTTAGCACATAGTTCTCTGAAGAGCTCAGCCAATGCAGTCACTCCCTGAGCATTAGCATCTGGGTTTCCTTTTATTGAAGTCTTAGAGGGCCAGCAAAACCCCACTGGGGGAAAAAATCATGTCTCTGTTATGGAACCCAACTGAGGGTCTGTGGCTTGCCATGAAGACAAAAAGGTGAGGGTCTGGACCTTAGGGGCAAGATTCCACAGATCTGATGCTGGTGTCACTTTAAGCAGACCACTGAAAACAGTATCTCATTTCACTTTACATTAGGGGAGATCCTAAGAGTCTGGAAGTCACTTACTTGGTTCTTAAATCAAAATCATTAACTCATTGTCTGGCATACATGTAACCATCATGGTATTACCTAACATGGGCAGATGAGGGAGTGTCCATGTGCTGTATTCCATCTTTGGGAAACTGGATGAGTTTTTCCCATGGAAACAATTTTAAGACTAATTAGTAATGTAACCATTACATTAAACAAGCATAACTCATGGTATTTAGCCATAAAACAATTTGCTCAATGGGGTTTAATTGGTAGATACTCCTGGATGAAAATTTGGGCAGTCCCATGACCTTATGATTACCTTTAGAAAATATGAATGCACTCAATCCATTATCTTCTTTTTTTTCTTTTTTTGTGAAACAGAGTCTCACTCTGTCACCCAGGCTGGAGTGCAGTGGCTCGATCTTGGCTTGCTGCAGCCTTCGCTTCCAGGTTCAAACAATTCTCATGCCTCAGCCTCCCAAGTAGCTGGAATTACAGGCATGCACCATCATGCCTGGCTAATTTTTGTATTTTTAGTAGAGATGGGGTTTCACCATATTGGCCAGGCTGGTCTCAAACTCCTGACCTCAAGCAATCCTCCCGTCTCAGCCTCCCAAAGTGCTGGGATTACAGGTGTGAGCCACCGTGCCTGGTTTCAATCGATTATTTTCAATGTCCAATCCCATGTGAACTTCTGTCTTGCTACAAAGTTAAGACTTCTTCCCTCTACCCTTTACCCCTACCTTACCAAGCTAGGACCTGCTATAGTCAAGAAACCTAAGGTTAGGACATGGACTAAAGACAATTTCTTCCCTCTTGCATAGCCCAGTACTTTTCTTCTTCCTTTCTTAGCTTGCTAAATGTGCATCCCAAGCCCTCTGAATTAGAACTCCTGCAGAAGTAAAGGAAGTAGAGCAGGTACATTCCTACTTCATGGATATTATTGTGATACTTCAGCGTTGTCACTCTATGGGCCGAGTAGATGTCTAAGAAAGACACCTGTGTCATGGGCACTCTTCTGGGTTCTTTGGAGATGCTCTACAAACTACAGATCTGCTACCAGAAGAATGCCTTTCTCTTCCAGCTGGCAGCCTGTTCCCTCTTCAGCCCTGAGAACTCCCACTGTACCTCCAGCTTCCCTCTGCAGGGGTCTTTCTATGAGGCCCTGCCAGATAAGGATACCCAGTGCCATCTATCTCTTGCTGCAACACCAGTCATCCACCTGACAGCCCTCGAAGTGCCCGATAAGCCCGCCCCCATGGCCGTCTCCCCTTCATGCCTCAGCTCAGAGCAACTAGCCAGTCCACCTCTCACCTTTTGGACTTTCCAGGTGAAGTCAGACATGAGTATTGACTGCATCCCCTAAGCTCAAGAGACACACAGCTCCAAAGTAGTGTCCTGGAAGCCCCTCTCTCTTCGCTTGAAGTCAATGAGGAAGAACTCCTCCAGGGGGAGCACCTTTGGGTTGGAATCTACTCTCCCCAAAATGCTCCGCACAAATCCTCCTAGGTTTTCCTCTCCTCAATCCTTTTACACACTCAATATAGGTGAAGGACTAAGGGGTCTAAGTTTTTTTACTACCTGTTTTGTAAATCATGGTGTTATGCTTCAGTTTAGAATGTTATTTCCATTGTCGCTGGGCCTCAATAGAAACTTTCATTTGAACCTCCTGTTACATACAGTCATTCAGGAGGACACTTTACCAAAATACACATTTGGGGTGAGGAGACAAAGCCACAGCATTAACAGCACCATGCTGCTGAACCTGGCCACTATGGGCAGAACCGTCCTGATGGAAAAGCCACCATAGTGCCAAGGCCCTGCTTCTCCTGTGTCCCTCCAAGGTATCCCAGCTAACCAATGGAACATCCATTAGCCCCTGAGCAAACTGCACGCTTTACAGTATTTGCTCATGCTGTTCCTTCAATCTGCAATGCCCTCCCCTTTTCTTTCTCGTCTCAAAATCTCGGTGATATTTATCCTTCAAGGCTTAGCAGACATGCCACCACTTCCAGGAAGCCTTTCCTTACAGCCCTCAGCTGAATCCTCTACTTCTGTTGTGCTCCCATAGCACAGAGTTTTTACTTCTTTATGGCCCCAATTTCATTGTCTTTAGGAATTATTTTAGCTAATTGTGTACAATTGTATCTTCACAAGATGGTGAGCCCTACAAATGGCAGGGACTTTACCATACCCCTCTTTCAATACTCAGTGTCCCAGCACCGGGCTTCAAGAGGAGAAAAAGGAGGCAGGGAGAAAGGGATCCCAGGTGCCCTGAAGCATGGCAGGAACTGGGCACAGAACAGCCATCCCAACAGCACAGGACATGTGTGCAGTGCAGTAGATGAAGAGTGAAATGGTTCCCGCACTGCAAGAACTCTGCCTAGACTCTGGCCAGAACCCTCAGACCTGGTTTACCAGTTCAGTGTGACCCGCCTTCCTCAGTGTCTTGGTGCTTTTGTGGCTAACACAAGTGCATCACTCTGCCACATGTGCAGAGAGCTGAAAGTGCCAGGTGTTTGCATCCTCTCTTCTCCACCCCATCTCCTGACTGTTAGCCAGTGACTGAGTCAGGAGAGAGCATGAATGCCCAAACCCCTTGCTTCTTGGCAGGACAAATCTAACATGGGATTTCTGCTGCAGAGCTCCCTGTGGGACCAAGATGAATGACTTACCTGGGCCACATGACTCCTAAGTGGCTGAGAGGGGATTCAAACCCAGGCACTCTGTATCACTACCATAGACGGCTTGCAATTTAAGCATTACGACTACCATGTTAGGTTCTACGGACAAACGGGGTGACTTCGCATTTATAATAAAGGGAAAAAAGTAGGATGTTTCTGTATTAAGCTATTATATGGAAAATGGGCAGGTTAATTCATCTCCAAATTATTTGCATCACATGAACATATTTCCCTAGTGAAAAAAAAAAGAAAAATCAGGAGCTTTGAACCCAGACAGAACTGGCTTTGAATCCCAAGTCTGTTAGAAACCAGCTGCAGGACCCCAGGTAAGTTATTTCACTTCTCTTAGCCTCAATTTGTTCATATACAAAATGGGTATAATATACCTAACTTGCATTGGTACAGAAAGGATTAAATATGGTATGTGCAAAGCCTCTATCACAGAGTCTAGCCAATGGCTAACATTCAATGAATGGCCATTGTAGTAATAGTAGTGGTACTAATATAGAACTGGCCTCAGAAAAAAGGAATTTGTACAACATTGAGGTTTATAAGTATAAGCACAAAACCCCACCATGTATATTGATAATCCTTGAATATAATGGACTATTAGTGGTAAAAATTAGAACTTTGAAGACTGCATCTGGCAGAAAGAATACGTAGACACATATATACTCTGGCTGGCATGTCAGGAAGAAGCTATCTGCCAGTAATCAATAACTGTTGGGAAATGAGAAGAACTATAAACATCACTGTGTGAGAACTAGGGAATGAGCTCTTCCCAAGACAGGTTGCAACTGCACAATTTCAAGCTGACATTTTATTTCACCTAAAAGAAATAATTGTGCTTAATAAGGTAGTTATTGCTAGAGGATCAGGATCTGGAAACCAAACTTCTATCATCTAATGCATAACAATTTTAAGCATTATCTGTTTGGGGTTGAGGAAGTCACAGAGAGCTGGAAAACTACTTTTCCAAATTGTGTTATAACCCCGACAAAGAAATTTAGGTACTGATACCTTAAACTCCATTGAAGCCGAATATCAGATTTATTCTTACAATGGATTTCACATACGTTACTTCCATTTTTTTCCTTTTCTTTTCATGGTTATAGATCAGGTTTATTCATTTTGTTTGTTTTCGTTGTGGTACACAGATTGTAGGAAAACAGCTCTGGCGAGCCCTCACCTTTCTAGAAGTAGCAGAACAAGTTCCTTCTGTCCTGGTAGATTTGATTCATAAAGGCAACCAAATATAGCCAAAACATTTACTCTGCTTTGTATGATCATTTGGTTATCTAAGAGAAGCAAATTAGCCAAGTAAAAGCTAAATCACCACTCACAGTGCTTAACACTGGCTCAGTCTTCGGTCCAGGCTAACTTGATAGACATACTTTACTTCTGTCCTACTGGAAGTCTAAGAATGATTCCAAGTTTGTAAATAAATATAGAAACACAGCCCCACAAGCCCAAGGCCAATCAACATTTTCCCAACCTCAAGTGAGAGGAATAAGCCTAAGGTTCTGGTATTTCTGTAGGCAAGGAAGGATGACGTATAAAGCTGATTTATGGGAAGTAGACTTCCCTTCATTCTTGAGCCTTTGAGTTGGACTTAATTATCTTTAAGGTAGAGAAGAATATGCCCCCGCCCTCATCTTCTACATATGTGTTCCTATCAAGCAGCCATGTGCCATCATAGTAGGTAGAATCGTAATTTGAGAAGTAAATATTTCTGTCCACTCACCTGCTGGGCACCAGGGAAACCAAAAAAATCAATCTCTTGACCGAATTAAACTTGCTTGGATTTTTGTAATTTTTATGGAATTCAGATGCTCTGATCTGTGAATGCTCCAAATTGTTTAGCATAGTGTAAAAAAAAAAAAGTGAGTAAGAAAAACCATCCTTCAGCACTGAGTGAGAGATGATTTACATAGATAATCCCCAGCAGGGAAGAGACTACCACACACAATGAGAGGAATTAGAAGATCCTGGATTAGGTGCCTGCCTTGGCTAATAGATGGATCTTGACTCTAGACATGATTTTTCATCTCTTTTATCCTTGTATGTAAACTAAGAGACATAGACTCACTGGATGAAATCTAGAATTGCTTTTAACTATATGACTGATTTAGGGGAGGAGAAGAGGAAAGACAGCCATGTTATACATGTAGTATAATTACAAATTCCATAATAAATGTAGTCTCATTTGTAAATAGAATTGTTACAAAATAACAGTTAATATCTTCCAAAATGCATAATCCTCACTGTAAAACAATAAATTAATAAAGCAATTTATATATTAAATTGGTAATAAGTCTTCAAAAATTCAACTTTTAAACAAATTTGTTCTATTTTTATTTTTAGTTCAACTCATTTGTTTTTATGCTCATTTGGAAAACTCAGGTAATAGTCTTTTATTAACATTATGATTTATTCAGTTTTCCATCATGCAAGACAAATCACCAATTCTTTTAGATAAGGTTTCTGCATATAATAAATAAGATATACATATTAACACAGATCTATTTGTGGATTCACACATCACTCTCTGAATAAGGTGATAAATCCTACCTGCATGCAAAGACACACTTTAATCATTAATTTGGTTTAGGATCCTCATTTGCAAATGATAATAATAATTACATGGCTCTGATTTTAAATACAAGGCGTAAAAAAACCTTGCTAGAACTGGAACTGCTTCTTTTAATTTTCCCAAACATATCTAACCAAGTTCATAACCTTAAAATTATTCATTGCTTTTTATCTTATCACAAGGTTCCTGTTGCAGGTTGAATTCCCAAGAAAGCACCCTTAGATTAGCATGAAGAAAGTTTACTAGGAAGTGCTGTTGAGATTAGCACCTGATGAAGGAAAGAAACAGAAGCAGGATTGAGAAGAAGAAGTTGAGCTGATGCAGTCTCAGCAAACACCTTAGCCAACCCCAGAGGGGCCTCTGAATCTGGGTTGATCCTTTCAGAGTTGTCCCAACTTGAGATCAAATAGCTGGAGGAATAAATCCCAAAGGGAAACCTGGATAGCTCATCACAGCATCCACTACAGTTCCAAATGGAGCCAGCTCCAAGTATGCTAACAGCTAACCTTCCAGTTGGCTTGTTAGCAACCAATATTTGTTGAGTACATACCATGTGCTAAGTACCATAGAGACCACCAAATTTTATGTATATCCTTACTATCAAGAAACTTACAGTTTAGTTGAGGAGAGCAGATCAAAAACACATTTAAAAACCACAGAATAAAATTTTAAGATAATAGGCAAAGACAATACCAGAAGAAATAAAGGTAATCAGACAATTTATTATTTTAAAATGTAAAGGAGAGAGAGATAACTTAATTCTATGAAGCTTGGAACAGTAAAACTTGAGTTGTGTCTTTAAGGTTAAAAAATTGTAATGAGTAGGAGCAGGAGGAAAGCAAAGTAGCAGTAAAAGAAAAAAGGACCAGGTGCAAGGCATCTGGAGGTCATCTTCGTAGAACTGACCATAACTTTTTGAAGAGGAGCATATCAGGACTGAGGGTGGGAGAAGGAAGGAAGTGCCCAATAAGAAGTGGAGGCCACTCAGGTGAGTCCAAATGTTTTGATAAGCATGAAGATGGAGGCATTGGGCTCTTCCAGGACTGGCAACAGCAAAGACAGCTTTTGATTTATCAGTTTCTCATCAGGGCAGAGGCAACCTGCTATGGGGCCCGCTGTGGCAGCAACTTGCCTAGCAGGCCAGTTCTGCAGTGTAAATTTTGGAAGCCAAGCCTAGAGACCATTCTTTCTGCATTTCCAATGATCTATGAGCATGTATCTCTTTCTGCTTAAATTAGCTAAAGCAAATTCTGTTATCTGCAGCTAAGAACCCCAACAGATAACATTCACAATTGCATGAGAAGTCATTATTATCCTCATTTTATAGGTTTAAAATAGATCTAAAACTATGAGGTTAAATAACTTGTCAAAGATGTCCTAGTGTGGCAGAGCCCAAACTTGAGGCTAGAACTATCTCACTCTGAAACCAGTGCAATTTCTACAAGATCATAACAGTTTCCCAAAGACAGAGATTGAATAGCCCTCCATATTTATCATCTGAACATGTGGATCTGCAAAATGAATAGTTTCCACAACGGGTCATCAAACATCACACTCGAATTCTGAACTGGAGAATGTAACACTGTGTGTGAATTATTCCAATGAAAGAACAACACCAAAAAGTGAAAAGTTCTCTGAAATCCATGCCAGAGCCAAAAAAGATGAGTTCTTGAAGCCAAGGGGCCAAACTAGCTCTGCCTAACCCTACTTTCTATAATTGTTTACAAATTTAACAACCAACTTCAATAATAATCTCTGTGGCCTCATAAATAAATTCAAGTCCGCAACGTAAAGCAAGTTCCCATCCTTCAGCCCATGTTGTTCCACATATTGAATTTCCTGATCTCATGAAGGCTAAGTTCTTCCCCAGGCATCATGGAGGCTATTTAACTACCTCCTGCCTTAGCCCTTTCAACTTCAAGATCAGTTTTATTAGATGGACTCACTAGACAATGGCCAAGATTATACATTTCTAAGAGCAATTATTCATGGTTAAAAGTATAATCT
Source organism: Homo sapiens (assembly GCF_000001405.40). Classification (NCBI taxonomy): domain Eukaryota; kingdom Metazoa; phylum Chordata; class Mammalia; order Primates; family Hominidae; genus Homo; species Homo sapiens. The sequence goes on along the minus strand of NC_000005.10, from coordinate 37,992,250 downwards.
ATGGCAGGATTAGAAAATAAGTGATACAGTATGACCACTAGCCCCTCTTAAGCCCAAGGAAACATGATCACTACTGGACTTTGGCCTAGAATCGTTCTCAAAACAGAGCCCCAGAGAGCCTCTGTCAATCGGTCGGAGTCAGTACTTGAGTTAAAACCAACCTTCAAACCCTGATCTATAGTCTTCACCTGGGTAAACTAGCAGGAAGACTCATGGCCAGTGAGTCTCATTGCAGCCATTTTGTACCTACCACAACTCGTTTTCTGAAAATCTGCCAGAGAATGACTTAGGCTCCAGGGGAAAGAGAGCTTACCCTCCAACCTCCACACTTCAAACCTGACTTCACACCAGTTTAAAACACGTTATGGAGTCCTTCCATTCATAGAGTGCTCTTTTGGATGTTTCTTTTTGTCCTCAATTCCATCTTCAGCCCAGCTGACAAATGCTGCATGGACTCTGAGCTGTCTCCCGAGAGGAGCCCCGTACGTTTTAAGCAGTTTTGCTTTGTGACCTGACCTCCAGGCAGGCTGCATACTTCAGAGCACTGACAGCTCAGTCATGTCTTTTGTCCCAGGCACACAGATACAGCAGGCGAGGGAAAGTTCACACTGAACACTCACATTTCAAAACATAAATAAATGGCTCACACCAGAGGCCCAGTGCACTTAAGTTAGGAAGACAAAACCTCCCGAAGAAAAGAGGGACCCAAGGAGACTTTTCAGAGTCCCCTGCAGGACCCTGTGGCTATGATGACTGCACCTGGAGGGCTGCATGAGGCAGATCTACTGCCAGCAGGAGGCCAGATAGGCTTCTCTGAGTAGGGTGTGTGGACATTCCTGCTTTCTGTTCCTTCCTGATCTACCCCCTAAAATATCTTCCTGATATATATTTTCCCCTACTAAGCCCAATTCCTTTCTTACTTTCTTTCTCTTTCTTTTAGCCCTTTTTCTCTCTCTAATATGCTTTGTGCTTCTTATTCCTCCTGCCTTTTCTCATATTTCCTGGTTCTGCAGCTCTTATATTTATTCTACTTGGAAACCTTTTATTTTTCTCCCAGTTTTCCAAAGAACTTTCACAGCTGGTCCCATCTGTCTCTTCTAAATGATCCTGTTCCTCTTGAACTAAATTCATTTCCTCTCTGATTCCACCTGCCCTTAAGGCTGGACCCTATAATACCACGCCCTAAGTCCTATTAACAAATATGGGATTGGAAATGGGGGCAGACAGGGGCCCTGAATTCTACCACTCTTTAAACACCAGCCACAGATAACAGATTCACTAATGTGTTGCCGCCCTTTATCCTTTTCCTACAGTTATCTGAGTTTTTTTATTTTACATTTTGATACTTAACTCATTTTAAACTTTCATAATTTTATAATACTGGTAATGCATGCTCATTGTAGCAAAATTGATAACAATAGATAAGTAGAAAGATGAAAATAAAAAGCCTTCTGCAATTTTGCCCTTCAGAGACTACTCCTGGGTTTCATGATTGTCTTGATGAACACTGTTTTAAAGATTCAAAGATGAATGAAAAAGACATTGTCTTTGCTCCTTCAGAGCCTATATCCAGTGGGGAAGAAAATTAAACAAGCAAATACAAGACAGCATATTTAGAAAAGAACAGGAATCCATGGGAGCGAGGGCAAATGAGTCACACTTTGCAAAAGCCTTCTGGAGAACATGTCATCCTGAAAAATGAGCAGAAATTGGCCACGTACGAAATACAGAAAGGGAACAGCCCATGGTAAGTCCATAAAAGTAAAGTGAGACTGGCACATTCAGAGAACCAAAGGGAGTTCAATATGGCTCAAAGTAAGGGCAATGGCAGTAAACAGGCCTGGAGGGGTAAGGAGGAGCCAGAAGGCACATGGCCTTGTAAGCCACAGGAAGATGTCTTCATAAGCGCAATGGGAACATTGAAGGTTATTAAGGAAGGGAATGACATGATCCGATTTACACTTTTAATAGAACTATAAGCCTAAAAGATAGAACTATACTATGGAATAGGTGCCACCCTTATAATCAGAACAGAAAGAAAGAAAAGAAAAGGGAGGGAAGAAGGAAGGAAGGAAGGAAGATTGGGAGGGAGGGAAGAAAGGGAGGAAAGAAGGAAGGAACGAGGGAGGGAAGGAAGGAAGGAAGGAACTAAGTTAGTTAGTTTGGGAGGGAGAGAAGCAAGGGGGAAGGAAGAGGGGAAGGAAGGAAGGAGTGAGGAAGAGAGGGAAGGAAGGAAGGAAGGAAGGAAGGAAGGAAAAGAAAGACAGCAGGAGAAGGGGAGGGAGGGGAATTCAGGAAACATTGGTAGTAAGTAGTGAGGGCCAGGATATGATCTCAGACAGACAGCTCTACTATAGCCTGTCTTATGATGTCTGTTACATTCTTTATTGAGTCCCAACCATTTCAGGTGATCAATCAGGAAACTTGGACATATATGTTTTGTATGTGATGTATCCATTTTCCTTATTATGAAAGAACTGTCCCTTTGCCTTGGACTTGAGGAGGGGTTGATTTCCCTGGTTGGGGAACTAGCAGAGCTGGAACCGTGCTAAGTGTGAGGAAAGGCTTTTTAAGGCACCCTCCACAAGCATTCTCCATACCCAGGATGGGAAATATCAGCATGAGATTATCCAGGTTGCTGTTCTGACTGTCTCAAAATATCAAATGACTATTTAACCTTATGCTTTCATTTCTTTGTGTAGCTCTTATCACAGCATGTTTTAAAATATTATTAATGTTGAAAGTTGGTCCAGATCCTAAAAGAGCTTATAATTTCCCCACTCTTGACTATGCTTTTTCTATTACTCACTGACACGAGGACAATTTGCTCATTAAAGCAATACAGTCAATATAATTGTCTGGACTTGAGCCTTAAGATTAGACAAGTATTTTTAAAGCTTTTTTTATGGCAACTCAGAAAAAGGGGTATATTTCTTTCTTTCTTTCTTTCTTTTTTAACATTGTTGGATAACCATTACCCAATCATCCATTTTTTATTCCATACATTTCCAGGACATTTTCCAGGGGAAACTGAAAGGAAGGAGTAAGAGGAAGAAAAGTGTAATACACTGGACACAAAGAAAGCTCCTAAAAGGAGTATATTTCATACTAAGATCAACAAACATAAGTATCTATAAATGAAACAAAGGTTTGAAGAAACAACAGTCACCACTACAGTGTGTGACATTCCGTTTTCTTTTCCATTTCATTCAATTCTATTATATTTCTATTTATTCTATCATATTTTACTCTGAATTGATACAATCACTTTGGGAAATTCTTTTCCAGCATCTACTAAAGCTGAACATACCACATCCTATGACCCAGCAATTTCACTCTTAGGTACATACTCAAGAGAAATAAGTGCATGTGTCCACCACTGGACTTTAGAATGTTTACGGAAGCAATATGAACAGAAGCAATGTTCATGAGGCCAAATATTGGAAACTATCCAAAGGCTCATCAACAGTAGAATAGATAAATAAATGTTGGTATGTTCACACAGTGGAGTGCTACAATTGTTTGCAATAATATGGATGAATCCCATGCATCATGTCAGACACAAAGGAGTTCATACTGTATGATTCTATTTATATAAAGTTCAAAAGCAGCCAAAACTAATCTATCCTGTTAGAAGTCAGGCCAGTGAGTTATTTTGGGAGAGATAGTGATTTAAAGGAGTCATGAGGGGGCTTCTAGGGAAGTGGTGTTTCTTGATCTGGATGCTGGTTACAGGGATGTGTTCAATTCATGAAAATGCATCAAATTGCATGTGCACTTTTCTGTATGTATGTTATACTTCAATAAAATGTTAAGAAAAAATATTGGTCACAAGCCAAGTTAGATTCTTCTACTTACTAATCACTTGCAACCTGCAATTTGAAATATACTACATTAGACACTAAAAATACCAAAGGAAGACACGCTATGACATATCAAAATATTTTAATTTTATTTACAACAATAAGATGGAAAGCTCAAGTCTTATTTAGAAGCCATTAGATATTACCAAAATTAAAAGAATCCAGAACAAAAAAAAATGAAACAGCTAAAAACAAGTATATACTGTCCTTTCTCATTTGATTTTTAATAACTTTACAGCTGCTTTCAATTTTTATTGAATCTTTCATTTTAATCTATATTTGTTGCCAATCACTTTGTTAAGAAATGCACAATTTTGAATATGCTTACCCAGCTTTTTCCATAGTATTCAAGCCACTGGTCTCTTCTCATTGGAATAGCCAGGAGCAGCTTACTGGTAAAGAAAATACCCCCTAAAGTTCCCCTTTTTCAGCTGTGTTTTTAAAACTGGCCTTTCCCATTAGAACCTGTTTTTCCCCTTGGGGCTTCCATCTATCACAGGTGTTCTCAAAATCTCCAACCTGCTCCAGCCCATGCTGGAAGTGAGAAGACATATTACCCAATCATGGTTAATTGCAATCAACATTCACACATTCATAAATGAGTGCGGTGCTTGGTGCTTGGTATTTTAAAGAGACCTGGATGTATTTCTAGTCATAATCATTATCTTTCTCAAGCAAAGTGTAGTTTACAAGCCACACTGCATAGGATTTTTCTTTTTCAAACAGCAGATTGTTGCACACATATATAGGGCTTTTGGCTGACATCTTTATTCCATGATTCCATGAGAATTTTCTTGAAATTCTACAAAGTGGTCAGATCTCCAAGTGAAGGCAGTCCAGCTATCTTGGGAAAGTGTTTCCCACTTTAGCTGGCCTTTAAGTGTCAATCCACCAGGGGCCACAGATGCCATTGTTTGGCTGGAGTCCTCCCCAGTGCATCACTGTGGAACAGATAAAGGTCTTTGGGGCTTTACAATCTCTTCTGAAACCTAGATTGCATCAGTTTCCAAGAATGTCTGACTTTGCCTGGCTGTCCGAAATATCTGCCCAAGTCCCCCTTCCTCTTCATATCTGCCTAAACACAAGGGCAAGAGACATGTTGAGCAAGTGAAGCCAAGAGTCAGTGCAATGCTCTGAGTGCAAACTCAGAATCAACAGTGAAAATGACATGAAACAAACTCAACCTGCTTTCTACAAAAGCAGAATTTAAAATTTCTGTCCTCTAAAAGTACATTTGAAAAATGAAATCTTTCCATATGGCTTTATTTTCTTCTATATAAAAGAGTTAGACTAAATTCTGCTTTAAAAAATATAGCTCTATGAACACTGTGCTGACATATACACTAAAGTCATCTGGAAAAAATACAAGCTACTATAACAAATGCCAAATGCCAAAAGTAGCCAGTCTCATTCTATTGAAACAAATAGAATGAAGGGGAAATGTATTTAGTTGACAGAGTGAATAGAGAAAATTGATCTCTTATTGTCAAATATACTGTACCTGACATGAGGGTTGGGAAGTTCTGAAATGTATTTTACATACAAACTTAACTTTGAACCTTCATATGAACCTATTTCAAAAGTGTCTTACAGCCAAGATAAAATTATTCACACTGGACTAAGTGTTTACATTAGACATTCCTCTTTAATTCTTGAGAGAGAAAAAAGCCGTCTTTTGGTGGAGAAGCAAATTTTTACACAAAGTTTTGAATCTCAAATGGAGAAAATCAGCATATTCCAGAAAGAGACCATTTAGCACCTAATGTTCAAAAGACTGTTTGACCCGTTCTTTATGAGTGCACAGTTGTATCAGAGCCCAGACACTTAAGATTATAGCAAACTTTTAATAGAACCACATTTCCTTTTGGAATACAATACAGCTGCAAACAAAAAAAAAAGTCATATTTCCTCCAGTTATGTGTCAAATGGCTGTATCCTCACTCCAGTAAGAGAGTCTAGTGGAATCCAGACACCACCAGAAAAGGGAGCAGAGATAGAAGGAAGGTAATCGAACCCTGCTCTTCCATTTACCATAGAACAAATCCAAAAAGAAAGAAAAGGAAAAGGATTTCTAAGACCAAAAGTCATATTTTCAAACATACAAGTTTGTTTCTTTTTTAATGTGTCTTTGTTTTTCTTTTTGGCTAAGAAACAGGGCCTTATTTTTGCCGTGACACAGAAAGCATTTCACAGAGAACTCGAATTGTACATGGTTTTTAAAAAAACACTTCATGGGCTCATGAGAATAATCCTCACCCTCTCAGCTCTTTCAGATAGCAGACTAATTCCATTACCTTCCATTTGCCACCAAATTCTGCCTCTTTCCATTGCCACTATTTTTCTACCTTGTTTTGTCTTTCCCTTCAGTAAACTCAACACCCTGGTAATTCAATCTGCTGTTCAATGTCATGGTTGAATCAAATCACTGTCACTCAAAATAGGGTATGGTTGAGTAATAGAGTCACTCAAAAGAGGGTATGGTTGAGTAATCAGGGCAAATATCCCCAAATCTGGAATTTCTGGGTTTTCAGCCACTGAATGACTAAGTGGCTTTAGACTAGATCTTTCCTCCACCTCATGAGAACAGGTCAAATCCTGTCTGTGCTGATTGGGACTGGGTAGAGCCGAACACCTCAAGAGAGAACTCTACCTGCAACTGGGCTCTCCATGGGCTCCCTGGAAAATGGGGACAGCAGCACTGACCTCAGAAGATGGAGAAGGGAATTAGCAAATAATGGGAAAGCTTAATACAATGTCACTTTCACACCAGGGTGGAAATTGTAAAAGACCAAAAGGGAGCCCTGTTTAAAGATGTCTTTACTCAAGCAGTATAAATAATCAGGTTTCTCAGAGAAAATCATTTCCATTCTCACCACTAGTTCTACTTAAACAAGTTTGAAGGCCAATAAAAACACAGTGCTGGTTTACAAGGGTTAGGAGAAATGTAAGAAGATGGTGGATCTTGCCTGAGTTCAGAAGTTTAAAGAGAAAATCCTAAGAATGGGAAATGACAAATTGTATTGATGCTAATTTTTTTAAATAATTCAAGACACGAACCAGGACCATGCATATTATACAAACGTTATTAGACAAAGTGTAGAAACCATTCTATGGACAGGGGAAACACCTGGAGGAGCAGGCTTGCTTATTAATTGGAAGTTAACAAATATATGAACACACAAAGATTACAGTCAACTAACCTGGGGGACATTTGCTGTGCACTGTGAGAGGAGTGTTGAAAGGAACCCAGAGGAGTCAAAACTGGTGTTGAAAAACCATCTGACAGGATCCAGAGTTGAGACACCCTGATCAGAGATCAGAGACCTTTGCCTCACAAACTCACTCCAAAGGGGACATGGAGCAAGCAGATAGCTCTTAGCTAAGTTCTATCACAAAGTAGGCACTCCATAAATCTTTGTAGAATTGAATTGTTGAAATAAACCATATTCATATGGAAGAACTAGGACTTTTCAAATTAGAAGAGCTGCCTTTATGAGTTACACTGCTCAAATAGAGTGGTTTGGGAAAGAAGGGGCTGTGGAACTAAATAGTCTCTTTTGCAACTGATAGTAAAATTAGAGGGAAAGCAAATGGCAAGAGAGCAGGCAATCAAAATCAAATGGATGTGGACCATTTAAGTAATTGGGCCAAGGGATAGTAAATGCAGTTCAATTTAAGATAATGTTCAATAAATTGCTTTAAGAAATAACCTAGGGAATACAGGTTAAATGGAACAACCATGTAGGAGATTGATCTGCAAGTCACAATAAAGAAAATCATTGAAGCTAACCACCAGAGCATTACCAACATCAGTAAAAAGGCCATGGCTACCCTAACAGTAAAAATGCAAATAGACCCACTCAGACCACAGAGCAGCTGTCCTCATTCATGTGCTGCTTTCTGCTCTTCCTGTGCTAGTGAGAACTTAACCATTTTCCAAACAGCTCTCCAAACTTAATCTATTTCAAGATTATTACAGGCTTCCCCTAATTTCTCTCCAAATTTCCTTTCTCGCTTGAAAAAGTTGACAGTTATATTCACAGATAAAATGGACATGTTACAAATGTTACTACCCATTTGTCAGATTCTTTGGTGGACCACCAGGGATTGTACCTGTGGAATCAGTGTTCACAGCTGGAGGGCTTTCCCCTAAAGAAGGCAGGATATGGCACAAAGACAATGCCAGCCCTACAGGTAAAACTAAAACGTAACTAAACTCACACTACTACCCCGGGAACAGAAACAGTTGGAAATGACTTGATTGGCATTTGTCCATTTGAATTTAAAACAGATTCCTTTCGTTATGAACAAAAAACATTGGGATACTAGTTAATTTCCGTGGACATTTACTGAGCCATGTGCCAAGTACTGCACTGAGTTCTGGGAATTTCTCAGGGAATAAGTTCCACTCCCTGCCCTCTGGAAGCCCACAGTTAATGAGAAAGACTACTACAACACAGGGTACAGGGCAAGAACAACTTCTGTTTGTGTAAGGTGATCACACACGTTCTCTGGACACCTGGTCAGGACATAAATTTGGAACAAGTTTTTAAAACCCCAGAAAATTTTTAAAAACAAAATGTTTTATTAGTGTCTTTAAGTCCCATCTAAAGAAAAGACAGGGTGGTGAACTCCAATCATTTTGCTAAACAAAAGTGGTCTGTTCTTGCCAGTAAGACGGCAGCTTAAGCAATAGTATTCCAGCCAACTTCCTTTCTCAGCTCAATCTGTCTCTTTTTGCCCCAGCCTTGGAGAAGTTTACTCATCCAAATTCCTAAATTTACCCACCCTGAATTCCTAAAAGGAACAGGGCTAACCCAACCAAGCTAATGAGGTGTCTGAATTTCAATGGTTCGAGGACAAACACTTTAAGGAGAGGCAGCATGGTCATTGGAGTTGGGAGATGTGGAAATGTGGGTTTGGATCCTGCTCTGCACTTGATCAGCTGGTACATAGACTCTCTGGCCCTCAACCTCCTCATCCACATAATAGGAATAATAATGCTTGACTGTTGGGTGGTTCATTATACAAAATTGGGTAATAGATGCAACACAGTGCCTAGCATATAATCATCATGAACATTAAGACCCACTCCATGTCACTACTCCTGTCAGATGCTGGGAGAAATTACCTTCCTACATTCCATTCTTCTACTTAGTATGTGTCTGATGTGTGTGACAATGGAAATGGCCTCAGTTTGACACTGAACTCCAAGAGATACCTAAGTTGATATCTTTTGAGTAAAAACGTGAAGGGTCTAGCTGGGTGTGGTGGTGGGCACCTGTAATTCCAGCTACTTGGGAGGCTGAGGTAGGAGAATTGCTTGAACCCAGTGGGCAGAGGCTGCAGTGAGCCAAGATCACGCCACTGCACTCCAGCCTGGGCAACGCAGCGAAACTCCGTTCAAACAAACAAACAAACAAAAAAACACAGTAACCAGCAGGGTGTGGTGGCTCACGCCTGTAATCCCAGCACTTTGGGAGGCCAAGGCAGGTAGATCATCTGAGGTCAGGAGTTCAAGGCCAGCCTGGCCAACATAGTGAAACCTTGTCCCTACCAAAAATACAAAAATTAGCCAGGCATGATGGCGGGCGCCTGTAGTCCCAGCTACTCCAGAGGCTGAGGCAGGAGAATTGCTTGAACCCAGGAGGTGAAGTTTGCAGTTAGCCACGATCACGCCACTACACACTCCAGCCTGGGCAACAGAGTAAGTCTCCGTCTCAAAAAAAAAAAAATTATAAAAGGTCTGTGATGAAGAAGCTACCTCTCCTTCCATTAAATACTTTGAGTCATTCTTCTCAAAACAGTCTTAGAATGGAAACTCTTGGTGTTTTATACTTGGTTTTGTCCAATATGAAAGATATCCTAGCTACAGTGATAGAACTGGAAATGGTGGAATTTGGCCACAGGGTAGAAATGAAGCGGGAAAAGGGAAAGGACAATACTATGATCATTCTTATTATACAGAAGGAATTTTACAGGAGAAAAGATGAATAACTAGCCAAAGACATACAGCATTTCAGAAGTAAAGCTGAAGTGTAATGTGCTTCAATTTCCAGCACTGTCTCTATTTTGTCTGAACCGGGCTTACATTTTTCAACATCAGAGCCTTAACACCTAGTGTCTAGCAACACCCAGGGCCTGCCACTCCCAGCAATACCTAGCAGCACTTAACCATGACAGGTACTCAATAAGTGCTTGTACATGAATAATCTTAAGAAAGGTCAGGAGATCGAGACCACGGTGAAACCCCGTCTCTACTAAAAATACAAAAAATTAGTTGGGCGCAGTGGCGGGTGCCTGTAGTCCCAGCTACTCAGGAGGCTGAGGCAGGAGAATGGCGTGAACCCGGGAGGCGGAGCTTGCAGCAAGCCAAGATCGCGCCACTGCACTCCAGCCTGGGTGACAGAGAGAGACTCCGTCTCAAAAAAAAAAAAAGAAAGAAAGAAAAGTCAAATTAAAATTATGTGGTAGCTCAGAATCCATCCTTTAACCAAAACCTAATAAAATATTTACACCAAAAGGGAGATATCCTGTTTCAAAGTAGGAAAAGATTAGATGTTTTGTTCCAAACTAGCAAGAAACATTCAAGTAAGTTCCTCTACTCCTACCCAAACATTATCTTACGATATTTTTTTCCTGATCATGTTTTTTCCCTGGGACAATTTGCTATCCATTCTCAAAAGCAACTCTCCAAATAAAATAGATTTCATCATGACTCAAACTTACAACATTTTTTTTAGTAAACACCAGATAAACACTAGGAGAGCTAATACTTTGTTGCCAAACAACCAAACAGATGTGATCCCTACCACTTCCTACCTTTCCAAAAGACGTGATTAATGGATAATTATAGGAATATTCTAATTCTTGTTGAAAAGCTTGATCGATTTATTGGTGCTTGTGGCCAAACAATAACCACGTCCATGTTTCAAATCACTGTAGATGACCAGAATCTGGGGCTCATCATGACTCTATACTTTGCTATAAGACTGGTGCCAAGAAAATTTCTTTCCAGCTCAGTAATCCTTCTTCCTTTCTCGATAAATTCTACATAGCTTTCCCTTTGCTCCTGCCTTGGGGTAAGATTTCTTGCAGCAGCCATGTAAAATGACTTCTGTCTTTGGAAGATTTCTTAGAAAACACATTGTCTCTGATCCCCACCCTTTGAAAATTTCCACTGTTTACCCAAACAATACCTTCCACAGAATTCTCAGCGTAGCATCAATGCCCCCAGGAAGGTCTTGCAGATCCTTTTGTCGCTAGACTAGGTTAGGTTCTCCTGCCCTGTGTTCTTACAGTACTTTGTTTCCCCAATACAACATCTTCACACTTTATTTTAAATTTCTATTTAATTGTCTATCTTTCCAACTGGACTATAAGACTATGAGGAAAACAGCAGGCCCTCGGTACCTGGTGATTGTTAAATAAATGATAACTTCCAAATTTTATCAGGCCTTATAGTTCCAATCTCATTCCTTCTCATAAAAGAAAGTGCAGAAGCCCCAGAATATGGCCACACAGCTAGAGATGTTTCCAGCTTCTCTTGCAGCTAGGCTCTCGCCAATTGGATATGAGTTGAAGACATATTTGCAACTTCCAGGTCATGTCATTAAAAAGGAAGCTTCTTCTCCACTTGCTGTTTCCCCCTTCCTAAAGGCTGCAAAGTAAACAAAATGGTGAGCCAGCTTCAACAAGGGAGATAAGGACAACAACCTAAGGCATGGCAGAACCACAAAACAAAAGAAATCTAGTTCCTGGCTAAACTTAGAGAGCAGAGCCACCTCTCCACTCTGGACTGCTCATCTGTCTATAGACTGTTACATCAGAAACACCTTTGTCACTGGGCACAGTGGCTCATGCCTATAATCCCAGCACTTTGGGAAGCCAAGCCTGGCAGATCACTTGAGCCCAGAAATTGGAGAAGAGGCTGACCAACATGACAAAACCCTGTCTCTACAAAAAATACAAAAATTTGCTGGGTGTATTGTACGTGCCTGTAGTCCCAGCTACTCAGGAGACTGAGGTGGGAGGATGGCTTTAGCCCAGGAAGTGGAGGTTGCAGTGAGCCAAGATGGCATCACTGCACTCCAGCTTTGGTGACAGAATGAGACATGAGACCCTGTCTCAAAAAAAAACAAAAACAAAAAAGAAAAAACACACATTTGTCTCTCGTTTATGCCTCTGAGTTTGGGGTCCTCTCTCACCTTTTTTTTTAAGTATGAACTTAAACCCTACCTAACAACTTACATCAATTATAAATTCCTCTAACTTAACTTTGCCTACAGAGGGGACATTTTTAAATTTCCTATTCAAGTGTCCGAGCATTTATCATTACTACCACAATGTATGTAGGAAACTTACACTTACAATTCAAATAGCTACTATCCAGCAGCAATAATGTAGTAGAATATAACCATGTTTACCAACTGCACTGGAGTAAATGGTTCGTTTTACTTAACTAATGGCTGCTGTTTTAATTTGGAATTGTATAAAAAATTTGTGCTACATAGTGCAAACTGGCAAAGTGACAAATTGTTCTTCTCAACATCATTTTGGAGCATGAAGAGTCCTTACTGTAAATAGCATATTCAACTAGGTCTAAACATTGTGCAATATCAGTTGTCCATCCCTAAGAACTTGTGAGGCTACAACTAGAAGCAGTACAATTTATTTTCATGGGGTACTTACAGGATCAGTCTTGGGCCTTCACACATTTCATACAAGTCACATCTTGTATATTTGAGTGTTTTAGAAAGTCAATATTTTGCTGTTAAAAATAATTAACCTCAGGGGACATTACAGACTTGGTCCTTCTCATTCATTTTCATAGTACTGAAACTCTGAAGCCAGAGAGAATACTCGTAACAGCTGGCAAGGATTGTCTCAGCTTTTAAAGCCACATTTAGCCTGTCATTGGCTATGAATTGGACTCAACCTTTACCATGACTAGTTTTCTGTAGATGCAGTGATTTGTAGAGTTTTCTAGGTGGCCCAGATGGGCCAGGTGAAAATAAACCAAATTCCCTTCCAAACATAAAAGCTGCTACCTATAAGCCCGTAGAAGAGACAGAGAGCCTCTCCTCTACGAATAAGCTTTTCTTGCTTTTCACCCATTTTATGCATCCAGTTAGACCCAGAATGGATACCATGTTTCCATTAAGACTCACCTACATGAATAACTACATCACTTCCTTTGGGATGACATTCGAAAGCAATTTCATCTTCCCAGTGAGGCCTACTTTGCCCACACTACTTAAAATTCCAAGTCTCCCTGATATTTCCTATTCCTGTAGCATTATCTAATATACTCTACATTTCACTGATTTCTCCTGTCTGTTACCTGTCTCCCCTACCAGAATGTAAGTTTCCTGAGGGAAGGGCAATGTGTCTTTTTTGATTAGTGTTATATCCCCAGTGCCTAGAACAGTACCTGACACATGGGGAGGAGAGGATTTCAGGAAATACTTGTTGAGTCAATGAATGAAAGGAGGCCCTTTTTAAAACCTTTACTGAGTACCTTAGCAATACTTATGCTGACTCTGGTGCTTGCTCCCACATTCTGATGATGCCAGCCATGGGAGCTCTCAGCAAAAAAGTACCTCACTTGCTTTGGGTTTTTCTGTTTTGCTTCATTCATAAGCAAAGGTCAAGGAATTGGTATGTAAGATGTCACTGCAGGCAATGGGAAGTCTCAACCCAAATGCCTTTAAACCAAAAAAATTTGCTTTCCTATCATGGTTAAATAGTTTTGGCTTCGTGATGGGTTGAATTTTGTCCCCAAAATACATTTGTTGAAGTCCTAACTTTTAATACTTCATAAGGTGACCTTTTCTGGAAGTGAGGTCTCCATGGAGGTAATCAAGGTAAAATGAAGTCATTAGGGTGGACCCTAATTCAATCTGATTGGTGTCCTTATAAAAAGTGGAAGCATGAGGCCGGGCACGGTGGCTCACGTCTGTAATCCTAACATTTTGGGAGGCCGAGGCAGGTAGATTGCTGAGCTCAGGAGATCGAGACCAGCCTGGACAACACGGTGAAACCCCATCTCTAGTAAAATACAAAATAAATTAGCTGGGCGTGGTGGCATGCGCCTGTAATCCCAGCTACTCAGGAGGCTGTGGCATGAGAATCACTTGAACCCAGGAGGCAGAGGTTGCAGTGAGCCGAGATCGTGCCACTGCACCCCAGCCTGGGTGACGGAGCAAGACTCTGTCTCTAAAAAAAAAAAAAAAAGTGGAAACATGGATACAGAGACAGACAGACACAGAGGGAAGACAACTTGAAGACACACCAGCAGAAGACAGCATATGATTAGAAAGATGCATCTACAAGCCAAGAAACTCCAAGCATCACCAGCAAGCACCAGAAGCTGGAAGAGGCAGGAAGGTCTCTCCTAGGCCACCAGAGAGAGCATGGTCCTGACAACCCCCTGCCTCCATAACCGTAAGACAATAAATGCCTATTGTTTTAAACTACCTAGTGTTGGGTACTGTGTTACAAAAGTCCTGGGAAACAAAGCTCAAATTCTATGATTGGGACCATTTCTGTATCTCCAGTTTTGGCTACGAGTCAGCAGGCTCACGTGGTGCTTCTGATGTGCTTCCAAGATGGCCACTAGCAATTTCCAAGGCTCCATGCATCTTCATATCTAATGGGGAAGACAGAGATGACTTTTGCAAGACCACTTAAAGTCTGGGATTTGAGCGTCCTTCCTGATAGAGACTGATTTGAGTCACATGCCCAAATAACAAATCAATGGCGGTGTTCAAGGGGATGGACTGAGCTGATTGCTTTAAGCCAATCAAGGTCAGCCCCTTGGGATGGGGGAGGAGTCAAGTACTGCAGCAGCAGCTGCTGGTGCCCACACACATCCTGGCTGCACACACACATCCTGGCTTGGGTTGCTCACCCAAGCAACATGTTTGGCCCATGCACAGGACAAGCTAGAAGTTCCAGAGCCAAGACCCTCTGAGGCAGCCCTCAACTAATGCTTAACAGGCAGATAAATATCTCAGCAATCTCACTCTTCAGCTGGGATAACTCTGAGGTGTGTTCTACAGAGTATTCCAGAGTTTCCCCAGGGGTTCTGAGTTCCAGTTGCTCATGGAGGTTTGTTAACACACTAAGTCTGTTCAGACTGCTAGATCAAAATATCAAAGACTGGGTGGATTCTAAACAATAGAAATTTATTTTTCAAAGTTCTAGAGTCTGAGAAGACCAAGGCACGGGTGGATCCAGTGTCTGGTGAGGACCTGCTTCCTCATAGACAGCCATCCTCTTGCTGTGTCCTCACATGGTGGAATGAGCAAGAGAGCTCTCTGGGGCCTCTTTTATAAGGGCACTAACCCCATTTGTTAGGACTCCACCATCATGACCTAGTCACCTCCCAAAGGCCTACCTCTTAACACCAACCCCTCGGGAGTTAGGATTTTGATGTATGGATTTTGGAAGTACACAAATATTCAGGCCATAGCACGCACTCTTTACTGACTTTCTCCTCTCCTTATCTCGCTTCCCTAATCCCCACCAGTAATTCTGCCGAATAAACTACTTTTACTTGAATCCATGTGTCAGATTTGCTTCCAGAAGTATCCAGATCAGGACAAGACCTAGTAAGTTGCAGGGAAGGAAATTCAGAGTTCTGTTAGGAAAGAGAAAGGGTAAAACTAGAAAGTACTGTAAAGTCAACCAATGAGTGTCCACTACAGTCAATTACTGTTCCCTCTTTCTCAGTTGGATAAGCCAATCGTGTTTTTTTCCTATAGCGTTGTTAAACCGACAGGAACACAGAATTGCCTAACAAGCCAGGAAGCATACACATTGAGTTTCATTTCTGCTGCTCCTTCTCCTACCTGCTGTGTTTCCATTTGCAGGTTATTTATCGTCACTATATCTCAAGTTCCTACTTAAGGAATAATGGGAATGATGACCCTTGTTCCTAAAATGTATGACCCCAGGAGAGCAGAGCATGGCAAAAAGTAAGTCCACCTTAAACTTCTTTCCAAGTGAGACTGTTGCTGAAAGTATCAGAAGGGCATAACACCATCATTCCCCATCACTTGGTTGCAGAGGACAGCATTAGAGGTTAGGGAAGACTGGAACAAAGATCCAAGTGAGTATTCTCCACTGTCTTAAAATAAGCTCCTCTTATTTTAATAAACTAACTAAAAAATATAATCTTTAACTATTCTGGAGGAGTTCAGAAATGGTTCCCTTCATGACGTCAGTCTTGCTGAGCCCCCAGCCCAAGTGGCCTATGTTAAGCTTTTTCTGAACATTATGCCATTGTCCTTGGATGGCAGAAAAATAATCCTTGGGAAAATCCACCCTGTATCTCCAGCAAGCAGAGGCAATGCTTTGCAAATGTTGCTGGACGCATCCTTCCATTTCTGCTTTGTTCTCTGAGTATAAGCAGATGTTAGGCATTCTTCTCATTATCTCAGGATACTGTATAATATTATTATGGTGTCAGGCTGTTAAAGGCAGCAAACGCTATACAACAACAGCCTTAATTGAGGCTTAGAGCTGAACTGTAAGTATGTAACCTTACTTCAGGGTGTTTGCAAATGCTTTCCGGAAACAGTTAAAAAAGATGTTTTCAATTGTTCAAACAGCGGCTTGCCCTGCCAAGATCAAGTAAAAGCTTCTTAAGATATGGGCACAATAAACATATTTCTTAAGATTTCAATATTTTTTTCAGCCAGAAGCATAGCAAATCTGTGAGCCAGAAAGCCTCATGCATGCCACTTCCTGGACTATTCCAGGAGAAAACTAATGAAATGCTGCAAAAGTTGCACTCAGATCTACCGTGATCTCACAGCCACAGAATTCCACTCTATCTTTGAAGTTACTTTACTATGATAATAATTATTTGTCCATGAGTCTGGACTTGGCCACTAGCCTATCCCCAAGGATGAGGCTTTGGGTGCATGCAACAACAGCTGATTCTCAGCAAGGAAGCTCCCAACATAGAAGGCTGTCCATCAATCTTAGCAGAGACGTTTGTCACTGTACACATGAAGTTACTGGTCTTGTGCTCCTGCAGTGGATTACAACTCTCAAACGTTTGGTGGAGGCACAATATGATTCTGATGTACATGATAAAAAACAGAAAAACCTGGGTCATTTAAGATTGGTTCCAGGCATGAACTGTTAAATGGCAGTTTGGTTCTCCTTTACTGGATAGAGTAAAAGAAAACAGAAACTGAACACTTTGAAAAGAACATCCAGAACAGAATCCAAAGTGTAGAGGCATGTTATGCAGGCCACTTTTTCCAAAGTCTGCTCCCAAAGAATTGACTTCAGTGGGTTTTGGGGCTTTTTAATGACTCGTTAGCATGTGTATAAGAAAGCGGCAAGCTTAACATGTTCATTTTGTTGCTTGTTGGTGACAATGATCAACAGTTGGATGGGAAAATCTGGATTAATGAAGGAATTGTAAAATCTCAGTAAAACAGATCCTAGAATTCAGAATTTAGGATTCATTCTATCATTGTTGTCTTTCCAAGGAACTTAACAATGAAAAAATCTAGAGGCTGTGTTTAAGCAATGTATTACATTATAATTCCATATGCTTTAGCAGGGGAAAAGGAAGAGGTAAAGGCTAAATATAAGTTATTATCTTATATTTGCTCAGTAGGATTTACAAACAACAATTTTTGCCATGGAAATATTCTTTACCTAATAAAACTGCATTTGTTTGAAAAATAAATCCATAACAAATGTTGTAAGTTCAGTTAGGTTTATTCCCCAACTTTAACCTCATACCCAATAATAAGTCTGATTTAATAACATGTTTACTGTATCAAATAAATGAGATTTAGCCATTACGGTTTCCCTTTATCTTCATTTCTCCTGACCAAACTGATGCATATACACAGGATTTTTATGTCAAAGTACCTTTAGCAGGTAACAGGAGATACCTAGGACTTGATGCAGCCCACATTTTTTTTCTCCATTACATCCTCTCCTCCCCTGCTAATATTATTTATATTTCTGAATTTACTTTTTAAAATTTTACTTGAGGCAAAAGCTCAACTTGGGACCAAATTTCCAAAAGAAGACCAAAATGGCAAAGATGCTATGGCCGTGTAATAGAGTGATTATAAATATGGTCAGCTCTGGATTCATAAACTTGGCTCTGTCACTTACTAACTGTGATATTATGCAAGTTATTTAGCTTCTCTGAGCCTTGGTATTCATATCTACTAAATAATACGGGTCATACGATCTACTTCACTGAGTTATTGAAGGGCTAGAGAGAGATCACTTGTGTATACGCTTGCCACAGAACTGGCAACATAGCATTTTATTTAACGTGCTTACAGTGCTTCCTAGTTGCCAAGCACTATTATTAAGTTAAGTGAGCTCAAAACTGGGATTTGAATCTCAGGTAGTTTGGCTCCAGAGCCTAGAACCTAAACCACTATGCTGAAAATCTTGAATGCGCACTCAAATGGAGAATCACAAGTAGTGAAAGTTATTGTTACAATTGAAGTTGTATCACTTAGCTATTGCTATGTAACAAAACATCCCAAAGCATAGTGGCTTAAAACAACAACAATTTACTATTTCTCATTAGTCTGTGGGTCAGCTGGGTAGTTCTGCTGATGTGGGCCATGCTCAACTCCACCATGTCTTGGCTCACTTTTGTGTCTGGGGTCAGCTGGCAGGGTGGCTGGAGGCTGACTCTTCTTGGATGGCCTCAAAGAACCTGAATCTTTTCTATGGGTCTTTCAGAACAGTCTTTTAGCAGCTAGGCTGGTCATGTTTTTTAGGTTATGGCAAAGAAGCAATGGTGGCAAAAGACTGAATCCAGAGTGCATGATTTACACCACTTTTGTTAACATCCCACTTAGTGCAGGGAGCCCCTCACCAATGCTATCTTGTTGTTTAAGAGGACTGATCCAATTCAGTGACTGTCTGAATTAGAAAATACTATTTAAGGAATAATTTTATAGGAATATATACTAAGGTGTAGCAAAATATGGACCTGATACCTACTTTAAATGTAATTTGTAATTAGTCTATTGTTTATATGCAACAAGATTAAACTGATGTCACTGGAAGAGTCCTTTAAAAGTTTATTCTTTCAAATAATCTCAATGTCTCTCCCTGGGATCCATTTTTATACAGCATTTACATAGAGTTCTGAGTGTCATGGTTATAGTTTGGTTGTTTGACATTTTTGTCTGTATGTTTTGATAAGAAAGCAAAAGCAAACATAAGCCCAGCTCATGTCTATTATCCTGAATTCCTTTTCAGTGGGATCTGAATTGAAGAGATTTTACCTTAGTAAAAGGTATTTGACAATAATGCAGAGATGTAGTTCTGAATAAAGGAAAAACAAAGAAAGTAGTGAGAAGGGAGGAGAAAAGCAGGGAAAGGAAATGGAGAAAGAAAAAGATTAAGTAATTCAATACTGAGTGTTCAGAGCTTTCCACTGGAGTTGAGTCACCCATTCCAGGAAAATAAAACTTCTAACTCCAAATATATAGGAAACATTTTAGTCATTAATTTATATTCAAGTAACATTTATTGAGAACCTAATATTCACCAAGTATTGTGCTAAGCACTGAAACAAAAACCAAGAGCAGGATTATCAGGCCCCTTGCCCTCCAAGAGCCCTCACCAGTGGGGAATATAAACACATAAAGCAATAATGACGATCTGCAATAAGTCAGGTTATGCTGGCTGCTATAACAAACCAACCCCCATCAGATCTCAGTGACTTAATGTAATTAATGTTGATTTCTAGTGTATGTAACAAAATGATGCAGGTGTTTCTGATCAGTTGGTAGGTTTTTGCCAAAAGGTTATCCAAGGACCTAGGTTCATTGTGTCTTGTGGCTTCAACATCTTCTGCACTTGGTTTCCAAAGTTACATTAAGAACACAACCAGTATCAGGGACGGAAGAAGGATTATTACCACAGATTCTACAAACATCAAAAAACACAAAATGAAGTAAAAATTTTGAATAGCCTTGTAGCTATTAAGTAAATTAAATCTGTTATTTAAGCCCTTCTCACAAACAAAACTCCAGGCCCAGAGGGTTTCACTGGTGAATTCTATCAGATATTTATGGAATAAATAATTCCAGTCTCACACAAACTCTTTTAGAAAATAGAGGGGAAGGGAATACTTCCCACCTCATTTTATGAGACCAGCCTAACCTTAATACCAAAACTAAATAAAGACATTATAAAAAAAGAAAATTAAAAAATTTCATCAGGCATTATATCCATTCCAGCCAGCTGGAAGAAAAGTGCATATATAGTTTTATGTGAGAGGTTTTCTTATGGGCCAGGCTGTATGTGGGATACACTACATCCACTCATATTCCTTTTGACAGAACTCTAGCAAAAGAGGTAGGGAAAGTTAGTCTAGCTGTGTGCCCTCAAGAAGAAAAGAAACGAGATCTGGTGAAGCTAACAATATAATGTGATAAATACTGTAAGAATAATGTATACAGAATGCAGCTCTAGCACAAAGAAAAGACTGTGACTGGAGGAATGAATGAATGAATGAATGAATGAATGAATCAGCAGTTAACTACTGATTCAAACCCCCTTAAAATTGCCTCTACCTAGCTCCAGATGAGATAGTAACCATACCAGTAGAAATACTGATTTACAAATCACTAATGGGCTGTTTCAGTGTTAACTTGTGGCTAAAATATTGGGTGTGCATTTGCTTTCTGTGGGACTTGGCAGCCAGCCTGGCCTAGAATTAAATGTCACAGTTCCAGTTCCATGTTCAGTTAGTGGTATTCTTCTGTAGTCATGTTACCTACCAGCCCCCAAATTTGGCTTCCTTTTTGTTTCTTGGAGAGGGTTGGAACAGGAGGAAGTGGGGATCTCCAGAAATACATTCTAGTTGAATTTTATAACAAACACTGTGTGGTCTCCTTGTATATATAAAAAGTTGGTAGAATTTGTCTTAAAAGCTAGGAAACTGTCTCATTTAAATGTATGCCACATGCCTCCCTGCTTATTAATTCTCTTCTATTTTCTGTAAATCTGTTTTCCCTTATTTCCATTCTCTGTGCTACTATTTTTCTTGCCTCAGTTCCTGACCTATCACCATATATTCTGTTGCCCTCTACTGAACAGAAGGGAAGAAATGCCTGCTAGCAGTTTCTAAGCATGGCTCAATCCAGATTGTCATTCTCTGAAAATCAGAATTGTTGTTTCCTCCAAACACCAGCAGCATTGTGTCAAAAGAAAGTATATGATCATGGTAAAGAAACCTGGCTATTTAAATAAAATGAAGTACAATGACATCTGCCATGTCCTCACAGCTCCTTTATAATGTCCTCAGTCACCTGATTGCATCTGCAAGCATAATGAGTTAGAAGTTTTACCAGTTTTCCCCCTTCACCACCACTGCCACTTCCACCCTAAACATCTCTCAGTCACAGCTTCCCTGAGATCTTGCAAACATTCCCACTACACAAGCAGAACTAAGCACCTTGAAAGGTCAAGGCTGGTGGCAGAAGAATAACCTTCCAGCTGCCCCTTATGTTTTTTCCTGGTGGTGAGTCTACCATGCTTCATGAGAAGCCTTCTGTTGAAAATCAATAGTTTAGTTTTAAACTTGTATTTTGTTGCTCCACGGAGCAAAAGAGGTAGGGAAAGTTAGTCTAGCTGTGTGCCCTCAAGAAGAAAAGACATGAGATCTGGTGAAGCTCCATGCAGCAACAAAATACAAGTTTAAAACTAAACTGTTGATTTTGAACACAGGGCATTCAAATATTAGGTTCTTCTATTCAGCTAAAATGTAAGTTCCTTGGGGACAAGTCATGTCTACTGCTGATTTCACATTTCTATAGCCCTCCTTGCTGCCTTGCACATAATAGGTACTCAATAAATATATGTTGGTTTGACTTAGTTGAAATAAGAATATAGTCACTAGTTATAAGGCAAACATTCCTGAGAAAGAAAATGCTATATACCTTTCACATCATTGAATACCTGCATGTGAATGGTGTTTCTTGTTATGATGTTTGGATTAGGACTAACATAGAAAAGACCAAGAAGAAAATTCAATACTGAGAAGGGGTGGTAGGGAAAAAGGGAACCCTTCCCCAAGTGGGGGAAATGGAAAGTTGAAGAAGGTTGGGAGTGTTCTTTGCACTGATTGTAGGACTATCAGAGTTCAGAGAACAAATTGCTCCTTAACAGCTAGAATGGCCAGAAAAGGCTTTGTGGAAGGAGGAAAATGGAAGCTAAACCTTGAGGAAATGTGATCTGATTAGGTGGACAAGTCAAAGAGAGTTTGCTGTTGTTGTTGTTGTTGGGAGAACAGCATAGCCAAGCAAGACAAGGAAGAATGGTGGATGGAGTTCTGATAAATCAAGATCTTGAAGAGAATGGAGTTGGCTTAGGCCAAAAATGTTGAAAAATTTTGGGAAATACGGTGGGACAGAGATCATGAGATCTATTTATGGGGAGCTTTGAAAGCCAGACATGGGAATAGGAAGACATTATAGATTTTCATGTTGTGGAAAGCCCTAATGAAAGTGTTATTTGGGGAATATTCCCAGACATGAGGAACTGCAACTTCACCTCTAATATTGCTCACATTTTCATATGCAGTTTTCTTGTGAGAGCAAGTGTAGTTTGATCTGTCAGGGTTCTGATCTTTGTAAGCTCAACCTGAGCCAGAGACCGTATTGACCTTTCTCTCCTCTTGACCTCCAGACTAACCTATTCCACACAGTCCAATGTAATTTTTAGAGCACTCCACAGCTTAACCTACATATTCATTATTTGTGCAGGATTTTTTTTTTCTCATTTTACAGTACCTGGGCAAATAGATGAAGTCCAGGTTAAAAATTCTCATGCAGCTATGAGAAGATTCCTTAGCTATTAACACACTAGTGCTGTCCAAAAAATGTGCCAGCCACTGGGATAAAAGGACAGCTACCCAGAAGAAGGTTAATCACAAAGAAGTGACATCTGGGACTTCAGAAGCTAGATCCTCAGAAGCTTTACCATTCTACCCAGGCCTCTTAGAACATCTGCTCTGGGAACTCACCCACCATGCTCTGAGGAAGCCCAAGTCAAAGGGCCCATTTGGAGAGGAACCAAGGACCGTGAACAGCCCCAGCCAAGCACCAACCTGCCAGCCATGTCAGAGAGCAATTTTGGAAGCATATTCTCCAGTCTCAGTTGGGCCAACCTAGCTGACACTATATGATGAGCAGAGACAAGCTTTCCTCACCAAGCTCAACCCAGACAATAGACTTATGAGTAAAAATAAGTGATTGTTGTTTTAAGTCACCAAGTCCTGTGGTAGTTTGATATATAGCAACACATAACCATAATATATGTGTGAAATCAACTTTGGCTACCCTCACACAATTTATACACAAACCACTAACTATCCCGAAATTTCTGCTAATGTGCTTATTCTGGGTGGATGTGCTTGCATGCGTGCATGTGTGTGTGTGTGTGTGTGTGTGCATGGTGCCATAGGTTGCCACTGTATATCAGGTAAGATCAGCAAGCCCTTTGCAGACTTCCCTAAAGAGCCCATATGTCGCAGTCTCAAGATTCACTGTATGCCAATTTATTAATCAGATAACAATCAGTGCCTCAGTGTGACACCTAAATGTCTTATTCCTGTTAAAAAGCTATGCTTCTTTTAAAAAGTGAAGCCAATGAGAGCTTCAGTCATGATGGCAATCTTTAGAAAAGATATGTTTATTTTACTTGGGAAATCTTAAGTCTCAGGGCATGAACAGCTTTCTGTTGGATCCATACTTAAAGCTGAGTCTAGACCCTGGAGTTTAGACCACATAACCATCACCGGTCAACTAAAAACTGACCTCTTTTATCTTATATACAGGTAAGGGCTGAGATTCCCTCATGGGAGGAGTCAGGGCAGGAATATGGGGCCACAAAGGTGACAGGTAAGTTTGTGGCTATTTCTCCTTTAGACCAGTGCTTTGGGAACTTTAATGTGCATACAAATCACCTGAGAATGTTGTTAAAATACATATTCTTATTCAGTTGGTCAGAGATGGAGCCTGAGCTTTTATATTTCTAACCAAATCTTGGGTGGTGGCCAATGCCACTGGTCTGTGGGCAACACTTTAAATAGTAAGATTTTGACCATCACCACTAATAGCAGGCCTTCAGTGCCTCTTACATGTAACTCCCTCTAAAAACTGAGCCTGGAAAATTAGTCTCACCACCCCATCACCACCTTTTCTACCACCAGCCTTTCAACTATCACTACCATCCCCATGACTACCACTGTCATTGCCACCTATATCCACACCATCATCAACACTTCTACCACCAACTTCAACACCATCATCAACACCACCAGACCACTACCATCTCTAAACTCAAAATTGTCCACTGTAGACCATCAGAATTACTTAAGCAATAGATTTGTTACTTTTTCAAATAGACTCTTTCTTGGCATTCAAGAGATGATTCAACCAATGGATGTGGACACTGAAATCAAAGACTTTGATCCCCAATCAAACAATAATGATTATAATAACTGAAGGTTGGTAGTTTATCAAGCAGTCATAATACTAGGGAGCACCAGCTCCTTCTGAAATATGGAGGCCCATTTGATCAAAACAGCTGAAGCACAGAATAGGATCCAAGAGCAAGACAAATCCTAATGAAAATACCCACGCTATCAGGAGACATTTGCAAAAATAGCTGCCTTTACATATGCACATTTGGACCTGAAGAAGAGTTTATATACTTGGAAGCATTAAAAAAGAAAGTAAGTAGGTGGGCTTAGCTTACAGCTGAAACAGGTAACTCCTCTGTTACCTAAAATTAGAAACAGAAAACTGGAATTTCTTTCTAATCATTCTTTCTTCTCTAAAAAGATCTGTGGGATAAGCTGCCAAATGTGCTTAACCTCTGTGTCCACCAAACTTGAATCCCTGGTGAATATAATTTTTATTCGAGAAACAAGAAATCCACCCAACCAGTAGCAGCATAAAGTTCAAAAACCTCTGCACTGCTAGGTAAAGATGATCTGTATATATAATGTGGGCAGCGGTGATTTCCTTTATTAAGCTTCTGAAATGGGAGAGGCTGGGAAGGCAGCATCTCAGCCTGTAGATGTGAACCTTCTGGGGTTTCAGAAGTGATTACAATGAAGTTCTCTAATTGCTTGTGTGTTGTATTAAGTAGATCCCATTTGAGTCTAAAATCACATGCAATGTTTAAATGTTATTTCTGTAAACTATACAAAACTATAATTTTCCAGTGAAGAAAAAAGAGGCTGTCAAATAAGAAGAGATATGAAATGAGATCGTTCCCCTTCTTTGTGAGACAGATGTTATTTTTGGCTCTTCTGTGTAATGCATTCCATATTATAGTCTCTTTTTAACCAAACACTAGGACTAGTACATGCTTGCACACAGTGCACCAAAGCCATTCTCAGGAAAACTTCTTTTTATTAACACTGATAACTTTTTCAGTCCCCAGTGCAAAAACCTCAAGTTGTAGGCTACAAACAGTACCCATGATGCCAAGGCAGGATTTTTTTTTTCATCCAGCAAATATATTCCTGCCATCAAAATAAAGTTGTACATTCTCCCTCAGAACCTGCCCCGAGGTTTGGCAAATGATTTTTTTCTCTTATCTATCTTGTAAAGCTCTTGTCCTTTTATGCTGATAGATTTTTGTAAGATTTGAGTTTTCTTTTCTTTATCAGCCTCTGCAGAAAAATGTAAAAGAGAAGAGAGTAAAGATGGCACAAACTTACACAGAAAAAAAATAGACTCCATCCCACCAACTGGCTATTCAACTTGTATTTATCTCCAAAAAGTTTGATGCTGAGTAAATATCAGCTGCAACTAATTAGCTCCAGGACAAAAAAAAATCCATATTGAACTGGGATGACAAGAATGCAACCAGAAATGAATAAAATGTCCTGGTTGGAAGCAGACGGAAGTTTTGCCAACCAGTATGTGCAGAGGGAGAAACAAACGGTTATTATTAGGCTGATTTAATTTTCAGTTCTTCCTCATGATGGAGAAGCTGATATTCATTTAAATAAATTGACTCAGCTAACTGCTAAAGCTTTCTGGGTTTGCCAAGGTATTTCTTCTATTTTGTATTTTTTGAAGATGGTGTCTTGCCCTTCCATAGCCTGGGGCCATTGCAGGCTAAGATAAAAAGCTAGCAGGTTTTCCTTGAAGAGAGGAAAGGCTGAACACGTGGACTGCATCACTGCTGTCCATAAAGTTTGACACTCTTCACTGTGGCTGACACAAGGTGTGAGGAAGGAGTTACAGTGGCAGCACTTGGGATTTAGTGAAGCCACAGGCGTCCCTGTTTCAAAGAACATGTGAGAGTCAGGAGATTTCTGAGACCACACTTGAATTGCTCTTTACTGCAAAGCGCAAGTGGTGGTGGTGAGGACCCAACAGGCAGACATTCTCTCCCAAATCCACTGGGAGCATAATCAGAAAGGAATGGGAATGAACTAGCCAAGAGGTTCACTACTATTTCCCTTCAGTCTCCCCCACATTAGGGTCCAATTCCCACCCATCTCAGTACAGGCTGGTTACCACGGAGCAGGGTGGAGTGGGGTGCCAAGCTCCTCCTCATTCCCTCCAGTACAGCCCTGCCAAGAGGGGAGCCCTTGGGCTTGCTATGATCTTGGAAAGGCTCTGCTACTGCAAGCAGACAAGTCTTTCTCGCTGTGGGTCAGGCCCTGCCTGTATTCCTTCAGCCCATTTGAAGGTCATTTGAAGCTTCATTGGACAGTTCCCAGACAGGCCCAAGCCTTCCTTCCTCAAGCCCCTGCATTTCTCTCGGTGTAAGGTTTTTCTCTGGACTCAGGAGCACACTTGGCTTTCACAACCAGTGAGGCATGGAGGCTGGTGAATGAATACCTTGGTGTTCTTATTCCTTGGTGGAAAAACTCAATCCTTGGTGTGTTCCACCCAAACTCTCAGAAAGCCTGCAAGAAGACTAACTGCATAAGTGGTAATGCACCATTAATGAATGTTCCTTTTATTTGCATTTCTCCCTTCTTTGTCTCTTCCCACTCCCTATCCTCTTGGGATCACCTCCCAAATAAACTAATGACACCCAAGTCCTTGTCTCAGAGTTGCTTCACAGGGGAATCTAAAGTAAAACACCTGCTCTAAGCAATTCTCTGTTACATAAAGTTACTCAGGATGAGAATCTGGTATCCAGATCACGCCCAACCACATAGTAAAATGTTCCCAGAGTATCCGCAGTATAGTGGCCTACTGAGGTCTAAGAGATCATCTGTAACCATAGTGCTGATTTCCAAAGATTGGAAACATGTATTTATTAAACAAATATTTATCAAAGGCATTGTAAGTTGGCCTAAACCATTTTGCACACACAACTATTATGTCCTTTTTGGTAGTTCTCAGTAGCAGGCTGTAGTTAGAAGGGGAAGGTTAGTTGTTCCCCCAACTTCTCTGCCTCCAGACTGCTTATTACCTAGCCTTTTAGTGAAGCCTTATTTGGTTAAGCCACTGCATTTGTGCTTCTATTACATACTAAAATACAATCCCCAATACTGCACTGGGTATCAGTGATTTCCCCCCAGGAGAACAGACCTCCTGAGAAAAGCACTTCGGTATCAGGTTAGGAGCATTCCTACATCCCATTGTTTTATTCACAAACACTACAAAAAATAAAATTATACAAAAGCCTCCTGACTAGTAGGACTGTTCCAAAGATGGAGGTGAGAAAGGTCCCTGTTTAAATTTAGTGCAAAGATTTAAAGTAGTTGAGGACAGTGAAATTGATTATTTTTCAGGCTCCTTTAAGACCCAGGAATTCTACATTAAAATCATTTTAGCTAATTAGTTACCAGAACCTTGGAGATACAAGGTCATGAGACTATTAATTCAGATGGGGGAGAAAGTGGTTAGAATTTAAGGTTCCATCCTACATCAGTGGGATCAAAGTGGGAAGTACTAGGTACTTCACTGGTACTAGAAGGGCTGGGAATGTGACCACATATGCAACAGTGACCTTTGCAAATGTTCCTAGGGCCTATTGTTTTGTAGAGCAAAAAGTGGAGGTGAAACACAACATACCTAGGAAAAAAATAAAAGCAAGAGTGCCCACCTCACCTCAGTAAGTATGGCCACACTGGCAGGGCTTCTCAGACTGAAGCAATGCACATTCCTCCTTCGGGCCTCCCCCACAAAAGAAATGGGGAACTTTGGGAGGCTGAGGCTGGCAGATCATGAAGTCAGGAGATCGAGACCATCTTGGCTAACACGATAAAACCCCGCCTCTATTAAAAATACAAAAAATTATCCAGGTGTGGTGGCACATGTCTGTAGTCCCAGCTACTCAGGAGGCTGAGGCAGGAGAATCGCTTGAACCTGAGAGGTGGAGGCTGCAGTGAGCTGAGATCATGCCACTGCACTCCAGCCTGGGTGACAGAGCAAGACTCCGTCCCAAAAAAAAAAAAAAAAGAAATGGGAAAGTCCATGGAATTCCTCTGTGTTTATAAGTACTGGATTTTTGACAGTAGGTTCAGAAAGGGTCCAGATTGCTGAGATTTGTACACAATCTCTAGTGTGTACAGTTCCACAGGCTGTATTCACATTTCCTAACGTGGCATGTGTAGCGTTTAATAGAATAAACCAATAAATGCCACCTGCTACAAGTATATGAAATATGTTAAGTACAAGAGGCAGGGACTCTGAGCAGAGATGTAAAGGATGTCCACTGGGTTTCAGCATTAGTAACTGAGGTTGATGGGGTGGGGTTGGAAGGAGGAAGGATGGACACAGAGGGAAAGGCCTGGAATACAAACCAGAATGCAAAGGCCTTTGCAAAAAAAAAAAAAAAACAGCTCTTGGTTTTACAGAGTAATTCCACTGTTACTTATTTTTAAATTTCTGCATTATTAATTCTTGCTTTTATCTTTATTAATTCCATCACCCCACATTCTTTTAGTTTATTTTTCTCGGATGTATTCCAGTGTCTTGATTTCAAAGATTAGTTCATTTATTTTTTGTCTTCCTTGTTTTTCCTAATAAATATAATTATGATAATAAATATTTCTACAAGTACTGTCCTGGTCATATCATTGGTTCTACCATGGTGTGCTTTCTAAATTGTTTTTTATTTCCTCTTTAACACAAGTATTACAAAAAAGTGATTTTTTTTTAATTTCGAAGAGTATAGTTGACTTTTGTTTTGTTTTTGCTGTTTTTCTTATTTCTAATTTTAATTAATCATGAGCAGTGAATGTTGCCTACATGATTTCTTTTTTTTTAATTTGTTAACATTTTATAATATATGATCGATTGTTTTCTGAATGTTTAATGTGCTTTTGAAAAAAAAATGGATGCTGTTTGTTGACTATGTATGTATGTCAAATTTATCCATTGTGTATTCAAATCCCACACATCTGTATTTATCTTTAGCCTACTTGATTTATTAATTTTTAAAACATGTATGTTAAAGTTCATTGTGATAGTGGAGTGACCCATTTATCCTTATATTTTCTATTTGGTTTTGCTGTCTATATTTAGAAGCTATGTTGTCAGAGTAATGAAGGCTCGTTTGATTGGCATAACCTTCTATCACCCTGAAACATTTTTCTTTGGCCTTCTTAATAATATCTGCCTTGAATTTCCTTTTGTCTGATAATAGTATTGCCAAATTTATTCTATTTTGGTTAGCATTTTCCTTTTATATATTTTTCCATTCCTTTCATTTCAACCTCTGTATGGCTTCAGCCTACTTGGAGACAGCAGGACATGCTGTTCGGGGCAGTGTGACCCCTAGCCTGTCTACTGTGATTTGGGTGAGGAACAGAATGTGCTATTCCTCAAAGCAGGCATTCAGTCAGTCTCCTGATGTTGGGCTCATTGTTTCACCTGGTGTCACAGCCACCAAAGGCCCCATCTAGCCTCTGCTCACTGACTGTTCCTGCCTAAAAGCAGACACATTGGTTGCTGATTGCTGGGCAAGAAAGAAATAGAGGAGAGGGAGGGTGCAGATGGTCAGTGAACCTAGATTCTTCTACTGCAGAACACCAACTAATCACTCAGTCAGTTGCTCCAGGGGACTTCTTGCCAGACCTCTGGGAGCCACAGATCTCTGAACTAGAAGCATCCTTAGAGCCCTGCCCACTTTTGTAGATGTTCTGTCCTGTATGAGTATTGGGTTGTGATTTCCTTCTTCAATCTGATCCCAACTATTTTCCAGCTTTCTGAAATTCATCAAATTTTTGGCCAACTGAGACTCCTTTATTGTTTTCCAACATGATTTTAAACACAGTATTTTCCCAATTTCTAGGGATTTGGGGTGAGAGGGAGAGGTTGTAAGGCTACCTATAATACTTGTTTTGTCTTCTCAATAATTTCTTTAGGCCAGATTACCAAAAATGAGATTCTGGGGCAAAGCATATAAACATTTTCAGAGATCTTGATACATATTGCCATATTCCTTTCTACAGGATTATAATAATTTACAACACTATCAGCAGTTCCCTCATTAGAAATTTTGCTCATTGTTTAGAACAGAAAGAGAAGTTATATTTCAAGTAGACTAATGGTAAAAGGTTTTTTTGAACAGTTTTATAAAGGTATAATTGAAATATAACAAACTGTACCTATTTAAAGTATATGACTTGATAAGTTTTGACATATGTTTACACCTGTGAAATCCTCAGCACAACCAAGAGAGTTAACATATTCAATAATCCTACAAGTTTCCTTACATCCTTTTACAGTTCCTCCCTCCCACCCCTCCCTGCCTCACTCTGTCAATTTCTAGGTAACCATTGATTTAATTTGTGTCACTGTTGAATAATTTGTACTTCCTAGAATTTTATATAAATTAAATAATACAGTATATACACTATTTTTCTGGTCTTTCACTCAGCATGATTGTTTTGAAATTTATCCATGTTGTTGCACGTATCAATTGTTATTCCTGCTTATTGATGAGTAGTATTTTATTGTAAGGATATACCACAGTCTATCTACTAACTCTTCTTTCTCTGACTTAGGTTCATTTCTTTTTTATTTAAAAATTTTTATTGTGGTAAAAAACACATAAAATTCACCATCTTAAACATTTTTAAGTGTACAGCTCAGTATTCTTAAGTATATTTATATTGTTGTGAAATAGATCTCCAGAACTTCATCTTGCAAATGTGAAATTCTAAACCCATTAAACAACAATCTCCCTTTTGTTTCTGACCCTGGTGACCATGATTTTACCTTCTGTTTTTATAATTTGATGATTTTAGTGCCTCATATAAGTAGAATCATACAATATTTGTCCTTTTATGACTGGCTTATTTCACTTGGCACAATGTCCTAAAGGTTCATCCATGTTGCAGCATGTGACAGGATTTCCTTCCTTTTTAAGGCTGAATAATATTCTAATATATGTGTATGCCACATTCTGTTTATCTATTCATTTATCAATGGCTATTTAGGTTTCTTCATCTCTTGGCTATTGTGAATAATGTTGCTATAAACATGGCTGTGCAAATATCTCTTCAAGACTCTACTGTCAACTCTTTTGAATATATTCCCAGAAGTGGAATTGATGGATCATATGGTAATTACATTTTTAATTTTTTGAGGAACCTCTATACCATTTTCCATAGTAGTTGCACCATTTTACAATCCCACAAACAAGGCACAAGTGTTCCAATTTCTCCATATCCTCACCAACGCTTGTTAGTTTCTGGTTTTTTTGATAGTAGTCATATTCGGTGTGAGACAATATCTCACTATGGCTTATTTCTCTGATGATTAACAATGTTGAGCATCTTTTCATATGCTCGTTGGCTATTTGTATCATCTTTTGAGAAATCCTTCTCCAAGCTCTTTGCCCAGAATGGGTGATTTCTTTTTAAGAATTTCAAACTTACAGAAAACTTGCCAGAATGGACAAAAAACACCCATATATCCTTTACTCAGATTGACTTACTATCCACATTTTGCTTGATTTGTTTT
Organism: Homo sapiens; assembly: GCF_000001405.40. Lineage (NCBI taxonomy): Eukaryota > Metazoa > Chordata > Mammalia > Primates > Hominidae > Homo > Homo sapiens. The sequence continues at coordinate 37,960,413 of NC_000005.10, read as the reverse complement.
GTAATTTGTGAGCTCTCTTTACATATATATTTTCCTTAACTCTCTGAGAGTAAGTTTCATGTACCCTTAAGTTTCAATCTCAAACACTCCAGCAATATCTTCTAAGATCATTCTCCTATGCAACTATTATACAGCCATCATCTTGGATTAATTATTTTTCATGATTCCATTTGATCTTCTTCATTGGATTTTTTAGCTATAAATCTTTGGTTTATTATTTTAGTGGTTGCTTTAGGATATAGTATACTTCTTTATCATAATCTACCTTCAAGTGATATTATACCATCTTAAGTATTGTATAAGAACCTTAACAATGACATATTTCCATGTTTCACTTTTGGCCTTTGAGCTACTGCTGTCACGTTACCTTTACATATTTTACGTGTAATGGCATTATTATTTTTCACAGTCAATTTTCTTTTGAAAAGATTAACAATAAAGGATAAATTCTTCCATATATATTCATGTAATTACCATTGGTGCTCTTCATTCCTTGGTGTAGATCCATCTGGTATCACTTTCTCTCTGTCTGAAGGACTTTAACATTTCTTGTTGTGAAGTTCTGCTGGTAATGAATGCTTTCAGCTTCTGTCTGAAGATGCCTATTTGTTTTTATTTTCTGCCGAGACCAGCTCGGTCAGGGAGACCCTAACCCAGTGGCGCTAGAGGAATTAAAGACACACACACAGAAATATAGAGGTATGGAGTGGGAAATCAGGGGTCTCAGAACCTTCAGAGCTGAGAGCCTCGAACAGAGATTTACCCACATATTTACTGACAGTAAGCCAGTGATAAGCATTGTTTCTATAGATTATAGATTAACTAAAAGTATTCCTTATGGGAAACAAAGGGATGAGCCTAAATAAAGGGATGGGTTTGGCTAGTTATCTGCAGCAGGAGTATGTCTTTAAGACACAGATTGCTCATGCTATTGTTTGTGGTTTAAGAATACCTTTAAGTGGTTTTTCTGCCCTGGGTGGGCCAGGTGTTCCTTGCCCTCATTCTGGTAAACCCACAACTTTCCAGTGTGGGCCTCACAGCCATCACAAACATGTCACAGTGCTGCAGAGATTTTGTTTATGGCCAGTTTTGGGGCCAGTTTATGGCCAGATTTTGGAGGCCTATTCCCAACAATCTTCAAAGGGCATTTTTACTAGGTATAGAATTCAAGGTTGACAGCTTTTTTCTCAGTACTTTAAAAATGTTCCACTGTCTTCTCACTTGCATTGTTTCTGACTAGAAATCAGCTGTTATTCTTCTTTGTTCCTCTGTATTTAAGCCTCTTTTCTCTGGCTGCTTTTATGATTTTTCTCTTTATCAATGATTTTTGACAATTCTGATGTGCCTTTGTGTATTTTTTTTCAAATTTATTCTCTCGTAGTTCTGGAGGCTAGAACTACCAACATCAAGGGTGCTGGTGGGGCTAGGCTCCCACTGAAACCTCTAGGGTATGATCCTTCTTTGCCTCATCCAGCTTCTGGTGGCCCTTGGTATTCCTTGACTTTTGGCAGCGTAACTCCAACTTCTGCCACACTGCCATTTTCCCATCTGTGTCTGTGATTTCACATGGTATTCTCCTCTCTTTATGTTTCCCTTCTCTCTCATAAGGACACCAGTCATTTTGGATTAAGGACTCACTTTACTCCAGGTTGGCCTCATCTTAATTTATGTTAGTTATATCTGCAAAGAACCTATTTCCAAATAAGGTTACATTCACAAGGGCCACAGGTTAGGGCTTCAACATATCTTTTTGTGAGACACATTTCAACCCATAATATCTAAGAACACATTACTATACATCACAAAAGGGAGTTTTGTGGGTGTGATTAGGTTAAGGATCTTGAGATGAGAAGAGTATCCAGCCTTATATAGTGAACCCAGTGTAATCACAAGGGTCCTTGTAAGAGGGTGGCAAAAGGTCAGAGTCTGAAAAGGACATGTGACAGTGGGAAAAGAAATTAGAGCAATGCAGACACAAGCCAAGGACTGCACGCAGCCTTGAAAGGCTAGGACAGGCAAAGGACAGATTCTCCTCTAGAGCCTGTAAAAGGAATGTAGCTATGCTGAACTTACATATTGACTTTAGCTTGTAAGAACCGTATCAGACTTCTGAACTCCAGAACTATACAATAATAAATTTGTGTTGTTTTAAGCCACTACATTTTTTGGTATAGCAACAAAAGGAAACTAATACATGTGGGTTTATAGTTTGTATCAAATATGGAAATTTTTCAGCCATTATTTCTTCAAATATTTTTTGTTCTTCTCTCTTTTCTCCTCTAATAATACTCCAATTACATATATATGAGGCCTCCAAGTTGTCCCATAGCTCACTGATCCTCTGCATATTTTTTAAAATTCTTTTTTCTCTGTGTGTTTCATTTTTGGTAGTTTCTATTGCTATGTCTTCAAATTCACTAATCTTTTCTTCTGCAATGTCTAATTTACCATTAATCTCATGTAACATATTTTTCACCTTTGACATTATAGCTTTCACCTCCAGAAGCTTGATGTGAACTTTTTTCTCTTTTTAATATCTTCCATGTCTCTACTTTATTTTTTGAACATGTGGAATATAGTTATAATGAATGTCCTTGCTTACTAATTCTAACATCTGTATAAATTATAGGTTGACTTTAATTTTTTTTCCTCATTGTGGGTTGTATTTTCCTGTTTTTTTGCATGCCTGGTAATTTTTTATTGGATTGTAGTCATTATAAACTGCACCATGTTTGTTACTGGACATTTTCATATTCCTATAAATATTTTAAGCTTTATTCTGAGATACAATTAAATTACAAAGATACAGTTTGGTCCTTTTTGTTCTTGCTTTCAAGTCTTGTTAGGCAGGACTAGAGCAGTGTTTAGCCTAGGGCTATTTCCCTCCACTGAGACAAGACTTTTCTAAGTATTTCACCCATTGCTTCACGAATTGTGAGGTTTTCCAGTCTGACTGGTGGGAACAGGCACTATTCCAGGCCCAGTGTGAGTACCAGATGTCATTCTTTCTAACTCTTTTGGGTGGTTCTTTCCCTAGCCTCTGTTAGTTTCCTCATATGCATGGGCTAATGTCCACTGTCTTGAAAACTGTTACAGTCATGAGTGCTTAATGATAATGGGAATACCTTCTGAGAAGTGCATCATCAGGTGATTTCATCATTGTGCAAACATCATAGTGTACTTACACAAACCTAGACAATATAGCCTACTACATCCCTACTCTATGTGGTATAACCTATTGCTCCTAGGCTACAAACCTGTACAGTATGTCGCTGTACTGAATACTGTAGGCAATTGTAACACAATGGTAAGTATTTATGTATCTAAACATATCTAACATAGAAAAGGTACTATAAAAATACTTTATAAAAGATAAAAAATGGCAAACCTGTTAGGACACTTACCATGAATGGAAATTGCATGACGAGAAATTGCTCTGGTTTAGTCAGTGAGTGGTGAGTAAACATGAAGGCCTCAGACACTACTGTACACTACCATTGACTTTAGAAACACTGTGCACTGAGGCTACACTAAGTTAATTTTTTAAATAGTTTTCATTTTTAATCATAAATTAACCTTGGCTTATTGTAACTTTATTTTATAAACTTTTAAATTTTTTTAACTTCTTTTGTATTAACATGTAGCTTAAAACACAAACATTGTGCCAGGCACGGTGGCTCATGCCTGTAATCCCAGCATTCTGGGAGGTCAAGGTGGGCAGATCACCTGAGTTCGGGAGTTTGAGACCAGCCTGACCAACATGGAGAAATCCCGTCTCCACTAAAAATACAAAATTAGCTGAGCGTGGTGGCGCATGCCTGTAATCCCAGCTACTCGGGAGGCTGAGGCAGGAGAATCACTTGAACCTGGGAGGCAGAGGTTGCAGTGAGCCAAGATCGTGCCACTGCACTCCAGCCTGGGTGATAAGAGTGAAATTGCATCTCAAAACAATAAAAAAGACCACAAACATTGTATAGCTATACCAAAATATTTTCTTTCTTTATATTCTTATTTTATAAGCTTTACTTATTTTAAAATTTTTGTATTGCTTTTACTTTTTAAATTTTTTGTTAAAAACTAAGACACAAACACACATTAGCCTAGGCCTACACGGGGTCAGGATTATCAATACAACAGTCTTTAATCTCCACATCTTGTCCCACTGGAAAGTCTTCAAAGACAATTACCCTGCATGGAACTGTCATGTCCTATGATAACAATGCCTTCTTCTGGAACACCTTCTGAAGGACCAGCTGTTTTACAGTTAACTTTTTTTTTAAAAGTAGAAGGAGTACACTCTAAAACAATGATAATGAGTATACTACAATAAACCAGTAACAGTTTATTATCAAGTATTATGTATTCTACATAATTTTATATGCTAGACTTTTATGCAACTGGTAGTGCAGTAAGTTTGTTTACACTAGCATCAACACAAACCTGTGAGTAATGCATTGCACTATGACATTATGAATGATGTCACCAAGCCATCAGAATTTTTCAGCTCCATTACATTCTATGAGACCACCGTCGTATATGTGGTCCATCATTGACTGAAATGTCATTATGTGGCTCACGACTGTATTTTATATATTATGTGTTTGTTTTAGGTAGAAGGGTAAATCTAGTCTCTTTTTATACCATCTTGACCGAGTAAAGCTAAACTTCTTTAATGTGAGAAGCTTTTTTTCCAAATAACTCCACTATTTAACACAGATAAAAAGCAAAGCTTCTGTGATTGAGAGTAAGGGAAGGGACTGCTAGCTTGAGGAGACCTGCCTATGTAGCTGTTTCTTTGATGCACTCAGTAGTTCCTAAGGGTTCTCCCCTGATCCTTAGAGATTCACAGGGCCCAATTTGAAAACCACTATACCTAGTCAAATCCCTCCTTTTTGATATTTGATGAAACTGAGAACCAGAGTGGTTACGTAACTTGCCCAAGGTCACAGAGCTAAAACCTAGATTGTAAGATGAAAGGGAGTAATGACTGCACACAAGTAAAGACCTCAAGAATGGCAGCAATTATTACTAGGTCTGTCCTTGTATTTCAAATTTCCAAAAGTCTGTGATAGTAACAGGAGAAGAGGGAGAGACTGTGTTTTTATGGAAAGGATCTGGCAATAAAGGCCTCAGTTACACCTTCCCTTATAAGCCAAGGTCATTTCCTGAGGCCCCATCTCCCGAGGAAGGTCCTCATGTTCCCAGCTCAGTTCCCAGGCCAAACTTACATAAGTGCCTCAGGGCTGAAGACTAGAACCCAGGTCCCTGAATCACAGGCAAGTGTCTAATCCACTACACCCCATCACCTCCCTTCATTGGTAAAATTCAAAAATCCAGTGAAACATTATTCTTTGCTAACCATCAAATATTTTAAAAAGATTCACCAGAACCGTGTGTTTGCAATTTTGGCAAAATTTCCTGGGAGCACAGAAAGAGGTCTCAATCTCTCACTAAAACAGCACAGATTCCACATTGCTTGGAACTTCATATAGTGGAGTGTGGTGTGGTAGTGTTTAGGAAGCAAGCTAGAAAGAAGAGATTGATCAAATAGGAGTCTAGGCTCCCACTGAAAACCACAAAACAGGAAGGACATGGGTGCCAAGAGCATCTAACTCAGATGCTGACATACTGGATGAGTCTGGATTTGCCACTCAAAGAATCTCAAACTCCTTGATTTAAGCAGTATTCATAGAACTTGTTCCTGCTTGCTTTCTAGAGAATCTGAGAGCTATAACCATATTTAAAAACAATTTGTAAATTACTAAGAGCTCCTTGGAGATAGGATGACATATAAATATATGGTATTACTGTTATGTTAACCACACTTAAGTATGGTTAACCATACTTAAGTATGCTAACCATACTTAAATATTTACAATATTACTTTAAAAGAGATTATCTGCAAAATTCTTAGTGTCTTCTCCAATCAATTTTCCAAACTATAGAGAAGTTAATTACTCTGTGGTCTTGGTATATTTCAATCTACTACAGTCCAAAACTTGGAATACATTTAGAACTCTTTTCATATCAGTGAGAACTGAAAGAATTTCAACATAACATTGCTATTCTTACACCATCACATCACAGCATGTACTCAGAGGCAACACCAATAAGGAGAATTAAGTATATTTCCTGAGGATTCAGTCTTGTCACTTTGCCTAATTCTGGAAAAAAAATTACCAATTAGTTTGATTCATGTTTTTGATCCAATTGTTTTATATATATATATATATATACACATATATATACATACACACACACACACACACACACACACGAACATATTTGCAAGTTCAGCCCTCAAAAGATGGTTCATTTTGTCTAAAGCTACCCTTTCCGATTAGGACAGCAAAATGTCATCAGATGGGTGGTAGCTTCGTGATTTGAACTGCAAGGCTGCTGTGCATGGCTGTAGAGGTAGAAATGAGTCCTTGAAAATTGTGTTGTGTACCCCCTGCTCCACAATACATGGTTGCCTTTATTCTACTTCAATACTAGAAGAAAACGATGAATCAGGAAAGGGAATACAGAAATTGAGCACATATGGGAATATAAAGAAGCCAGACAACAGAATGTCTCCAAAATATATGTCTATACAGAAACATATCTGTTATATACTCTAAATTTGTGTATCTACATACCAAATAGATTACATTTACCTATATAAACATATTACATTTACCCATATTAATAATATATATTTAACACATACACATTATATGGGTAAATTTATAGAACCCCTAGTACTAGTCATATAACAGACAATCCATAAATATTTCAAATACGTGAATGAAAATATACATACTCTCATAGCTGCACGTTGTGGCAATTAAACTAAGATGAACTGCTGCTAATTTTCATCAGGATGAACATAGACTTTTGTTAATTTTCATCCAGTCAGAAATGCCCAGCAGGTTCAGAAGACTCCAGAAGAACCCATAACCTAGAGTCATATGTATAGGTGTGAACAAAGTGCTTTCTAACCAGGACAAATCAACTGAATTCCCTATAGCATGTACCTGAAACTATTTAATTCTAAAAAGTCTGTTCCTGAAACTCAAAGACAATTGTCTTGCTTTGTCCCTACTGTTACAGGTAAGGTCACGTTCTAAGAATCGTCATTATGGAATGGAGGAATGAATTATTGGTCTAAGAATCAGAAGGAAGAACTGCTTTTCCCACCCAGCTTTGGAACTAACAAGCTGATGACATTTAGTCCTGTCCCTTCTCTGCAGACTTTAACTGCTTAATCTGTAAACTACATAGTTGGATTTAACAATCCACAAGGTCCCTTCAAGCTATGCAGAAATTTATGTATTGTATAATAAATAAAATATTATTATTTATTTAGATTTGACCCTGTCAAATCAGTAAGGTTAATAAAATTAAAAATTATGACCAAAAGAAAATATGTTAAAAATAAGTGCTAAAATACTTGCCAATTAAATTTTATATTTAGTTCTGAGCAATCAGGGAAAAGTGAGAAATGTAAGTTTCACTACTTGCATTTTTGGAAAGGGAGAAGCTTTCCTTTTTCTTGACGAATGACCTTCTGTTGTACTAATCCCTGCCCTAATTGAGAAGATAAACTGTGACCTCAGCTTCACAGGATCATTCCCAGGCAAGAAACCCCTTCTTATACTTCTAGGTAAAGACTAAACATTCAGATGGCGCCATTTTTCGTAGGTAGTGAAATGTCATCGTAAGGTCACTGGGTACCACACAATTGAGGAAATCAGAACCCAGAGACATTAAGTAATATTTCAGAGGCCACCCGGGTAGCCATGAACGGCGGAGAGATTAAATACTCAAGAGTTCCTGACCTGGAGGTCAGCGCCTGGTTTTAGGTAACACGCCCCCGGGACAGACGCGGCCCTCTGTGCATGTGCGGAGCTGAGTGTCCTTGGAATGTGACACGAGCTGCAGAAAGCGCAAAAGAAGCTGAAAGGCAGCGATGCCCCGGGGTCTTCTGGGGCATATGGGTGTTCCTTTCACTCTGCCCCGTTCCTTTCACCACAGCTCAGTTTGAATTTGATGAATTAAGTGTGAAGTTTCCTTCCTCTTCAGCGTGGAGCGCTCTTCCCGGTGGGGCGCCCGCGGTCCGGAAGCATGAGCGCGTCTACAAGATGGCGCTGGGTGTTATGGGAGAGTCGCACTGGAGACGTTGAGCTAAGAAACCACAGCAGGTTAAGGGCTGGGAAAACATCTGGCTCCAATGGACACAGCGATGGCCTCCCGCGAGCCCAGACACAACACAGGGCTGTCAGCTCCCCTCTGAAGGCATCCTATCGCCCCCAGGAGGAGCCTCCAGGGACTGAGGTCACCAAAACAGTGACTCCAGAGAACAAATATTAAGAATACATTTTGACAGCAATTTGTAGGAACAGGTCCCTCATTTCCTGGTCTGAGCAGAGTCTTGAGGCTCTTTGCTGCAAGAATGAATTCGGGGGCCCTCCTTCTGATGTCCTGAGGGGGAGTGTGGGGAAGTCTGAGAAAGGTGTTGGAACACAGCTTCCAGAGAAAATCTGGGAATAGTGCACCACCCTGAAGAGCGATTTTTGTTTTAAAAACACAAAATAACTTGCCAATCAGTGCTCCCTACCCCCACCCAAAGTCTTTTCCCCATTCACCAGCATGAACAAGACTTCCAATAAGCATCCAAAAATCATCACTTTACTTCTGCAATATCTGCACAGGGTTTTAGAAATGAAAGAATCCTGAGCTGGGCATGGTGGCTCACGTCTATAATCCCAACTACTCCAAGGCTGAGGCAGGAGTATGGCCTGAACCCAACAGTGCAAGACTAGCCTGGGCAACATAGCAAGACCCTCCCCCATCTCAAAAAAAAAAAAAAAAAGAAATCTTAAGAACCATTTATGCACTTTGGGAGCCCAAGGCTGACAGATCACTTGAGATCAGGAGTTCAAGACCAGCCTGGCCAATATGGTGAAACACCGTCTCTACTAAAAATATAAAAATTAGCCAGGTGTGTCGGTGTGCACCTATAATCCCAGCTACTTGGGAGGCTGAGGCAGGAGAATCGCTTGAACCCAGGAGGTGGAGGTTGCAGTGAGCAGAGGCTTTGCCACTGCATTCCAGCCTGGGTGACAGAGCGAGACTCCATTTCAAAATAACAAAGAACCATTTATGGCCAGTAGAGTAGCCAAATGATTATGCCACAGCTAGTTAGTGGAAACTCTGGGAATAGGCCTCAGCTAACCCAGCTCCTAATTGGGGCTCTTTCCTTTTATTCATCTTTTTTCAACAAACATTTATTGTGTGCCTACAAAGGCAAGAGAAAACATGGCCAACCATGCACTGGCTCTGAAAACTTTTGGCTCAGAAGTGACGCATATCCTTTCTGCTCACATTTTATTAGACAACCAAGCAAGTCATTGTCCATGCCCAATTTCAACAGGCAGGGATAAATTAGCTTCTCATGGAAAAGGCGGAGTATTTGTGAACAGTAAGACAGTCCTCCACAAAAGCCCAGGGTCCAGGACAAGGGTTGGTTTCACCTAGATTAGCTAAGAAGTTAGGAGCTCAGCAGACGAATCAGCCAATAAAAGGAGGCAACCACATTTCCTCATTCCTCAACCAAAACTAGAGACATCTGAGAGACATGGACACTGATGAGGAGCATAGGCTAGAAGCACTATTTGGAAGTTCTTTGGCGGAGAGAAGTGTTTTTTCCATCTCTGGGAAGTCAAGGACATGTATTCATGAGCTCCTTTTAACAAATGACCTAAAATTTTGCATATACACACAAATATTTGACCAGATGGGTCTCAGGTCCTGAAGATGAAACACATCACCAAGATGGCATCTGCTCTTGGCTCCTTCCAGCATTCCAGACCCTGAAACCAGATGATCTTTTTTAAATAAAAATCTGGTTGTGTTTTCCACCCTTCTTCCACCTTCCCATGTACAACTTTCCATTGCTTAAAATGCATCAATGGCTTTCTGTTGTTTTTACTCTGAAGCTTAAAATCCTAACTAACAGCTCCAGCCTCTCTCTGTTCCATGTACACAGTCCTGCTTTTAGTTCTTTAGGATCTCCATGCTTCTTCCTACCCACAGAGCCGTTCCGCATGCTATTCCTCCTGTGTAGAATGCTTTTCCCTATCCCCTTCATCCAGGTAATTCCTTATCTCTTTAGATCTTGGCTTATTGCTATTGCCTTAAGAAAGTCTTCCCTGACCTCACCAAGTCAATCCCTCTCGATTATTCATACAACAAGTATTTATTGAATACCTACTAAGTTCCAGGCATTGACCTAGTTGCTAGGAATGTAAAGGCAATGAGACAATTGACATGCCAGGGAGGGACAAAAAATAAACAATAAAAATACCTCTGTCAGGTATGACAGGTGCTATGAACAAGAAATGAACAGAGTAAAGGGTGAAAGGGCCAAGCACTGTTTTAGATAAAGTGGTCAAAGTTAAGTGGTCTCTGAAGCTCCTCTGAAGAGAGGACCACTTAACTGCACCCTAAATGCAGAGAAAAACAAAGCTCTGCTACCTGGAAGAAAAATGTTCCTGATAGAGGGAATGACAATTGCCAATGCCCTGAAGACAGGGTGTTGGAAGAATAGCCAATGTATTATGACTTATTTCAGTACTTTGTAGCTTATCATAGCACTATCACTGTATGATTTAAAAATTCATTTGTGTTACTTGATTAGTGTTCATTGCTCCTCTAGACTGTTACTTCAAAAGGCATAAAGGCAGGAGCTGTATCCATTTTTTGCTCATCATTGGACATTGAATCTCCTATGTTGTGCCTGGCATCTAGCACACAGTAGGTCCTTGATAAACATTTGTAGAATGGTGAAGAAATGATGGCTAATGATGAATGATAAAGCATATGCCCAAATGACTACAATCTTAGGTGTTTTCTCTGCCTCACTCATGTACATTCAGAACTCTCCTCTAAATGCCAAGAGCTGTTTTCCTGAAAATCTTGGCCTGAATCCTTTTTTCTGATGAAGATAACATGCCTGGCCAATGAATTCTAGAAAGTCAATGCCCCCAAAAAACAGCCTGCTACCAGTGACAGACAGAGAGTCGGAGGATAAATATACCCCAGCTTCCTTGTCCCTTAAACGGGATAACTCTAAGGCAGTGGTTTCTCAATTCTTCACAAATGATTCCCCCAGGGGACATTTGACAATGTTTAGAGAATTTTTAGATTGTCACAACAGGTGGGAGGAGGGGTGGGGAGGAGATGCAACTTGCATCTAACGGGTACAGTTCAGGATGCTACTAACCATCTAACAGCACAAAGGACAATCCCCTAAACCAAGAATTATCCAGCCCCAGATATCAACAGTGCCGAGTTTGTGAAACCCTGCTCTAAGGTATCTGTTCTATATGGTCTCCCCGAGTACCCTAGCAGAACCAAGGTCCAGTTGCCCATGGTGGTGACTGGTTTGATAACACATCATTTATTGGCTTCCTCCCTCCTCTTCCCTGCCTCACTTCCCAGGTGGTGTTTCCTGGGATCACCTACCAAATAAATGACTTGCCCTCAATTCCTCATTTCAGATTCTGCTTCGAGGGAAATCCAAACCACAAAATATCCCTCAAATCTTATATTTCTCAGAAACTAGTCTCTCCAACTCTTGGCCTGGCTAAGTAATAAAGCCATGGGACTGGCCTAGGAGACCCCAAGGAATAAGCAGCTAACACTGGCATCTGAAACTGGCACCACGTGAGCTGCAGCTCTTAAGGAAAGGCTGTGCCATCTGACAAAGTGTCCGGTTTGGGGAAAAGAAGCTTACTTCCCACTGGCACCCTCGGAGAGTCATTCAATTTGGAATAGAGACAGGAGAAAGAATGGTGAGGCTGGAAATGGAAAACCTGTTCAAATCCCACCTCTGTTGCTAACTGGATCCTTTTTCCTCGCCAAGTCTCTAATTTGTTGTATACTCCATTTTCCCATATTTCAAATGAGTTTGTTCAGTTAGAAGATCGCTGAGGACTCTTGGAGCCCTATCATTCTAGAATTATAAGAAGAAAACACTCACCTTCCGTGTCCCTTCCACCGTAACCCAAGCATTGTCTTCTTTGTTCAGAGGCCTCTTCTCCTGGGGCCACCTGGGACCCCTCCACCCCAAGCTGACGCACCTCCCACCGTAGCACTTCATGACAGATCTTCCTTCTCCGTCTGCCTCTGTTAGCACTTACATGATCCACAAGCTTGCAGCTCAGTTCAACTCTTAAAAATCATCACATCTCTGGGCTTTCATTTCCTAGAGACAAAGGCACGAAGAAGTTGGCTGTCTTTCTCAAGATTGCAAAGTTGCAAAACCCAGCTCCAAGTCCATGACCTTCCCACCACCAAACCCCACACTTGAACAAGTGGACAAATAAACCTCAGCAGGCACTGGCTATATACTGGGTATGGATTTCAAGTGCAAAGGAAAAAGAAAAAATTTAACTCTTTATCCTATTTAACAAAAATAATTAAGAAATGGAATGTTCTGATTGAAAATTACCAAGCATATGATGTATGGATGATCAACTTTTGAAGAATTTGAAACAATTAGAAATTAGAAAACAGAAGCCCACATCCTTTGAAACCCATAGTGCAGGTAGGTGAATGCTTTCTTCATGGTGCCTAAGACATTTTGGAATGGCAAAGATAACAGTAATGCCTGGCATTGCTTTATCTCCATGTCATTTGCAGTTTCGGTTTATTTCCAAAGGTTTCTGTAGCAATCAAAAGAACTAGGCAATAATTTAAGTGAGACTGAAACATCAGTCAAGGGCGTGGAATTTGGGAAAATAAATTACTGCTGTGCCTCTTCCTGATAAGAAAATAAGGATGATTGTTTGCCTTTTATTTATTTTTGACAAAACAGAGTTATTTAATAAGTGAAAATATATCAAAGGTAAAAATAGTTTTATAAAGAAGTTCTGAATATTTTATTATTAAAGTAACATAAACTCATTTAGAAATTAAACAGTAAGTAAAACAAATAGCATGAAAATAAAATTATAATTGCCTTTAATTTCACACTTAGAGACCACCATTATTTGTTTCATGTATTTCTAATATTTTCAGACTTTTTTTTTTTTTGAGACAGAGTCTGGCTCTGTCGCCAGGCTGGAGTTTAGTGGCATGATCTCGTCTCACTGCAACCTCCACCTCCCAGGTTCAAGCAATTCTCCTGCCTCAGCCTCCTAAGCAGTTGGGACTATAGGCACACACCATCACTCCCAGCTAATTTCTGTATTCTCAGTAGAGATGGGGTTTCACCATGTTGGCCATGATGGTCTCCATCTCTTGACATTGTGATCTGCCCATCTCGGCCTCCCAAAGTGCTGGGATTACAAGCATGAGCCACCATGCCCAGCCCAGACATTTTTAACAAAAATAAAATTCATATTGTCTAATATGCGTACAATTCTTATATCTTTCCATTTCACTTTTCACTGTGTCATGAACATTTAAGCATGGGTTCTGATTTTTTAACAATTGTATAATATTCCATTTATCTATCAGTCAATGAAAAACAGATTTAACCAAGCCCTCATTGCTGGGTACTTAGGTTGAATCCAATTTCTATCTCCCACAGAAATCTCTGAATCTCCACCAGACTTCAAGAAACAAAATCACTGGGTCGAAGGATATAAACATTATTTAAGGTTTAGAGAAGGTTTTAAAGCAATAAAGGCAAGGAAATATTTAGTACTTTTTTCATTTATTCCTAACTTGCCTAACAAAGGTTAATGACCCCGGCCTTATCCACAGATTTGACTATAATTTTTCATTTTCACCTTGAGATTTTATTTTGGAATTGTTATCTCTTTGGACCCTGGCTCTTTGGGCGGAGTCTAGCATCAAAATTTTTAGAGAAGGATGTTTTCTGGGGTACTGGAAATATTCTACTTCTTTATCTGGATGGCGGTTACATAGATATATTCAGTTTGTGAAGATTCATGGGACTGTACATTTATGATTTATGCACTTTTCTGTATGTTTGTTTCACTTAATAAAAATTATGCTTACAAAAATAGTGCTTCGTTAAATCATGAAATGTTAATTTCCTCAAGTGAGCCCTAAACAGCCATGAAATCCTTGTGGTCTTGGAGATCAAATAATATGAGTATTTGAAACCACTCGATGTTTTTTAGATACAAATAATTATTATCATCATCACCTGAATGAAGTCATTCTTGCTAAACATATGAATAAGGTAACACTCTCAGAAGGCATTTTTATTTTACAATGCAATTAATTCTGAAATTGGTGAGTTGACAGGTGTGGAGAGGGAGTCTTTGGATAGGCAGTTTTTTCCCATGCATACTCCCTCTGATTCCCTCACCTAGGGAGTAAGGTACATGTAGCATGGGTAGTCAGGCCACTCAGACTCTAGTTTTAGAATCTAGAATTCCCAATTACAGATTACCCAGGACACACAGTTCAGCAAGTTCATCAATATCCAGGCTCAGTTTCTCATCTAAGAAATGTTGCTTGGTTCTCTCTGGGCAAGGCCAACACATACAGCTGGGAGGGCTGTTCGCTGCACAAGGACACCTGGCTAAGATATCTTAGGGGGATGATGTCCAGGGCTCACCAAGTCATACATCCTGGCTGGGGATTAATCCACTCAGAAGAAGGGGGGCCTCTTAAAAATATAGACAAAGATGCCAAATGAGCTCCCATGCTCCATCTCTCCCACTTTTAGGCCAAGCCCCGTGGATTAACTAGGCTGATCCACCATGACAGTGGGCAATTATTCAGGCAAGAAGTCATCATCAGGCAGGGTATGCTCCCACAGCTGCACAACATGGGTTTGACTTTAGTTCTAAAACAGGCCCTGTCAGCCCTGTGCTCTGGATGAAATCCCCAGAAACTCCTGGGCTCCTGACACCTGTGATGGCTCATTCATGTGTTAACTTGGCTGAGCTATGGTGCCCAATTATTTGGTCAACCACTAATCTAAATGTTGCTGTGAAGATATTTGGTGGACATAACTAACATTTACAATCAATAGACTTTAAGTAAAATAGATTACCCTCCATTATGATTGGACCTCATCTAATAAGTTGAAGGACTTAAGAGCAAAGACTCAAGTTTCTCAAAGAAGAAATTCTGACTCAAAACTGCAACATGGAAACCCTGCCTGAGATTCCAGCCTGCTGGCCTGCCCTACAGGTTTCAAACTTGCCAGCCACCACGATATCATGAGCCAATTCCTTAATAAATCTCTTCTGTCTCTCTCTCTCTCTCTCTCTTTTTTTTTTTTTTTTTTTTGAGACAGAGGAGTCTCGTTCTTGTCGCCCAGGCTGGAGTGCAGTGGCATGATCTCGGTTCACTGCAACCTCTACCTCCCAGGTTCAAGTGATTCTCCTGCCTCAGCCTCCTGAGTAGCTTGGATTACAGGCACCCGCCACCATGCCCAGCTAATTTTTGTACTTTTAGTAGAGGCAGGTTTTTGCCATGTTGGCCAGCCTGGTCTCAAACTCTTGACCTCAGGTGATCTGCCTGCCTCAGCCTCCCGAAGTGATGGGATTATAGGCGTAAGCCACCGTGTCCAGCCTCTCTCCTGTCTCTCTCTCTGTGTGTGTGTAGGTGTACATGGAGAGATACATACATATCCCATTATGTATAAATATTATACCCCATAGATGTATATATACATAGATGTCTTCTGGATTCTATTCTCTGGAGAACTCTGACAAATGCAGCATCTGAGAACTGCAGCCCCTACAGTAGAACAGAACCTGATGAGAAGCTTCTTGATTCTCATGAGGCCTTGCACTGGAAGAAGCTTCCAGGAACACAGTGGTTCAAGCCAATCCCAAAGAGCAGAAACCTACAAATGCAGAAATCCCATTTAGCCCTCATTTTAGAAGTCTTTGTAAAGCTTCTACTTACAAATACATGCTCATAGCAGACAATTTTAAGAAAATAACTAAACAGGATAAGATTTCAGGTATCAGGATCTGAAAGTGACTTCAAGACAAGTTTTCATCATTTAGGATGGGCTTTTCCATGCATGATTTCACTTGATCTGGCAGTATCTCTCATGGAATCCAATTCTCATTAAATTCTGGACACGTGAAATAAATGGAATAAAACATGGGGAGAAGCATGTTGTGTTCTGCCACTGAAGCCCACATGACTGCAGAGGAGTTTCTCTAGGTCCCTTGGGCATTGTGCTTTTTAAATAAACTATGTTATTCAGCTGATATTAAAAGCAAAGTGAATGTCTAAAAGTAGTTCAAACAAGGACATCTCCCCTGGATTTTCATGAGCAGGCCCCAAGTCTGAAATGGCATATAATGTCTACTAAAAAAAAAAAAACAAATCTACTTAGAAATTGCAATCAATCATTTTCTTTCCTCCCCTCCCTATTTTCCTTTATCTCTCTTGTAGATTAATCTGAAGAACTTGGCCCAATCGCCTCTTTTCCTGTGTGCACACACCCTTTAGACACCTACAAGCAGATCACTATCACCCTGGGAATGATCAAGGACTGAATGCCATTTTCCCCTTCACCAGCTTTGCACTTTCTCATTTGGAAGCCTCTGGCTGTCAGTCTGTCTACATCTTGCTTGTGTTTTTTTTGTTTGTTTGTTTTGTTTTTTGGCACTATTTCCTTTCAGGTCTACCTTTCTTCTATCAGAATTCCTCTGACAAGGACATAGTTACCTTCTAGCTTTTTCCACCTTCAGCAGGTAGTGTTCACTGGAAGGGAAAATTCTTTTTTTCTTTATTATACTTTAAGTTTTAGGGTACATGTGCACAATGTGCAGGTTAGTTACATATGTATACATGTGCCATGTTGGTGTGCTGCACCCAGTAACTCGTCATTTAACATTAGGTATATCTTCTAATGCTATCCCTCCCCCTTCCCCCCACACCACAACAGGCCCCAGTGTGTGATGTTCCCCTTCCTGTGTCCATGTGTTCTCATTGTTCAATTCCCACCTATGAGTGAGAACATGTGGTGTTTGGTTTTTTGTCCTTGCTATAGTTTGCTGAGAATGATGGTTTCCAGCTTCATCCATGTCGCTACAAAGGACATGAACTCATCATTTTTTATGACTGCATAGTATTCCATGGTGTATATGTGCTACCTTTTCTTAATCCAGTCTATCATTGTTGGACATTTGGCTTGGTTCCAAGTCTTTGCTATTGTGAATAGTGCCGCAATAAACATACATGTGCATGTGTCTTTATAGCAGCATGATTTATAATCTTTTGGGTATATACCCAGTAATGGGATGGCTGGGTCAAATGGTAGTTCTAGATCCTTGAGGAATTGCCACACTGACTTCCACAATGGTTGAACTAGTTTACAGTCCCACCAACAGTGTAAAAGTGTTCCTATTTCTCCACATCCTCTCCAGCACCTGTTGTTTCCTGACTTTTTAATGATCGCCATTCTAACTGGTGTGAGATGGTATCTCATTGTGGTTTTGATTTGCATTTCTCTGATGGCCAGTGATGATGAGCATTTTTTCACGTGTCTTTTGGCTGCATAAATGTCTTCTTTTGAGAAGTGTCTGTTCATATCTGGAAGGGAAAATTCTTAAGAAGTCTTGGTAGAGTAGCCCCCAGTCATCCCCTATGTGTGCCAAGGATGATGAAAATAAGGGGGAGGGGGGGAAGAGAACGAAGAGGTGGAGAAAGTTGAGATGAAGCAAAGATACTTGCAAATTTCTTGCAGATAGGATCTGAGTCTTGCTCATCTTCAAATCCTTACCTCTTAACACCTATGTGCCTAGCACATAGCAAGTGCTTACTCAATGCCTGGAGAATTAAATAATAGAAAAAAGAATGAACAGACATGGAAAAGATCAAAGTCTGTAGGGAGGAAGGCAGAGAGGGAAAGAAAAGAAAGGAAAGGAAGGAAGGGAGGAAGGGAGGGACGGAGGGAGGGAGGGAAAGAAGGAAGAAAATAGGTGACGATTTCTGGCAGTATAAGAAAACTAAATAAGGCTGAGCATGGTGGCTCATGCCTGTAATCCCAACACTTTGGGAGGCCAACGTGGGTGGATCCCTTGAGCCCAGGGGTTCAAGACCAGCCTGGGCATTATGGTGAAACCCTGTCTCTACAAAAATTAGGTGGGCGTGGTGGCACACATCCGTAGTCCCAGCTACTCAGGAGGCTGAGGTGGGAAGATAGCTTGAACCTGGAAGGCAAAGGTTGCAGTAAGCCAAGATTGTGCCACTGTACTCCAGCCTGGGCAACAGAGCCAGAACCTGTCTCAAAAAATAATAATAAAATAAAAATAAAATAAAGAAAACTAAATAAAGCACTGTTTCTTGAATGATTGGTGGTTTGAATCTCAATTTTGGAACTCACTAGCTGGGTCACCTTGGGCAAGTTTGTTAAGCTTTCTAAGCCCCAGTTTCCTGATTAGTATAATGAGGATTATTATAGCACCTACCTCACTGGGTTGTCATGAGGATTAAATGTGGTTATACATGTAAATAATACCCCATAAATGTGAATTATTTTACTTTCTTTATCATCATCATATCATCATGGCAGAGTGAGGACACCATCTCGTAATGTTACTACCACCTATTGATCTTTAAACTGGGTCTCTTGTTCTAGAAATATCTTGATTTAGTAACCAGTGAAATATTAAGAAGACTATTTTGAGGATGTTTGTTGGCCGTTACTCAGGAGGTGATTTAACATGTTAATTTTGTGTTCTGACAGTGCTTAAGGACATGGTGGAGTACATTCAGAACTGTTACATTTTTATATTTTCATCAATGAATTTAACATTTCTTCTGAACGTTCAAAGCATCAGCTAAGAATGTGAAGGAAGTGCATCTTTCATCACTGTATTAATCACACTATAGTGAATTATCACTCCCTGGGTTAACAGTGGAATGTTCCCTTACATCCCGCAATATTTCCAACAGCCCAAACCCACACAAGTTTGGCAGAAACCCAGGGCCCACGGTGCTCACTCACCTGACGAGCAATCACACTTCATTTGCAACAAGGAGGAATTCCCTTTCTGATGACAGATGCACTTTAGGGACACACCTGCTGGGCTGGGTACTGTCTCATGACCACTCAGGGGAACTGACCCAACAAGCTTTCCAAACAGGCAGGTAAACATCAATCCCAGCCTATCCATCCACAGCCTCAAGAAAATGAATGCAGAGAACTCAGGGAGTTTTCCAGGGATGATAAGTGATAAGAAAGATTAGAAGGTGTAAGGGTCTATATCTTAATCCCATGTTCATTCACTGTTTTCCCTCCCACTCACCCAACAGTAAATTGAATACTTGCTTAAAAAGAATACGGGCTGAATCACCATCTAGTCATACATTTGTTTTACAAAATTACTACCCTCAGGCTATAATTTTTCATAGGTCTCTGCTCCTCCTCTTGCTTCTCCTATCTCATGGAGCTAATCTAAACATATAACCTTTTACCCAGACCAGATTCAGCCATATGATTATTATTTTCTTCAAAGTAAAAGAAGTGACCACCTGTGTCATGGTACACAAGGTTTACAGATTACAGAAAACACACTGCTATTAGTGTCTGTTTTTAAAAAAAACCTTCTTCCTAAATCTGTGGTTCTCATTATCCAAGAGTCTGTTTCCTTAAAACTCCAGGAATGAAGCTGTGAATGACAGCAGCTCATCTCAGTTGCACATAATAATTAAAATGACGGCATTTATATTTGACAAGTTAAATTCCTAAGCAAGGAACTCTAGTTTCATTTACAAGAGGCTTCTTTTTTTTTAAGCTACCCAATAAAGAGCACCATAACAAGAGAGAATTGCCCTTGGATGTAGACGGACAAGAAAAGAGCTTAAAGAGAAAGTCAGGTCCTCCAGAGGATATGCTGCTCACCTGAGGCCAAAACTTGGTCATTTAACCAGGAACTCGCCAGCTGGGAGTACCCCTGAAATGCCCCTTTCATCCAAGCTGGACAAGCTTGGATTCAGAGTCATGGCACTACAGGCCGAGTCCCCAGACCTGTGAGTGCTGGGTGAACCTGAGCAGCTCATTCAAGCTTGCTGTGGCCTTGTTCTCTCTATGAAACAGACAGGCTGCCCACCTCATGGCACTGTTATGGGAACCAAATGATTTCATGTGTGAGAATACCTAGTAAACTGGCAAATAAGATAATTTTCAAGTAGAGCAATCAGAGAAGGCATCATGGCCAGGAGAGGCTTCAGGCCAAAGGGGCAGGGTCTCATTAGGTAAAGAGCAAGAGAACAATATGGCAGGTAGAGACCATCACAAGAGCAAAGCCAATCAGGTGCAAGGAGTGAATGAGACTGGTGGGGGAAAACTGAAGGGCAGCATGCTAGAGTCGTGAGAAATCGGCCTTTGGTCCTTCAGTTTGGATATCCACAAGGATCTTGGGATTAACATTTTACAAAGTAGTATTTTCCATAATAGTTTGATAAAATCTTAAACTATACAAAATAACAGTTTTCCATAAGACATGCACATTCTTGCCCACTTTTATTGACAAACAATTCTCCCAATAACTATGCACCCTCTAGATGGTCCCTCATATCACTAAGCCAGAGGTCCTCAACATGTGGTCCCTAGACCTGTAGCATCAGTATCACCTGGTGTGACAGGCACAGTAATGACTCTTGCCAAAAGACATCCTCATCCTAATCCCTGGAATTTGTGAATATATGGTTACATGACAAGGAAGAATTAAGTTTGCAGATGAAATTAAGTCTATTAGTCATTTTGCTTTAAAATAAAGATATTATTTTGTATTACCCAGGTGAGCCCAGTGTAAAGACAAGGATTCTTAAATGAGGAAGAGGGAGGCAGACAATCTGAACCAGAGAGATGGCATCTGAAAAAGACTCCGTCAGCCTTTGCTGGCTTTGAAGATGAAAAGGAGCCATGAGCCAAGGAATTCAGGCAGCCTCTAGAAGCCAGCAAATGCGAGGAAATGGATTCTCCCCTAGAGCCTCCAGAAAGGAATTCTGTTCAGCCAACACCTTGATTTTAGCCCAGTGAGACCCATTTTGGACTTCTGCCCTCCTCTGGAACTGTAAAATAATAAATTTGTGTTGTTTTAAACCACAGAGTTTGTGGTAATTTGTTTCAGCAGTAATTGAAAACTAACATACCTGGAAATCTGCTAAAAAGGTAAATTCTCTGGCTGCACCCCAGACCCACTGAATCAGAAAATCTGAGGGTGGAGCCCAGCAGTCTGTCTTGAAACAAGCCCGCGAGGTGATTCTTATGCCTGCAAAAGTTTGAGAACCATTCACTAGACTAAGCAATCACAGTTATTCCCCTGAAGCAAACACATTCAGACACAGATGGCCAAGAAAACTCAACACTGACAGTTAATGACTTGATTAACCATGATAAAATCTACCAGGCCCATGTCCTGCCTTGACAAGCACACAGTAGGAAACCAACCAAGTCACTGGTGATTCAGACTTCTCTGGGCTTAGGGTCCTCACTGAGAACATCAGTGGTGAGTATGCCCTAGTCCCAAAACCTATTCTGGGAGGTCCTTTTTGAACTCCTATCTGATTCCAGCTAGACTTTTGGCAATGGGAGTCATTTGCCTCTTTCTCACTAAACTTGAGTATCAGGAGAAATGTGAGTAGGTGAGGGTCCAAGTAAATCAGAGATTTCTGATGGCCCATTCCAGAAAGGAGAGGCAGAGTTGACTTTATAAACTCAGACATGGAGGGGTAAGAGTTCTCATAGACCATAAACTGGTTCCCCTAGCTTGCCTTTGGTTCCTGCTCGCCCCCACCACTGCAGCATTGCCACCAAGTGGTGAGTCAGTCTCAGCTTGAGTCTCTCCAAGAATGAGGACCTCACTACCTCCAGTGGTAAATTGTTCCATTTTGAGAGGGTCCAATTATTAGACCTGAGGTTCCTTCATTGGGCAGCTGGTTTTCTTTGGTGCTCATGCTTGATTTCCTTCTGGCCTCCGCTGACTTCTCTGAAGTCTCAGGTGCACACTCACATGCAAGACTGAAATATGACAAGGTTGCAGCCTTTACTACCACTACATGCACTCACTTGTTTTCTCAGCACTATTAGCCTCCACTGACCTCAAAGGGAAGCATGTGTATAAGCTGGGCAGGAGGTAGGCATGGGCCGTGTTAAAGGCAAAGTACTTTAAAAGCCTTTGATGAAAGGCATTAAGGCTTGAAAGGGTTGTTTCTGAAATACTACACCTCCCTTTTAAGAACTCTTAAGATCTGGAGGGTGATACTCTCTCACCCCGGAAGAATTCAAGCATGAATGTTCTTAGAGTGTCCAATTAGGAATCCAATTCCATCTCCCCAGATGCTCATTTCCACCAAAATTACCTAGTTGAATCTGCATTTTTGTTTTTTTCAAGGAACAGACCAAGCTATGCTAAACAATTTCCCAGAGTTAAATAACCATTGGTAGTATTGACAAGTAAGATATAAAGCCCAATAGCTCCACTTAATACACATAGCTATAAGTAGAAAGAAAGCTCCAAGGCACTCTTTTAGTACTCAATAATTTAGTAATCCAATTGTTTTGTGCATCTACTATGTGCCAGGCACTAAGCTAAATACCAGAGAGCATGATAAAGAACTGGAAAGACATAGTAGCTACCCTCCTGGGGCCTACAGATTTCTTTTAAACATCAACTTGCCTGTATTTATAGGGTCTTGTGGCTTCAAACATTTATAAAATAATTTAGGGAAATTTGTTTGTTGGATTGGAATGCACCTGGATCCCTAATTCAGATGGCTAAGTGATGTTATGTGTTTTTAGACAATGAAGCTGGAAATCCAAGACAAAATATTCCCTGGATTTTCAGACATTGCATGTTAAACACATAAAATAATCTTATTCTTATTCATTGATATATTGGTTTTTTTAATGGAAACAACTGAACTGGTGTGCAAGAAGGGATTCTTTAATAGAATGCATGGGGTGGGGGTTATTCTTTCTTACTCTATGTCTTGATGTTTATTTCATCCAGAGTTCAAACTTGGTGGCCAGTGTCACTTGGTTAGCAGCAGTGATTTGTGAGCCCACAGTATTCCCTGTAACCTCCATCAACCATGAGAAACTGGCTCCCTCATTCCACTTATTAGCAAAAAAGCATGAACTACCCACTGCTGTCATAACATGAGCCCTCATCAACACCTGAATAGTTTAGATTTTACCAAAAATTCAAGACCTTTATATATCTTCAACAAGAAAATGAAGAAAAGTTATAACTTGCATCATGTTATACCCTAAAGTGGAATCTAGGCTAACAGAAATAATGGCTGAACCCCTCAATAAAACTGTCATGTAATGAAGACACTCAATAGCCCCGTGGGGAAGCCCACATGGAGAGAGGCCCACATGGAGAGGAAGGAACTTACCAGCTCTTGCCAGCCCCACCTTGCCGGCCATGTGAGTAAGCCACTTTGGCAGCAGATCCTACAGCTTCAGTCAAGCCTTCAGATGAGACCTCAGATATTGTGGAGCAAAGACAAGCAACCCAAATGTCCCTTCTCTGAATTCCTGACCCACAGACACTATAAGATAATAAGTGATCATTGTTGTCTTAAGCAACTAAGGTTTAAAGTAATTTGTTAACATCATAATTACCACATACATATTACCACATACATCTATGTGAAAACAACTCTTTTTTAAGAAAAAAATGATGAGATTCCAGATAGTGGTTACCTCCATCGAGGAGGCAAAAGGATAAGATGACACAAGTAATTATTAAGTAATTGGAAAAGATCTATTTTTGGTATGTTCACTAAGATAGATAGACAGACAGACAGACAGATAGACTGACCAACCTTTCATGTTCCACTGATGATAGTGTGTCTAGAGCCAAGGGTTGTATTTAATGTAATTGGATTGTGTTAATCCAATTCTAAGCACATGACGTCAAATAAATAGGGAGTTAGTTATTACCTGGTAAAATTTGAACATGTCCCCACTCTTTACCCAGCATATCTACTCCTAAGTGTAAACCTTAGAGAAGTTCTTGCACCAGAAGACAGGTACACTATTACAGAAGTATTTTGTTGGAGTAAAAAACTGGAAATACACCAAATATCCAGCAATTATAAAATGAATAAATGCATTGTGGTTATTCAAACAGTAAAACATTATACAGCAACGCATGCTAATGATTAACATCATGGATAAATCTCCACTGAACGTCACGGACAAATATCTAGAGGTATGCAGCCCAACAGAACTTTCTACAATGATAGAAATGTTCTAGAGTATGAAGTTGACCAAAAGAAGCAAGATAAGAAGCGATTCCGTTTCTGTGAAGTTAAATACAGACAAAACTAAACAACAGATTGATTAGAGATGCAGACATGGTGTTAAAACTATTGTGAAAAGCAAATATATATATATGCAAAATTCATACTAGTGGCTAGAGGAGGCAAGAGGATTTAATAGGACCAGGGCACACACAGGGATGTTCAATATTATTGGAAATATTGTCATTCTTCAGCGGGGTGGGGGTAGATACATGGATGTTCATACTTTTATTCTTAAACTGTACACCGATGTTGTCCACACTCTTTAATATGCACAATAAAGTATAAAACATTATGAGTACAAACCAACAAAAAGAAAACATCGCCATTAAATGAAAGAATTTCTTGTCCTCTCAATGTCCCCAGAATCAGGTCTACAAGAAAACTCCCCATCCTAGGTTTCATCTTTCCCTACTCTGTATACAAAAACACATATTGACTAAATATTCTGTAGCTTTACGATAGCAACACCATTCTAAACCTTCACACCAGCAGTTCTCCAACTCAGACTTGTGGACTGTTTGTCAATTCACTATTTAATACCACATGGTGCCGTGAACACGGTGTTGAATTGAGCAGCATCATCCATGATTCTGGGGGCTGCTGAATTCACTCCCTAGGCAAATCATTTCATCCTCTTTTCTCAGCTACTTCAGAAGAACCACTGGGGTTAACCACAGTTGCTCCATTTTTTAATGACTTTATGTTGGACTTTTTCATCTGGTTTCTTTTGAAGCAAAGCTTCCACTGCTTTAAAAAGAAAAAAAAAAAAAAAAACACTTCAAAAACCTCTGGGCCAGATCATGACTAAGAATTTTCTTTCTGTAACATTTTAGAATTCTGTGTTTTGTGAAAGCTATGTTGCTGGGCCTGGAATATTATTAGA
Organism: Homo sapiens; assembly: GCF_000001405.40. NCBI lineage: Eukaryota > Metazoa > Chordata > Mammalia > Primates > Hominidae > Homo > Homo sapiens. Next base: position 37,935,266 of record NC_000005.10, on the reverse strand, counting down.
TGGGTCCATTCAAAAGGACTTCAAACTAGATCACAAACTTGGCATCTTATAGGAAAAGTCTGAAAGTTTATTACCAAGAATAGCAGATTATTCTAGAAGTCCTCTAGCAAAACGACTCAGACTTTCCTTCTTTGCTCCTACTTCAGAACCCACCTGGTCCATGACCTACATACTACCCTTACTCTTAGGAATCTGATAATAAATCTGGCTAACACATTTAATCACTATTAAAGAGAAATTGTGGGAGAGGGGCTGTGGTCAGGGGCATTTGCTGCAAGGGGCAGAATCAGAAGGTAAGTTTCACAAGAGCTCCTGGTGGCCCACAGCTCCCTCCTCTGACCCTGCTAGTCCTCCTGTGTGTCTAACACTCAAGGGAGGGTTGCCCAGACCTCTCGGCCATGCTGTCCCCAGGGTCTTTCTCCTCTGTCCTCCACTCTTCCTGCTTGGGTTTCTCTTGCACTCTGCTTGATCAGTTATATGTCAAGTGTTCTAGACCAAACATCATTATGAAATCCCTATCTCCTGAGCATGAAGAATTCTAGGCACCAGGTAGGGTTGCCTGCATGGCACAACATTCTGTCTTTCTGTATATAAAGTCACCCTTGCCTGTGGCCACTGAGCCCATTACACTCAGAACTGCCTGACAGGACAGATTGAGAGATCCATCCTCTGGACAAGATCTCAATGTTACTGTCTTAAAGAATTAGTCATTCAATCTTCATCACACTTTAGGGCAAAAGAAGCCCCACTTTGGGCTTTGCTCCCTGCCTCAACTCATTCTAATTTTCAAATAAAACATGTCAATTGCTGCTCTGAAGAATAATAGAAGAAAATAGTAATTTTAAAAATATATGTAGGCTTGATCAAACTGATCATACTAATGAGAAACTTAAGATTCAAAATCACGAAGAGTTCTGCAAGGTGCCATTCTGATGTGCACTCATGATGAGTGCACTACTGAAATTAAAGCTGTCATTCTTTTGTATCTTTTCCCTCCCGTACTTCATCTAGGGGATCTGAACTCCCAAGAGAATCACACAGCCACATGTCAATTTCAAGCTATTCATACTGAGTTTGAAATGAGAATATTTTTAAAGTATTGCCAGTAAAGGTAAGTAATATTCTTGGGGGATAAAATCACCAAAGGAGGATGCAAACTGTTTTTGCATCAGCCAGCCCAGAAATAAGCAGTTTCTTCAAATCACACAAATAATTTCACTCCATTTGTTCCCATTGCAAAAAGCTTCATGTTTGTTTTGTTTTGTTTTGTTTTGTTTTGTTTTGTTTTGTTTGTTTGTTTTTTACGGGATGGCTACTAAACATACTGGCTTGTCCCACCCATTGTCTGGAAAATAATTCTTCCGAATTCTTAAAAACTAATTGAGTGGAAGAGGCTCAAAGCAATCCTCTCTCTCTAACAGAAGTTATACTCAGGCCCTAAACTCCAGGATGCATGAACTCAGTGGCCAAAGAATTCAAGCTAATCCATCCCATTCTTGGCAGCTGTGTCTGGTGATCCAGATGCACATGCTCAGATTCGAAGGAAACGGGCACCATCCCATTAGAGAGCTCGGTCTATACAGAGTGGAAGCCTTCCATTTATCATGTTATCTTTTTTAAAAAAGAAAAAAAAGCAACAAGCAGCATTCGAAGGTTCTAATTATATGGAGAACTTCAGCCCGTTCTCCTTCACCCAGCATTTCACACTCTTAAAGCAGACCTTAGACAGCCATCCAGCCTGATCTCCCACTGCCCTCGAGGCATTTTGCCAGGACTAAGCTGTTTTTAACCTCTAACTCCAAGTGCAACTTGTGCACAACGCTGACCCTGAGAACCCTCAGAAATCCTCAAATTTAAGATTACCCAAGATGACTTTATCCATATAAACCCAAAGGGCAGAGAAGAAGCAGAACCATCCCTCCCATCTCCCAGTATCTTCAGAATCCAAGGCTAGACCCGTCTTGATTTGCAGATGTTCAATGAGTAGCCCAGTCTCATACATCTCCTTGATGGCTTTCAAATTTATTGCTTCATATGCCAAACAATGAATAATCTATATCCACTTAATGAGTAGACAATGATTGTTACCTAATTTTTTTCTTTGCTATTTTAATCAGAAGGAGGGATTATTAAAAATGATTTTGGACTTGGATGAGATTCTCAAGATTCAAGTTCTCCAATACCCAGCAAGGATATGTGCCAAAGACATATCCAAATATATAAAATATAGATGGATATCAATATATTTATCAATAGATATCAATAGAAAGTTGCTATCTCTGTTCTTAGAAAATTACTAATTTTTATATTAAAATAACTTTTCTCTTAATAAAACATTAGTCCTAGGGGATAGTAACTGTTGACTTATTTGACAAAATAAGAAGTTTGGAAGTCCTATATCTGTCTTCAAAATTATTTGAAAATGCACTCACCTATGAAATTCAAAGCCTAGGAACCACTGACTGAAGATGGGAGACCTCACCAACTTCAGCACCGCATGACGTCCTCTCTTACCCTTTCTATTCATTCATTCACACCTTTCTTTTTATAAGCCATCATTTATGCAAGCACTGATTCAGTCAGTGCCTGGCACTATGCCGGGGATTGGAATTACAGGCATGGAATACAGTCTTGGTCCTCAGGGAGTCTACAGTCTGGGAAGAGGTAGACAGGCCAATAGTTATATTACAAAAAGTCATTGTTTTTATGTTCTAATCATGATAGATTCTAGAAAAGGAACATCTGCTCCTCCAGAACTCAACCTCTCATCCTTTTAAAGGGCTCTTTCTATATACAAGGCATTTCTCACATTTTTTATATTCTAGAAGCCTAAAAAAAGTAGATTTGGCCTTGGCCTCTAGCCACCTCTGAAAGGTTCTCTTTGGAGGCTCAATAAACAAGTGTTCCAGGCTCATTTTGACCTTTCAATTATTTCCTTCAGACCCAGTTAACATTCAAGAAACCAAAACATGTCTTCCTTGGTGTCCCACGATTCAACCTGGCATATGTTAATTTTAATTTTGGTACATGGCTCCTAAAATACTTCTCTTATTATAAAACACATCATCTTTCCCGAAGGAGATTCCAATCAAGATACAGAGGAAAACAATTACAGGGTTATTTAAACAAGAAATACATGGCAGGTCATAATCACAAATTAAGGTCATAAAAAGAATCATAAAATTTAATGAAGACAAAAGGGAAAAATGATAAAAGCTCTTCTTGTCCACAGAGGAGGTACAAAGTTCTTCCACTTCAATTTCCAACTCACAGCCCACACCCTGTGGCTGGTGAAATTTGTTTGTGACACTTCACTTTGACACTTTGTAGCCCATGAGGAGTAGTGCAGTGACATATTGGTAAGCTCGCTCTCAGAATTAAAAAGACAGCTCTGATTTGTGGTGTTTACTGATTTCCAAGGGGACAAACATTCTCACAATGAGCAATTTCAAATGACCAACAGTTTAACAACCAACTCACAAAATTTCTGAATATGTAACTACCAGTTCTCATGAGCCCATGGGAGGTAGCTCCTGCACACCAGTGGATGACTGGAATTTGAGAGGCGACCACTCCCATCCTAGATCTCCATTAGGAAGTAAGTAAGGAGCAAGGCTTTTTAATGGGGCTAGGTAACTCCTTGAATTAGATGAAGGAAGCTAGCACATTAGTGGTGGTGTATCTATTCATTATTGTGATGAATCTAGTCAAAGGCTTTGGGGCTAGGGTCAAGGAAAGATTGACGGTTCAAGGAGGCAATGGGGGAGGAGAGGATTGTCCAGACATTGGTGGGTATAGAGGGGCTAATTACAGCAAGTTGAGGGCGCAAAAGGGCATGTGGGGGGGCCTTAGGGAAGAGAGAAGGGGAGGGCCTGAGGGGAGAGCTGAGAGAAAGATGGCACCCAGAGAGGAGGCAAGTACAAAATTGGCCCATTTCCCAACCGTATGTTCAACTGCTACATGTTTGCAGAACTGAGTCCCCTGAAAAGTTCCACTTGATTTCCAAGGAAAATTGCCATAAATATTTTGTTTTCTGTCCTGTGGTTTGTCCCCCCAGGAACGTGATCACGGGAATGTGAACTCAAGTTGATAGCTCCTTGATACACATATGGAACAGCTTCGGGATGGGAAAAGACTTTTTAAAACTGAAAAACAATTCCCTGAAGAGCAACTTGGCTTTTGGTTAATGGATCTGATGATTTAAGGGGAATGAGAAGTGTGGCAAAAGGAGGTTTTTGAAAAACTAAGTGGCTCTTTCTTTAGGGCAGGGCTTTATCATTCTGTAGCCAGAACACACACCTCGCACCCCCCTTCTTTCCCTAGGCTCCAGGAGCTGGGCTCTGCTTCCCCAAAGGCCCTCTTCAGAAAAAGCTAGACTCCTGATTTCTTCCCAAGTGACTGTGTCCAAAATATGCATACATATCTCTTGTTTTTTTAAAGAGATTTACTGAATAAGAACAGAAGCATTGCTAAAAACAGGCACTGAGAAGGTTGCAGTTACAGAAAATATTTTTTAATTACTGAAATATGATATGAATTTGTTATATATTTATAATTATAGAAATATGATCTATATTATATATGAATTTCTGTAATTAAAAATATATAAACAGAAAGAGAGATTTATTTTTTAAAAATTAGCCCTAGGAACCCTGATGTTTGCTCTTACGGCCTTCAACTGATTAGATGAGGTCCACCCACATTATCAAGAGTAATCTCCTTTATTTAAAGTGAAGTGATTGTATACATTAAGCACATCTACAAAAATACCTTCACAGCAACATCTGGACTGGTGTTTGACCTAACAACTGGAACCGGCACCATAGCCAGGATGAGACATAAAATTAGTCATTCCAGGTAGAACCCTAGCTCACCCTCTCAGACCCAAGGCTGAAATTTCTTCTCCAACACTTCTCTAGTCTTCCCTTGGGTCCTACCCCAGAGTCTGCAGTTAGTCGTGTGATCATTACCACTTTGGCCCACATCAAGTCTGTTCCCTGTGGCTTCTGGGAACCCACTACTACCCTTGGGTTACCTTCTTTCTGGTGGGTTCTATTGTGAACAATGGCTCTAGCCTCTTTTGAGTCTCAGTCTCTTCCATCTTTTGTCCTGAATTAACATTTGGGTCCACAGGGCCAAATACCATTACCAGAGTGCCCATCTATATCAAGTCAGCTCCCTGTAAGAACCCACGAGTTCTTCCTTCAAAGGAAAGGTGTCTGTTACAGGTCAGTTGTGGACTCTGGTCTGTGTCGTCCTTGCTCTGGGACCCAAAGATGTCTGCCACCTCTGGGACCTTACCAATCACAGTGGCAGAGGGAACATGGGAAGCCCTGTACCAGCTCTTAAAGCGTCCACCTAAGGGTGATGCACTTCCACTCACATTGTACTGGCCAGAACATGCCACACGACCATACAGACCACAGGGGAGCTGGCAGCCACCACCCGACCGTGTGCCTGGAAGTAGATCTGGAATATTTGGTGACCAGCACTGACTGTCACCACACGTTCTCTCAGCTCACCTGCACAGCTGAGGGGCATGCCTCAAGCCCAGTGAGCTGTCAGTCCGTCTCGAATCAGACCCCCAGCCCCCTTTTCCCACCTCCCAGGTCCTTGTGGGTCTCCATCAGGCACACTCACAACCTTCCTTCTCTGTTCCTTTCTGTTTCTTTGCCTTTCCCACCCTGCCCACACTCAGAAATGACCTTCCAAAATTGATGCTGGAATTTTATCATGGAAACACGCATTGCACAAACAGTGTTAATTTTTTTTCTAGATTTTATTTTCTCTAAGTAATAACATTAATCTTTTAATTTAAAATTCAATTTTTTCAATAGACTAAATTTGCTTCAGTCCACTAAAGAGAAAAAGGATGATTTCCACACAGGTTTCCTGATCCATTACCCTGACTCCATGCTGCAAACCCATGCAAGACCAGGCCCTACCTGCCCTCTACTTACCATGCTCCTGTGTTTCTAAAAATATATAATAACAAGAGAGAATTCTTATGCGATAACATGTAAACAAAACAATTTCTGTAATACAGAATAATCCCAATTTTTTGAAAAATACATATTCATATGTGCAACTTTTAATGGGTCTAAAACGTACTTCAAAATATTAGAAGATTGTTTCTGGAATGTGGAAGGAGAATTGACTGATATTTTCTTATGTTTTCAAAATAGAACTGTATGTATACCTTCTAATTAGGAAAACTTTTTTTTTTTTTTGAGACTTTTTGAGACAGAATCTCACTCTGTCGCCCAGGCTGGAGTGCAGTAGTGCAATCTCAACTCATTGCAACCTCTGCCTTCCGCGTTCAAGCAGTTCTTCTGCCTCAGCCTCCTGAGTAGCTGGGATTACAGGCACATGCCACCATGCCCGGCTAAGGAAAACTATTTTTTTAAAGGTTCTAAAGTCCCCATGGATGGAGACTTTTCACTCTCTCATTACCTTTTAATCACTTTTATAGACAAGAATCTTTCCTTACATGTCATTACACTCTTTTTTGTGGTCACATAAATCTGTTTCACCCTTTTAGGGTAACTGAGGGGAGAAAAATGTCAGGGGTTAGGGATGGGCTAAGAGATGCAGAGTGTTCACTTAGATTATGGGAACAAGCCTGGAAAATTAGCCAGGCTCATTGCCTCCATTCCCATTTCCTCCTTTGGTTGCACAGAATCCACCCAGAGGAAGTTTTCTGCCCTTCTCCTCCCTGGGGGAACATCATCGTGCCTCTCCAAGCTTCGGTGGCACTGGGAGGTGGGGGCAGGCTGGAATGGAATAGACACGGCACAAACAATAAGCCCACCTGAGAGAAGACACCTCCTCAGCGCCCAGGCGCTGTCACAGGTCAGCCACCCGAGGTCCCACCAGGGCTCCTGCATGTTCACAACTCTTGATTTATCCTGTCGGATGCAAGGCCTCAGGCTCAGTGGGGAGTGTGGCTAGTGAGACTGTACAGGGAGAGAACCCATCAGAGGTTTACCAAGGTCAGAAGGTACACTGGATATTAGTACAGCTACTATATGCTCCAGGATGTTTTTTTTCTAAACTTAGCTAACAGCATAAGCCCTCAGATTCCTCTCACTTTCTATAGCCCCAGAGAAGGAGCACGAGGAAAAACAACTAATACAAAAAAATGGAGGACACACCAGCTTATAATGAGTAATAAAAGCTAACACTTATTGAGCACTTAGTGTGTGTCAAACCCGTTCTACACATTATCCCAATACATCCCTCAGCAATCCTATGCAGCAAGGGTTATTATAACATGCATTTCTCAGATGAGGAAATGAACATGCTGCAAGCTCAAGTGCAATAGGAAAGTGTAGTGGTTGTGGTTAAGCCATGGAAGCAGAAGCCAGACTGCAGGAAGGAATCTGAATACGGGTTCTGCCATTTATTAGAGTCCGGCTTTTGCATGTTATGTAATCTCCTCTGCCTCAGTTTCTTTTTCAGTAAATGGAGGCAATACTCTACCTTCCTTAGAGTTGATTTTGAGGACTAGACAAGTTGTTCTATGTAAAGGGGTTTGCAAACCTGTAAGTGTTAGTTCTTATTAAGTCATTTGCCCGAGGTCACAGTCAGGAAGTGGCGGTGCTAAGATTAGAAGGTCCACGGTCTAGCTCCAGAGTCCCCACACACTTCACATCTACTTTCCTCTGGACGGTGTGGCTGGTCTTGCTCCTGAAGAGCAGTCTCCTTTGCCTGGCCCTTGTTACATGACTCAAAGGCACCCTACTTGGAATGGAAGGGTGCCATTGGGCAGTCATTGAAGCAACGATATATTTTCAGCAATTCTGCTTTCAAAGTGCAATCTAAAATAGACAGGTAGCAAAGTTTTAAGTCTCTGGTGTATCACCCATGCACAGGAAGATGAGGGAACTGTCCATGCGGGGAAGGAAAGAAACACAGAATCAAACTGTGCTCATCCCCTCTCAAGCCAACCACACTCCTTGCCAAAAGCTGACTCCCCACTGCTGGGACCACTCTCTGCTGGGTTTGGCTTGAGTGTCCAGCTACAGGCACACGTCAATGGGTACAGCCTGGCCACCCCCATAACCTTGACATTGGCCTGTCAAGCAGCCTCAAGCAGCTACAAACATGTTAAATTCACAGACACCCAAGGTTTCAGGCCTCGCCTTGGATTTTGATGTATGTCCAAATTGGAAGCTTAGCTTAAGAAAAAAAAGTCAACCCTTCCTGCTGACACCCAGCTGAATAAAGGAAGTGCAGGGCCTGTGAGCACTAGCCCAGACATGAACTTCCTTTCCTTTGCTCAGCCTGGTCCTAAACTCAGAGACCTAATTACTGCCATTCATATTCCAAGGGCCTTAACTTCAATGCTGCCTCAAGCAGCAGATGGAGCCAAACTATCTTCTCTGTGTGGTTTAATAAACCCCAAGGTGCAGTGGCGGAATTGGAGATTAAATCCCTAATCCCTCAGCTGCCAGCTGGCTGACTTGGGCAAGGAGGTTCAGTTTCTTCCTCTGTAAAATGGGGATAACACCCACCTCATAGTATTGCTGGGAAGAGTAAACCAGGGCTTGGTATAGGTGAAAAGCCTCTCAGAATTTTCTAGTCCAGTCTCTATAGAAATAAGTTTTTGAATTAATCATGTTTCTTATTATCTATATTTTGTGATGCTTTGGTATCTTGGGGACCTTGCTGGCTGGGGAGAGACTGCCCCTCCCAAGATTAGCTAATTCCTACAGATACCAAACAACTTGCCTTTGAGCACATGTTTCTTGTGCAAACCAAGAAATCCAAAGCCCATATTCCCAGTCATCTAATTTATCCAACTCTCACACTCCAAGCCAATCTTTCACTGCCCTAAATCACCCCAGGGCCAGGTACCAGATAACTGGAGACCACCAAAATTATAGCTCAGAACCAGCCAAACCTAAATACTCTGCCTCGCCTGCCTTTCCTGCAGAAACCATGATAAAGGCTGTGCTCATGCTTTCTGCCTCCTGACTGACCCTAGTGCTTCCCCAGGTGGCTCTGTATGGCAGATTGTGTCCCCTCCTCCTGGAAACTGAAAATAATAAACTCTTCTTTCAATGGCATTGACCCCTCCGTGTGGTCACTCAGTCACCTCTATAAATTAAATCCCCGTACAATTGAAACACCCTTGCTATCTGAACTCTACCAAAACACAGGAAACAACTTTAGAAAATTTGCTGTTCAAACCAGGATCTAAATGATCTAAAAACAAGCAAAGGATTGTTGTATTCATATTCTGATTCCTTAACACCCTCAGGATCAAAGATGCTGTTGGTCACCAACAGCTGTTTCAGCAAAGAAGTGGCACAAACTGGGTCAGACAACAGAGCTAGAAATGTGTGAAGCTCCACGCTATATGCCTGCCCAAGGTATATAAGCCCCACTTTGTCTTCAAAAAACATATAAACTGCTTGTGCAAATGACATTCAAATTCCCCAAATATGTATATGTATTATATTAAATATAATAGTACATGAAAAATACCAAATGCATGTTATACACTATTAAAGTTCAGAGTAGAAAGAATGTACAAATAATGCAAATAAAAGTCAATGGAGGGGCAAGAATAACAGTTAAAAGGAAATGAGAATTTTCTAGGGCCAAGCCCAACTCTGATGGTCACATCAACCAGGAAGCAATCCCTTGAGACTCTCTCTCAAAATTTACTCCCTCCACACATGGGAAAACCCTCCATGGGGCAGTTAGTGGCATTCAGCCCCTTTGTCTCTCAGGCTGCTATTCCCTCCTTCTTGGAAGTGCTCTCTGGCCTGAGTACCAGCCCCTTAATGGAGGTTTTTCCTTCAATGGGTCACCGTGCTCAAAGCTACAGTTCCATGAGGCTTGGAGTATGTCTTCATTCCCCTGTCAGTCTACTTCAATCCATCATCTAATAGCTGCCTGAGAACCTAGCTGACACACTCTTGAGGAAATATGTTCTGAGTATGCCATACCAGGGCTAGAGGCTGGACTGTGTGACCATGCCTTGTCATTGATCATTAGTACATGTTCAGAAATGCCACCAAGGAAATGGCTCCAGAAGTCAGCCACACCAACCAAAACAGGGCCGAACAGGCAATGCTCTGAAACTGGCTTCTGTACTGGGCCGCAGATGGGATTCTCACTGAACACACAGGATGTGATTGGCTTTTCCTTAGGAACTGAAAAGTTATCCAAAGGATTCTCCATTTCCCATTAGATCCTAAAAATGTTTCCAATTTTTTTTAATCACTTACTTGACACTTGGATTTGTTTGATGCTTGTTTAGTTGTCCAGTACAAGGTTCAGGACAGGAATGTCTGCATGGATGGGAACCTCCTCACAGACAGCGCATACTTCATCTGTTACTCCCAGGGCAGCATGTAATAGAATGAGTGTGAGCTGAAGAATCAGAACTACTTGGTTGGTGGCTGATTCTGTTTCTCACCAGCGGTGTGACATTGAGAAAGTCACCTCAACACCTCTGAGCTTCTTTCTCTGTCAGTAAAGTGGGAATCATGTCTATTTGTTGTTGAGGATTAAATAACATGAGTAAAATCCTTAGTACGGTGCCAGGCACATCACAGGTGTCCGAAAATACTTTTCTTTCATTGTACTAACAAACCTTTTAAGTGCCTAATCTAAAAAGAAATGTAATAATATGGCCCTTGACCTCAAAGAAATGGTAAACTGCTATTATTAAGAGATAGGGTAATGACTATGTGGAAGTATGTTTTTCAGGATAGATTGGGTTATACCACAGTAATAAACAATCTCAACAGCTTAAAACAATAAAGATTTGTTTCTTGCTCATATTATATGTCCATCATGCACAGGTCGGGGATTCTGCTCAACTTCATCCACATTTGGAGACACAGGCTAACGGAGACTCCATTACATAGAATGTAGCTGATTATCTTGGAAGATGGCAGAAGAGATGGAGAATTGCACTCCCACTTAAAAGTATGCTTCAGCACAACAACTCCACTCATATTTTGCTGGCCAGATAGAGCCACATGGCTATACGTAATTTCAAAGAGACAAAAAAGTATAATCTTCCTGCATACCAAAAAGTAGAGTGAAACCAGAGATTGATGAAAGTACTTATGATAAAAGTACTTAAGGAGGTACAAAATGTGTAATAAGATCATAAAGAAGGGAAAGCCTAAGGTAGCCTCGAATGTCCAGAAGAACCTCTTTCAGGAAAGTAACTCTTGTGATAAAATTTTAAAAATGAATAGTAACTTGTCAGGCAAAGGAACAGGAAGGTGTCCCAGGCAGAGGGGCTCTCACATGTGCAAAAGCTTGCACTCCTGAGAAATTATAGCACTGTCTGTGAACAAGTTATTGAGTGCTAATCAGTGTTAATAAGAAAAGAAAATAGATCAGGTGAGCAGGGAAGAGGTAGAAAATGAGGTTGGACCAGTGCTAGATCATGTCATGATAAAGAGTTCAGCTTTTATTATGCAAGTGATGAGGGAGGGGGAGTAAAAGCATTGAAAGTTCCCAAGTAAGAAAGCGACAGGGTCAGATTTATTTGGTCATCTATTTAGTCAACAAATATTTATTGAGGGCCTACTGATATGGTTTGGCTGTGTCACCACCCAAATCTCATCTTGAATTGTAATAATCCTCATGTGTCAAGGGTGGGGCCAGGTAGAGATAATTGAATCATGGGGGCAGTTTCCCCCCATACTTTACTCGTGGTAGTGAATAAATCTCACAAGATTCAATGGCTTTATAAATGGGAGTTCCCCTGCACAAGCTCTCTTGCCTGCCTCCATGTAAGAAATGACTTTGCTCCTCATTCACCTTCCACCATGATGGTGAGGCCTCCCTAGCCATGTGGAATTGTGAGTCAATCAAACCTCTTTCCTTTATATATCACCCAGTCTTGGGTTATGTCTTTATTAGCATGTGAGAACAGGCTAATATACCTACTAAGAGCAAAGCACTGTTTTAGGAGTTGGAGATATATTAGTGAACAAAGACAAAGTTCCTGCCCTCATGGAGTTCAAATCCTAGTGTCAGGAAAGGCACTGTGGCAAAGTATGGAGAATGGGTTAGAAGAGATTGGTTGAGAGGAGAAGCAAAGAAATTAGGAAAGAAATTATTGCAATTGTATAGATGAGTAATAATACAGAACTAAACCACACAGTGAGAATGAAGAGGAAGGGACAGATAAAAGACGCATTTGAAAAAATCAACAGAACTTGGAGAGAATTCAATATGAGAGTAAAGAAGTAAGAGAAGTTGAGAATGAGTCCTTGTTTTTCTGCCACTCACTGAGACTGAGAACTCAGAAGGAAGAAGGGGGTAGGTAGAAATGATGCATTTTGTCATTGATGTACTGAGTTGGAGGTGGTGTTTTTCCCACAGGAATTTTGATATATCTGGAATTTAAGAGCTGGTTATACATGAAAAAAATAAACTTGGGAATAAACCGAGGGAGCAGAAACCATGGGAGAGATTCTAGGTTGATGGCAAGTATATGTCTCCTCTCCCTCCCAAGACCACACCAGCATACTATTAGGGTATTTAATAAGATGTGAACACACAACCACAAAAAGCAGATAGCAGTGAACAACACATTCAGAAGAAAGTGGCTGAGGGAAAACTGATTTTTAAATGAAAAGGCTTAATATAAAGTGCTTGCAGAGAAGCTGACTTGGCCCCCCAAAGAAATACTCAAGAAAGTAAAATGCTCTTAGAACTTAAAAATGATAACTAATAAAATGATCAATAGAAAAGCAGTACAGTGATGTTGAAGAAATCTTCTAGAAAGTGTAGCAAAAGTCAGATAGAAAACAAGAATGGAAAAGTTAAAGACTTGGACAATCAATCCTGGAGATCCAACTGCAGGCTAATAGGAATTCTAGAAACAAAACAGGGTAAGAGGATGAAGGAAATTATCAAGAAATAATACCCCCCCAAAATGTTCCAGAATTGCAGAACCGGTTTCCGGATTGAGAAAACCCTCCAAGTATGTACCCAGTGACCAAATCCAGACCTATATCTAAGCATGTAACAGTGAAATTTCAAAACACCTATGTTAGGTTAAACACACAACCACAATCTCTCAGGGTGGGACAATGCACTTCATATACAAAGGAATGAAAATAATAATGATATCAGAAGGTAGATTATAGACCTAAATATAAAAGTAATAAAATAAGGATTCCAGAGGAAAATATACAATATCTTTGTGACCTTGACATAAGCGAAGATTTCTTAAACAGAACACCAAATGCACTCACTATCATAAAAATGAATAAACTGGATTTAGGTAAAATTAAATTCACCACTAACAAAGTGAATAAGCAAATCATAGCCTATGAGAGGATAGTCTCCACACATATATCAAAATGACTTGCGTCCAGAATATATATGAAGAGTTCTTTCAAATTAATAAGAAAAACAAGTCAATTTTTTTAGTGGGCAAAAGACTGGAATAGGCACTTCACAAAAGAGGATAACTTCCCAGCAAACAGATAAAAAGTGTTTAACATGATCATGCATTAGGAAAATGCAAATGACAACTTAAACGAGACATCACTACTCACCCACAAGAATGGCTAAAATTAAACAGGCTGGCAATACCACATGTTGGGAGGAAATGGAGCAACTGGAACTCTAATGCATTGTGAAAAGTGACTCATCTACTTTGAGAAACTGTCCAACTCTCTGATAGTGTCTTTGACTCTAGTATTCAGCAATTATACTCCCAAGTGCTTACTTGAGAGAAATTAGTATGTGTGTCTTCCAAAAAAACAGGTACAAGGGTGTTCATAGCTGCTGTATTCATAGTAGCCAAAACCAGGAAACAACCCAAATGTCCATCAACAGAAGAACGGATAAACTCTAGAATTGTACATGGTATAAGAACAAATGAACAGCTAATACACACAATGATATGAATGAATCTCATAGATCCATTATGGAGCAGAAGAAGCCAGGCACAAAAGAGTGTGGCTCCATATTTGAAGTTCAAGAACAGGCAAAGGTAATCTGTAGTGATAGAAGTCAGATAAGTGGTTATCTCTAGGATGGGGGTGGGGTGGTATTGACAGGAAACAGGCACAAAGTAACCTTCTGGGTTGCTGATCTGAAGGGGGTTATATGGGCAAATACATCTCTAAAAATCCATCAACTTATAATTTAATACTAATTGCTTTACATTTTGACATTTTAAAAAAGACTATGCCTTTTTTGAAAAAGAAAAATAAGAAATAAACAAAGAGCTGCATTAGACTTCTTAAGTGCCACACTGGAACCAAAAACACCATGAAGGAATGCCTGGAAAATTCCAACAAAAAATGGCTTTGATTCTAGAATTTCAGACCCATCCAAACTTCCAATCAATTATGAAAGCAAATCATCCTACCCAAAGGGGAGGAAAGTCTCTTTGAAAGCATTTCTCCTAGCCTGCTCAGAGAAGATGCTCATTTTCAGGTGAGCAAGGACTCAAAGAATTTTAACTCCCATGCACCTTTCCTTTAGGAGCTTTCAGACAGTATTCTTCACCAAACATAGGAATACCCTTGCCAGTGGATTCTGAGAACAAGGGATCTGGCCAGAGTAGGAGAAGGGAGGGCTATGGTGAAAGGGACTGAGGAAAAAGAAAGGGGAAGAATTGAAGTATAACTATATATGAGCAATCATTTAGAAAAAACTACTGATAGGTTTGTGACAGATATTATGCAGCATTCCAAAAAAAAAGAAACAATAACTACCTTGAAGAACCCACGAGAATTAGAAGTGATTATTGATGGACTCCAGGAGACATAAAAAAGATACTAGAAAGTAAATATTATCATAGTCCTCTACTTGAATTTAAAGTGAATAGTATGAATATAGTTGTGATATTATAAATGCTGATAGTTGGTTTAACAAAAAATATAAGCATCTTGGGGTATCAGGGAGGGAAGTGCTGGGAGATCCAAGACAGCGAAATCCTCATCTACGTTAGAGGAATTTTGTTAATTTCAGAAGTTGTCTGAAATTGATAAATAAAAAACTTGCAGTAGAAAATATTATATAAATAAAGAGACAAACTATCAAAAGAAACAACCAGAATAATTAAAAAATCATTGTCTCCACTGAGTGAGAATGGACACAGGATAGGAGTAATTGGTGTAGGAGACTGGTTTTCACATTTTAAGTCTTTCAGGACTATTTTTAATAGAATTTTTAAGAAACAGGAAAAAATATAGACAAGATTATACAGAGAGGGGAAGAATGAGAAGAGAAGAGAAGGATAATAAGAATTCTGAGGAACATCAACATTTAAAACGGAAATGAAGAAAAGCCTGCGAAGAAGACTGCAAAGGTAATACCAAAGCGGTAGGAGGAGAAGCAAAGGAGAGCATTGCATGGAAGCCAGGGAGGGGGCATTTACTGAGTTCTTGTCTGCAGTGGACTCAAATGTGGGTGGAGACTTTAATTATAATTGAATTATAACACAAGCTTATATCCATTTATCCTTTACACAGGTAGGCCAAGACCTAAAGGTGGTTCTGGAATTATTTGATATTGGGTGGCAGGTAAGTACACACCTGGCCCTTGGAAAGTGGCTTGAGCCAACAAGGTCTCAGAAATTACTCACTGCATCATCTGTTCACTGACCATCTGCACTACATCTGCCTTGCCTCTCCTACCCTGTAGGCAGTGACCTTGGGCTCCTGTTTCAAGGGTACAATTCTGGGACTCTCCTTCCTGGCTTTCTGTGGCTTCCATTCAGATATCCTAATGCTTACTTCATCCTGAGCCTCTGGCCTTTCTTTGCCCCTTGGACTGGATCTGACATTCTCTAGGTGGTCGTCCAGTTGCCCTCCACCTGGTCCTAGGGTTGCTAAGGTGTACTGCTCCCACCACCTGTCATAAGTGACAGGAATAGTTCACGAAGCATAAGTGGCTTCACCTTTCCTGAGAGAATACCAGCCCAATACTTGTAGGGCTTGTCAATGAGCAGTCTCTAATTAAACTGCTTTACAGCTAGTTTAACATGGCCATGGGTATGTTTATAAATACATTAATTGTCTAGTTAGAAATAAAAACCCTTAGTTCTTCAGAATAGGAAGGAAGGTTATGAGAGAGTCCATGACAGTACTTCCAGGCTGTTACTGAATGAGCCAGAAAGTTCTGGAAGTACAGAAAGAGAGGTCACTGAAGGAAAATGCCATTACACAGCACTTACAAAATGAAGAACATGACCATATGGATGGTCCAGATGATTTGAACAGACATGTAATTATCTTGGAGAAGCAGATAGTACTGGGAGAGTCATTGATGATTGAGGGAATCTGTTTAAATGTAGCTACATTGGGATAGTATTATAATCATAATATTTGTTGAGTGCTTGCTATGTGTTGGGTTGTAAATCCTTTACCTATATTAGCTTACTTAATCCCTACAAAAACCCTGCAAGATCAGCAGTGCTATTATTGTTCTTATTTTACAGATGAGGAAACTGGAGCAAGGAGAGGATTTTGCTCCAAAGTCTAATGGCTAACTGAGCTGAGGTTTGAATCCAGGCAATAGTCACCAGAGCTGCACTCACAAACTCAAAACTGTAGTGTGAGGAAGGTGGATCACATGCTTTGGAAGTATTTCAGGCTGGGAAGTCTTCCAGTTTCTGGAAGAAAGATATGATAAAGCCCATAACAGAGGATATGGGAGCCAGCCAAGGAAGTGAACCCATACACATGTTCCCAGCTTCTACAGAGGGCCAAATTCTGATAGGAAATTCTTTACGTGTGTGTGTGTGTGTGTGTGTGTGTGTGTGTGTAATTTTAAGTTCTGGGATACATGTGCAGTATGTGCAGTTTTGTTACATAGGTATACATGTGCCATGGTGGTTTGCTGCACCACTGATAGGAAATTAGGTAGCCACACACACAAGTATAGACATGGCTACTGAGTAAGACTTATGAAAATCTAGCTCTTAGCACAACTGTAAGCACAGAATGAATTTAGCAAACTTTTCCACATCTCTGCAGACAAAGCCCTGGTTTTTAGTACAGACATCCTGAAAGGTTACTTATCCTGATGTCAGGTGTAGCCTTGAGAAGTCCAGTGATTCAATGTTCAGGAAGAAAATGTGTGAAATGTATCTCAACAAATTGAGCCTGCTGTTTAGGAGGCTTTGCATCCATTTTTAAGGAAAATTATTCATAACTACTCAAACCCAAGCATGCAAGTCTGTAGCTAAAGAATTCCAAGGGCAAAGGGTTTTCCAGGTGAAGCCAAATGTAACCTTTAGATAATTGAGAGTAGCAATATCACAGAAAAAGAACTTCAAGCTTTGTTGCTATTGTTTAGTGTCAGCATGAGAGTTTTCATCCTGAATTGCTCTTAAATCCTGATTCATTTGAAAATTAATCCAAATGTCTTCCCACCAACTCTTCTCCCTTCTGGTAAATTTTATTAAGCAATAAATTCACATCAAACATTATTTATTGGGAAACATCAGATGAAACCATTCAAATTTTACTATACAGTAGATATACCAAAGAAGTCAGCATTCCCCCTTCATATTTTTTCATGAGGAGGGCCACTGAGATCTTTTCTCCTCAAGACATGACTCCTCAGGAAGGGGTCTTGGCACCAATATGCAGGAGGATGCTTGCAGAGCTGGGACTTTGGCATTTTAAAAGCCACGTGGCTCTAGGCATGCTCCAAGTGTTCCTAGCTCAAGTCTTATAGTTAAGTCCAGATTTCACAGCCGAAGGCACTGAGCTGCAAGCTTCCTCGCCAAAGGCCCAAAGCAGTAAGCAGAAGGTGCTTCCTGGCCCTGACTCAACTGGTGCAGAAGGACACCCTATTGATGGTGATGCAGGAGCAGCTCTGAGCCTTCTCTGAGTGATCCGGAAAGCATTATCCTACCCAAAGGGGAGGAAAGTCTCTTTGAAAGCATTTCTGCTCAGAGATGAAGACAAAAACCATAATGGGAAGGACCAATATCCCAAACATCACTGACATTACCTGGGTGTTCTGCTTGCAAAAACATTTTGCTAATAAAAAGAAAACGTGATCCCATCACTAACTGTCCCTAAAGCAAGTCATCTGCCTTTTCATGGTCTCAAGGGGCTCATCTGTAAAATGAAGAGTTGAACTAAATGATGGTTGAGGTTCCATACTGTCTAGTAATAAAAACTGTCAAAAGTGGTCACATACTGTCAATTTCATATGGCTTGATGCACACACATGCACACTCACTGTGTGTACACCCTCACAAACATTTATTCATTCGATAAGTATTGCCTACTATAAGCCAAGCATTCTTCTAGGCACTGAAGATATAGCAGCAAACAAAGCAGAGCCCTGCTCACTTGGAGCTTACGTTCTAGGATTGGTAAAAGCAAAAATATAGCAAATTAACTAGTATATCCAAGGGGGTGGAATGAGAAAGGGAGAGAGTAAGAGAGAGAGACACCAAGTGGGGAGAGTAGAAGGAGATAGAAAGATCACCAGGGCCTGGCAAAGCCTTGCTTTTCCTCTGAGTGAGATGGGAAGGCATTGGAGGGTTCTGAGCAACGTAATAGGACACACATGCTTACAAGATGATTCTCACTGCTCTGTGGCAGACAGACTTGTAGGGACAAGAGTAGAAACAGGGAGACCAGTCGGGAGACCGTTGCAATCATCCAGATGAGGGATGACGGTGGCTTGGACCTGGTGGCAACGGTGGAGCTGAAAGTCTTGGCTGTTCTGTATTCTGAAGGCAAAGTCAATAGGATTTGCTACTGGACAGCATGTGGAGTGTGAGTGAAAGATGACGCCAAGATTTTTCACTGGAATAAGTGGAATAATGAAGTTCCCATTTACTGATCTGGTAAAGACTACGGAAGGAACATATTTAGAGCTGGGGGAAGATAGGAATCTGGATGTTTAAGTATGAAACGTTTGAACTGGCTTTTAGATATCTTATGAAAGTGTGGTGTTAATACCACAGGCATCCAGAATCTTCTTTGGAGAAAAATTTTAAATATAATCCCCGGTAAAAACACTCATATCTTTTATTTGGGAACTCCCCAGAGAGTACCTGTGACATGTGGTATGGTGGTAAACATTTAACAACATGTTCTCCGAGGAGGAAAAAAAAATCCTGAATTAGTAGCATTTGCTGATTTCCGTGCTGTCAATACTCCCACCACGGCTAACTTCAGGCTACTAGTGTGAAGTCACTGAGGGAAGAGGTGCTGTCCCAAACCAGCTTGAGCAGCAGTTCCAGCACACCCCACAGCAACCTCTCCCCAAGCCCCCCACCTTCCCCTCCGAAGACAGAGAAAGAGGGGGAATCAGGAACAATCCTAGAAGTCGGGGGGGGTGGGTGTGACAACCTTAGTTGTTATGCTTTAAACACCTTTGCAGGATTTTGAAAAAACAGGTTGTATGAGAAAGCCTGAGCCGTTTCTATTATAAACAGCTGCCTATTGTAACAACTAGATCCAGGATCTGACATTAATTATTGCCAATATAAAACAAATTTACTCTCAAATTTCAGTGAGGGTAGAGCAGGACATGGGAGGATGGGATCTCTAGCCCTCCTGATGGTCCTCCAAGTCACTTTTGAAAAAAAGGAAAACCTCTGTATTTCTGTTGGGTTTCTGAGCCCCATATTCCTTTCTAAATTAGTCAGGGAATATTTGAATCACTTGCAAATCTGGAGTAAGAAAAGCAATGTTTGCTTTAGACTTTAACATGCCCCTGGAGAGAACTATCTTCTCAGGTCAAAGAATGACATTAGGTTTGCATTAGCAAACTCTGTTGTCCAGTCAGCAAATTAAGAATTCTTAGGAAAGGATCTATTTCCTCCTCCACACTGGAACAAGGGTTCTTAATCCTTTCTGCATTTTAGAATTAGATCACAAAGTTCTTTAAGATATTCATACTGGGGCCCCACACCCAGCGACTCAGGTTCTGAAGTGAGACCTGGGCGTGGGTATGTTTGAAATGCTCCCCTGCTGATTCTAATGCGTAGCCAGGGTTGAGAACCACTGCACCAGAAATTCAAATAATGTGGTTAGAATCAACCCAATCACTTTGTGGTTGTTAAAGGAACACTCAAATACACAGAAAGTGGCTCAGTGAAGAAGAAATAGCACAGGGCTAAAAATGAACAAGTCCAGGGTTCTAGTCCTACTTCTGCCATGTGGCATACATCGTCAGAAAAGCTATTGAACAATCTGGATGTCAGAGGGTTAGAACAGATGGCCTCTGGGCTCATTCATCCCCCTGACATTCTCTATCCACTAAAATAGGGGAGCTGTGTCATAGGATTTTCACTTTGGCACCCAGTAAGGAAGCTACCTGTAGGGCCTGAGGGTGTGTTTTCATAAGAATGGCAGCATGGCTGTTGTTGCTTGCAACTAACCAAACGGCTGGTAAATATCTTGATAAGGAATGCCTAAGCAAAACAAGGCTGGGCGAAATGATTTGCCCAAAATAAAGCCTCTGTGTGGGATGGTCAGGTTCATAGGCAGTGCCAGCCTTTCCCAGCTCTCACACCTGACTTCAGCGTCCTGATTCTCTCACCTCACAATAATGCAGCAGAACAAATGTTCTTTAAAACCCTGAAATTTCTCATGGTTCCTGACAAAACAATAAAGCAATCAAAGGTCAATTAAGAAATGTATTCTAAAATCAGCTGGGCGTGGTGGCTCACGCCTGTAATCCCAGCACTTTGGGAGGCCGAGGCAGGTGGATCACTTGAGGTCAGGGTTCCAGGCCAGGCTGACCAACACAATGAAACCCCATCTCTACTAAAAATCCAAAAATTAGCTGAGTGTGATGGTACATGCCTGTAATCTCATCTACTCAGGAGGCTGGGGCACAAGAATCACTTGAACCTGGGAGGCAGAGGTTTCAGTAAGCTGAGATCACGCCACTGTACTCCAGTTTGGGCAACAGAGTGAGACTCTGTCTCAAAAAAAAAAAGTATTTTAAAATCAAATAATGTTTAACTGCCTGATCTTTTGAGTTATTAACAGTAAGGGTACCTACCAAGAAGACTGACAATTAGTGGTCAGTGGCATCAAAACTCTCATTATAAGTCTATATTTTCTTACTGTCCTGGCCCTCAATCCTGAACAACCCCCTCCTCTCCCTCTGCCCCCCACCCCACTCCCTACTCGCACATTGACACCAGATCAGGGATCCAAAGGAACAGAGAGAACACAATGGAAAACAATGCATCGTGGATGGAGAATGGATGGCGTGGGCTGGCGGTCCAAGGAAAAAAAAAAAAAAAGCCCAGAAAATGTCTGTCCTTCCAAAGAGAACACGTTTACAAAAAAATCTTCCCAAAGAGCAAAGCCAAGACAAGGGTTCATCCTGATGCACCTCAAGGGGCAAGGCCACTAAAGGAGTCAGAACAGGCTCCGGAGGCAATCGCAGTCTCCATGGATTGCACGAGAGACATTTCCAGCCCATCTCCCATCTCCAAGTGTGCCTCTGGGGGAAGCTGGAGAGGAAGAAATGTGGAACTGCCAGTGACAGCAGAGGCTTTTGATTAAGGAAAACAAATGAAGTGGAAGCTTTGTCTTTCAAATTCCCCAAAACAGTTTTCCAAAAGAATAACGTACATTAAAAAAAAATGGAGTAGAAATGTTCAGTGCTTCAGCCTGGAAGGCCAGATGGGGAAGGCAAATAAATCAATGCTTTCAACAAGAAGGGCAGTGCTGCCAAGCTAGACAGGGAACGGGATTCTCTGTTGTCCTTATCTCTTCTCATCCAATGACAGAAGTTACGAACTGTATGGAAATAGATGGTAGAATGAATCAATTACATCCACTTGTTAACCCTTTTCCAAATACGTACTATAGCTGGTTTAGCAAATCTGGTCTCTTGCCTATGCCGGTCCCATCTGATAAGCGCCTTCTTATTCCTCAGGGTCCAGCTCAAACGCCCCCTCCTCCGTGAGGCCTCCCTGGACTCCCCCAGGTAGTGCCTACAGCCCCTTCCCCTTTGTTCCCATGGCCTTCATGCATACTCTCCAAAGACTTAGTGTCATATTGTCATCTATTTATGCATCTGTCTCAAGTAAACTGGAACTCCTGGAAGGTAAAAGCCAGATCTTGCTCATTTTCTCATCTATAGCACCTAAAAAAATGCCTACAAGGAAACAGGTGGATGGACAGATGCACAGATGCCGGGGGAGCCATAGGGGCCACTGTTCTGAAAAGGCATCTTTGTCAACAGGAGAGCTGCCCACCCATGAGACAGACTCCTATAGGCAGAGTCATCCTTTCTGGAAGTTTGGAAGGGCTGTCAGCAAGATCTCTGCCAGTCTCCTCTGTGTCTCTATTTATACCTTGGGGCCAGGAGACAGGAGGAGGCTATCTGAACTCAAGGATAATGGTCAGCAAATAATACGCCCTCCATTTATTCTTGGCAAAGATCCCCAGAGGTTAGGTTTCCTCTAGAAAGTAGCCACTTACAGAGGGAAATTCCACTTTTTAAATTCTGTTATTTTCAAAGGAATTGACAGAAGCTTTAAATATCTTCTTGATAGTCTTTAAGTCACCAAAACTCACCCGTAAGCAAAAAGACTACAGGCACTGCAAAAGCTGCTGACTCAAAAAATTTCAGGAGGTTAATAGAAAGGAAACACCAAAACAAAAAGAAAAACTGAAGGGGTACAAGAGCACGGATTTTTTTTTTTTTAATCAGGAGAGAGGATGTAAAATCATCAGCCTATTCAAGTATTTTATTTTTTGCAGGGATTTTGCTCACTCCTTTTTGTGGTTTTTAAATTTTTAATTTTTGTGGGTATATAGTAGGTGTATATTTATGGTATACGTGAGACGTTTTGATACAGAACCGCAATGTCTAATAATCACATCATGAAAGATGAGCTATCCATTCCCTTAAGTCTTTATCCTTTGTGTTACAAACAATCCAATTATACCCTTTTATTTTTAAATGTACAATTAAATTTTTGACCAGTCACCCTGTGGTGCTATCTAATACTAGGCCTTATTCATTCAATTTTTTTGTACCCATTAACCATCCTCCCCACCCTCCCAACTACCCTGCCCAGCCTCTGGTAACCATCCTTCTACTCTCTATCTCCATGGGTTCAATTTTGATTTTTAGATGCCACAAATAAGTGAGAACACGCGACATTTGTCTTTCTGTGCCTGGCTTTTTCACTTAATATAATGATCTCCACTTCCATCCATGTTGTTGCAAAGACTGAATATCCTTCTTTTATTATAGCTGAATGTATTCCATTGTGCATAAGTATATTTTCTTTATCCATTCACCTGTGGATGGACACTTAGGTTGCTTCCAAATCTTGGCTATTATGAACAGTGTTGCAACAAACATGGGAGTGCAAATCTCTCTTCAATATATTGATTTCTTTTGGGTATATAGACAGCAGTAGGTTTGCTGGATCGTATGGTAGCTGTTTTTAGTTTTTTGAGGAATCTCCAAACTGTTCTCCATAGTGGTTGTACTAATTCACATTCCCGCCAACAGTGTATGAGAGTTCCCTTCTCTCCACATCCTCACCAGCATTTGTTATTCTCTGCCTTTTGGTAAAAGCCATTTTAAATGGGGTGAGATGATATCTCATTGTAGTTTTTATTAGCATTTCTCTGATGATCAGTGATGTTCAGCACCTTTTCATATGCCTGTTTGCTATTTGCATGTCTTTTGAGAAATGTCTATTCAAATCTTTTGCCAATTTTTTAATCAGATTATTAAGATTTTTTCCTACAGAGTTGTTTGAGCTCCTTATATATCCTGGTTACTAATCCTTGTCTGATGGGTAGTTTGCAAACATTTTCTCCCATTCTGTGGGTTGTCTCCTCACTTTGTTGATTGTTTTCTTTGAAGTGCAGAGTTTTTTTTTTTTTTAACATGATATGATCCCTTTTATCCATTTTTGCTTTGGTTCCCTATGCTTTTGGGATATTGCTCAAGAAATCTTTGCCCAGACCAATGTCCTGGTGAGTTTCCCCAATATTTTCTTGTAGTAGTTTCATAGTTTGAGGTCTTAGATTTAATTATTTAATCCATTTTGATTTTTTTGTATATGGTGAGAGATAGGGGTCTAGTTTCATTCTTCTGCATATGGATATTCCATTTTCCCAGCGCTATTTATTGAAGAAACTGTCTTTTCCCCAGTGTATGTTCTTGGCACCTTTGTGAAAAATGAGTTCACTGTAGGTGTGTGGATTTGTTTCAATGTTCTCTATTCTGTTTCTTTGGTCTATGTGTCTCTTTTTATGCCTGTACCATGCTGTTTTGGTTACTATAGCTCTGTTCAAGTATTTTAATTCTGTAATGGGGCAAGTAAAAAAACGTTTAGCAAAATACTTGGACTTATATTTAATGGATCTAAATACACACAAACACACACACACACACACACACACACACAGTATAAAGCAGCTATTAACCTAAATTGCTAAAACCTCAATATGCTCCCTTTTGGGAAAAGAAGCAAAAGCTTCAATAATTAAGAGCACATGTCAGACAGACCTGAATTGATTTGCACTCCACAGCCTACTAACTGTGAGACCTTGAGCAAGTTACTTAGCCTCTCTGAGCTTCAGTTTCTTTAGTGATAAAAGGGGTTGTTGTGAGGCTTACTGAGGTGCTGCATGTAAAAGATCTCAGCACAGTGCCAGGCACAGAGAAAACATTTAGTGGTATCAGTGGTAGAAGTCTTCAAATTCATTATCATCATCAACACCATAACAAGAAAGCAAATGGATATCAGGAATTTAGGAAGAAAGGAAAAAGTCCCAGTTGCATGAAGAATCTTCTTTCTTCTATAGCTTCATCTTCTGTTTATCAGAAGGTGTGTGTCAAACCCGTTCTACACATTATCCCAATACATCCCTCAGCAACCCTATGCAGCAAGGGTTATTATAACATGCATTTCTGAGATGAGGAAATGAACATGCTGCAAGCTCAAGTGCAATAGGAAAGTGTAGTGGTTGTGGTTAAGCCATGGAAGCAGAAGCCAGACTGCAGGAAGGAATCTGAATACGGGTTCTGCCATTTATTAGAGTCCGGCTTTTGCATGTTATGTAATCTCCTCTGCCTCAGTTTCTTTTTCAGTAAATGGAGGCAATACTCTACCTTCCTTAGAGTTGATTTTGAGGACTAGACAAGTTGTTCTATGTAAAGGGGTTTGCAAACCTGTCAAGTGTTAGTTCTTATTAAGTCATTTGCCTGAGGTCACAGTCAGGAAGTGGCGGTGCTAAGATTAGAAGGTCCACGGTCTAGCTCCAGAGTCCCCACACACTTCAAATCTACTTTCCTCTGGACGGTGTGGCTGGTCTTGCTCCTGAAGAGCAGTCTCCTTTGCTCTTTCTATAGGATCCTCAATAATAAAGATCCAAGTATGGTCATGGAATTTACCAGAAAGGGTAACACGTTTGATCAAGCTTTTCAACCAAATGGTTGAAACAGGAAAGGTTTCTCTTTCAAGTATCAATTACCAGTGAAAACCCCACACTCTAGTAGGAGCTCAGTTCTGCAAGGTTAAATTGTTCATTGGCTTCAGGAGGCCTGAGGGACTGCCTAATCACAAGTTTCTCTCTGGAAGTCACATCAGAAAGTTCCCACTTGTTATGTCTCCTACAGTCTGGAGGGACAGAATACACACCCCAAAAGGAGACCCTTTATGGCATTAAAAATGAAGTGCCAGCCTCAATCATGAGCCCCAGTTCATGGACTTAATAGAATCCCTTACAGTACTCTGCCACCAGAGGAAACATCCTCTTCAATTTTCTTATAGGTTTTCAAGGGCTAAAAATCACACATTTAAACAGTGTATTGTGTGTGTGTGTGTGTGTGTGTGTGTGTGTGTATGTGTATGCAGACACACACAGCAAAAGTGGGTATGAGGATTATAAGCCATGACCCACACCTGGCTCTGCCTGTCAGGTCAAGGATACTCCCAACTTGCCCAAGTCAGTTCATCTATGCCAGGGAAAAAAACTAACAACAAGAATGAAACCCAGCCAACTTACAAGTATCAGTACCAATCATCAAGAAGATGCAAATAAATCAAATGGCACGTCTCTACAACGTTTCTTTTTATCTGACTTTAAAATGAATAATATAGGTTGACATGGGCTCAGATTTTTTTTGTTCTTCCCTCTCACAGTTAATCAATTTTTAGCATTTTGGGGGGTGGGGGGGTAAATTACAATTACTATATAATTGCATTTCATAAGCATAGATCAACTGATGATAGCTGAATTATACGTGATAAGAAAAAGAAGCCATTCTCAGGTGAAAAACATGTTGGATAAAAAGAGTGGATAATGATAGATAATTGGGAGTTGGCTTCTGTCTCCATATTGCATGTGTGAATGTATATATACATATAAACATGTTTATGTAGTAAAGGAACTCCAATATTATGTGTGTGTGTCTAGGTATAACATTCACGTGTTAATATGAGAGTGGTCTGTAATATCTATGTACAAGGAGGTTATGTTAGTCTGTTTGTGTTGCTACATAAATATCTGAAGCTGGGTAATTCATAAAGGAAAGTAGTTTATTTGGCTCACAGTTCTGCAGGCTGTACAAGCATGGCACTCCTATCTGCTTGGCTTCTGGTAAGGCCTCAGGAAGCTCACAATCATAGAAACAGCAGAAGGGGAAGCCAGCATATCACATGGCGGGAGAGGGAGGAAAAGAGAGAGGGAGGAGGTGTCAGGCTCTTCTAAACAACCAGATCTCATGTGAACTCAGAGAGCTCACTCATTACCTTGAGGACAGCACCAAGCCATTCATGGGGGATCCTCCCATAACACTCAGACACCTCCCACCAGGCCCCATCTCCAATACTGGAAGTCACATTTCAACATAAGATTTGAAGGGAACAAAACATCCAAACCATATCAGATGTATCCTTGTGGACCTGTGCATGTACGTGGGCATGGAACAGTTCATGTGTGTGAACAGTACACACATGTACTCCTGGGAAGCTTCATCCTCACAAAAGAATTTGTCTCATGAGCCCTGTGTGCTGACATACAGCCTTGTTTTAAGAAACATGTTTTCCATTTATATGGTTTATTATCCCCTTGTTTCCTTTCTCAAGTAAAGAAATGCTAAACTTTCAGCTCCTTCCCCAACTCCCCGCCAGATCACCTGCCATTGCTGGGAAAGGCCAGTCCTTCTGACTCTTGCAGGACCATGACTCAAACCATCCTACTCTGGAGACATCCAAAGGCACCCCTGTCCTAGGCCTGCATGACTGTCTCTATGGATCCAAGTCCTTTCTCTTGAGGGCCTTTCTCTGCCCTAGTAGAGGGGAGATTTTGGTGGGAAGTCTTATGCAGGCAGCCTCCATGGGACGTGTGACATCTGGATCCAATAATGCCTTGTAATAAAGTATCTCCTGCAGCCAGGGATCAAGTCACAGCCCCTGTATTCATGGTGGAGGTCATCTGTCTCCCTACATTACAGAGTCTCTTAAGAGGGTATGGATTTAAGGTCTGACTTTTCTATAAACATGGCCCTGCTGCCCTTGAGAAAATGTGGGGAATTCTGCATCTGGTGAGGGATTTGTGTCCTCTATATGCCCACTCTCCTGAAGCCAGGTGTGCAGTTGGCGTTGCCCTGATTCTCCATCTCTCCTTAGCCTGCTGAAGCTCTCCTGAGCATGGGGCAGAATGTTCTCTCCACCCTCTGCTTCCTTGGTTTATTGAGAGACAAAGGGAAGAATGACTTTCCTATTGACAGCACCACCACCTCTTTCCCAGCCACGCTCTGAGTAAATGTCAGCAGGGTACGCTCTAGTCATACCCTAGGTGGTTGTTCTTAAATGTCTCCACTGTTCAAGCTACACTCATGAATGTCTTCTAAGGCCCTCCCTCACACACTCAATCTCCCAACTTCAGCCCAGAGACACTCCCCATGCTCAGTGGAGCCCCATTATCTCGAATTCTCCTGAAACCTTCTCTACTCTCACCACACACATGCCAGTCTTTTGAGTCCTATGTCCCTAGAGATGATGGGCAGTGATGTGTGGCTCAGTTAATGTAATTATCACCTGATGTATTTGCTAGCTAAAAGGTTATCCTTTATCAAGAATAAAACCCATACAAGGTAAAATTAGAGGTAAGGTTCTAAGAATTCAGTGTAGACCAAAAAGGAGTCATTATAGGGTACAGTAATATTTCGGTCCTCTTATGCTATCCTGTGCAAATGGTCACCAACTCCCTCCCCAACAAAGCAGGGGGAATAGATGACCACAGGGACATGCTTCTCCGAAAAGGTTAAGTGTTCCTGATCCTCACCCCAACCCCTGACCCTGCTCAAAACCACATGCGGAGCCTCTCTAACTCCCACATGGAGGGTGGCCTTCCTCACCCTGTGGTCGGGAAGTCCAGCAGACAAACAGCACTCCAGGGGCCAGCAAGCCTCATGTGCTTCCCCCAGGACACCACCAAGGAGCCGGAGTCCAGGAACTTGGAGGCCAAGCAATCAAAAACACTTTTGGCAGCAATACAAGGGCCATCAGAAAGCTAATTTAGATCCTGCCTGGCTGAATTGGGTCTAGAAGGAACAGAGAACAAGAAAAGTTCGTAGTGAATTGTCAGAAGGCAGCAAAGACCTGAAGCCTTGGTCTTAATCATGGTCCATGTAAAGAAGTTCTGGCATGGTGCATACATGAGACCTGCCAAATCTTGAGTAATGGGAACAACAAGGGAGGAAAGAGAGGGAGGGCTGAAATCAACTGATGGGGAGAGGGAAGTCAGACAGTGTCTAGGTGGTGCCAAACATCTGGGTAAACTGCAAAATATTTAAGCCAATAGCCAGCCATTTCGTCTGTAGAATAGAAAATGTCTAGGTCACATCATTGTGATTTTATTTTGTTCTTCAGTGTTTGTGCAGATGTTTGAACTTTCCTTGAGGGCATAACCAGGTTTGTTTATTTTCAGGTGTCTCCACCTTCCAGCACTTAGTACATCTCGGGTCCCTAGTAGGTACTCTACATATGTTTAAGGAAGGAAGAGAGGGAGGGGGAAAGCCACGTACAGATTATGGCAAACTTTTATATGATGACCAAATAATTTATTGTCTAAACTGAGACAACCTTGAGAGTCAAAGGGAGTGCTAATATTGGCCCAGGAAAACCAGGCCAAATGGTCACCCTTCTTAATGGCCAGTTATGTATGAAGGAAGGAGACATTAGAAAGGAAGTTCCCTTGTTATTTTCTAAACACTGTAAATTAGATAAGCTTAGAGTGCACATGGAACAGCAGGAAGGTCAATGCAGCTGGAGCAGAGAGAAGAAGTTAGAGAGTGGGAAAATGAAGTAGGAAGGGTCAACAGGAACTTGGACTTCATTCTAGGTGTGATGCGGAGCCATTGGGGTGTGGGGGTTACCTGGGTGAGTGACAAATCTGATTTATATTTTAAAAGATCTGTCTGGGCTACGCGTGGTGGCTCACACCTGTAATCCCAGCACTTTGGAAGGCCGAAGCGCATGGATCACCTGCGGTCAGGAGTTTGAGATCAGCCTGACCAACGTGAAACCCTGTCTCTACTAAAAACACAAAAAAAATTAGCTGGGCATGGTGGTGCACACCTGTAATCCCAGCTACTTGGGAGGCTGAGGCAGGAGAATCACGTGAACCCGGGAGGCAGAGGTTGCAGTGAGCTGAGATCATCCCATTGCACCCTAGCCTGGGCAACAAGAGTGAAACTCTGTCTCAAAAAAAAAAGAAAAATGTCTGGCTGCAGTGTGGAGAATGAGTTGTAGGGACAAGGGTAGCATCAAACCATGTGGTTGTCCAAGTGAGAGAGGATGGTGACTTGGGCTGGTGGGTAGCAGGGAGAGTGTTGCAGAGGAGGTGGAAGGAAGAGGATGGTTTCGCAATAATTGGTCTAGGTTGAGTTGCAGGTCTTTGCTGATGCAATGGACATAGGTGGCAAGATAAAGAGAAACATTGAGGATGAGTCCTAGGTTTAGAGCCTGAGCCACCAGCCGGGTAGAAGGTGGTATCTCTTACCTACCTGGGAAAACCATGGGAGGTTGATAATCTGGGAAGGCCGTTACTGACCTTCCTCTAAAAATGAATTGTAGAGTTGTAACACTATCTACAAGAGCTCTGCAGAATCACACGTTGTGCCACGGGTCAATCCATGTCCAAAGGAAAGTCCCTGAAAGCCAGGACAGAGACCAGAGTCACAGCTTGACTCTCATAGCCCAGATATACTGCTTGCTGATGGCTCCACTCTGTTGTTTCTCCAAACCTTGGATCCCAAACCCTGTCTCATGTCTAAAGACTAGGACTCCTCTTTTGCTCCACCTTCCTATATTCTGGACTTTTGGCTGCCAGTCTCTGGCCATACTCTGCCTCTGTCCCTTGCCTGACATGGGCCTTCATCTACTGCAGGCCTATGGAATCAAAGAAACCCAACCTTCACAAGTCTACCAGCTCCTTCCTGTTTACATTTTTCTCCACCTTCCCAATGTGCAGCTTTTAACCTGCCTTAGACCCTCTCTTGACCTTTCTTAGGCTAGTTTGAGTCTAGAATTTTTTCTCATGGAACTCCTGTCCCAAGGTTCTGTTGGAAGTTTGGTGAGCAGCCACACTGGTGACTGTTTTCTCTGCCAAACATATTCTCTTGGTTCCTCTGCTTCTCCTAAAGCTATTATACAGAGACCTAGCCAGGCCCTTTAAATTGTCTTTTCTCAGTTGGGAAAAGAATTAACATACCTGGTAGCAACTTCTAATGCAACTGCTGAATGCACAGACATCCCTTCTGGGTCTGGTCTTAACCATTATAATCTCTCACCTGTACCTGTAACAAGGTCCGGTTATATGTGTCTATAAGAAGAGATAACTGTCCTTACCACCCTACAGTTATTATCCATGGCTAATCCTGTTCAAATAGAAGTCTGATCACATCACACCTCTGCTCAAAATCCTGCAATTTCCCTTCCGTTTATCTCAAGGTAAAAGCCAAAATCCTTACAATGGACCAGAAGTTCCTTTACAATTAGAGGTTGTTACTTGGTCTGTTCATGCTGATATAACAAAATATCTGAGACTGGGTAATTTATGAACAACAGAAATGTATTTCTCACAGCTCTGGAGGCTGGGAAGTCCAAGATCAAGACACCAGCAAGTTTGATGTCTGGTGCGGGTCTGGTCTCTCCTTCAGGATGGTGCCTTGAGTGCCTCATCCTCTGGAGGGGACAGATGTTGCATTCACACATGGCAGAAGGGACAGAAAAGTACAGAAAGGGGGCAATCCCACTCCCTCAAGCCATTTTATCAGGCATGAATCCCATTCATGAGAGCAGAGCCTTCATAGCCTAATTACCTCCTAAAGGCCTCACCTCTTAATACTGTTACGTTGGGGATTAAGTTTCAGTATGAATTTTAGAGGAGACACAAGCATTCAAATCATATCAAATATGTATCCAATTGTTTCTTTTTTATTTATTTTTTTTTGAGACAGGTTCTCACTCTGTTGCCCAGTCTCCAGTGCAGTGGCATGAGCATGGCTCACTGCAGCCTCCAACTCCCAGGCTCAAGTAGCTCCTCAGTCTCCCGAGTAGCTGAGACTACAGCTAATTTTTTATTTTTTGTAGATACAGGAGTCTATGTTACCCTAGCTGGTCTCAAACTCCTGGACTCAAGCAATCTTCCCACCTTGGCCTCCCACAGCGCTGGGATTACAGGCGTGAGCCACTGTGCCCAGCCCGTTTCTCAAACATGCCAGCCATGTTCCCACCTCAGGGCCTTTCCACTGGCTGTTCTTCTGCCTGAAATAGTCTTCAGATAACATATGGCTCACTTGCTCTACTCCTTCAAATCTGCCCATAA
The DNA here is from genome assembly GCF_000001405.40 of Homo sapiens. Taxonomy (NCBI): domain Eukaryota; kingdom Metazoa; phylum Chordata; class Mammalia; order Primates; family Hominidae; genus Homo; species Homo sapiens. The sequence goes on along the minus strand of NC_000005.10, from coordinate 37,903,458 downwards.
GGCCTATGCAGGCCACTCCATTTACAATTTCAACCTCCATCTAGCCATCCAATCTCCTGAACCTTGCCCTTTCATTTTCAAAATGACATTCTAACTACTATATCATTTACTCATCTAGTATGCTATTTCTTTATTTCTGCCTCCTCCAATAGAATTTAGGTTCCAAGAAAGCAGGAATTTTTGTCTGTCTTGTTTTTTGATGACTCCTCAATGCCCGGAACAGTGTCTGACACATACTATTATTGAATGGATCAATTAATAAGAAATTCATTAGTAGTTAAGAGTCTAGTCTGTGGTCTTAGTGCTAGGTTTGAATTTCAGCTTCACCTTTTACTAGCTATGTGACTTAGAGAAAGTTTATTAACTTTTTATACCTCATTTTATACCTCATTTCTATCTGTAAAAAGAGAAAAAAAATTGCAACACTTCACAGGATTGTAGATGAGAAAATGCATGGAATGTGCTTAGCACAGTAGTTGGAATACAGAAAGTATTGTGTGGATGACTTCTATTACCTTCAACCTTGGTGGATGAATTAGACTTTGGAATAATCAAAAAGCCACCTGGACCAAAAACTGGTAAATAAAGTGGTTGCAATATGAACGGTTCTCTTTTGTGGTTCACAGACCGGCTTTACAAAAACAATTCTGGAAAGAAAAAAAAAATAGCTACATTTATGTTTTAATCAATTCCAACATGGCCACCTGGAAGGGAAACACCCACTTGGCTGCCTAAATTGACATATTTGTTAGACCAATGGAGTCCCAATAGTAGAGATAAAAAGCCCTTGGAAGTCCTCTGCTGGACCTCCTGTTTTACCAACTCACTTTATGTTGCTTTTCTGCCAAGAAGAACCAAGTATTCTCTGAGTATCTGGGTCAAGAGCCTCTGGAGACAGTGCCGAAGAGGCTTTATGGAGAGGATGTCTCAGAAAGTGATACCCTGAACCAGACCATGCAGTAACCTGAGTGTCATGAAGGTCTAGAAACCCAACCTGGGGAGTAGCAATCAGACACGGGCAGCTCATTTGCAGAACAGACTTTCTGGGGCCCAGAGGAGGAGGAAGGGCAGATTCACCCTGGATGGGCTGACCACCAGCCACTGCATTAGACCTCTGCGGCCTTAATTCCTCTCCCCTCTCCTTTGGCACCTCAGGGAAGACAGCATGAGCATAAAGGAAGGCCGAGAGTGACACATTCTACCCTACCACCCTGAAAAGATACAAAGCGCAGGATTCTTCCATTCTAGTTGTGCCCACTGTCCTTCTCCAGGGCCAAGCATATTCTTCAAACTGTATTAGAGGATCAAAGAGGGACTTGGAGACTGTCCTTCCTCATTTTAGAGAGGAGGGAGCTGAAGCCCAGAAAGAAGGGCATAGGGTGGCCCACCCATATCCCCTCAACTCACCCAGAGGCCTCCTGCAGACAGTTACACCCACCAACGACCTCCTGCATCTCTCTGCCTGAGGGTGCCCTCTGGCCCCGGAAGCATGTTCAGCCTGCAGGTAGAACAGGCCAGATGTGTCTGGGAGTTCATACCCCAGAAGTGACCCTCAATCTACCAGGGAGATAATTTAAGATCCATTCCACAGAGTTTCTTAGAGGGTCCCCAGCAGGACCGAGTCCCAGTTGTCTGCACAAGCAAATCTGCACAGTTACATCCCCTTCATCAGCCTTCCTCCCTTCCCTTGCCCTCCTCCCCACTCCTTTGCCAGTCTATCATTTGGCTATTGCCACAACATGCTATATAACCAGGGGTATGCTGGAGCCAGCAGAGACCACACCCAAGAGTCAATTGTTTAAAAAGCCAATTTTATGAGTCTGTTAAGCACAGCTCCTATTAAAAATTAAATTCTATAACTTACGAATTATAGTTAAAACAGAGATACTCAAACTTATCACATCCTAATTATATTTTTCTGTTGTTTATGCTTTTGATGTTATTTACATGTCTTGTGTTATGTAGGTCGAGCATCCCTAATCTGAAAATCCAAAATCCAAAATGTGCCAAGGTTCAAAACTTTTTGGAACTGGGAAGAGATGCTCCTCACTATACAGCGTTTCCGTCATATACAACTCCACATTCTGTGACATCACATCGGTAGCCAGAAGTCAGCTATAGTGGGAGTATTATCACCATTTACACCATAGAAATCAGCGTCAGGGCTTGAGTTACTGCCGTGTTAGACTTAAAGTGACGGACACAATATTAGTAACATAGATTAAACTTTGTGTCATGTTTATAGCCCTTACATTATAAATACCACAATGCAATAGGGAAATTTTTTTTCAGTTTGTAAAAACCGTTATCTGATTCTGCAAAGAAGTCACTCATATGATTGACAAATGAGTGAAGTTTACAACATATATCTTAGTTGTTTCATTTTCATCATACTTGTTAACAAAAATAGCAATGAACATTTATGTCAGCCAGGAGGTTCAGCTGATTTGGGCCAGGCTTGGCTGATCTCTGTTGGACTGGTCATGCATCTGTGCTCAGCTGGTGGGTCTGTGCCAGCAGGGTCAGCTGGGAGTAAGAACGTCTAGAACAGGCTGGTCCAAGTTGACTGGTTCCCCTCTAGGTGGCCTCTCACATCCACTTGTCTCCCATCTCCCTCCATCAGGCCAGCCTGGGCATATTGTCAGGGAACTCTCTAAGTACCAAGAGAGGAATCAAAAACATACAAGTGCCAGCAGCTACTCCCTCCATTTGGTGCAACAAGGAAGTTGTAAAAACAATAAGATAATATCTGCCACTTGTTGAGGACTTACTACATACAAAGCACAGTGCTAAGCAGTTTAAACATTTAACAGGAGATTAATTCGGAAATTTTCTGACCTAGTTCAGGCACCAAATTTTAAAATAATAGGGAGAAATACCTTCATATTCCAAAGAGAACTGCTAAACTGGAGGCTGTAATCATTTTTGTTTCCTTGAACCCTTTTGGCAATTTAGTGAAGACTGAGGACCTCTTCTCAGGATAATTATTTTTAATGCACACAACAAAACATATAGGATTATAAAGGACACTAAATATGTTGAAGATAATTATTAAAATAATTTAGAGTAATGTTGCAATATCATAATATGCAGACTTATTGGCACAATAAATAATAAATAAATGAGATCTAAGGAAGAATCTCACAACTACCATAATGTTAAAGTTATGATGAGCATAAATAGTTTCTGCAACAAGTATAAGTGATATGAAAACATGTGTGACTTCTGTTGTTGACAAAGTCACAGGCACTGCTAATACCATGGTTTGTTCCCTACATTCATAATTAAAGGAAATGGTAAGATTCAGTTAGAAGTTAGAAAAAGTAAACATGTAATTTATTTCCCATCCAAGCTCGCAGATCCCCTGAATTTTATTCAAGGGGGTCTGTAAACACCAGACAGATTAAGGACCCTTATGCTAGAATATCGAGGTGAGGCTTGCTAACAGGTGACTCAAAACTGGTTCAAGAGATCCTTAGTATTTTCCTTCTCTTCCTAAACAATTCAGTCCTAACATCATTAGCTGGAGTAGAGCAAGTTTAGTTCTGCAGTGGGGATGGAGGAATCCACAGGGCCTCAGGGTGGGGCATCGGAATTCATGCAGAGTGACGAAGGTGGCCCTGTAGAAGAGGTGGTGGCACCAGATACATACAAGGGCATTGATGACATCAGTATATTAGGAATAATGGAAGCCAGGTTTCTCACTGTTGGAAAAGAGAATTACAAATACAGAAAGGGGTGATATATCATAATTTGTGATCCTAATGCCTTTTTTTTTTTTTTTTTTGAGATGGAGTTTCGCTCTTGTTGCCCAGGCCGGAGTGCAATGGCACGATCTCGACTCACCACAACCTCTGCCTCTCAGGTTCAAGCAATTCTCCTGCCTCAACCTTCTGAGTAGCTGGGATTACAGGCACGCGCCACCATGCCTGACTAATTTTGTATTTTTAGTAGAGGTAGGGTTTCTCCACGCTGGTCAGGCTGGTCTTAAAATTCTGACCTCAGGTAATCCACCTGCCTGGGCCTCCCAGAGTGCTGGGATTACAGACATAAGCCATACTGCACCTGGTTCCTAATGTCTTAAAATGGAGTCACTCCTGTCAAGTAACATTGAGCTAACAGTAAAGCTGCCCCTCTCAAAGTGATAAACATATATGTAATAGACTGAAGTGATAACACCTGCTGCTGCACAATACCACCCAAGACCTGCAGCAAACAAATAGGAAGTGAAAGGTGGCTGAGATATGAGAACAGACCCATCTGGAAGGATCATAAAAGCAGCCAGGACCCAGCTTTCTTCAAGACACTCTTGGAGGCTCTTCCTGTGAGAACACTGAGGCCTTCTCCCAACTGGAAGCTGCCAACAGAGGCTCTGCGATAGGGGTGATAGGGTAGAGAGGGAAAAAGTAACAAAACCACACCCATGTCCCTCTCCAACCCCCACCCATCCCACCTTGCTCTCCCCCTACACCATGACTAGCATCCAAAAGGACCTCCAGACCCACTTGACTTGTCAGTGTGGTGGTCTCCCAAGCCATCGCTTTTCTTCACTACCCCCCTTTTACTACTGCCTGTGTGAATATTAACTACATGATTGATGGGCCTCACAGTGTACCATGAATTTGAGCTATATAATTGGCTACTGTGTCACTGTGAAACTTCACTGGCTTCTATGAGAGTTAACACACCTAAGCAGCACCAACCTAATTAACACAACAGGGAAAAGGCTCAATGAGCCCTGGTGTTGGATTAGAACTGGAGACTTGTGTGAACTCAAGGTTTTCGATAGAGAAGTTAACACATGTGTATGTACACACATACACATGTACACATACACACACACACATCCCCTAGCTCTGACCACTGAATGAGCCCAAGAGCAGCAACAGCTCACTAGCAACAAGCACACCTAGCACTCAGATATTGGCTCCTAAATACTGTTTTCTACTAAAACAGACCGGGGCTCCTTGAAGAAATGGCTGATTCAAGGGCTGGAGTACAGAAAGTACAGATGAGCTTAGAGCCTCTTATTGTGCCAGAAAGCCAGGAAATGCTCATAAAATAATGGGGTTCGTACTCACACGAAAGGAATACAGAAGCCAGCTTGAACGGGATCCTACTGGCCAAACCAGTGACAAATTTGAGCATCAAAATAATAAGAATTTAAATTCATTCAGTATAATAGGAAAACATGAGTCTGAACAGATAAATAGATAAGTTGAATGTTTGATAAGGAATGAGATGTTTATAGAGTTTCAAAATACCTCCCCATGAAATACATATCAATTACACAGGGAAAGAGTAGCTTTACAGTGAGAAAACCTAGAAGATACCAGCTTAATCAAGTAATCAAAGCTAACACCACCAGCAGTGGCATAAAGAGACATTTGTACCACTTGATAGGATGCAATGAAAAGAACATTACCTAACCTCTGTGATAATCACTGCCAAAAATGCATAATCTGAACATAACCATGAGGAAACATCAGACAAATCTAAACTGAGGGATGTGCTACAAAATAATCGGCCTGTAAACTTCAAAGAGTCAAGGTGCTAAAAATCAAAGAATGTTTCAGACTGAAGGATACCTAACAGACATGACATCTAAATACAGTAGGTGATTCTGGAATATATCCTTTGTGCTCCAAGGATGTTATTAGGACAATTTTGCAAAACTTGAATGGGGTAGTAAGGATGAGATGTTAGCAAGGTGTCAATGTTAGTTTCCTGATTTTGATGGTTATATTGTGGTTACATAGGAAATATCCTATACTCCCTACAGTGTTCTAGGGCGATAGAATACAGGTTAGAAATTTACTCTCAGAAGGTACAGGGGGAAACAGTTCTTTGTACTGTTCTTCCATTTTTTTTTTAAGTTTGGGATTGTTTCAAAGGCTGGTTCTGTGACCTATGGTCTATCACTTAACTTTTAGACAATAAATAAGGGGTAAAAACTTGAGGGAAGATGGGGGAATAAAGATTTCTCCAAAGAGAATTGTGAGCTGGTATTTAGAGAATCCTGCTCATTTCAGTTGAGAGTAGGGACCTACGTCCCCACCTGCACACAAGCCTAGAGAATGGGTGTATATCTGACTGAAAGAGAGAGTGACACTTTGCCCCCAAGCTCGATGCCTGTGAAGGAGCAGAAACTCATAGAACCACTTAGCACTGCAACCAGAGCAGGGCATGTAAAGCTTTGAGCACAGCCTGCCTTCCAGAGTGGGGTGAACAGAGATACAAAATACCTCCAAGAACAGTGGGCACCATGAAAGGCAGCTATACTTGAGTCACCTTGAAAGGATTCAATCCCAAAGAATTTTCTGGTGGGCAAAGTAACCCCAGCAGCAAAAAGCTTGGGGTGCAGAGTGGGGGGATCAGAAGCAGGGAGAAGAGAATTATAAGTGGTCAGCAGGAGACTATACCCCACCCGCCCAAGTCAGGGAACAGGGCAGTGGGCAGTGCCTGACATTCCTTTCAGGAAAGGCGATCTTCTAAGAACCTATGAAAGTGCCCCAAGAGAAAGAAAGCCAGTATTTGGCTGATACCCAGGGGGTACCAGCACCAGAGAACAAATGCTCTAACATCAGACTAAAACCACGGAGAACCAGCGGCAGCAGCACAGTTATGGGCAGAAGAGGAATAAAGGGGCAAGAGAGAGAAAGCTTAGAACAACAAAGCATGCTCTACCCTCACCCATAGCAAGTCCAAGCCTGGATCAAACCTGAAAGTTCTGAGTTGGAAGAAAACTCCAAATTTTAATTCATATCAGAGTTTTTTAAAACCTTAAAGCATAACTACAATGGCTGAAAGTCACCAGACACCTGTGGACTACGCCAGGGACAGGAAAAGAGCCTGTTTAAAAAGTCACGCTGAAGAATGTGACTTTCTGCTTCTCCCTACCCGCTCCAGCTCATTCGATGCCCTGGTTGCACATGCATTATCCTGTTTATTCCTCACAACACCCTAGAAATTTGGCCCCCACCATGAGTCTGAATGAAAGAGATCCCAGTGCAAGGCTATCAGTCCCCAGTCACAGCACCCAGGGTGCTGGCCTTCCAGAACAAGGCATTGCTCCTCCCCCAGCTTCACTTGGGTGGTAAGCAAGTGGAGGCCCACAGGAAAGCCACTAGGTGAGCAGCAGAAACCGATAGAAGGTAACGCAAAGCACAGTTGCAGGGAATTTATTTTGCTTGTGGTGGCTTCATGGGAAAACCACAGCTACAGGGAGGATTAGCAATCAGGGGTGGGTGGTTCTTCCATGCAGAGGCATTGGCAGAGAACACATTGGGAAAGTGAAAAGCCCAACAAAGAAAATGCTCACACCAGGATGTTCAAAAACTAAGATTCTGTTTGTGCACCCATTGCAGTGGTCCTTAACCTTGGCTGCACACACCTAGGACTTTTTAAAAATCCCGATGTATGGGCCCCAACCTCAGTGATTGCAAGCATGGGGATTTTTTTTTCCAAGTTCCCTAGATGACTCTAAAGTGTAGCCCAGGTAGAGAACCCTAGCTTCATTCAAGGAACTTTGTTCCCTATCAGTTTGGTGACAAACAAACAAAAAAACAAACAAACAAAGATAAAAATGTTCTGTCTCAATTACAAATATCAACTCCAGAATAGTTTTGGCTGAGCATGAGCCTCAACCCTGAAAAGTAACTAGTATGAAATTAAAACACACTAATGAATATTCAAGCATAGCCTCATTTGCTAGATGCAAGTATAGCTATACAGATAGAGATAGATATAGAGGTAATAATATATCCATACACCTTGTGCTAGTGGTAAGATATGTATTTAAAAGTGTTTTTCCTGCAGTGGAGATGATCACCAGTTCATCTTATCCACACTTACTTACCTGGTCTTCCTTGCAAAGAAACAAACATTAGGTATTTAAGAAGTCACAGAAAAGAGCAAAGCCATTCGACTCACCAGAAGATTGAAACAGCAAGGGCGGGGCAGGGGGGCATGGAGGGGGTTGTTTCATGTAAACTATTCTTGAGCCAAATGAATCCCCACACTAACAGCATTTCCATCCACTCATTGACAATACTGTTTCAATAAATGCAGAAAGCAAGCAAGCAGACAAGGATTCTTCCATTTACAAGACTTTTACATTATGTAACTCCGATGTCACTTTCAACTTTCATCCCTGTTTTCAGATTATTTTTAATATTTTCCCATTACTCACATGAAAAGGAAAAGATCTGATCCCTCTGCTTGGAAGTCAGGGTCCTTCACAATCTGTTTCCATCCTAACTTTCTACCTTTAATTCCCCTCTCTCCATCCCTCTCCAGAAGAAATTATCTTTCACTAAGCTAGGAAGTCCACTTGCTATCCCAAAACTTTCTAAAGCCACCTTTTTTTCTTCCATATCTTTTTTCTACATCAAAAAGTATTCATTCAGGCTAGGTGCTGTGGCTCACGCCTGTAATCCCAGCACTTTAGGAGGCCGAGGTGGATGGATCATAGGGTCAAGGGATTGAGACCATCTTGGCCAACATGGTGAAACTCTCTCTCTACTAAAAATACAAAAATTAGCTGGGTGTGGTGGCATGTGCCTGTAGTTCCAGCTACTTGGGGGCTGAGGCAGGAGAATTGATTGAACCCAGGAGGTAGAGGTTGCAGTGAGCCAAGATCATGCCACTGCACTCCAACCTGGTGACAGAGTGACACTCCATCTCAAAAAAAAAAAAAAGTATTCATTCAAGAAGTATTTATTGGCTATTTTTCCTAGTTAAGACAATAATTAGTATTTAGTCCTCAATTAAAACAATAATATATTTAAATAAACACAGATACATATAATTGTCTTTTCTACAAATAAAAAGAAAATGCCACCCATATCATCAAATACTGTGATAGACCGATGACACCAATGGCTCCAATCTTTTATCCCTCTCTGGATCCTCAGGCAGCTTCACCTATCAAAAGGTAGAATATCTATCCCCATTCTTTGACTCTCAGTTTCCAACTTGCTTTGACCAGTAGGCAGGTTCAACAGAAGCCAAAGCTTAAAAGGAAGCATTCTAGTGTTTCTACTTTTGCTCATCTGTGATTGCTGCATGAACATGTCCAAGCTATCCCACTGGAGGATGAGGAACACATGGCCCAGTGATTCTGCCCCACTCAACAGCCTATCAACTGCCAGACTCATTTGAAGCCAGAAGAACCTCCCAGCTGAGTCCGTCCTAATTCAGTCAACCCTGGCAACTATCAGGCATACTAATGGGTCCAACCAAGACCAGAAGAACTTCCTAGACAGGCCAACCTACACTGCCGTCCTGAGACCATGGCCTTAGTAAATACTCATTGCTTTCAGCCACTGTGTTTCTGGGTGCTTTGTTACACAGTATTATTGTGGTAATAGATAAATGATACAAGTGCTAAAATAACTGTACAGCAATAATTTAGATGAGGTAAAAACAACTGGACAAAGACTAGACTACAAGGTCTAATAGTAGGACAGAATTATGTTGGGTGATTCACAACTGTGTCCCCTTTGCACAGCACAGGGACAGTCACAGGTGCTCAATAACATACGCTGCTGGATGAAGGAAACATCTGGTCATGACAGATCCTGGGCTGTAAGAGTCCTCGGAATGGATCATGAAATCATTAACTTCCAAACTTTTACAAATATAACTGACTGACTGCTATCATTTACTTACCTTCTTTCTTTTCCAAGTCAAAATCCTTAGCCAGTACACATAAACCACACAAGGAAAAAAATATTTCTGTAAATGGCTTCTCCAAACACTCAGATGGCTCTTTGCCCCCTCACAGAAAGTCATTTCTCTGCAGCTGCCAGGCTACTTCTGCAAGAGCTCAAGCCTAGCCAGTTACAGTAGCTGGTGTAAAAGCTAATCTTAGAAAACACACATCATTTCTCCAACCCGGTAATTAAGACCAGAAATCTGTAACTGAGACATTCATAAAACTGGGGTTTCCAAGTGCCAGCTTTCCCTTAGAGTTCTCCAGAATGGGTCAGACTGGGAGAAGCCTGCCCAAAACAATCTGATGGGCAGGAGAATGGGTTCTGGATGGGCAAGGGACAGTGGGAACAGGCCCAATCCAGTACCTTTCAAAGCCTCCTCTCCTTCTAGATTCATGCCTCAGTACTTCTCTGTCCACCTTTGATCACTATTCAAGTGCCAGAGCTAACCAACCGTTAACAAATCTACAATAAAAGAACAAATTTCTATGGGCAAGATTAGTAATGTGTTGGTATTTTGGAGCTCTGCCTTTATTAATGTCTCCACTGGCCAGTTGTAAACAAGAAGACTTTTAACTTCTCAGAAGGACATTTCTATTTCACCCATTTTATCTTTCACAGAAGGGACCAGTTTCAACCAACTTTTTCCAGTCCTGACACTTGGATTCAAGTCAGAGACAGTTATTAAACTCATTTAGACAGTGCTTATTACTGAGTCCTGATTTATTCAAGCGCTTATTTACCGGGAAGGTACAGCCTCTCCTTTTCAAAATGCAAATTTACTTCCAACTCCAGGCCTTGCAATTTATCTGGACGAAGTGCTGATATTGGCAGGGTACCTTTAAATACACTTTAGGAGTCTGTTTCTTTGATACAGCCAGGAGGGTAAAACTGCCATATCCACAGATGTCTTCAATTGCTGGGATATTCTCTTCCCACTGTGGAGACTTTTTCAATCTGTTTAATACTAGGGAGGAGTCAGGTTGCTATTTTGGGTTTAACTATGAAATATTTATTGGGCTCTAATTTACCAAGAGTTATTTGAAACTCTGGAGCCTTAGGAATTCAATTTTTTTTTTAAATAAAAATGAGCCTAGAAACTGCTCAAGTAATGGTAGGGGAAAGAGGAAGGGCCAGTCTGATTTGAAAAGGATTGGCAGACCAAGAGACAGGAAGGACAGGCTTTGAGTGTTGCAAATGCTTCTGTGGGTACAGAATGAGAATGCTACACAATACCTTACAGATCTTGTATTGCAAACTTTGCATTTTATATGAGGAAACTGAGGTCCAGAGAGTGTAAGTGACCTACCTGAGATCACACAGCTAGTCAATAGCAGAATCAGAATTGATTTCTCTTTTCAATCTTTTTAGTTACAGGAAATGACCATGAACGCCATCTGTAATGACAGGGCAGTATAAAGAGCTTGGTGCTATAGCTACACACACATCAGAGGGAAGGGTCTCAGATCTTCCTGCCTCCACTCTGGGCCCAAGCTCAGCACATTCACATCAGTAACATTTCCCATTGCACATTAGCTTTCAAAAGTGGAGAATCTATTGTTTAGAGAAAGGTTTCTAAACCTCAGAACTGTTGACATTTTGGTGCAGGAAGTTCTTTGTTGGGAGATTCTTTTTTCACAGAATTCTTGGTTCCTACCCATTAGGTGCCATTGGCATCTAGTTGGTTCTCCGGACATTGCCAAATGTCCCCTGGGTTGCAAAATCACCCTAGTTTAGAACCATTGATTTAAGGCAAAGTTCACCTGATATCCACTCAACACTCTACATAAGCATCATTGAGTTGTATGATTATTTGTCATAACAGTGAGAAAGGTGGAAGACCTGGAGATTTAAAGAGAAATAATTGATATCTGTTTAATTCATCACTGTATTCTCTTGCACCTAGCACATTCATTAGTGCAAAAAAAGTTGCCCTCCATCTTCTTAGAAATTAACATAATTAAAACATCATTTATTACTAATAAGTGTTAATTTATTAATCCATAAAACTTTGAATGCTTTGGGTTTGCAATCAAATAACTTTCCTTCATGTTTATTCTAGTGTACAGTGGGTATTCTTTTCCTAATGATCATTGTGGTTCTTCTTTTAAAAATTCACAGCCTGAAGAGTGCACAAAGGACACAAATGTAGAATAAAAACAACTCCACCAAATAAAAAAGTTAATTTAAAAAAAAAAAACCTCATTCATATTTGATGCTTTACCAAATTTAAATTCATCCTGATGAATGTACAAACATCCCAAGGTGGATTCGCCTGGATTAGCACAATCAGATTGCTTTCCTAGCACCCAGCAGTGGCTAGTGGAGAAGAAACTGTTTCAATGGGGTAGACAGGAGCAATAGGCCCTCGGCACTCAGCAGTCCCAATTTCATTTCATGGCAAACTCTCATTCTGAAGCAATTCCAAAGGTCTAGGGAATGTAGCAATTTGTAATTTTGTTAAGGTACCAGGTTCCATCGTTCTCTACTCGCTGAAGATGTGTACAAAGTAGCTCTGACAAATGATTTGTTGTTGTTGTTGTTGTCTTTGAGACAGAGTATTGCCCAGGCTAGAGTGCAATGGTGCTATTTCAGCTCACTGCAACCTCTGCCTCCCAGGTTCAAGTGATTCTCGTGCCTCAAGCCTCCGGAGTAGCTGGGATTACAGGCACGCACCATAGTGCCCAGCTAATTTTTGTATTTTTAGTAGTGACAGGGTTTCACCATGTTTGCCAGGCTGGTCTCAAGCTCCTGGCCTCAGGTGATCTGCCCACCTTGGCCTCCCAAAGTGCTAGGATTACAGGTGTGAACCACCACGCCTGGCCTGACAAATGATTTTTAAAAATTTGTTTCTGTGTAAAAAATAGCCATCAAATGAGGGATAAAACTTCAGGGGAAGTTGGAAAGGTAGTTAACTGCAGTTAATGAGCAAAGTGAGGGTAAGCACAGAAGCATTCAACTCAGTGGAAATGTGAATTAGGAGGAAACCAAGAACTCATGCATACATTCTCTTATTCTTTATTCTCAAGTCTTGGAGGGGTCAGAAAGATCTGAAGTATAGTCTTCTGGGATGTCAAAGTTCTATTGTAAACTCTTGCTTATCCAGAAACATATCAGGAAGGGGTCTGCTGAGTGAGGGTCTAGAGCAAGGGAATTTTGAGCAGCCTGAGGCCCCTACAGGCTTGGGGAGAAAAGTGGGAAGAGGTGGAAGCCAGGGAGGTTTCAGGGCTGCCTTCCCAGGTGGCTCTTATTTAACTTCAGAGTGGGCTCCTGCCACACTGAGCTCACTCTGGGGTGGTAGGTATAAAAGAGCAGCCTAGGGTCAGGGTTGGACCTCAGGTCCTCTGCCTCCTCTCAGACCTGTCGGAGTACCTTGGCTATAGAAGGATGCTAAAATATCAGGAAAACAGATCAGGCCTGGAGAGGCGTAGGCAGTGCCCTTCCAGGGGAATGCAGGAGGCTGAAAGATGCCTATTCCCCTGCAGAGTCACTGGCTGGGGGAATGGGTGTGTTTTCCAAGACTCACCAAGCTGCTCTCATTGTCTTCCCTGCTAGAGCCACCATCAACGCCCAAAGAACCCAGACCCAGTAATGCCTTCGGCTATGCAGTTTCCTGTCACATGGCCCTTCCCTAAAACCTGACTGAAAAGACCAGCTGTATATCTTATTTCAAAGGGTGCCTGGGGGGTGGATCGCCTGCTTGGCTGCACTCCCAGCAGCCCCAAAACTCTGACTAACCATGACTCTGACTAGCCAGCAGGAAGGTACTCACACTTGGTTCTACAACCATCCACAAAGCTGGAGAGAATCCTACAACTATCCTTCTTCAGAAAGAGTCATTGTCCCATTATGTGCCAGGTGCTTTACACAGCTTTATTTATACTTTGTAACAACCCTCCTCATAGTAACATAGAAAAGTGCATATTTACAAACGAGGAAACTAGGGTTTGGAGAAGTTAAGTAATTTGCCCAATGTTGCACAATCTGTAAGTGATCTGGCTGGAAGAGAATCCTGTGTTCTCTCTACGACAGCAAGGGATACCCAAAACCCAAGAAAGATACAATATTTAGGCCAAGTCCAAACAAGAGGCTCCTCTCCTGCCTGAGTTGTTACTTCGTCGGACCTGGCAAGCTTTGCCAAGGCTGTATCTCTTCATCCGCCTGCCATATTGACACTCGGGATTCTGTGACATCCTGAGAGCATCCCTGCAAGTGCCTATGGGCACTCCTGGCCCTGAATCTGAACTTCCTGCTACACCCAGCCTAGGACCTTCAGAGATTTAGTGCAGCCAATCTCTCAAAGAAGTCAGTCCCCACATCCCAACCAAAGACCTCAGGTACAGAGACTGCAGGAGACTTCTTGGAGTTGGAGACAAATGGTTAGTCTTGGTCTGACTACAGGTCCAGAGCTTCATTGACTAGTTTCCTGGGGCAATTACAACAAATTCATGAATTTAGTGGCTTACATCAACACAAATGTATCATCTCACAATTCTGTAGGTTAGAAGTCTGACAAGGTTCCTGTTGGGCTAGAATCAAGGGGTCAGCAGGGGGGCGTTCCTTGCTGGAGGCTCTAGTAGAGAATCCATTTCCTTGCCTTTCCAGCTCTTAGAGGCCACCTGCATTCCTTCCTTCTTGGCCCCCTCCCTCCATCTCCAGAGGCAGCCACAGCAGGTTGAACCTTGCAGGCATCGCTCTTTGTCCGTAGTCCCATCTTCCTTCCACTCTCTTCTGCCTCCTTTTCCACTTTTCAGAACCCTGGTGATTCACTGGGGTCCTCGCAGATAATCCAGCATGAACAACCCATCTCAAGGTCCTTAATCCATCTGCAAAGCTCCTTTTGCCATGACAAGTAACATAATCAGAGGTTCTAGGAATTAAGATGTGAATATCTTTGGAAGGGGTTGGGGTGCACACCCCATAAGGCCAAAAACTTTCCTCAGATCATTCTCGCACACAGAAACACCGGCATTTTCCAACTCTAGCCTGGAGCTGTCTTGGACTGTGAACAAGCCGAGGACAGGACCGCCCCTGTCTTCCTAACAAGTGTCTGACACATGCAGGCAGTCAGTGGGAACTGACAAATGAATATGTGGCCAAGAAATGGGCCTCTCCCAACTGCCTTGAACTCAGTGACCTGAGATTACTCACATCTCCCTTCTGCCTGATGGTTTACTCGCAAACATAACCCTCCTGGTCGCTAGTTCCCACTCTTCATACCCACCCTCAGCATAGAGCATGAGCTGACTTTACCTACCACATTGTTCCTTGGCCTTCAGCAGGTGGTGATGAGTTTGCAAGTATGGAGCTATTGCCATGGAAGACTCTGGAAAAGCCCTCAGGATGTGACTGTGCTGACCAACCCCCTCATGCCAGGGGTTGAAACCTACAGAAGTATTAGGTTGGTGCAAAAGTAATTGAGGTTTTTGCAATTGAAAGTAGATTTCCTTTGCAAAAACTGCAATTACTCTTGCACCAACCTAATATCTCCCTACTCTGTGAAGCATTTGGGTGACACTACATGTGGACGCTCTTAGAGTAAAACTCAGACTGTTAAAAATACAAAATAACTCTTGCCAATGGTTTTGTAAAGGGAGGTATACGATGCCCCTCAACATCTGGCTCCTGCCCACCTCTCTAGCGTCCGCTGCAGCACATGCCCCTGCCGTCTGGTTTTAAGGAACAATGACATCACACCCTCACCTTCAACATTTGGTACAACCCTCTGCGGAGTTTACCCCAATTTTGAGATGAGCAAACTTAGAGTAGATAAAGAACTTGCCCAACATCACAGAGCTCATACACAGGAGAGCCAAGTTTTAACCCAGCCTCTTAAAAATGAAGTAATTTCTGCCTCACTACACAGCCTCCCAAACAGTGCAATGACACAGTCCCAGGACCTTACCAGGTCACCAGAAGTGTCTACTAAACACAGGGCTGCCTGGGCCCAGCCAATGGGACGTTAATTCTGGGCAGCCCTTTCCCTCCTATTTCCCATTCTTTCTACGAACTTTTGGATCAAAAACTCTGATGAAAGTTATCATTTCTAAGACAAATTTCCCTCTAGGTTTGCATGTATAGTAGAAGGGATTTAGGTTAGACAATTGGAGAACTTGCCCACACATTAAGGATTGGCTTAAATAATTGGATTAAATTTCCCAAACATAAGAAGAATGAGACACTGGAGCAGGGTTATTCAATTGTCTTTCCTTAGAATGTTTCACAATGCAGGCTGCAGACCCAGTAATTAACTAATGCTATTCACAGCCTTCTCCAGAAATTTAAAAAAAAAAAAAAGACAGGGTCTTACTCTGTCGCCCAGGCTGTAGTGCGGTGGTGCCATCACAACTCACTGCAGCCTCCACCTCCCAGACTCAAGCAAACCTTTCGCCTCAGCCTCTCAAGTAGCCGGTAGTACAGGTGTACACCACCACACGTGGCAATTTTTAATTTATTTTTATTTTTATTTTTTGTAGAGACAGGGTCTTGCCATATTGCCCATGATGGTCTCAAGCTCCTGGGCTCAGACAATCCTCCCGCCTTAACCTCCCAAAGTGCTGGAATGACACACCGTGCCCAGCCAGCCTGTGTCTTTTGCAATGATAGCACCATCATAGCACTTTGCAGACCTGCAAGCCCCAGGTACTTGGAATGGAGGAGAGCAGAGGGAGTTCACAGCTGC
Organism: Homo sapiens; assembly: GCF_000001405.40. Classification (NCBI taxonomy): domain Eukaryota; kingdom Metazoa; phylum Chordata; class Mammalia; order Primates; family Hominidae; genus Homo; species Homo sapiens. Next base: position 37,887,060 of record NC_000005.10, on the reverse strand, counting down.
CACCTTTCAGAGGGAACCTTTCAGAGGGAACTTTCACTCTGGATTTGGCTCTCAAACTTAGGCATCAGAGTCATCAGGAAGGCTGATGAAAACACAGATTGCTGGCCCCAGCCCGAGTTTCTGATCCAGTAGGTCTGGGGTAGGATCTGAGAATCTGCATTTCTAACAAGTTCCCATGTAATGCTGATGCTGCTGGTCTAAACTTTAGTGGCCTCAGTCCCATTAAACACTAGGATTTAGAAGGGATCTGGGTTTCCTCCCTTCCCATAGCCTGTGAAGTGCCCCCAGGGTTGCAGGACAGCCACGTGTTTTTAGAACATTGTCTCAAGATCTTGCTGGGGCTGTGATCTTTCACAAAAGAGGAGTTAGCCCTCTCTCCCCACCACAGCTGAGATTAGGTCTTTTCTTTTCTCTGAACAGACACTAATCCTAAGCATTCGCCAAGGATGGGAGCTGTCTGCTTACCGAGCTGCCACTGGCTTGGCACCGATGTTTGCTTAACCTCTGCTCAGCCGTCTTCTGAGGATTTTCTTGTCCCGCCCTTGGTGGGGCTCATGTTTTTCAAGTTCAGTCCTGAGAAGCCTCTTATTTACCAGTGTGAGGAATCTGGGTTTTCTTCCTGCACGTGCTCCTTCTGGATCCCCTACTTTGGCTGTTTGCCATCCCACAGCCTGGCCAGACTAGGGGATGCGGACGGCCCAAACCATCTGCCCCAGGAGGGAGGGGTAGTTTATCACTGACTGTTGGCACATGGTGATAATAAAAAGCAGTTTGTTTTACTTTATTTTATTAGCATTTTTAAATGTAGCCTGCACCTGGGGCAGACAGCTCCTCCCCACCCCCACCTTGGTTTTCCAAGGCCATACAAGGTTGTTATTCTACAGGCCTTTAAGTTAAGTACCATTCCCAAAAGGGGCATAGCCACAGGGTCTCCTGGGAGCAGGATTCAGAGTCTAGAGACCACTCCCCAGTTGTCCTAAGAGACTTTGGGCTGCAGAAGGCTTCCTCCCACCACCTGCCTCCCGCCTCCCAGTCTCCAAGCCCCAGTATCACTCTCCTGTGTGCTCACTGTTCCCTTCTCCACCCATTAATAAAAACCTGCTCAGCCTCCTGCCTCAGAAGATCAATGATCTGTCAGAATCATTCTCCTTAAGGTCTTCATGGAAGAGCAACACTTCTCCCAGACCTTGCTGCACCTAAAAAATCAGGGATCCTAGATTGTCTATTTGCAAAAGATCATATTGCTAGTGGTGGCAATGAAGCCATTTCAGGCCCCAAAAGCAGTCAATTTGAAACAGGTAGCTTCTGACCCCTCAGATCCCCCCTGTGTAGGTGAACCCTGAATATTCTATGACATCAGCCTTCTTTTAATAACCAAACAAAATGACCCAAGCCCCTGTGTTAGGTCATTCTTGCATTGCTATAAATACCTGAAAGTCAGTAATTTATAAAGAAAAGTTTCAGGCTCACAGTGCTGCAAGCTGTACAGGAAGCATGGTGCCAGCATCTGCTTGGCTTCTAGGGAGCCCTCAGGGAGCTTTTACTCATGGCAGAAGGCAAAGTGGGAGCTTGCACATCACATGGTGAAACCAGGAGCAAGACAGAGAGGGGTGGGGGCAGGTGTCACACACTATTAAATGGCCAGATCTTCTGTGAACTCAGAGCCAGAGCTCACTTATCACCAAGGGGATGGCCCAAGCCATTCATGAGGGATCCACCCCCCTGATCCCAACACCTTCCACCAGGTCCCACCTCCAACATTAGGGATTACATTCAACAGGAGATTAGGGTGGGGACATCCAAACCATAACAACCCCTATCCCATGGGGGTACAGTGCCCTCTTGGAGACTCCTGAGGGAAGGTAAGAGTGGGGAGACATATGGTCTCCTGGGACAGGGAATCTCTTAAAATTGAGTATTAGTTATCAGTGTTCTTCAAGTTGCTATTGTGGCCTCATCTCTTCCAACCTCTTTAGCTGGCTCTTTCCTTTACTCATCTTCTCCCAGTTCTCCAGCCTCTGAATCTCTATTTCTCCCTTCCATCCCCAAACTGCTGAGGGAAAATGGAAATCTTCTGTTACTTTATTATACAAAGACGTTTAAGTCTGAACTCTCCTCTCTCCAGAGGCTTCAGGGCCTCTTTTACTCATCTGCTTAACAGGTTTTCCTTAACAAAGAACTAACATCCTTGGCATGAATTCCATGCTTCCAGTGCACAGTGGAACTGCAACAGTCATTTTTGGTTTGAAATAGCAATTTTTCCTTCCTTGCTACCTAGGCAATTTCCTCTTCTGCCTATAAGCCTTACTTTGATTCCTAAACCATAAGAAACTTCTCTTAGGGCCAGTTCATTTTTCTCAATTATTTATGCATATATATGTATTTTTTCCATAATGTTGTAAAACCACTTCAAACATTACTGAAAAACAAAAAACATGATTCCATCACTCTAACAACCACTTGCATTTTTAAATGCTCCATTCTAGTCTCTGTCCACCCACACATATATTTTAAGGCATCTATGTTTTCCTCTTCTGCTTTTTGATTTTACATGACACGACAAACAACTTCCCATGTCTTCATTGCTATTGCTTTAATAGCTGTATAACATTCCATTGAATTATTGTCCCATAGTTTAGCTACCCATTCTCCATCACAAAAGCAGGGATCTTTGTCTCTCTTATTCAGTGATGTACCCCAAACAGTGGGATACAGTGCCTGGCATATAATAGGACTTCAAAAAATATTTGTTAAATTGACTGAATGAATGAGGCACTTAGATTGTTTCTAATTTCTCATTGCTATAGACAAGATGCAATACACATTTTTAAGCATATAACTTTTTTGGCTTTTTTCCATGATATAAATTCCCAGGACTAGATTAATAAAAACAGCAGCAGCAGCAATGATGGTGATAGCTAACATATATGAGCAGATACAACATGCCAGGCTCTGTGATGAGCACTCTACAACCATTATATCTTTGACTCTTCACAGCATCCCTATGAGAAAAGTACTAATTATCCCCATTTTACAGGTGAAGAAACAAAGAACTGGTTATTTGCCCAAGGTCACACAGTTTGTACAGGGCAAAGATGGCATTTGAATTAAGGCTTATACCAGTCCAGATTCTAAGTTCTTTTTTTTTTGAGATGGAATCTCGCTCTGTCGCCCAGGCTGGAATGCAATGGTGTGATCTCAGCTCACTACAACCTCTGTCTCCCGGATTCAAGTGATTCTCCCACCTCAGCCCCCCAAGTAGCTGGGATTACAGGTGCACACCACCACACCCAGTTAATTTTTTGTATTTTTCATAGAAATGGGGTTTCACCATGTTAGCCAGGATGGTCTCGATCTCCTGACCTTGTGATCCGCCCGCCTCAGCCTCCCAAAGTGCTGGGATTACAGGCGTGAGCCACCATGCCTGGCCTCTGGCTCTAAAATATTAATGGCTCCTGTTGTCCTCAAAGGAGCTCAATCTAGTACAAGCAAGCGAATCACTTGATACCCAAATTCTGATGGCCATCAGTGTAGGGACACAACCTGAGCACAGGCTAATGGCAGAGATAGACTCAAACTCAGCTCCTGCCATAGACAAAGCTCAGCCTGCCTCGTGTTGGCCTCCCAAGCCCCAGAAAGACACTCTTTCTGAGAAACAAAACCAGGCTTCCATGATCTGACCTAAAGTGCTAATCCTTGAAGAGATTACCTTTACGCATGATATAGCAACCATTTGCTTTTTCACTGCAATAGAGGGCATCTAAATATTTCTTATTCTTGGCCTTTGATCAATGGTTTTGTATTTATATTTGAGATGATCTCAAAACTTATAAGAATAAAATAAAACCATGTTGCAAAGTGCGGAGCAAAAAAGAGCTTGAAAATAGCCTAAGACCTTCCTCAGTCCTCCTTCCTTCCTCCCTCTCTTCATCCTACAACGAATATATCCAGACTTTGGGGTGGGGTACCAATTGCATAAGACCCCAGGGTATCTGTGCATGCACATCAGAAGTAAAGTACTCCAGGAATTCCTAAAAATTACTTCCCTAGCATCTCATTTGTGACCACGGACAAAAATAATGAGAATGGAAAACATCCTTGGCCAGGGAAGTCAGCTGTTTCTGTTCCCTGATTTTGAATCTGTGAGCAAAGCTTTGCTGTCTCGTCTGGAATCAGAAAGGTCAGTTTAAGGTTAAGCCCAAGTGAACGGTCCATCATGAAGTAAACACAGCACAACCCAGGGCTATGTGCAATGTTATTCTTTCACCTTCTTCCTGGAATTTCAGAGGTTGTACAAATGGAACACTAAAGTGAACAAAATAATGTAACAGTGCAAAACAATGTCAGTGGAGAAATGTTTACTTGAGGGTTCAAAAAAGAAACAAAACATACTTTAACTATGAATGTGCCTATCTCTCCTCCCAGCTCCCTAAGTCCCTCTTTCCTCAAAAGAAAAAAATTATCCTTTCTTTCTTTCTACCAGACTGTGTTGTTTCCAAAACCCTTTCTTTCTCCCTCTCTTTCCTAAATACACAAAGAGAAAGAAACAGGACAGTAGAAGTGGATGGGAAAGCTGAAAACTCAGCAAACCCAGTGGTTTTCAAACTTTTTTAAACCAAAAAATATGATTATGGACAAAACTTATTTGTAAGCTGAATTAGACAGCTATAGCTGTGTAACAAAACACAACAGCTTATGGCAGCATGTGTTTTTGTGCTAACAGATCAACAGGTTGACTATAAGTGGATCTAGGCTGGACTCGGCTCTGTTTCAGGCTACAGGTTGGGTTTAGGTCTGTTCTACACCCCTCTTCTTCTCCTTGGACCAGTGGCTCCCTGCAGCATATTCTCACAGCAAACAGAAGAGTACAAGAGGTAAGCCAAACCATGCAAGTACATTTAAAGCCTCTATTCACATCACATCCTCCCACATTTCATTGGCCAAAGTTAGTCATATAGCCAAGCCCAAAGTCAGTAGAACAGGGGAGTTACGGTCTGCTCCAAGAGGAAGAAGGAAGGGAGTGATTTTTATTGCTGACCAATAATCCAATCTCTCATAGAAACCAAATATATAACACAGAATAAGTGGCTTTTTGCTAGTTGAATGAGGGATGAAGGCCCTCTAGACACATGCTCTTCCCCATCCCCAAATTCCCAATGAGTCCTCTGGCAATCCGGCAATCCCCCAGGGCATCAAAGAACACAGCATGAAATGCAAGGCAACCCTCCCATTTTACAGATAAGAAAACTGAGGTGCAAATCATCCTAATAACTCATCTACTATCTGAAAAGTACCAGGTGTAGGGCCACAAGTAAGGAGATCCTTTCTATGCTTTTCCGAATGTAATGACAACTGGTCATTTTCCAGTCTCTAGGCATAGTTACAGGGATTATAATGGATAAAGAGTTTACAGTTTGTGTAAATTGCTTGCAGCTGGAGAAAATGTTCACAAACCAGGTAGCATAGTAAATAAAGAAAAGGAGGAAGTGAAGAATACCATTCTGACTACTGACCGAATCTCAAACTATTCATTTCACAGTAAATAAGTGAGAACTAACTACTTCAGTCCCTGCCACCCAACCATGATTCCATGTAAGTTACAGCAGTGACCGACAAAATAGGAGAGAACACAGTTGAGTTAAATTCTAAGTGTATATCTGATGAAGAAAATTGTCAAAAGAAAGAGTAAGGATGGGATTGATTGTATTTCTATCTGTGGATAAATGAAGGCTTTAGAAGCCAGAGAACCGGGAAAAGGGCAGAAACTGTTGCAAAGTGGCACTTTGTCAGCACTAGAGGCACTAGGGGAGCTCCCTGGTCTAAGGAGTTCAGCCACCAGGGATACCTGAGAAGTCCAGCTGGATTATGTAGCAGGCAGATGTTAGAAACAGGGAGTAGGGTCAACACCTTGAAAGACAGCCACTTCAAGAGACACTAGAGTGAGACTAGGGAAATACTGGGGTCCCAAAGACGGCTAAATGTTTCAGCCTTACTCAGCCCATGATTCCAAAGTCAAGGATTGGTTGTACAGAGGGTCCCTTTCAGTGGTTAGAGGTTAGAAGGGAGACCAACGCACTCCAGCATCTGGGGATGAGATGAAATGGCGAGGCTATTCCCTGACTTGAGAGTGCCAAGGCCTTCCTTGTCCAGTTCCCTGGCATGGCCCTCAGCTCAGCTCTTGTCCCCCTTGCCTCTCCAGGCTTGAAATGTCAGAGCAAGTAGACTGCACAGGCCACTACAGGTGCTGAAGCTTTTAACCCATCCAATCCACATGGGGACCCCTCGGCAGTGACTTGTGCTGTGCCACCAGAACTAAGCAGGAACCACATTTCCCAAAGTTCCTTCCTCTATGGTTCCAGATTAAAGCTGGCAACAAGAGAAATCTGTGAGAAGATTGGAAGGCAGAAGGGAAGCAGTAGCCATTCCACTCAGGAGGTTTAATTAGGGACCCGGCGCAGCAGCAGCTCACATATATCTCAGACCTGCTGCCTCACCTTGATGGAGCAGGGCTCCAGTACCTCCGGCTCCCTGGGTCTCCTCCAGCCCAGAGTCCTGACCCAGGTGCATGTCCAGGCCTGAGATGAGAGGCATTGGCTTTTCCTGCAGGTCACTGTGTTACCACTGCAGGTGGTGAGAGTCAGAGACATGGTCCAGTTTGTTCTTGCTCTCCCCTTTCCATCCACTTTCTGTCCCATCTGTAAGCCCTGCTGACCCAAAGAAACGTCAAGCCCAACACCAGATACAGAGGCAACAGCCTTGCCTAGACTTTTTTACTAGTTTTCATAATGGGTAAGTTTAATCCCTATGATTAATCCCTTATTCCGTGTCATACAGAGTAGCTCTGATTTCCTGATCAAATGCTAACTGATACAACCAGCTACTCCCATGGCCTTAGCAAATGCAAAGACCCTCTGTCAATGCTTCCCATGTGGTTCCTCTGATCAGAATACTGTTGGTTCCTCCAGCTTTCTTCTTTCTTGACTGAACTTTTACCACTAAACCACTGCCACCATCACCACCACCACCACAACTACCACCACCACCAAATCATTATCATCATTACTACAACCACCTCCACTGTCATGTTCACCACCATCAAACCACCATCATTAACACCATCATTACCATCATCACTACCATTACTGCTATCACCAGTATCATCAACACCACCATCACAGTCACCATTACAACTACCACCACCATCATCACCACCACCCCTATCACTATAGCCATCACCTGCCACGAAAATCAGCACTACCACCACATCAACACCCTCACCGCAACACCGCCATTACCATTATCATCATTCTCATTATCACCATCACTCCACCACCGTCATTCTCACCAGGCCACCACTACCACACCATCACCCCTCCTTTACCTCTTTTCATCTTCACAGCAGTCTCATCCAGGTCAGATTATTCCTAGTTTACAAATGAGTAGAGGTTAAGTAACTTGTCAGCAATCAAGGAGAGAGTTAAACCCAGGTCCAACCTCAAATTCCCTGTTCTTTCACTACACTACACAGCCTCCAAAACTATGTTTGACAGAGCAAAGGGCAGTCAATGGTTAATGGAAAAAAGGACTTAAAGCAGCAGAATTGTGCTGATCAAGAAAGGAAGGGCAGAGGAATAGTAGCTAGAAGGCATAAGGCAGGCAAAGAAGGGATGGATTCAGACAAGATCCCCCAGAGCAGAGGGGCAGAAGGGGGCTCCACGTGGGTGGGAGTACTGACCCAAAGCCTGTGTCTAGGATTCAGAGAGGAAGTGGCCTTGCTCCTGCAGACCTCAAGGCAAGCCCCAGAGGAAAGCTCTCCCACTGCATGAAGGGCAGAAATCAGAGTCCGAGGGGCCAGTGAGTTAAAAGGGGCGAGTCAGAAACGACCCAGGGAAGCACCTACAATGCCACTGAATGCCTTAGCCAGGGTGGTTCTCAGTCCTGGCTGCGCAATAGAAGCAGCTGGGGAGTTAAAAAATGTACTAATACCGAAGCCCCACACTAACATTTCTATTATTTTTGAAATGCTTCTCAATTCATTCTAATGTGCAGGAAGGGTTGAGAAGCAATGCATTAACCCAACAACACTCTGGAATCATGCTTTCCTTCCACCTGAGCCCTCAGAATTCCCTCACACTCTAGTATAAACTAGCTGGGCTCTTAAACCAAGTGTCTCCAGGTGCTAGACAGTGGTAAAATAGAAGAGAGAAACGGATCCTTCCTAGGATAGGGAAAAGATGAGTCTAATTTTAGATCAAGGAATCTACCCTTTTATTTTGGGGTCACAAAACTAGGTAATTAATCCATAGGTTGAAACAATAAGAAAAAGAAGGTAAGCTGAAGGAGACCCTCACTGTTTGGTAAGGGGCTATTCCTCTCCCCAGCCTGGAGGTGAATTTGCCTTATTATCTACTGTATTCATATACTTAATAGAACAAGATAAATTATAAACAACAAGAGCCACTGTTAGCATTTGCTGAACACTTATTGTGTGCCGGGGACTGGGTTAAATCTTTTAATTCTCAAGGTAACCCTATGTGGTGGATGCTAAGATATTCCTCATTACACAGATGAAGAAACAAAAGCCCAGGGAAGCTGAAGAACTTGCCCAAGCTCACATCAGCAGCAGAGCTGGGATATGCACAGGTATATGCCTCCAGGGTCCACACTTTAACTCCACACCACACAGCATCCCAATCGCCATGGGTTCTGGGATAAGTATTACTGTCCCCATTTTACAGGTGGGGAGACTGAGGCTGCTGCATCTTACTAACACAGCCTGGATTTGGAACCTCCATAAGTAGAATATACCAGAAGAGCTGAGCAGCAGTTTGACCTACAGGCAGAGAGGTTTCTAAATGCCCAGTTCTTCCCCTATACCACCCCACCCTTTATGCTCAGAGGCTACACAGAAATCACATGGCATGACCTTTCAAAATAACTGCATTTTTAAAAATCAACTCAAGACCCAAACCAGTATTGGTATGTGAGCCGAATCTGAAAATGACACGTAAATAGATGGAAAGGGCAAATCCAACCGCGCTGTACGTTGAGCAAAACATCTCAAATTATTTGTTTCAAATATTTTGCAATTAGCAAGACCCAAACCACACTTTTCCAAGCATTCCCTTCTCCACCCCACCCCACACTACCCAGTTTTACATTGTAAGCCCATGTGTATTTCCCAAAAAATGTAATCCATATGTCTCTGAGCCGTTTACACTTAACTCATCAAATTGTTGTTTGCTAAGAGTTGTCTGCTGCCCATGAAGCCTTCTGAGACTGTCTGTGAGGCCTTCAAAAGCCCCTTTCTGCTTCTTTTCTTAGAAACAGGAAGCTACATTTAGCCAAGGGCAAATGAAATTGAACATGTTGGCACTGGGAGGGAAGAGGTTCCAGGGCCAAAAAGTTTGTTCTTGTTCTCAACATGGCAGAATATCAAGGAAGGTCTCTCTGAGGCGGTATTTCAAAGCCCAGAAAACCTGCTCTCGGTGGAATACCAAGCTCAAGATTGAGTTCAATTTTGTTTTCAGCCCTGTTCACCGTCCCTCTATATGCCAAGGTCCCTACAATGGTTCAAGATTGTCACAGGGAGCAAGCAACAAATCCGTGACCTGCTGGTGAGACCGATGATATCAACTGCTGTGGTAGAAGTAATACTGGCTTTCCACCTCAGCAGCTAAAGGTCTTGTAAGTTCTGCTTTTCTATCTGCCTTTTAAAAAAGCACGCACGTATATAGACAACAAACCAAACACTTTTCAAAACAAACCATTCCATCTGATACAGTTTAACTCATCCATGTTTTTTGGCTTTAGCAAAAGGTTTTAGTTTAGTTTTATTTTTTTTAATTGCTTAAGTTCAGCTAACTTATATCCCTTGGGAAAACTGATCTATGTAAATGTGATTTAACTAAAGGGGTTTGAGCCACTCACATGTGTTTTACATTTTCTAATCATCCTGAGCTCTGTACGTGGTGAGCAGACTGAAAAATGATGGTGGTCTCATTTCAACATCAATTTTTATCCATTCTATCTCCCAAGAATGCCAAATGATGGCTGGAGAGAATCTCACTTCCTGTTTCCAGACAATCAGAAGCTGGTATTTATGAAAACTTGGAAGTTTGTGAAGTCGATTGCATGGCTAGAAGATCCAAAGGAAGATGGCAATTCTTTAAGATATCTACATTCATTAAATTGGCTAAAACTTTAGAAAAGATTCCTTTTAAATATTATATTTCCCTGATTAAATTAAGTTCAACAAACATTTAAGATGCCTACTGTATTCGGCATTGTTGCATAACAAATTACCACAACCTTACCAGCTTAAAATAATATACATTTGTTATCTCAGTTTCCACAAGTCAGGAGTCCAGGCATGGCTGAAGCAGGTCCTCTGCTCAGCTGTTCATATGTTACAGTTAAGGTGTTCGTCTGGAGGCTTGACCATGGAAAATATCCACTTCCAAGCTCATTTGGATTGTTGGTAGAATTCATTTCCTTGTGGCTATGTGGCTGAACCACCTGTTTTCTTGCTAGCCAGTGGCTGGGAACTGCTGCCAACTCCTAGAGGCCACCCTCAGGACCTTGCCACATGGGCCCCTCCATAGGCCCCCTTAAAACACAGCTGCTTACTGCTTCAAAGCCAGCAGTGGACTGTCCTCCTTCAGGAAAGGCCCAGTCCTCTTTTAAGGGCTTTTCCCTGATTAAGGTAGGGCCATCCAGTATAATCTCCTTTGTGAGTAACTCAATATCAACTCATCTGGGACCTTAATTACATCTGCAGAATTCCTTCACCTTAGCCATATAATGTAATCTAATCAGAGAGTGACAGCCATCATATTCACAGGTCCCATTCATATTTGTGACACCCTGTCTCAAATTTAAAAAAAAAGAAAAGAAATGAAAAAGAGAGAAAGAGAGAAGGAGCAAAGGAAGGAAGGGAGGGAGGGAGAGAGGGAGGGAGGGAGAGAGGGAGGGAGGGAGGAAGTAGGGAAGGAAGGAGGGAAGGAAAGAAAAAGAAAGAAAGAAAGCTCACTCACAGCCTAACAAGGGCAGTGGATATGCAATAATAACTATTCCATGAGATATGTTCTATAATAGAGGTACATTTAACGTTCAGAAATAGCACAAAAGTAGTAACATAAACACTGAGCTTTGTAACATAAATAGGAGTTCACCAGGGAGGCAAGCATGAGGAAGATGGAGGGTGGGTTAAGTAGGATTGGCTCAAAACAGGTATAGTGTGATTAACAAATTACTAGTAATTTGATTTTGCTAAGATTTCAGCAAATGTGCTGAGCATTTTTATTTGCTGTATCTTGACTTGTCTTCCTTTTTAAAACAAAGAAAGAAAAGATTTCTAGTTGTCCTAAAGACTGGTCAATGGACCTCACGTATGTGTGTGAAAATGTTGTCCATGACTCATCCCCTTACAACATGATGACAACACTGAGGGGAAAGATGCATAGTCAGTTAATGCTCCAGGCCTATGAGAAAATGTACTCCCAGTTTCCTTCTGAATGTGTGGACCTTTTACAATGAGAAGCTTCCCTTGAAATAATGTTTCATTCCAGAATGGTAGAAATGAGTCCATACCTACAGACATAACAACAGCAAAAGCTACAGCAGTTGCAGAATTCCTGAGCATGAAGAACAGCAACCAAAGTTGGATGAAGACAGGGAAATCACAGTGCCTGTGGTGACACATGCTGAGAGCTGCACCCCACCGGGTGGTGCTTTTGTAACTCGCAACAAGATTCACTTTTGAAGCTTGAAGTCTTCTGACTCTTCTACCACAATATGTAAATACAGGCCAGAAAGAAAATGCCTCTAAAAATTACAGTAGCCTTCATGTCAACTCCAAAATACCTCTTTAGCCATGAGGAAGATGACGACATTGCAAATGAAAATGCAACCATCTTGCATGCGGTTCAGCTCTGAGTGTTCCACTCCCACTGCCAACAGTCTGATGTGGGATTGTTTCTGGTTACGCAGAGTTAGTTAACCTCCCTGTGGCCTTCCTGACAAGCCATATGGATAGGAACTACAAAGTACTGGGAGACCCGGATTCCAGTCTCAGTTCAATTCGTTCTTTCATTTATCCAGAATTGTTGGAGGACAAGTGAGTTTTCCACTTATTGGATAAATAAGTTTTCCAAACAACTGAAAATTTTGGCTAGCCACAAGATTTTTGCACTTTTATTGTTTAAATAGGGGAAATTCTCCTAAGATATGGAATATATTAAAAGCATGGGCCCTGGACCCTGGATGCCTGGGTTTGAATCTCAGCTCCAACACGTGCTTGCAGTGTGATGTTGGGCAAAGGGAACTTCTCTCTGCTTCCGGGGATAACGATAGTCCTTGCTTCAGAAAGTAGAAAGAGTAAATAAATTAACCATACAAAACAGAACAGTACCTAGCACATAAAAATTGTTTCAGTAAGTATTATTGTTATTACTATAAACAGAATGACTAATAGAAAACAGGAGGCTTTTCTTCTCAGAGTCATCATTATAACCACTAAGCAAAATATTGCATGTGTATATATGCATATTGTTTACATATATAATATATATGTATAAGTATACAAATATTTTATGTATTTATGTATACACATACTTTATACAACCACACACTCACTAAATATATACACATACATATATATGTATGCATCTATACATGCATATATAAATATATATATATATATACACACACACACACACACTCTCTCTCTAGACGTAAATATATAAAATCATGCCCTCATAACCCACTGGAATATATTAGGGAACTACATTTACCTTAAATGACCTCAGAAGTTTTCGCTTCTGGTTTTTCGCACCTTGTGTTTGCCTGTTTTAAACATCCTGGTCTCCTCTTTCATTGGTGGAACTGCTAGCAGCCGTGTCTGGCTATGTCTGACTTCTTCCTCCTCTGAGTTGTTCTTCTATTCTTCCGTGACTGAGAAACCAGATTGCAAAGCTTGTTAGAATTGTGGCTAACATAAGAGCCCAGAGTTCCGAATGAGAATCTCAGAGGCTCCTCTATGAAGAAAACGGATGGGCTTTACTGTTTGGACACTGGATCACCTGCTATGGCTAATCTGATCACTGTGTTTAGCTTGCTTTCTGGTTCTTAATCTGTGCTTTTCAGATGTGCTCACAAGACCTTCAGGCTGGGTGAGCAGATTCAAGGGGCTACCGTGGTGTAGAAAGGGGTGGCCAAGGTGGGGTTTAATCTAGGAAGGCTCCAAGCCCTCCATTTTGCTTCAACCAGAGAAGCTCTGAGATGTTTTATATAATGGGCTTCTGCATAGCATGCCATTTGCAAAAAGGGTTCCGCTACTACATTAATAAATAAAGTTGGCAACTACTGTTCTACAGAGTCATGTGTTTGCTAGATAAATGACATCTGGACATACACTCTTTTATGTATGTTTGAAATATTTCAAATAAAAAATGAGAGTCACAAGCCAAACCAACCCTAGAGATTAAACATAACAAAAATTCATATACAATAAATGAGACAGGGCATCCACAGAAAACATTTCCAAATAAACCACCATAACTATGATTTGTAAATTTTGTAATGATGTTAGGTTAACCCCACATCCCACCACAGAGCCACCATGTTAAAAGTCAATAAATATAAAATAAGTATAATTTTAAGAAGTCTAAAATGTTAATGATGGCTACAAATAGACAGGGCTTGAGTTACATGATTGGGAAAAGGGGAATTTTAAGAATAGTTTCAGGGTTTTTCCAGAACTCATGAAAAGAGATTCTAACAGTTGACACAGGTTTCTAGTCAGAAACATCCATACACTGGAGATGGACATATTAGCATGATGGAAACGATCTTCCAGCAACATTAAGCTCCCTCTTGTTCTAACTAACTCCATCTTACTAACTGTATGAGTTAGAATTGTTTTGTCTGCAAGAAACAAACAAAAACCCCCACAAAAACAGTGTGGTTTAAATAAGATCAAAATTTATTCAGTTAGTTAGTTATTTGTTTGTTTGTTTGTTTGTTTGTTTGTTTTTTGAGACAGAGTCTCGCTCTGTATCCCAGGCTGGAGTGCAGTGGCACGATCTCAGCTTACTGCAACCTCTGCCTCCCGGGTTCAAGCAATTCTCCTACTTCAGCCTCCCAAGTAGCTGGGATTAGAGGCGTGTGCCACCACGCCCAGCTAATTTTTGTATTTTTAGTAAAGACAGGGTTTCACCGTACTGGCCAGGCTGGTCTTGAACTCCTGACCTTAAGTGATCCACCTGCCTCGACCTCCCAAAGTGCTGGGATTACAGGCGTGAGCCACCACTCCCGGCCAAGATCGAAAGTTATATATTTCTCAGTTGAGAAGCCTGGCAGGAGGTAGTCCAGGTCGGCCATGGCACTCTATGGTATCAGGGGCCCAGGCCTGCTCTACTTTATTGCTCTGTCATGAGCGGCCGCCATTCTCAAGGTCTCTTCTAGTCCAAAATGGCTGCCAGAGCTCCAGACATTACAGCCACCTTCCAGACAACAGAGAGCAGGAAGAAGAAGAGGAAATCCCTCTTCCTTCAAGGAGACTTGTAAGAAGTTTCACAGACCCCTTCTGCTTACCTCATATTGACCACAACTTAGTCACATGGCCACACAGAACTGCACAGAAGGCTGGGAATTGCAGTCTGTATTCCAGACAGTTCTGTGCCCAGCCAAAACTCAGGTATTCCAGTACTAAGAAAGAAGGAAAAATAGATATTGGATGACAACAAAAGTCTCTACCATGCCAAATTATCTCCTGATTCTTATTTCCACTTCCTGAGTGAACCCACTCACCAAGAATAGAGTGGTATCCCATTGTCCACTTTTTGCCCAATTATATTCTTAAAAATTAATTTTCAAGTCAGTGTAAAGCCACAAACACTTGTTAGGTGCCTATTATGATTTATACAATGGAATACTATTCAGCAATGAAATGTAGCAAACTATTAATATATAAAACTTCAATGAATCTTGAGAAAATTATGCTGAGTGAAAACAGCCAGAAAAACAGAGTACATGTTGTATGATTCCACTTATATAAAATTCCAGAAAACACAAACTCATCTGCAGTGACAGAAAGCAGAATAGTGGTTGTCTGGGAACAATGGGAGGAAGGGGGGTGGCTTGCAAAGGGACACGAGAAACTTTAGGGTGGATGAATGCGTTTATTATCTTGATTGCAGTGATGGTTTCACGGGTATAGACATATATCAAAACTCATCAAGTGTAAAACTTTAAACACATGCAGTTGATCTGACATCATGTATGCCTTGATAAAGCTGTAAAACACTTTTTTAAAAAGAACGTGTTACATGCCTGGTGCTATGCTAGGCATGAGAGGCACAAGATAAAGGTACAAGGTCCTGTCCTCAAAGGGCTCACAGCCCAGTAAGTCATCCTGATTAATGAATTAGGCTTGTGAGTACAGATGGGGTGAATACATGCTGAGTCCCAACACACTAAGAAGGCACTCAGCCTACAGACCGAGAGTCAGACTTTGTCCCGTAAGTACCCCCAGCCCCCAAACCCAGCCTGTAACAGGCTTCAGCGTTTGACAATGAGGAGCACCGTGTATACATGCACGGCTCTTTTAACCTACTTCTACTAAAGCTCTGGATACACATGGTGAACAATATATTAATATCTTAAACATCCCATGGTAAATTGTATATTTTCCACTCTTAGAAATGGAATTCCATGACGTGTTCTCTTCACTTTCCACATCTGTGTTGCAGAACCAGGAAGGATCCATGACAAAGAAGTAGTTGGCACAAATGAATCTTCTGAAAGAATAGTCTGGTGAGACAGCTATTTGGAATCTGCTGTTTCCAGTGACCAATACCACTCATGTTTGACATCTCTTGATATTGCTCCTGTGGTGTGTGCAACATTGCAAGAGTGCAGTGCTAAGCTCTGAAAGCCCCAGATGGCAGCTCAGGGGGAAAATACTATAGAGCAAATTATTTTCTCTATTTCCTCCTCAATCTTGCCCCTCTAGTTCCTAGGGCTTATGAAGGTCAACAGAATGTATCCTTAGAACTGAAAGCTGTTGCTCCTACCTTTTCCACCTTCAGAAAAAAATCATTAGCTGCAGTGCAGATAGTTTCATCACAAAAAAGTAACAAAATTGATCAACTGAAAATCTTTGTGGAAGAAGAGATTTTGTTTTTGTCATCTCCCTTAAGCCCTTTCCATGTTGGCCCGTGCAGCCTGAACATCACTGAGTAGGGAATTTCATACAGGGTTGCAGTAAGTGCTCCCCACAACCCAAAATACCTCCCCCTTAGCCTAATAAAACATCTGACACGCTTGCATGAATCCTTTTAGACTAAGACGCTGAGGCTGAATTGTCCTCTGGGAAAAGAAAGCAAAAATCCAACTGGCCTGCATTACTGAGGAGACCTTGAAAGACTGACGTAAGATAGCCCCCGATGGAAGAAAACGGGCAGGGTCCATGGGGGTGGCCCGCAGGATCACTGTGGACCTGCTGGGGGTGCGACAAAGGACAATGTGAGAAGGAGGAGATAGTGACAATAAACTTTGGTTATGCCAAATTTTCTGAAGAGCCAGCACTTCTTACTGTGAAAAACTGATCTGGAGTGAAGTGATGAATTATCCCATCCAAAATTACCAATTCTTTTCAAGAACTCCTTTCACTTTTATTCAATCCCCTAATAAAAGCAGGCTTGTTGTCCTCATTAAGCCCAATGTATTGGCATCTGAAGTGTATTGATGTACTCGCATGTGATTTCCCTAATTACACTGGAACTTGCAATGCCCAAGAACTCTGCTGATGAAAATAATCCTTCTGTAATATTTCCTTTTTGACTGGGCACCTCTGGGCATTAAAAACACATTTTCAATGAAAACTAGGAAGGGCTTTCTTAGTTCTTATCACATTAATCTTGTCATCTAAACTTTTCTACTGGAAAGCTAGCTTCTTCTATAAATCCATTTCTCAAATTATTTTGGAAGTAACCTAAGATACTACATCAATGAGAAGGCCCAGAGCAGACGTGGGAGGAAGGAAAGAGGAATCAATGACAACCTTCAGCATCTATTCTTTAAGGACTAGCAGCTTAAACCCCCTAAAAAGAACATGTGAATAATCAACTCACTCCTGAAGCTGAAGGGAATAATTCTATCTGAAACAGAAATCCCTCATTATAATATGGTTTTCATAAGCAGATATTTCCAAAGGGACAGAGAGGTAGGGGACAGGGAGATGTCAGAATATATCCATCCAAACCCAACATTGAAAAGCCCGCAAAACACATTTAGCTACAAGTTGGAGTCAGTTCTAATTCCCAGTATGTCACACAGGCGTCTCACAGCATTCACCACAACACCCCTGTGACTGTCCAAGCACATCCACACCTTGCCCTTGGACAAGTCACACCTTGTCCCTGAGTCTAATTTCTCACCCATACAAAGGAAAGGTTTGCCTAAGGGACCTCTGCAGTCTGTCAAAACTATCCTATAATGGATATAGGATATATCCTATAGTGGAATTACCCTGATGCTCTCCTACTGGCCCTGCTGTGTCTTAATTTTTTGGTGCCTTAAGTCCTTACAGCATGACTCTTCTCAAGACTACCCAAGGAAGCACACTTTCAGTGTTTTGCAATACCACATGTTATGGTTTGGCTGTATCCCCACCCAAATCTCATCTTGAATTGTAGCTCCCATAATTCCTACATGTCGTGGGAGGGACCCGGTGGGAGGTGACTGAATCATGGGGGCAGGACTTTCCCATGTTGCTCTCATGATAGTGAATAAGTCTCATGAGATCTGATGATTTTATAAAGGGGAGTTCTCCTGCACAGGCTCTGTTGCCTGCTGCCATGTAAAACATCTCTTTGCTCTTCCTTCATATTCTGCCATGATCATGAGACCTCCCCAGCCATCTGGAACTGTGAGTCCATTAAACCTCTTTCCTTTATAAATTACCCAGTCTCGGGTATGCCTTTATTAGCAGCATGAGAACAGACTAATGCACCACATCCAAAATGCCAAGAGAGAACTTCTTTGGGTGCATATTCAGAGTGGTTCATGGAAAAGCTAACAGTGCAGGCCTACTGCCTGCTGAATGGACCTTCTAAGCACTATCAGTGCAGAATAGCCCAGAACTAAGGGAGATTTTGCCCCTCAGGAGACATCTGGCAAAATCTGGAGACATTTTTGGTTGTTGCAACTTAGTGGGGAAGGGTTGCTCCTGGCATCTAGTGAGTAGAAACCACAGGTGCTGCTAAACATCCTACAATGCACAGGACAGCCACCAATAACCAACAGCCATTCTGCCCAAAATGTCAATAGTGCTGAGGTTGAGAAACCCAGGCCTAGATCGGTAGAACCAGCAGTGTGGGGCAGCCAGCTCTTACCAGTGCATGAGAGTTAAATGTGTGCATCTCTTTCCAGTTCCATGTTCATGAGGTCACTCTGGTAAGATGAAATCTGCCATGGTGGGAGGATTTACACCACAGAAATCAGCAAATCAGCTCTACAAATCAAGGCAATTTTATGTCTGCGAGCGAGTTGTTAAACATTTATCAACACACCGCTAATCCAAACCAGCACCTGAAGTAACTCGGAAGCCCAAAGTTCTTTCAGCAAGAAGGCTATACTGTAGTGAGATGACTTTACCTATGGGAAAGAAGTGGGACTTCCTAACATTACCTAACAACCATGACAAAAAGGAAGGACACAGAATGAGGGACATCGTGGGCAGATATTGGAAGAATCTCCTGTTCTTTGGTTTCATTTGCTTACTTTTAAATATGCACTGCCTTCTTCCAAAGAGCACTTGAGGGGACAATTAGGAAATACAGAACAGGCTTGTTTACTAAACTGCTCAGAGGAAAAGCATAATGGAAAAATAATAATTCAATACCTTTAATTTTGAAAAATTGACGTACAAAAATAAAGATCAACACACAACAGGTGCCAAGCCCGAGGAGCAGGCAAGCTGATCCTTCCGCTCCAGCCCAGCTGCCTGACAGACACATTTCCTAGTGGGTCCTGGATGCTGGCAAATCTGGACTCTACCAGACCCCCCCACGAGGAACCGCAGGGCCCCCTCTTGCCTTCCAGAGCTCCACACGGAGGATGGAATGCCCTACAGAAACTCAAGCCACATTGTAGGGAAACCCTTTTCCAGCTTGCTCTTTATTGCTGTCTTGATATTTGCCTCTGGTTGCTATGGCAAAATCTGGCATTGGAATTTTTCTGGGAACAAATAGGAAATAGTTGTGGGGGAGGTTCAAGATCCTACATACATTTAGGTCTGGTTATAAACACTCATAGTAAAATAAAGCATTGACTCATTAAACCCAAAACAAACCAAAAAAGAATTTTTTTAAATCCTCTTTCAAAAACTCTTACTTTGTTCCAAAGGTGACCAGCTAGAAAGTTGTTTGCCCTTATGGACAAGATCACCAGCAAAATGAACTAACAGGTTAGAGGACCGATCAGTTGGGTTACTGGTCACCCCATGCCAAGTCACACGCTGCCTTTAGCATGTTTCATTTCTGGAGCTGGAAGTGCTCACCCTACACAGAAGAAATTTTCCATTTGCAGGAGTGGATTATTTTTTCCAGCCTCACTGAGGAATATGCCAGGACTGCAGCCATTCAAACTCTGGCACCACCTAAGAAAAGCTTAGGAGGACATGCAGGCCTGTGGCACACCTTGAACCCAGAAGGGCCGGGTGTCTCTTTGTTACTGCCTAGTAATATAGTTTGGATATTTGTCCCCACCCAGATCTCATGTTGAATCGTAATCCCTAATGCTGGAGGAGGGGCCTGGTGGGAGGTGTTTGGATCATGGGGGCAGATCCCTCATGGCTTGGTGCCATCTTCACAATAGTGAGTGAGTTGTTATGAGACCTGCTCATTTAAAAGTCTGTAACACCCCCCACCACCATCCCCAATCTCTCTCGCTTGCTCCTGCTTTCAACTTGTGGCATGCCTGTTCCCGCTTCCCGTTCTGCCACGATTAAAAGCTACCTGAGGTTTCACCAGAAGCTGAGCAGATGCCAGCACTATGCCTCCTGTATAGCCTGCAGAACTATGAGCCAATATAACCTCTTTTCTTTATAAATTACCCAGTCTCAGGTATTTCTTTATAGCAATGTAAGAATGGCCTAATACATCTATCTTTCCCTAAGGCCACTATATCTGAAGAGTTCCTGAATCTCCACTTTTCACCTAAGCCCCAACTGTTCTCTCAGTTCACATCCACAGCTCACATGCCCTGACTTGTCTCCTAGGGCCAGCCATATATTTGGGAAGAAACATTGCCACTCATACACGGTGAATTAAAGAGGGTGAAAGTCCTCTCTGCCCTGTATGAGTTAGCCCGTGTGGCTGGGTGTCCCTAGCATTCAAGGCTGTCATCAAAATACAAAGCCTCCTTAGAGATGTATGGAGAGGTATCATATTGTAGACTTTACCAAAGATTTCAAAGGGGAGATTCTTCAAGTGCCATCTGTCTCCAACCTATCTTTTTTCCATCCTATTTCCTAATGCTCCCCAACAAGCTAGCTCAGCTCCAGTCAAGCTCATATCTTACTATCTCTTGCATCTACCATAGATGCATCAGAAATAATGATAAAAATATGTTACTACATACAGCAATCTTTACTTATCAGAGTATCTCTAAAAGACAACATATTTGTTTGGAGTAAATACTTAGGTAAGCCATTTGGGAAGGAGAGGAGAGATCTCAAGGTTGTGTTCAAATAGCAAACAGCGGTCACTGAAGTATTATTTATAAAATAAGGGAGGAAAGAAAAAGCAATAGGTAACAGGAGGCAGGGCCTATGTGGGAGGGGACTAAAGAGGTAATACGTATAAGAACAACTACTTTTCTAGAAGTCACCACCACCTGACACTGTTCCAATTTCTCTATATATATCAACTCATTTAATTCTTACTACAATCCGATGAAGTAGTTAATAATATTATCCCCATTGCACAGGTAGGGAAACAAAGCCCCTGAACCCTTCAGTAACTTGCCCAAGGTTACCTGGCTTGTGAATGGTGGAGATAGTAAGTGATGGTCTGACTCCAGACTGTACTTTGAACCACTTTACTCAATGGCCTCAGTGGGGAAGCCTCTGCTTGCAGTTGAGGAAGGACTGCAAAGCAGTAGACTTAAAAGATTTTATCAAATATAAGAAGACATCAACATAAGACACACCATTGTCTTATGTATTGCTACCAAAGGAAACATGCTGCCAATTATACTATGACACACCAACACAGCAAGACAGAGTCTGGTTTCCAAGATTTCAAATACTCAACTAGGAAAAAGGTATATATTGGAAATGATGAACACAGTATCAAAGTGGAATATGAATCTGTTGTGGGGGTTACAGTGAAACCTCCATCATCTTCCCTTTGAATCTCCACAGTAAACTCCACATTTCTCACAAATGCTTTCGTGAGCATTGATTATTGAGAGGAGGTGGTAGCAAGGAAAAACTCCCAGAAGTGCCATTTGTGTGTGTGCACGTGTGCACACGTGTGCAGAGGCAGAGCAAAGACAATTTTAGCAAATTCAAAATGTACTTACCCTACATTTAGTTATGCAAAGAAAATGTACCTTCATTATTTTCTATAATTGATCCAATCTTTCTCCTGAGCTCTTCACTTTACTGAGTAAAGAAGGAGAATTAAATGTCATCTAGTCCAATAATTTTAAATGCCTTCTGGATATTTTGGTATTGCAGCACCCCCTGCCCCCTACCACTGCTCCACTTTCCCATTTTTCTCCAAGATGACTCCTGGGGGAAGGGTCTGCTTCATGGTGGTAGGAAAGGGGAGGAAGGTCCTTGGCCCACATGATTCATATGTGCAGGTTCCTGGCCTGTCCTCCAGTTCATCTAGTTCCCACCCTGGAAGGCCTTGATGCTGAAGTCTGTGGCTGATCTGCCTGCTGTGTGCTTACTGGGGCCATGCTGACCCAGCTCCACTTAGGTCCTCGTAGGAGCTGCATATCCTTCTGAGGTATGGCTATGTCTCCCATTCCATCTCCACCCTGGGCAGTACCCCCGCTGGCAACCCCCTGATAAGCTCATCAGCTGGGACTACTTACTCATGGCACTCACAGCATGCTTGCTCAATGAGCTTGGGTGTCACTTCCAGTTCCTCCCAATCGCAGCTCCTTGCCAGCCACTACACTGAGGCTGTCATATTAAAGAAGCTATTTGCCATCCTACCTCTATCAGGGATCCGCTGAGAGGCTCACCTGTTGGCAGCTACCTGTGCCCAAGAGACAACAGTCACCTGAAGGGGAAATGCAAACATTATACAATGTTGCAATTAGTGTTAATGGAATTAATAAAGATCAAGATCACCTACTGAGCACATTAGCATGCAGATAGCATGTTCTAGTCCTAGTGGATACTCAGTATATTTCCAGCTTAGTCCATGATTTTAGACTGGAGTTCTATGAAGACAGGGACAATGCTTATCTTGTTCATCATTGTATTTACATGCATAATGGGCACTGAATATTTGTCAGATGCATGTTAAAGTTTAAAAGGGAAGAATAGCAAGTCACTTACATTAAAGGATAATGTTGTCTAGGCCAGTGGTTCTTAAGTGGAGATAACTTTATCCCCCAGAAAACATTCGGCAACATCTGGAGACATTTTTGGTTGTCACAACTGGGGAGGGGAAGCTACTGGCATCCAGAAATGCTGCTCAACATTCTACAATGCAAGTGACACCCCCAAAAAAACAAAGAATTATTTGGCCTAAAATGTCAATAGTGCTAGAACTGAGAAACTCTGATCTAAGGATTTGAGAGCTACAGATCATGGTGTGCTGGTAAATGTTAACAACAGGCTCTCTGGATAAGGGAGGGACTCCTGATTCATAATGTTTACCAATTTACATGAAATAAATACTACAACCATGGCTGATTTCAAGCTCCAACGAGACATCATTTTGAAACACACAGTTGGGAAAAGGGCATAGCAGAGCACACTGTTATACAATATTTCCACCCTGCAGTTAAAATAGACTGAAATAACCCCAACAGCATAGATAATAGTAACATATAGTAAAATAATTTGTAAGTAATGAATTTTTATTATTATTATTACTACCTTTGTTTTTAATGAAATATATTTAAATGTAAGTTTAGGCCATTTCACTTTTATAATGGCTGTATTTAATAAGTGGTTCACAACATTCCTGAAACTTTAACATTGGCCTTTGTGAGTCCGTATGAGTGACCCCCAGCATATATCTGGCCAGGGATAATGCAAATGGAAAGAGATAAGTTGAAGGGTTGAAGGGAGGCAAGAGGACACGCTGCAAACATCAAACAGTGCCCTTGGCCCGTGTAGTGAGAGGAGGCTGAAGAGCAACTGCAGAGACATCCTGAAGCACAGAGCACCTTGTGAGATATGAACATGGGAGCCACCCAGAGGAGAAAAGGTGTTGGGATGTGTTCCCTAATGGGCGACCCCACTTGCTCTACTTTGAAACATTAAAAATCCAGCTTCCAGCTGGTTGCGGTGGCTCACGCCTGTAATCCCAACACTTTGAGAGGCTGATGCAGAAAGATCGCTTGAGGCCAGCAGTTTGATATCAGCCTGGGAGGTATAGCAAGACTCCACCCATCTCTACAAAATAAAAATTAAACAAATTAGCCAGTCACAGTGGTGTGTATCTATAGTTCCAACTACTCAGGAGGCTGAGGCTGGAGGATCGTTTGAGCCCAGGAGTTTGAGGCTTGCAGTGAGCTATGATTGTGCCACTGTACTCCAGCCTGGGTGACAGAGGGAGATCCTGTATCAAAATTAAAACCTTAAAAAAATCCCCTCTCATGTATCTATCTATAGACAGATATAGATAGATAGATAGATAGATAGATAGATAGATAGATAGATAGATAGACAGACAGACAGACAGACAGATAGATAATATAGATGGGTAGATAATAGGTAGGTAGATAGATGGATAGATAGATAGATAGATAGATAGATAGATAGATAGATAGATAGATAGAGATATAGGTGATATAGATATAGATACAGATATATTAATAGATATACCCTACTGGTTCTGAGTAACACCATATTAAAAGTAAAAGCAAATGAAAACAGCGTTCCTCAGTACCTCCCCTAACACAAAGAGAGAAGTGAATAGAATTTAAATGGAGGGAAATGTATACATAGTTTCCTATTTTCTTAAGAATTAAACATCGAGGACTGTCTGCTATAGTGTTCTATCACATTGTGCAGGCTTAATAAATAAAGAATTTAAACCAATAAATAAAGAAATTAAATTCTTAATAAATAAAGGATTTAAACCTTCCCCAGGGGAGACAGGAAAATGCACACTGGCATGAGCACATACTGCTCAGGTTAGAGGGCTTCTGTCTGCTCCCCCGGGGAGAATCTGGCCCAGTAAAGGAAGCACTGCTTTCGTGTGTGCTTTAGGAGTCTATCCAGAGCTGCAGTCCTCATGGCTGGAGAAGTGAACAGGGCGCAGAGCTGATCCTGCTAAACTGCATCCACTTCCCGAGGTTTGGGATGAACCCATCAAGGTCTCAAGACAGAAGGCCGGGGTAGCCTAGCTTCTCCCTCTGTAGACTAGGGCTGCTGAATGCAGGGAAGTCCATGTAGCTCCAGAGAGGCCAGCGGGTCTCTCCAAAATCCCATTCCTCCACTTCCAGTAACATCTAACATCTGCCCACCTCAATGGACCTGCTCTCTGTTAAACAAGTAGAGTGTTTGAATTCCACATTTTCCTTTATAAAAATCCTCAGATGGCCAAATCTCAAAAAATATCCACATGTGAACGTGGGATTTGGAAGACAAAATAGAACGGGGAGGAGCGCTGTTACTCTTAGGCCCAGGAAAGGGGCACCCACAGTACTCCTCTGGTTGTGCCCTTTCCTATGGAGTGAAGAGTTGAGGGGCACAGAGATGTACCCACCTGGAGGCTGCAGCCTGCCTCTCCTCTTTCAGACTATGTCTTGGCTACGAGAGACCTTGAATCCCCTGTCCAAGTGGTCTTAAGTCCACTTCCAGAGCTTTCCCCAGGCCTTTTCTCTCCACGGCAGGTCACACCGCCAGTGCACACACCCCTAAGCCATGAGGTGCTGTTTGTGGGATACAGCTTGGATGTGTAGGCTAGGATGTCCACACACATATGTGTACCACCCCCTTATGTGGACTGCCAGGGTGGGAAGAAATGAGGGACAGGCCACAGGCCATGGGCTAAATGTCCACACCCTCTGAGCCACCACATTCCTCCATGGTGCTCCAAAACCCACAGATGCTCAGTGCACAGCAGCCCTTGTGCACAAGTGTCTTTATCAAGGCAGGAGGATGGAGCATCTTTTATTTAACACTTTGCCAGCTTGATTTATCACTTTTAAATATTTAGGTATGGTATATGAGCCTCTGTTTTTACACTTGCAGGGCCCCACAAAAGTTAGGGAAGGACCTGGGGAAGGAAAAACATTTAAGGGAGGGATGGGGGATCATCAGGATCAAAAAGGACCAAAATTGTTTCTTTGCTATGTGGTGCTTAAAATAGTGCCCAGTACATAGTAAGTTTTCAAATATTTGTTGAAAGGGAAAAGTTGGAGGGGGGAGGGAGAGAGAGAAAGAGCGGGGAAGGAATTTGTGTTAAACCTTTCACACTTTCAGGAGTTTGTGACACGGAGTCAGAGAGGTCAGAATTCAAATCCTGTCTTTACCATTCCACTTGTGCATCCTTGGGCAAGTTTTTCAACATCTCTGATCCTCAATGTCCTCATCTGGAAAAAGGAGAAGCCACGCTTATCACATAGGAGAACAAATTAGTATTAACTGCTTACACTGTTCTCAAGACCATCACCATTTTCATTAAATGCTCCACTCCCTCAATCCCATTTAATTTATAAGATGTAATGTGAGTATCAATTTGTTTCAAATAACCTCAAGGAGGCTATTTCTACTGACATGGCTAATGCAGAGAGAGAAATATTTCATGATCAGCCCCACCAACATCCTCAAATGCCCCCCTACCACCATAGCAGGTGCTGCTGGTGCCCACCCATACCCCTAGGCACTCATCACTTCAGTACTCAGTAGTCTGACTTCCAGTTGCCAAACCAGCATTTCTTTGCATAAAGGCATCCTCAGACCTCCAGAGCCCACTAAGCCACTTGCATGGCAGGACTGCCTTCAACCAATGATGGGCAGGAGCTGGTAGAAAACCCTGGCTCTCTTACTCCTAGAGTAAGATAACTATGAGGGGCATGTTCTACACTGAATCCCAGCAGGATCATGTTCTAGTTACCCTTAGTGATAACTTGCTTGATAATAGACACTTTGGTTGCTACACAACAAGTATGCCTGAGTATGGCCATGCCAGTTACTACAGCCAGTATTCCTTCTAATTGCTCAGTGCTCGTGCCTTATCACTTGTTAAATATTTTCCAAATCACCCCTTCACATTTAACCAATAAGTTGTTCCCCCAAGTGATTCTTAGGAAACATGAATATTATATCAGACTAGATCCAATAGCAATTTCACCTAATAAACTACTATTTATTAGTGTCCCCCTTGTTCCTGCGATGTATGGCACTAAAAGGCAATAGTTAAATGAACAAGAAATGGACAATAAAAGATCATTCAGTGCTTCCAGTAAACACCACGGATTTGTTGTTGTTGTTGGAAATCTTCCCATGTGTGTGAGTGAAGTGCCATGACTACACACAGTGTATCAAATAGGCATCTGCTCCCAAGTGCTTTTGTACTTGGCTGTGACCTCAGGGCTTGACAAACATGTTGTCTCCGTGTTTTTATTTATTATCTCACAATCCTTTGGATGGTGACAAATTCTAAGATTATAACAAATATATTACGATACCAATATGAATATAATGTAACAAAAAGATGACCTAGATCTATCGTAGGTGAATGCCAACCCAAACAGTGGCTAAACTGAGCAGCTGTTCGCAATTAGGTCCAATTAACAAGTTTTAAACACAGCATGACCGGGAACCTCTTTGAAGTGTGTTGCCCCATGAAGGTTTTGCTTGAAAGGGGTTTCCCAGTGATAACCAGTCAAAACCCACAGCTGAACAGCTTCACTTCCTCTTTAGACTTCAGTGCCATGTAGAGTTCACACTTTTAATTCATCTTCCCCAGTTTTGTATATAAATATTTCAGACATGTAAAGAAATGTCTGGAAAGGCATCTTTGCTGAAAAGGACATTGTGAAACCAGGAAGGAGGAAAGCACGGGGCAGGGCTCCTGGGCTCTACTTGGCAATCTGTTGAAACGATGATCCCTACAGAAAAGGAAATCTAGGTATTCAATAAGGCATACAAGAGCATCGTCTACTCTGACATAAAAGCTCCATGAGGGCAAGAACTTGGTCTGGCTCATCATTGTATCCCTAGTACCTACTAATTAG
Source organism: Homo sapiens (assembly GCF_000001405.40). Taxonomy (NCBI): domain Eukaryota; kingdom Metazoa; phylum Chordata; class Mammalia; order Primates; family Hominidae; genus Homo; species Homo sapiens. Next base: position 37,859,613 of record NC_000005.10, on the reverse strand, counting down.
ACTGGCACACAGAAGACCTACTATAGATATTAGATGAATGAATGAATGAATGGCTATTTACTAAATGAATAAACAAATGCTCATATGAAGTAATAAAATGAATAAAGTATATACATATGCTTGGAAAACACAAGCTATTTAGTAAAATCTAACCCACATGAGTATGTGTGACACAAAAGCACACAGAGGCACACATACAACACACACACACACACACACACACACACACACACACAGAAAAAGGCAGAAATTTGTCTCCTAATTATTTTGCTGGTCCTGCCTATTTGGTGATAATTTGGGACTTAAATTTCAGCTTCATTTCTCCTATCTGACAAAACGATGGGAAATGCAAGGTTGGACAGAATGCGCCTAGAGTGGTGCCTGGCACATGGTAAGCACATAATAAATATTTGAGGACTAATGCGTGAAAAAACTACGTGGTGCTTGTAGAAAAAACTACATGGTGTTCCACCATCCCTGGCCAGAAGAGGCTCTGATATCTCCATGTTTCATTCCTTGTGCATTTCCTAAGTCTTGTTCACTGGCTTTCCTGCAAGTCCCTCTCATTCGAGGACACCAGGCCCAGCTCCAAAGGAAAGTTTTGGAAGAAGAGACAGGGAGCCATCTTCCTTCCCTCCAGGCCTTGTGGAGACAGTGGAGTCAGTGGCTTTGTTGTAGGTGAAGTGAGATGCTTATTTAGGAGATGCTCTGCAGACAGTGAGAGATCTGCCAGGAGGCAGGGCTCCAAAACCTGGGTTGCCTGTTACAATGCTGATTCCTGGGTCCCAGCCCTAAAAGGCTCACACTCAGTGGGTCTAGGATATAACCCAAGAATCTGCACAATAACAACCACCCTGGTGATTCTGATGCAGATGATAAACTACTAGAGCCACTGGACTAGAAGGAAAGCCTTCCGGAAGGAGAAAGATGTTCATCCCAGCGTGCCTACATCTGGTGAGTTAGTGCCATCCTGAGGCATCCTTCAGGGAAGTCCTCAAGCATTCTCTAGACAAGACTTTAACTGACTTTAAAAGAGAAAGAACACACATTCTTTCTTTTCTGTGATGGTAGGGGACACACACAATTCAGCAACCAAAAGGTTTTAGTTCCCCAAAAGTCTAAAAGTGCACTAATAAAGGGCCCTGGAGTGCAACTGGGGAAGACAAGCATGCTTCCCAAGCAAAAGACCCACTTTTCCCTTAAGGGAAAATCCCAGGTTTGAAAATATCACAGAAACAAAAAGAAAGATAACTAGAAAACAGGAGTTGGAAATGTTGATCCTAATGAAAAGCAAGGAAGTGGGGCAGAGACACTGACATCTGAATTAACCATGTGACAAAGTCTCAGGACAGAGGGAGGGCTGACACAGAGCTAGACTCCATTAAAGTGTTAGAATGACAAGTTCCTGCAACATGATAATTTAGAGACTTGTAATATATCTGTCCACACAACAGCTAATTTCAGAGTCAATGATGTACTCCTTGAAGACAATCTGGAAACCTGGAAAATCCAAGACAAATGGTCTGTTAGCATAAAGGATCTCGATGGTTTAAATCCTCCATACATCATGGCTGCATGAAAGGATTCCTCTGTAAACATGGGAGCAAGACCACACTGCCTTATATCAAGATATTTTCAGCTTGTTTAAAAGGGGGCATAATTTTCCACTGGCAAATAGTTTCTTCACAATCTCTCTCTCTCTCTTTCTCTCTCTCTTTCTTTCTCTCTCTCTCTCTCTCACACCCACACACACAGAGACACACACACACCCTGCCTATCTGTGCACATGGAGGAAAACTCTTTCAATGGTTTTCAAGTTATAAAGGCCTAAGCCTTTTTGTACTACTTTGGGAAGCTTGAAGCTACAGGCTAGAGCAGCTACAGCCCAGCCTGGTGAGACATTGGTTTCTCTGTGAGCTGGCCAGCATCACCTACTCCCTGCACCCTGCCTTCCTGTCCTGCAACCAACAGTCTAATTGCTTTTGTACCTTTCTGAATAAACAAAAGTACTTCTTTTTTGTTTAATGTCATATGTAGTTTATAAAATTAAGTGGTAACTGTAGATAATAAGCATTTTATATCAGCTATGTAACATATGAGCTTCAAGTCTATTTCTGTTGACTCTCAACCATCAGGCTCATGGCAAAGGCTTTATGACTATAGGATAGATAGGGGTGTGTTAGCCATACATGTTGGAAGGAAGGGAAACAGGAGAAGGAATAACAGTCAGAACAGGTTGGCTTGTACTGGGGTAATAACCATTCCCCAAAATCTCAATGGCAAACAAACAAACAAAAAAAAAAGGCATCTTTCTCACTCTACTACATGTCCATCTCAGGTCAGTGCAGGGTGGGGGGGTCGGGGGGAGATGGAGGGTGGGACCACTCCTTACTCCTTACTCCAAAACTCAGGCTGAGGAAGTGGCCACCAATTCCTACATTGCTGGGCATATAGGGGAGGGAAAGAAAGCTCTGCACAGCCTTGAACCAGCAATTAAATGTTTGATCTAATGGTGACACACAGCATCTCCACTCATATCTTATTGCCCAGAACTGGTCACATGGCCCAGCCACCAGTCACCCAATGACAAGGGGGCCAGGAAGTGAAATCCTACTCTGTGCCTGAAAGTCAAAGATCCAGAAAGATTTGAAGAACAGTGCTAATGACCACCAAGAAGGGAGGACGGGAGAAGACCTACCAATTGACTGCTGCTGAAAAAGACACACTGAAAAATCCTACTACTGTCACTGACTGTCCTCAGATCCTGACTCAACAGCATCTACCACTGCCTGTAAAACCTGCAAAGTAGAGGGCAAGTCCCAAAACATAATCCAGCTTTCATCCCAACATCTAAAGAAATAATCATGCATTTCTATTAAGATTGAATTTTGACAGCAGAGAGGTGATAGGTGTTGCTTTGTAATTTTAAAAAATAAAGATTTTGTTAATTATACAATATTTTCAAAATGTTTTCATTTCCCATGAAGTAGGCATTCTCATATATTAATTTTAAGAACAAAGTTCATTGGGCTTTCCTGAAATATTATTGGCTAGGTGGCAAAGAACATTTAAAAGGTTTATCACACTTTGACTCAGAAATTCTACATCTAGAAATCAATCCTAAGAAAATAAGCAGAAATGCAAATAAAGGTTTATGTAAAAGCATATTGTCTTCCTCTTTTTTTTTTAAGACAGCGTCTCGCTCTGTAGGCCAAGCTGGAGTGCCAGTGCCATTGAGGCCTCGACAGCCTCAACCTCCTAGGGTCAAACATAGCCCACTTCAGCCTCTCAAGTAGCTGGGGCTATGGGTGCCCACCACCACACCTGGCTAATTTTTGTATTTTTTTTGTAGAGATGGGGTTTTGCCATGTTGACCCAGGATAGTCCCAAACTCCTGGGCTCCAATAATCCTCCTGCCTCAGCCTCCCAAAGTACAGGGATTACAGGTGTGAGCCACCATCTCCAGCCTAAAGTGTTTTTATGTTTTATAGATGTTTTCTGTAGCATTATTATTAATACTACAAACTGAAAGTAACATAAATGTCTAATAAAAGGGAATGGGTCAAATAAATATGGCTACATTCATACAACAGAATATTGCATATTGGTTTGGTGAAATGGCTCAGCAGGCTGGTGTGATAATGCAATGAACTACTCTATTGCCATTAAGAATCACAATTATTAGGGTTATCTAGAAATGTGGAAAGAACTATAGGAAGTAATAATAACAAGACAAAGTAGAAATCAGTAATATACATATTAAAATTCCATATGATATAAATCAGTTCTACATTAAATTCAGAAAAGATTAGGGCAGATATCGATGTTCCAGAAACTTGCGTTTTTCTGATGATTTTGTATGTGTTCAGATGTTTGTTAAACTCTTGTTCAGCTGATGAAAGAAGAACCAGGAAGAAGAAATAAAAAGGGAGGGGAGGAGAAAAAGAAGAGAGAAAACAGGAAGAAGGGGAAAGTAGAAATAGAAAGTAGAAAGGGGACCAGAAAGACAAAAGATTTAGAAAGTTTATTGTAGCAACTACCATAACATCTCCACGCTGTCCATCCCAGGCAAAGTCCTGAGTAGGCTTTTCCTCTGTGAGCTACAAAAGAACAATGTGATTTTAGTCTACCAAAATGTAAGAATTTTTGCTGTTCATTAAATACATGGAAAGTATAGGAAAGATCTTCAATACCTCTACATCACATTCACAGATACATTTGCCACTTAGGAGAGCTGAGCTTTGGCCTCTAAGCAGTGGCCTCTAAGCCACCTGGGAGGTTCAATAAATACCCAGTGAACTGGCTGGGTGTTTCTGGGCTATGTGCTACTTGGCCTGGCTAATTTCAATTGGTAGCATAGACCAGGAAGGCTGAGTGACAAGACTGGGTCTGGGCTTAGTCAAACTTCATGCAGCCCTCCTTGAGGGTGAAACGGAGGACCTAGAAGCTAGTATTAGAAATCTTCAAATAAACAAGAAACTTTTTTCAACTCAGTAGGCTACCAACAATGAGATACAATCAAACACCCACCACAGTGGATAAAATTAAAAAGACTGACAATATTAAGCACTGGTGAGGATGTAGAGCAACTGGGCCCCTCATACATTGCTGGTGAGAGTACAGAATGGTACAACCACTTTGGAAAACTGTTTGGCCCCTTTTAATGTAATTCCACTCCTAGGTTAATACTTGAAGAAAATGAATGTATATGTCCACAAAAAAAAGACTTGTTCAAGAATGTTCATGGTGACATCAGTCATAATAGTTCAGATTTGTTTCATGTCTCTTTTCTCTAAGATGAGTGACTTCCCAGGACATGGTTGAGTCCAGGAGCACAAAAGGGCAGAAGAAACTTGCCATGCCTATTGAAGTCTCACTCAAAACTGACACACAGTCACTTCCGTCCTTCCTATTGACCAAAGCAAGACACATGGCAAAGCACTTACTGAGCATTTACTGCAAGCGTGGCTCTTCTCACGCATTTTAGTCTTCACAATACAGTGACAGGGGTACAATTATTATCCTCTTTTATAGATGATAAGACTGTAAATAATTTTTCCAAAGTCACAAGACTAGTAAATGGCAGGGATTTGAGTGCAGAGAATTACACTCCAAAGCCCCTTATACTGAACCTAGAGTTAGAAGATCCTAGATCCAGTGTTTACTTATACAGCCATCACAAAAGTCTATGGAGTGAATTGGGACATAAATTTTTAAGTGGCTTGAACAAGTCACTTAACCTATTTGGCTTTCAATTTCTTCTTGTGTAAAATGAGAGTTATACTAGATTGATTGACCTCTAAGCTCAATTCCACTTATAAATTTAATGCCAAGATTCTGTGAACTCAGTGGAACATTTACCATTAACCTGATAAGAAATGCAAATGGATAATTTGCTAATCGCTACAAGTGAGCCCCAAACTACCCCGATTTCGATATAAGCAACCATATTCAGGGAAGTCACAATGAGATGATTAAGTCTATGTAGAATAGATACTAATTTAAATCCCATTTTTTAAAAAAAAGAATTTTGCTTTTTGGTTAATCCTAAAAGCACTAGAAAAAAAGTAATTCATTGTCAAATTAAACAAATTCCTTTGTTAATGCAAGATTTTTCTTCATTTGTTTAATGGCAAATTGCAGTTCCCATGGAAGCATGGTTATGCTGCTAGCACCTGAGTCTTATCCTCTACACTCTGCACCCTTCTCATGGGGAAAAAGTAGAGTGAGGTCGATACCCAGGAGAGCTGCAAATCCCATTCCCATAAGAATGAGAGCAACTGCTGAAATTGCCTCACATCTACTGTTACTTAAAATAGCCTCTGAACATTTTCTAAGAATTTTTTTTTTACCAGTGTACTTCTCTAGTCTTTCCAAATGGACTTACAGACTTAGAAAACACAGATGATTTCTACTTGTTTGCATCTCTGTGATCACTTGGTACTGTACTGTTTTGTAAAACTAGATGGATGGATGGATGGATGGATGGATGGATGGATGGATGGATGGATGGATGGATGCACAGATGCTTGGATGCATGGATGGACAGACGGACAGATGAGTAGGCTAACACACGCACTGTACCTCTCTTAGGAATGCTCTTTCCAATTCACTTATAGTCTTTCATCTAATTAACTCCTATTCACATGTTGGTTCTCGGCTCAAGCATTGCTTCCTCAGAGAAGCTTTCTCTGATCGCCAGTCAAGATCAGGTTCCTTCATTATGTCCTTACATAGTGTAGTGTTCCTTTCTTCAGATCACTAAGCTACATGGGGTTATGTATTCATCAGTATGATTACACACATGTTTAACGTTCATCTCTTCTAGGCCATAAATTCCATGAGAGTGGGACCACATACGAGCTTAAAAAATGAATGAACAAATAAATGAATAGGTGAATGAATGAACTGTGAGCTATGAGCTTGGAACTTGGATATAAAGATAATTCTACCGTAATCATAAAGTTGCAGTATTTAAGGAAAACAGAAAACTTCAAGGTCAAATGGCACTTATATAATAAAAGAATCTTAGAGTTTTGAGGGACCTTTGGTTCAATATCCTACACAATGTGGGAATATATGCATTGAATATTTGACCTGTATGAACAGAGTGTATAATTTGTGTATAACTTCATTTTTGGAATAGGTATTTAATTATTTGGGAAATGTCATTTGCTATGGTACCCTAAAACTCTGAGATGTTTAATTAAGTTCATATTAGTGCACATTTTATTCTAAAGGATGATTTTATTCATGATTTTTCAATTAATCAATTTATAGGTCTACCTAACTCAATACAATGCAATAGGTGTGTGCATGTGTGTGTATACACACACTATATAAACTATGTGGAAATCATATATTCATCAACAAAATCATTTAAAGTGCACCAATCATGTCACTAAACAAATGTTAAGATAAATTATTCCATAAAATGAAGAATAGTTTAAACTTCAGACTATTTGACCTCTAATCTGTGTTTTGCAGGTCTAGATTTTTAATCCGACCTTTCTGAAAATGAGACCCACCTATATAGGCACCTACAGTTCTGGATTTTACAATGACGAGATTCCCCAGAAAAATGACTGTGGAGCATGTTATTATCATGTGGAATATTTGAGGATTAAACTGGTTCTCTCTAGTATGTTCCAGAAGCCACATGCAGATGACCTTCAGATTCCTCCCTTCTTCTGCTTCCTTCTGAGATGGGTACTGGTTGATTGTCGATTCCATCCTGATGCAGCCTCAACTCGCAGCCTGACCCTGCCAGCCGACTACCATGGTCTTTGCCTGTTATGTGCCCATGTGGACAGCTTGTATGGCACCTAGAGTATTCACAGGAAATTAGCTCATCAACTCTTCACCCAACCTGATGCCAGACACACAACTTGTAATAGGTGGAAAAAATAATAATGTGATGACATCATTAGTTTCTCCTCCCTCTTCCTCGCTAGCAGAACCCCAACTGTCCAGGCAGCATTGTGCCCAGTCCCAGAAGCTGATTCATGGTTAGTCTACAAGCCAGGCACATCAATCCTCCTTCCTTTCACCAGTGATTGGTCTAGGACAGGCACGTGAACCAGTTTTGACCAATGGTATGTGAAGGGAAGCCTACTAGGGGGATGCTAGGAAGGATTTTCCTCTCTTAATCGGAGAGGACTAGGCTGGGCGCGGTGGCTCACGCCTGTAATCCCAGCACTTTGAGAGGCCGAGGCGGGCGGATCACGAGGTCAGGAGACCGAGACCATCCTGGCTAACACGGTGAAACCCTGTCTCTACTAAAAATACAAAAAAAATTAGCCGGGCGTGGCGGCCGGTGCCTATAGTCCCAGTTACTCGGGAGGCTGAGGCAGGAGAATGGGGTAAACCCGAGAGGCGGAGCTTGCAGTGAGCCGAGATCGCACCACCGCACTCCAGCCTGGGCGACAGAGCAAGACACCGTCTCAAAAAAAAAAAAAAAAAGAGAAGCCTAGAAGGAGATTTCTTTTCACTCCATTCCCCGCTTCCTTCTTGTTTGGGACATTGTCCTGTAAGCACATGACTCTTGAGAGTTATGACATCCATCTTGCACCATGAAAAGAGGCATCACCAACACAGGGACATCAGCAGCATCAGGTCTTTAATGACATCATCAAGCCACTACACCAACCCTGGGAACTGGTACATCCAGGTAAGTGAACTACAAATGTCTTTATAGCTTAAGCAGTTGTTAATCGAGCTCTGGGCTACTTATACCAAACACATTCCTGACACAAATAATAATATAATCAATATCTTATGTCAGCATGGCACTTCACATTCTTCAAAATACTTTTAAAGCCATTATTTTATTTAATCCTGCCAACAATCCTGGGAAGAGATAAGTGCAACTATTATTATCCATCATTTTTACAAATACAGAAACAGATTTAGAAAGAATGAATCTCATGTAAAAAAAAATCAAAAGAACCAGACCTAACACTGATTCAAGACTCTTTGCTTTAGTCCAGGAGTTGGCAAACTATGGTCCAAATGTGCAACTGGCGAACTAAGAACATTTTTTGCATTTTTTAAATAGCTAAAAAAATTAAAAGAGCACTATTTCATGACACATAAAAATGTGAAATTCAAATTTTAGTGTCCATAAGTAAAGATACATTGGAATACAGCTATGCTCATTTGTTAACATATTGTCTATGACTGCTTTAGTGCTGCAATTACAGCACTATTTGACCTCTAATCTGTGTTTTGCAAGTCTAGATTTTTAATCCGACCTTTCTGAAAATGAGACCCACCTACATAGGTGCTGCAATTACAGCATTAAAGCAGTCAGTAGTTGTAAACTACTGTATGGCCCACAAAGCCTAAAATATCTACTATTAGGCCCTTTGCAGAAAAAGTTTGCCAACCTCTGCCTTAGTCCTATTACACCCACTCGTAAAAACTTATGCTCCAATAAAAAACAATGCAGAGTGGTTAGAACACCGTATTTTACACCCTAGCATGGTGATCTGAGGTTTAGTTGCTGTTTGTCATTTTTTTCCATTGTCTGACTATAACCTACTGACAGCTTCATAATCCCTAGACTACCCAGATAGGAGCAGGGAAATGGCTTGACTAACTGCTAATTAATCAGTCTGGCTTGAATTCTCCTTTCAGTAAACACTAGAACACATCTGTTTGAAACAATGTTTTGATGAAACAGTCCCTCAATCAAAAAGAAAAAAACTCACATCCCATGTATGCTCTGCTGCAGTTTTTCTTCTCTGAGATTTGCCATCATCTGAATGTAAATGAATCATGCTAAATCTGGTATCAAACCCACAAAAGACACTCTAGGGAGATTATGAGCAACCATGTTACACAAACTAAGATTATGCAAACCATGTAGCAGATATAAAACAAGTCATTTTATTTCTTAATCATTTTCTTGCTTTGATCTTTGTTAACATAATATTGAATGAACACTACATTTCACTAGATAAGAAAATATATATGTGAATATTTAATAGAGTACCTAGTACATATTTTGTGCTTGTTAAAAATTAGTTGAACCTGAAATTCAGTGAACCATGAGGAAGAATATTTTTAAACCACTTAATTGTAGAAAAGAATAAAGTATGCATCTTTAGCACATAAATTCTAGGAGTCGGCAGTCTACGAAGATTTATCTCAAAATAAATTTTTTCTTGTTCTTGTGGCTTTGGTTTAAGCCACTTCATAGAACCCCCAAAACATGCCTTAAAAGATACAATGCCAGCTTTATTCCAGAGCAGGCCAACATGGTTTCACCAGTTTATAAATCTTTGCATTGTTGTAAAACAGAAACAACATGCCAGTCTGCAAAGATTCTTTCACGAGTCTTAAATTCAAGTTATACTCACCCCACTATAGTCATCGAATAGAGAGCCTGGGTTCTCCATGATAGAGGTTCTTTCTAGGGGTTCAGAACTCCTGATCCTTGTCACCTGGAGAGCCCAATGTTTCAAGTTTATCTGCTCCCTCTGCCGCCTCGCTCTGTGGTAATTACCAGGCTCCCAGGGCTGGCCTAACAGCTCATGTGATAGAAGTACACAGGCAAAGAAACAAACAGCTGCATGAATTCCAGCGGCATTTAAACCTTAAACAACCTGAGGAAAGTTGCTGAATCAAAAATGGAATCTAAAAAAGTCAAACTCATAGAAGTTGAATTTCTAGAATGGTGGTTACCAGAGGCCAGGGGAGGAGGAGTGGCGGCGGGAGGGAGGAAAAAGGAGGGAAAGGGGAGACGTTGGTCAAAGCATTCAAAGTTTTGGCTGGAGCTAAGGAGTTGGTGATCTATTACACAGCATGGTGACTACCATTAATAATAATGATGTATTGTAGATTTCAAAATAGCTAAAAGAACTATTTTAAATGCTGTCATCACAAAGAAATGTTAAGTATCTGAGGTGATGGGCATGTTATTTAGCCTAATTTGATCATTCTACAATGTATACATGTATCAAAACATCATGTTATACCCCACAGATACATACAATTATCATTTGTCAATTAAAAGTTAAAAAAAATGTTAAAGGAACAAACTTGGGGAAACAGCTTTCAAAACATTTTAGCAAAGAACATAAGGGCTACATCCAATTGGTCCAGCCTCCAAAAGAAAACGAATAGTAAAATGTGCCAACTTATAAAAAAGTAATGGCTGAAAATGTTATTTCTTTCCTAGACAATAGCTTCATTTTAATGATTACACATTCTCTGGGAGAATTGATAAGAAACTGGTAATTGTGTTACCAGAGAAGTGGATGGCTTGAAGATGGCATGAGAGAAACAATCACTTATCACTGAAAATACCTTTGCACCTTTTGAAAGGTGTAATGTGCATATATAATCTTGTCAAGTAATTGCATTAATTAAGTTTTTAAGATTACATATTACACACCCAACGCATATCATGAGTAGACCAAAGTTACTAAAAGCACACAATGCAAGGTGTGACTTCTAATAAGAGTCTTCATTTTTTCATTCATTTAACAAGTAGTTATATGCCAGATACTAAGGAGGTGAACATTTAAAATGTTGTTCCTTCCCTTACAGAACATTTGGTCTAATGTAGCCATGGCTATGCATACAAGCAATTTCATACAATAAGTATGAAGTGCAGTAGAACAGAGAAAGGATGCCCAATAAACATTGGGACATTTATTCTCCAAACATATGTTACAGCCTCCTGGTAGTCACCTGGAGACACCAGTCACTTAGTCCAGAAATGTTGTGATTGTTTAGCATTGAGAGTTCCTCTTTTGGAATCAGTTTACAAGCTGTGTGAGTGATCTACTGCCATAATGTTGCTGCATAACAACCACAAAATCCCACGGGTATACAATAAGCCTTCCTTGCTTATTCCAGACTGGTTGAAGAGGCAGCGCTGTTGATCTTTACAGGCTCATTTACATGTCTGGGGATGAAGAGTGGAGGGGAAATCAGTTGGCTCTCAGCTCATCTAAACTGACCTTGCCTGTGACAAATGGAGCAATACTGCTCTGTTCCACACGCCTCTCATCCTCCAGCAGGCTAGCCCAGGCATGTTCTCCTGGCAATGGCATAGCTTTGAAAGAGGAAGCAGACACATGTTTACCTTGTGAGTCTTGGCTCAAAACTGGCACTCTCTCACTACCATTGCATTCTACTGCCCAAGACAAGTCACAATGCCCCTTCAGATTCAGAGGATGGGGAAACAGACACCATCACTTTAGCAAGAGGAACTGCAGAATCACATAGCAAAGAGCATAGATACAGAGAAGAGTGAAGAACTGAGGCCATCGTTGCAATTTACCACTGAGCCATGAGCAGTCTCTAAATTATCTTCTCTTGGTTTTAACCCTCCTCTTTCACTAGGATTGATTTCAGACGGTTTGATCTTTGCTCAAAATTCACCCCACCCTCAAAACCCAGAGAACTGCCATCCCTGAATACAGAGATGCTGTCTCATGACTTTTTCTTTGTCCCTCAGCAACTGCCAACACAGGGCCTTATGAAGGGAGATGGCTAAATGATATTTGTTGGATGGATGACAATTGTGTTTGCAGGTTATAAAAGTGTTTCAAGTGACAGGTGCATATTAGGATATATAGATAGTCTTCTCAGATGACCACTTTGAAACAGATGCCACATTCTAATATGTTGGTGTCCCTGAGTTAGTATAGAAAATTGACCCATTATATTTAGGTCACATTCCTACTATTCAAGATTGTAAAGTAGATACTTATTACAATTATCTTAACTTTAGCTTTTGTTTTTTACTCAGATTTCTAAAATGTACCTCCCAATCTTTCACCCATTATTTTTCAAATAGTGAAGTCATTCTACAAATAGGTATTGCCTAACCTCATGCTGGGTATATTATCTGCTGACTTACCATTGGCTAGAGAATGCCTCTGGAAAGGATAACAATGACCTACCTTACAGGACTTTTCTGGGAAGTTACATGATAGACTGCTCGAAGAAAGGTCTGCAAATTCACCTGGTGTAATATTAATTCTTTACATTTCTAGAGCTGCCTTTCTCTCAAAGAATTCCAAGCGCTTCACATATGGTCCGCCAGATCCTCTTAGAGTGTAAATTATGCCCCAGGAGTAAGTTAATTGCTTGCAGGGAGGCATTAACTCTTTCAGGTCACTAGGGTTCCACTTACAGCATTGCAGGAGGGCAGTAATTTACCAAATAATACACCAGTGACCGGAAAGTATTTGTGCAATATAAATTATTCCCAGGGAGTAACTTATGAACTCAGAAAATCTGGTTTATTATCTCATCTATTCACACAGATTCCCAGGGAGGGAGAGAAGGAGCAAGAAGAGAAAAATAGGTAGAAAAATAGGTGAGGCTACAAGTTTCCCAAGCTCCCACAGCTTCTCAGGGGCAGAGCTCCAACTTGAGTTGTCTGATCACTGGCATGCCTTCCTCTCAACTTGAGGCTGTGGGACTTGGGGCTGTCAACCTGAAGTTTCTGCTAATCAGGGCCAGGACTAGGATGAGGTGAGAGAGGTGACTCAGTGTCTTCACCTGAGTCCTGGCCCTGCTGCTACATCAGTGAGATATGTATTAGCTTGAAACACTCAAGGGACCATAAAATCCACACTCGCATTCACCGCTTGCTTCTATTAAACCCATAAATAATTGTTGAGGATTCATGAATTGATCAATTAGCGTTCCCATATGGAGGAAAAATGGAGAAGGCAATGGAGGAGGTAGTGTAACAGTAAAGAGGAGTGGATGTCATGTTGCTCTGTTGCCATTCTTGGAAACAGTCAAACAATTCATGTATTTTAGGTAAGAGCAGAAGAGACTAGATTGAAGTCTGTTTATTACGTAATTAATATATGGCATAGAGGTCTCTTGGAATATTTTGGCTTAAAGATCCAAATACTGGCCAGAGGCGGTGGCTCACATCTGTTATCCCAGCACTTTGGGAGGTGAGGTGGAAAGATAGCTTGAGCCCAGGAGTTCCAGACCAGCCTAGGCAATATAGGGAGATTCCATCTCTATTTTCTTTTTGCTTTTTTTTTTTTTTTTTGAGACGTAGTCTCACTCTGTTGCCCAGGCTGGAGTGCAGTGGCATGATCTCAGCTCACTGCAACCTCCACCTTCCTGATTCAAGCGATTCCCCTGCCTCAGCCTCCTGAATAGCTGGGATTACAGCCGCACGCCATCACATGCAGCTAATTTTTTTGTATTTTTAGTAGAGATGGGGTTTCACCATGTTGGCCAGGCTGGTCTCAAACTCTTGACCTCAGGCAATCTGCCTGCCTCAGCCTCCCAAGGTGCTGGGATTACAGGCATGAGCCACCACGCCCAGCCTATTTTCTTTATAAAAATAAGTAAATAAATAAATAAATAAATAAATAAATAAAGGTCCAAATACTGAATCCTTGTCAGAGTCAACTGACCACTGTGAATTCCCATTCTTTAGGAAGGTTCCAAAAGTGTGCAACAGGAACTAGGTGGTCCACAAAAGAATTAGGATACTGGTATCTTGACTCCCCACTCAAATCTCTCTCTTCCCCCCAACCCCCATCTATCTCTGTGCCTTTGTGATGGCTGTCTAAAAGCCAATTACAGAAGCATCATGGCCTTTTAAGGGGAAAAAATGTATTTAGTGCTCTGCTCTCTGCCTGGGAGTTTTGCTGTTCCAAAAGGCAGCAATCAACTTCTGTTCAAATTTCTGCTCCCCATTCAGCCTGACATTAACCTCTGCCCCCAATAGAGATCCCAGTTGATTTATCTGAATTTTGACTCATTTCTTGCCTCAATAAAATATACTAAATCACAATTTGAAAGGTGACAGAACACTCCCCGTGTGCCCCCTTCCATACACACACACACACACACATATAAAACCAGTGAAATAATTGTATAGCACACTTACTTGGATGGTAAGACTGTCAGAGTGGCCTTGGGTAAGTCACTTAACCACTCTCTGCCTCCATTTTCTCCCCTTGTAAGATGAGGAGCTTGGACTAGAAGTCTCAGGTCCCTTCCAATTCTGGAACTGATAAGTCTCATCAAAGTGATAACTTTAACCTATACTGGAGTCGGCAAATCATAGCCCTTGCGTCAAATCTTGTCCACTGCCTGCTTTTGTATGGTCCATGAGCTAAGAATGGTTTTTACATTTAAAAATCAAAAAAGTATTTCATAACATGGAAAAAATTATATTATCATTTACATATCATCTATGGGTGCTCTTGCAACACAAGGCTAGAGTTGAGAAGTTGCAACAGAGACAGTATGCCTGCAAAGCCTAAAATATTTACTATCTTTACAGAAAATGTTTGCTAACCCCAGACCTAAGCCATCAGACCATTTGCATAGTAAGAAAGTCTGCCGCAACACTCTCACCTGATTGAAGTTTTATCTCTGGAAAAGAGAAATTTCACAAAGTAATTTCAAGAGCCAAAAACAAAATTAGTGGACAATGAGACAATTTGATCCTAATGAAAGAAACTGCTGGAAATCACTGATAAATCTCCCTTGCCAATGTCAGGATTGATTTCTTATGAGAAACGATTTACTCCAAAGAATTTGTCACTTCCCACTACTTGCAAAAAGGCCATTACAGTGAATTTTTCCCCTTTCTTTTTTTCTTTTCACTTTTTTTTAAGTGGTCTGAAGGCAAATCTATCTTTCCTTCATGAGTAATAGGATCATTCGTGAAAATGGCTGTTAAAAAGCAAGCAAGCATGGAACAAATCGCAGTCCAATAAAGCTGTGACTTTGAAAAGGAAATTGCTCTGCTTAAGTGATGGATTCTGTTTCAGTCCTCACGACCCAAGTTATGAGGCAGTCCAGGGACCGGGGTCCTGGCCCTCATAGTCAAAGCAGCTGCAAAGCCCCACTGGGAGCTCGCCAAGGACTCTGTGAATGGCCAAAAGCTGACCCACCCACCCCATCACGTCTACAGGCTGCAGCCCTACAGGGCCACAGAGGCTGAGCAAGAATGTGGCAGTACCTAGCATCCAGTCTCCTCCAGCGACCCTTTCAGCCAGCCTGGAATGTCCCCTCACCCCCACCTCCTCTCTGCTTACTTACTCCAATCAAGGGCTAGTTTGAGTTCCATAACCTTATAATACCCTGTATTATTTTTCATCATTTTATGGTTGTGTTTTCTCTTCCCAAGGACTGTAAGATCCTTGGGCACAAATTGCACCGATCATTTAGACAACTTTCAGTTAGAGACTCACAAGAAATCCCAGTGAAGAGGACGATAGCGATGAAATAGGAAATTAGCAGGGCTTCGAACCTTTTTTCTCAAAGAGGAGATGGGAGGCTTGAACAATGTTTGTTCTCTCTGATTCTCAGGCAGGGCTTCCTAGATAAAAAGCTGAGATCTGGGGACAATGTGAGAATCCTTAGCAGTATGTTGCTGTTGTTGCTTTATCAGAGGATGTTCTGCCTATTGAGAGCAGAGTCGGTGCTGCAAATTCTTCCCTTCTGGACTTCGCTGAGGAACAGCTTCAAATCAAACTATTCCGTTTCCTTGAGAACAGAGAAGCTGGAGCCTCGGAGCTGTGGGGCTCCCTACTTTCAGCTTATGGGGGCGTGAGACTGTGACATCAGGCCATCCCCTTGTTCCCAAGACACCAAATGTTTGCTTCCCATCTTAACTCTATTCAAGGCAGTCACTTCAGAAGGAACTTTTGCTGAATTCATCTGTATGCTGTAGCCATGTAAATAAATGTTCTTTCAAAATTAGAAATATTTGCTTTAATTCTAAATTAAATTTAACATTTTCCTTTATATTACTGTTTTAAGATACTTTGTATTTTGAAAGGAATTTAATGTTTTGGAAGAGTCTTAGTCTTAGAACCTATCAAAATAGGGCTTCTTCATTTTGCTTTCAAAAAGAATCATAAGATGATTGCAACCACTGGGAAAAGATAAAGCCAATTCACTAACCTGGGAGCATCTGAAAAATCAACTCCTGAGCTCCACCCTTCAAGAGATTCTGATTTAATTGCCCTGAACAAGGCCTAGGTCTGGGACTTTTTTTTTTTTTTTTTTTTGAGACAGAGTCCCACTGTGTCACCCAGGCTGGAGTACAGTGGTGCAATCACTACTCACTGTAATCTCCACCTCTCAAGTTCAAGCAATTCTCATGCCTCAACCTCCCAAGTAGCTGGGATTACAGGTGCCCACCACCACAACCAGCTAATTTTTCTATTTTTAGTAGAGACTGGGTTTCGCCATGTTGGCCAGGCTGATCTCAAACTCCTGACCCCAAGTGATCCACCCACCTCAGCCTCCCAAAGTGCTGGGATTACGGGTGTGAGCCACCACCACTTCCAGCCTACAGGTCTGGGTATTTTTTGAAATCTCCCCAGTGTTTCACTGGCCATGTGAAAATCAGACTCCAGGACATGAGTCTCATATATACTTCTGTTGGAGTATTTATCACTTTATACCATCAATACTCATGAGCATATCTCCCTCTCTGTAGTGGTAGTTTCTGAAGGGCTGGGAGAGGACTGTCAAAACCCAAAGTGCCTACCATTAACCCACCTCCTTCTGAGGGACCATCCTCTGTGGAGGGAATGTGGGGAGGAACTCTAGGAAGTATCTCAAGCAAAGGTGGCCAGGCTGTGTACTCTGTGATGCCAACAACCTGGACATGAATGATTGGCCCAGGATAGGCACCTGCCCCCAGGTCTGCGGATATACAGGGTGTTTTGCAACCTGTAAGGAGACTGATACAAAGGCTCAGTCCAACTCTCACCCCTGGTGAATCCCTAGCAGGACAAACTAGATCCTTTCACTAAAGGAGTTTAAATGTGAGATCAACTGAGAGCTGAGCAGTTGGTAGCAGGAGCAGAAGCCAAAGGACACCCAGGGGAAAACAGCGAGAGAGGAGCTGAATCACCTTGGCGGCTAAGCCGTTAGTGGGGATCGGCAGATGCCTGCTGCTGAGGGGGCAGCGAGATAACCCAGTCACAGAGCTGTATCCTGAATGACCTTCCAGTTCCTGAACTTCAATCCAGTTTTCATGAGGCCTGGCTGGGTGGCCTTTCCGGAAGGCTTTTCGGAGACACGTGGCGGAATGGTGGAGATTCCGGTCAGCCTTCCTTCCACAGTAAATTCCCATTACTGAGGGTAAACCTCAGTGGTATCTGTTCCTTGCAACCCCCGCCCCCCGCCCAAAAAAAAAGCCCAATCAGCACAATGCCCAGGGCCTAGCACTTTGCCTGGCACACAGCAAGTGCTAGATATTTGCAGGTGCTTGGACGGGCTGATCATCCCCAGCAAAAAGCCCTCTAAAAATAAAGAAATCATTCAGAGTAAGAACATTGATGAGGGTCGTCTTCAAATTCCAAAAACAATGCTAAACGGCAATAAATATATTAAGCTTATTCTGCCCTCTAATTTCTGAATCTAACTACATTTCTACCATAAATCTATCAAAGAGGGAAATGTCATTTTCTGCAGAACTCCAGAGAGCATCCTAATTTCAGCTAAGGTATGTTTTGATGACTCGATTTTCACTTCGCTTAATCTTAAATCACAGCAACGTTAGTAAGAACAATTTTCCTCCCACACTCGCTTCACTGACAAACCTGCAAAGTAGCTGATCTTTGACTTTTAAGAAGTTTAATAATACATGATCTTCCCCCCACACTGCCACACGCATTTCCCCTGCCTATTGTCTGTATCAGCTACTTGAAGAACACATACTCCCCAACAACCGGATGAGTCATAAAATAAGAGGTACATGGACGTAAACTGAGCCTGTTTACACTTTCCCTGGCCCCAGCTAATAAAATAAAAGAGGTCCCACTGAATTCAGGTCCAATGGCTTCCGGAAAACAGGTTTCTGCTTAGCAAAGACATGCCCTATTTAGTACATTATTTTAGAGGTACAGCCAATTCCATGCCCCATGTGAATGAAATGTATTTATGGTTATAGCCATGCACAGGGTGTGTAAGGACTTGCCCTCCTCCTGTCCTCTACAAAAGAAGGCTCAGGCAGCTTCTGGTGGTGAACTAACCAACAAAAGGAATGCCCAGAAGGTCTCACCTCTCCCATCCACAGAGCTCTGGAATGGGGGCCGGGCCCCTGATCGCTGGAAACTCAGCATCCAAGTGGGCGCTTGCTGAAGTTTCCCATCTGCATTTTCGAAAATCTGGATAAAAGCAGGTTTAGCTCAACCTCCCCTAACCCGTTCCTGATAAAGTGATCTTACGCCTCTGGAATTGGGATTTTGAATGTATGTGCCTGCCCCATGTCTGGTATTAGATTACAACAGCATGAAAATGGAGCCTAGGACTGAGGAGCCGGCCAGCCTCAGAAGCCTTCTTCATTGCCTGCCATGTAATACATGATATGCAAAGCCTCTGACTTCAGCCAGCAGATATTTGGAGACCGTGTTGGCCTTAGCATGGGGACTAAACTAATGTGTGTTTAGGTCAGAAAGCGAATCAGAAAAGCCACTGGAGGGCACGTCACGGAGTGAGAGCCCTATAAATTCATCCCCACTCGCAGCGTCCCCTGGCAAATACTCGGCTTCCCTCACCCGGCCGCTCCGCACCTCTCCTTCTCGGTGCTAGAACTCCGGCCGGCAGCTCCTTTTCTCGCCACTGCCTCCTGCCCTGCGGAGAAGCGAGAGGGCGAGACACCCGAGCGGGAAGGCCGGCCTTCGACAGGCGCGAGGAAAGCCCGGCGCTGCCCTGCACCGGCAGAGCGCCACCCTCCCAGTGCGGCGCGCGGGGGCAAAGCCCGGCGCGGGCGCCGCGGTCAAGTTCGGATTGCCCCTTTCGGCTGGCCCGCGCAGAGCGCCGCACATTCCTCTCGATTTTTGATCCACCCGGAGAGGAGAAGGCGCTAGCCCCGCGGCGTCTCCGCGCTCTCAGCGCTCTCCCTGCAGCCCAGGGAGGGGCGCCTCGCGTCGCCCACTCGCACCCCGGCCCCCCGCCTCGGGAACTCCAGGGCCTCCTCGCTGCTCTCCTCTCCTCCCCCACCGCCAGGCCCAGCCGACGCCTCCCGACCCCTCCCTCCCGGGGCCCCGCGCCTCCCCTCCCCCACCCCGGACCCCGGACCCCCAGCCCGGGCTCTAGAAGACCAGCCTGCGCTCCTGGCGCCCTCATGTCTTCACGGGACTCCCCGCGCCGGTTGACGTGGTGTCTCGTTCGGATCTCCAGGCAAGACCTCAGCTCCGGCAGCAGCATCAGACAAACCAGTCTCGTGCTCCCAGGCAGTGCGCCCAGAGGAGGCGCAGAGCGCGGCAGCTGCCGCTGAGCCGCCCGCAGCGCCCCGGGCCCGCGCAGCCCCAGCCAAGAGCGCGACGCGCGCAGCCCTGTCAGCCCCCCACCCAAAGCAGCGGCGGCTGCTCGGACCTCGGCTTCTGGGGGTGCGGGGGCCCGGCGGGAGAGTTGCCGGCAGCCCTCGCCCTGTTGGCGGCGGCGGCGGCGGGAGTCTTGGCCGCCGCCTCCAGCGCGCCCTTGCTGCCCCGCGCGACCCCAGGATTGCGAACTCTTGCCCCTGACCTGTTGGGCGGGGCTCCGCGCTCCAGCCATCAGCCCGGATGGGTCTCCTGGCTGGGACTTGGGGCACCTGGAGTTAATGTCCAACCTAGGGTCTGCGGAGACCCGATCCGAGGTAAGTGAGGGAGCGGGCCGGGGAGCAGGGAGCGGGTGGTGCCTGCGTCGCGGGTGGGTGCGGCCGGCTGAAGGGCGCCCTAGTCAGAGGGGTGCGTCTGGACCCCAGAGCAAACGGTGAGAGTAGAAAGTGGAAAGACTAGAGGGAACCTAAGCTATGCGAGGAGAGAGAAAAGTAGAACCGGAGAGAGGCCGGCCTTTCGGAGGGGCATGTTGCCTTTTCCACGTGGGCAAAGATCTGTGGAGCCCCAGATGCGCCTGGACCCGGAATGCCCAAGAGGGGCAGTTTCCTTCCCCGACTCGGCCAGGTGCTCTTCCGTCAAGTCACAGAACGATTCAGGGCTTGGGTCATCTTCGAACCCACCGCCGTCGAAATGTGTCCTCTCTGGACGTGCAGAGATACTATCATTGCCAAGAGTGCAACTTACTATTGAGCTTGTTTTGATCTGTGCCAAGGAAAAGCGCAGGCCGGGGGAGGGGCTGCTGCAAAGGTGCTGAGAACCTAAAAATGGAGGGCTCACCTCCTCCGGGCGAGGTCTGGCAAAGCTACATTCCTCACCCGGTTGCCTGCACGTTCCTAACGCCCTCCACCCCAACTAACCATCCCCGTCGAGGTTAGGAGAGGGGCTTTCTTGCCAGTCCTGGATTCAAATCTCTGTCTCGAACGTATTCTTGAGACTCCACTAGGCCATTGAGGTTATTATTTTAATGACCCCTTTTTCTCCTGTACTCTGTGCCGCCTTCCAAAAACACCCCACCACCACTGCCACTACTTTACACCACCTCGAGGCTAATTCCGCACTGGTGGTTTGTTTCCTGCCCCAACGAAGAAAAACGAACCCTCTTCGGGCTGGAAACGGACTTTCGCGGGTTCCCGCCAGCTTCCTGGGGCCCAGCTAGTTTCGGCTTTGGTAGAATCCGCCGCCAGGACCCATGTGCGCGCCCCCGGGGGGCTTACCCATCCCAGAGCTCGCGACCCTTCTGCTCATAGGCGGGGACAAAGGCAACTCTTCCGGCCCCTGCTGCGGAGATGTTAGAACGCGCTCGACTCTTGCTCAGTGTTTGGAATATATGCTTAGGTATTTCAAGGAAGAGATGTTTCTTCCAACCTCATTCACGCACCCAGTCCCGCAAAGCCGTCAAAGCCGGCCTCGACCAAACTCGTACTGTTTCGCTGCGCCTTCGCTTTGTCAGGGAAGGTGGCGCCTTTTCAACAAGTAACAAGTGTCCGATCTCTGGGAAGTCCGCCGTGTCCCTAGCCCTTTCCCGCTAGCAATTCGGGTGCTCTCGGGCCTGGAACCTGGCCCTTTAAACAGACCGCTTTCCCAGTTTGCCTGCGAGAAGTGTCCCAAATTCTTTTTCCTTCCCTCATCTTGGGCCCCGCAGTTATGGGGGGTTGAGGGGAGAATAAGTCCTCTGTCAGTCAAGGACACGAAGCATAGTTAAGAAAAGCAATAGATCTTCCAGCAATTTCTGTCTCTACCTCCCCCCGCCAAAAAAAAAAAAAAAAAAACCGAGTTTATAGCAAACCCGTCTCCCCGCCCCACCGCCTCCTTTTTCTCTCTCTGAGACCTGGATCTTGAAGGCAAAGCCCAAACAAACCTCCCAGCCTGCCAGGCACAAGAAGGTGCGGGGGCACTGACGGCGGGAGCGCTGCCTCCTGCGAATCTGTCACGGTGACGCGTGGAAGGGGTGAGGGATGGTCTGAAAGCAGGTTGCCAAGAAACCCGCTCAGGTGAAGTGGGGAGAGGAAAACCAGCGAGAATGGAGGGGTGGGAGCCTGAAAAGCAGAGATGCCAGTAAGGACCTCCACAGGTTCCCGGGCTAATGGGATTTCGGGAGGCTCGTAGAGGGAGTGGTGGTTCTCCGGTTTTATAACTAAAATGATAACACAGCCTCCGGGCCGCGTGGGCGCGACACGGCTCAGACGGTTTCTGGTGCCCCCTGCTGCCGGGAACTCAGAAGTGCCTCGCGGCGAGCGGCTGCTTCTGCGAGCACTTCTGTGGCTTTCCTGGGCGTCCTTGCCTCCCCAGGCCTGGGGACCCACAGGTGCCGGCGCCCACGGCCTGCTGCTTTTGCCCTGCCGGGACGTGGTGGTCCCGGACCCAGAAGGGGACCAGCTTGCCAGGCACGAGAAATGGTGCGCGGTCACCTGGCAGAGCAGAGCCCCCGTCACTTGAGGAGCAGAGCTTGGTTCTCGCACGTGGCGGCGCGTAAAGCAGTTTGCACCGCGGGCAAAGGCCCATGGTTGAGGAGAAGCGCGTCGGGCAGATGTAGATGTGTTTTGGGAAAGCGATAGAGAGACAAACTGAGAAGCCGAGGGGTGGAGCCCACACGGACTCTAAGAAAAACGTCCTAGTAGACGCTGTGTGTGCCGAGTCCCCCAACCTCCCCCCTTTTCCCCCGCCCAGCAAATACCGAGAACGAAAGAGCCCCTCGGACTGGAGCCGGTCCCGGCGGCGCTCAGAGGGAAGAATGCGCCCTCCCTGTCCCGGGGGAAGAGGGGAGCTCGATCCGGGCGCTGGCGGCGCTCGGCCGAGGGCGGGAACCGCAGCCGGGAGCCTCCTCTGGCGACGCGGGGAGTTTTCCACTGTGTAGTCTTTTGCCAGCTTCGCCACACTTCTAATTGAGGATCTCCACGTCCAATTTAAAAAGCCCTCCGTCGGCCAAGCAGGAAAAAAGGGAAAACCCTCTTAAGACGGAAGGGAAATCTAGTGCCTCTGTGGCTTCCTGCTGGCGGGCACCGCGATTTGGAATGGCGCATTAACCCCGCGCCTCCATGCTCCTCCGGTCGGACCGCCAGCCATTTCGCACGCACCCGGGAGCTGGCACCGGCGGGGGGCTTGAGGGGGGAAGCTCGCGTTCCCCAGGTCCTAGCTGCCAAAGTACCTTTCTGGGCTCATTTTGCATGGCCTGGTGCAGTTTTCCTGTGTCTGCACATCGCGACCCAGAACCTAGCTTTTTCCCGAGTTTGCAAACCAGCCCGCGAGGCAAGAGGCGCTCGGTGCTGCAGGTCACTAGGAGTTTCTAGTCCCTACACCCTCTCGAGCCCAACAGCTGCATAGCGAACAAACAGACGCTCAGGAGATGTAAAATGCATTAGTCTCTGCAGAGGTGGGAGGTGGCGGCCGAATTAAAGGCTTCCCCGGGTTGCCTGCACCGGGACAGGGAGTGGGGTTCCGGGTAGAGATGAGGACTGGAACCCTGGAATGGAGGCGGGGGTGCCTGTGAACTAATGGCTAGGAAAGGCACTGAGGTTTTTGCATTAACCTGGGTTTTGCATTTCCCTCCCGCATGGGAAAAAAAAAATCGAGTTTTTCCTAAGAACCGTTTTATGGAGCCGGTCGAGGGGATAGGATAATCGACTGCACGAATCTCGCAGATTCCGCTTGAGGAGATTCTCTCTAGGTCACTAGTGCCCTGGAGACGAACCCTGGGATTAGGAAGGCACTGGATAACACTGCACCCCAAGATGCCTCGGTTCTTCCCCGTCTCCTCATTGGTTGGAACTCGCCCCCAAATTTACAGCCCCTTTTTCTAACCCACCCCCAGCTGCGTGGCCCTCCTTTGTAGGGGTGTGAGGATTGAGAAGCCAAACAGAGCCCACCTCGGGCTGAAAAGAGCTGAACCCCCTACTCTGCGCCGTACCACGGTCTAGGCCTTCCAGTGCCAGAGCACCTCCAAAGCGTCCGAGACTGGGTACAGTCGTCCAGGCGTGACGGGGGCGCGGGGAGCCAGTGACTCCTCTGGGAGGGGAAGGGATTAGGGCCAGAATCTCTCAAAGGTGCAAAAATCCAGTCAAGAGAGGGTTTTCGGGTATACCACGGAGGATTAAAACTTTCAAGACAAATGCAGTCTTTGCCTAACAGCAATGGTAAAGCATTTACTGAGCTCTTACTACATGTTCCGCTAGAGCTTGTCATGCGTGATTTAATGTTCATAACTTTAAGAGGTGGGAGGAGTATTTTAAATCGAATCAGTGCTTTGGGAAGTTAAGTAACTTAAACCAGATATCCCATACAGGCCAAAAGTCTCCAAGTCCCTGCTAACTTCTTGCTCTCGCAACAGAATACCTATTTAGGTGGGAAGAATGAGGTGTGGGCGGCAGGCTGGGTGAGTGGTGCCCCCGAGCCTGCCCTCGACTAGCCAGAAGCCCGGTTGGGACCCGAGGCAGGGGAATGCGCTTGATTTTATTTCCAAAGAGAAACACCGTCCTTGCTTGGGCCGAGGGCTCGTTCAGGGGCCTATAGGAGCTACCGGGACAAGAAGGGGAGGTCTCTGGTTGGGGTGGAGGACGAAGGGTGGGAACTACCCGATTGCCCCCCAGGAATGGGGGATGTTGCGCACCAGTAGAGGGGACTGGACAGGAATCGTGGTGGTGGGGGTGGGGGGTTAACTGGAGGGGACAGCAGCCCTGCTTGAAACTCTGACCCCTAAGACCGTGTGGTGGAGAAGGGCAGCTGCAACCTGAACCAGGAGTGCGAGCTGCTCCTGGGGCGCGCTGAGGAGGGAGAAGCGAACTGGGGACTTGCAAGGAGGGCAGGAGTGCCCGAGGAGCCGCTGGCCTGCAGCGGTGCCGGAGGAGGGCGGTGACGAGGTTGGAGAGGGGCGCAGGGACCCGCAGGGAGCCCAGGCTTAACGTGCATTCTGCGGTTCTCTCCCCCACCTCCCGCCTGCCCGCGCAGGTGCCGCCGCCGGACGGGACTTTAAGATGAAGTTATGGGATGTCGTGGCTGTCTGCCTGGTGCTGCTCCACACCGCGTCCGCCTTCCCGCTGCCCGCCGGTAAGAGGCCTCCCGAGGCGCCCGCCGAAGACCGCTCCCTCGGCCGCCGCCGCGCGCCCTTCGCGCTGAGCAGTGACTGTAAGAACCGTTCCCTCCCCGCGGGGGGGCCGCCGGCGGACCCCCTCGCACCCCCACCCGCAGCCAGCCCCGCACGTACCCCAAGCCAGCCTGATGGCTGTGTGGCCTACCGACCCGTGGGCAAGGGGTGCGGGTGCTGAAGCCCCCAGGGGTGCCTGGCTGCCCACTGCTGCCCGCACGCCTGGCCTGAAAGTGACACGCGCTGGTTTGCCCAGCACAGAGGGGATGGAATTTTTATGCTGCTCCTTTAGCATTCTGATGAACAAATATCCTCCCCACCAGCACCACCACCTCAGAAACACACACACAGCTGTCCCCTTTTCTGTTTCCTCACCTATACACACTCCCAGTTTTTCTTTGCTTCCAAAGCCCTTTATCTGTGTGTCTGTGCCTGGCTGTGCTTAATTCTGAGAACTATTGCACTTTCATCCTAAACTGCGCCTGCAAGGCGAGAGGCCGGCTTTTCACAAAAGCAAGCCAGAGGCAGAGAAAACACAGAAGGGCCTCCATTTCCAGAACAAGCGTCTGGGTAATGTCAAATCTGTTCAGAAAAGTTCCTCTGTTCAGAAAAGTTCCGGTTCTAGAAAGACTTAACCATAAATAGTGCTGGCTGGGACTAGGGACAAAGACTGTAGCTCACTCCACGTGAGACAATGCTAACTCTTGAGAAAAAAACCCAGGTTATTCTTATTAGAAAATAAGTCTGTGATTTACCTCTCAAAAATTAACATGTTTTAGAAGCAAGTCAATTAGGGCATATCAGCTGTGATGTGATCTCGTTTTCCCTCCACTCCTCAGAAGCTTGTTGCATGAAGTGAGAGAGGCTACATTACATGTGATAGAGGCTGTTGCAGAGGCATAATGTCAACAAAGATAGCAATAGAAAATTTCACACAACCCCAAAATAAAGCAGGAATGAGCTGTGTGTAACTAGGATACCACCCTGGCTACTCTTCCCTCCCTAACGCCACCCCCAGAATTATCCCTCTAGTAACTTTGCGCTTGAAACTTACTATGGTCATAACCACAGTAGTAGTCCTGCAGTAGTCAGCTGTGCGCTGAGTCCCCCAAACCCAATGGCCTTGGCTAGGAAACAACCCAGTAAATGCAATGTGCTTATTTTATGCTTAATTATAGCAACAAAAGCACCTTCTTCCACAAGTCCCAAGAAAGATAGAAAGTGGATTTTTTTATAAGGCAAATTAAGACTTCAAAAGGAAGTTAGGGAACATGGTTAATCCTTTGAAACTAAAGTACCTGTTCCAAGAGTGTCTGTCAATTAACTGTATAAACCTACTTTAAAGGCTTTTATTTCCATCACAAATTTAATGTATATAAACGTTTCTCCAACAGAAACTTTAAAATGCCCCTTAGTGCCGGGTCTTCCAAAACTGGCTATTCATTCACTCAAACGGTCTAGACAAGAGGGACAGGAACACAGTGGCAGATAATAGTTCTCTAACCCAGACGTTGCCAAGAGAAAAATGACTGTGCCTGATTACAAAGCTGATTAATTCATGGAGGTTTAATTGCTGTATTAGTGCCCTGTTCAACTAGATTCATTTAATTCTGGCTCAGGCTCCTGGCTCTGCTTTCAACTAACTCTGTGACTTTCAGGCAAGTTACTTTAGAGCTCAATGAACTGTACCATAAAGAGAAGCCTTTCTACTCCACAATCCCAGTGGCTATGAGATTTGCCCCTTGGCCTTTATGTTTGTCCTAAAGTCCTTTGGGAAGAATCTCCTAAGAAGAGATTGGAGTCACCTGGGGAACTTTAAAGACTACTGATGCTAGGTCTCACCCCAGGAGATTCTGATTTAGTTGGTTTGGGGTGTGGCCCAGGCATCTGAGTTTTTAGGTGTTCCCCAGATGAGTCTAATGTGCAACCAGACTTGAATCACCATGGCTTGATAACACCCAAGAAAATCTTTGGCTCATATAAGGTACAAGTAGTCACAAAGCAAGCGAGTTAACACAGATTGCAGGGACAAGGGCATGTTGTAGGGAAGAGGGATTGCTTCCCTTTTCCAAAATTGATGCTGTGTCATCAGTGAACAAGATTCTCACTACTCTATTTACATTTGAACAGCAAAACACACCCCATTGTGTTTTGTCTGTGGGAAGACCCAATAGATCCCAGAGGAAACCTGAAAAAGAAACGTTCCCAAAGAGAAACTGAGCTGCATTCTAAGCCAAATTGACTTCTTTCCAGATATGTTTGATTCGGTAGCAAGCTGTCAAGTGCAGGGAAGGCAAAATAATGACAGTATGCAGACTTTGAACACTCAACCAGTGTCAACACGCCTCTGTCACAGTGCTGACATTTATATCCTGCACTGTACATGGTGCAACTGGTTAAGGCTTATGTAGAAAAACATTAAGTCACCACATTTCATTTAAAAATAGAAAGTATCATAAATTCTGATTCCTCTAGTTCCATCCAAATACTTGTAACTTAATGATTGAGCAAAAGAGCTTTCATGCCACATTAACGTCATTCTGCGCTTTTCACAGGAGGACCAGAATATACACAGTTTGCACACTCACCTTTAAGATTGCATGTGTTCCGCTGGTTCCAATGTAAATAAAACATCCAGAATTCTATTACTAGTATGCCCTCAGTGTGAGATAACCAAATGGAATTCATAATTGGCCAACGGGCTTGCCTAGAGGCTGGCTGTAAAGTAAATGGCTCAGGACTGCCTCCTGTAGCAACTTCTAGCCTGTCTAAACTCAAGGACTTGTGATTTGACTTTTGGGGTACCCAAGACTTTTCTCTTTTGCTATCTTTATTTGTTTATTTTGCTTTTTGCCAGTATTTTGCCAGTATTTTGCTTTTTGCCAGTTTCCAAAGGGCAATTAGAGCAGGCATGAGGAATCTGCAAGTTGAAACTTGCAAATGTCATAGCATTTTCGAGCTGAAAGGAAACCCCTCTAGTCCTGAAACCTAAAGAGGCAAAGCAACTTGTCTATAATGCACCACAGTTCCATGATCACAGGAGGCAGGTCTGAAGCTGGGACCAGAGTTTCCCCCAAACTACTGAAATGTACTTTATATGGGAAGGGGAGGATACTTTATATGGGAGGAAGGTCTTGAACTAATGATTTAGACCATGGTGCACAAGGTTGTCTGAATTTATTGAAGGTTAGTTCATCATAGTCATATTCCTTATCTCAACTCTAAATGTATTTAATAAGTAAAAGCATAAAATGCATGTGGTTTTAAAAATTTGCATCTAAATGCACATATACATTCACCAAATAGTTACATGTATGCCTGTCTGTGCCAGGCACTGTCCTAAGTGCTAGGGATACCTTGATACACCTAATAAACAAAAGTCGCTGCCCTCATGGAACATAGCTTCTAGTAAATGCACATGTGTGGTGGTATGAAAAAATCAACGTGAAAGAACCTCAGTCCAGTAAGGTGGGCTGAATTTTTTGTGCAACTGGAAACCAACTAAAATGACATTGAGCATCGTTAAGTTGTAATTACAAGTAATTCCTAATTTAGTATAATATAATGGGATTATATTCTACCAGTTTGGTAGCAGTTCACAAAATTTCCTATGGAAACAATTTTTTAAATTAAGCTATCAAGTTTTCAGGCTAGCCCACAAAAACCTATGTAAACCACGATATAACTGAACTGTCATTCACAATATTACTAAGTGAGAGTCTCTGCCCTGGGGGGCACATCCCATAATCTGCAAAAGGAGGGCACAGAACAAGAAATCAGGGAGGTTTCAGCAAGCAAGAGCTCAAGGTAACACATTCAGACCAGACTAGGATTTGGACCCCAGCCTTGCCACTTAACTGAGATGTTGAGCTGTTACTTAACATCCCTTAAGCTTTGTTTTTTCTTCCCTGTAAAATAGGCATAAGAGTAAATCTGTCTCATGGGTTGATGTGAGGGTTAACTTAGATATTGCTTTGTAAAGCCTCTGCTCCATAAATAGGGATCATAGTTGTCATTTGCCACCCTCCTGCTTGCAATGGCCCCTCCCTGGGCACCCAGTGAATTCACTTCTTCCGCTACGACATCTGCCAGGATGCTGCTCTAAATAGTGGGATTTCAGCAGCACAACAGAGTACAGCGAGTGAGAGAAATGCAGGCCTTGTGGGCAGGCTATTTTGGGCCCCACTGTTGGTTGGTCAGCACGTAGGCAGTCCAGGCTTGCCTGGGATTCTGCCCCTGGGTCAGCTGCCCCTGGCTCTTCCCAGGTTTCACAGCTCCGACCCTTCCCCAGTTTCCAAGCCCATATATTTCCAGTGGAATTTTTTTCTCACCAAACTCCTATGGTTATGTTAGGGAGACCTCTTCCGTCATGGGAAGGAGGGAACCAAGGCAGGGTAGGATCTTTCTATGGAAGTGACAAGAGGGTTGTGAGTTGGAGGCTACCTGTATGGAGATGGAGCGTATCTTTGTAAATGATCCATCCCAGCTGGACATTTAATTTAAGAAGTTTCATAACCCTAGCAAAAAATACTTAGTAAACTGTGAGACCACCTCTATAGAGCTAAGGAAGCTTCTAGTGCAACAAGCTGGGTAAATGTTAAGCTTTCAAATCTAATGTTATGAAATACAGAATTTAGAATGAACAAACACCATCTATCTGTTGTGTCTTATCGCTTAGGGACTGTATGAATGAACAATACTTTAACAAAGTAACTACCTAAGCTGGAAAGGAGCTCTGCCACTTGGGATGGGTCTCTTGGAATCAAGAAACTGCACATCAGACTCTTGTAGGAGGCACTGATTCTTTACTTGAGATCTGAGACCAATATTCTCATTCTGGCCCCAGTCTGGAAAACCATTTCAAACTGTTACTGCTTAGAGAAATCTATTTAAGGCTTAAATTGATTTGGCCAGTCAGGACCTTAGGCTGACCCAGGGCGTGAGCAATGTACTCAACAGGTTCTTCTTCAACAGATATAAAAATTAAAGCTCCCTGATATTTTCCCCTCCTAATATCTCTTTGATCTTTGTTTATTTAACACTCATGGACCATAGCACCTTCATTTGATTAAAATACTTGTTTTTTAGTTAATTACTTAAGCTTAATCAGGAAACAAATATTAAATATCTTTCATGTACTGGGTGCCATGCGGCCTCAAAAAGGCTAAATTTGTAAATAAAGTTGCTTGTGATCTAGCTGTAAACTATTGCTAGGTGGATGGGCGGATGGCTGGATGGATGAATAGAATGTCAGTCAGATAGATATGTCTATTGTGTAGGGTTTAGGTGAGCTGTACGCATGTGTGGTAAAAATTCCTAGCAGTGAGCTCACTGGGATTTGGGTATCATAGCAGGGACGACTTCAGGGAAGAGGGAGGATTTGACCTGGTACTTGAAAGATGGGTGTTTGGAAGGGAAGGGAAAAGGAAAGGGGGACATACTAGGGAGTAGCATGGGAAAATTTGTGACCATGATGTGGGGAAGGGACAGTGGAACAAAGAGGAGGACAGACCAGTCTCCAAGTTCTAGAAAGAGGTGCTAAGAAGTGGTGGGAAATTGAAGATGTCTTGACAGGTGATACCAGATTGTGTGATACTATAAAATTCAGGAAAGGTGTTTGCTCTGTTTTTGATAGCAGTGGGGCACCCATGGAGCAGGCAGGTGACTACAAGGCGGGATCTTGCTTCAAAGCTGTCTTGCAGGAGAAGTTACCTAAATACCCAGACTGCTTTTGAGTGGGGCCTATGCCGTAAGCATGTCTTTTATTTTGAGGTGTTGTGCTTTTATTTTTAAAAATCTTCTAGACATAGGCACAATTGAACCAAACTATTAGCCCCAAGTAAGTGAATATCTGCAAATAAACACTTAATATTAAAGTTAATGACCTAGCACCTTTTAACTATCCACATGATGAACACAGTTCTTGTCCTGAAATCAAGTAAGTCTGAGCTCTACAATAGAAGAGGAGATATTATTATCCCCATTTTACAGGTGAAGAAAGGAGACCTAGAGAGTTGTTCCGGGTCACAAACCTAGTAAGTGGTGAAGCCAGAATTTAAACCTCAGCATGTTGGTCCGAAAGCCAATATTTCTTGACTTTACACAGACTGTGTGTGCATATTAGTGAATTAAGAAAATATAGACTTTGGCTTGCTTAAAAATGCACTCACTAACCCTGAAACACAGATTTCCAGGAAAATTAAGCAAGCAAAGAGAAAAGAGAAGCAGAGACTATCAAATTTCCTTTTGGCCCTTTTAAAATCTCCATTTGGGCTGCGGTAGGCTTAAGCCAGTATTACTAATGACTACTTCAAAGTCCAGATCAGGATGTTTTTAAGAAGAGAAACATGAATTTCTCTAAGTATTCCTATAATATTGATGCTTTTTGCAATGAGAGAAGGCTCCCTAACTCTTTGCAACAAAGCAAGGTCTCCTCAAGTGCTTGGTAGGCAGACAGCATTCGGGAGGCCTTGTGGGAGACTCTGGTTCTCAGATCTCTCCCATTCTGCCCAGCGAGGGGATGGCATCCACATAGGAACCTAGTGTGACTGCACGAGTGCCAGAGCGATGGCCTCAGTGGGAATAGGAGTATGCGTAAGCAGACTTGGGTCACCACTGGGAAACAACTGGTTAGCTCAGTAGAGGCAAAACCCACTTTTGCATAACTTTAATAACAAAATTGAAGTAGAGAAGCATGGTTTTAAAACAATATGGCCTTCCAATTTTTTTGCCTGCAAACCTGCAAATAAGAATGTTGAAAAACGATTACCTACTTTGAAGCTTTCTAAAATTTTTCATCATAGGTTTAAATAGTTACACCAGATGTCATTTCTAGCCCTTTCAGGAACTGTATATATGCTTTAAATATTCTTTTGGCAAAACTTTGCACCTGCCTATGTAGTTTATTTAGTTCATGGAAAATGATCAAACTAATCAGCCCAAATCAATTGGCTTTTTGGTCAGAAAAGGTCTGACTTCATTTTCAATTCAAATGTACATGTTAATATACACCCCATGACAACTGTCACAATTCTGGATCCTAATTGTAAGGTAGAGAGATGGATAGGTGAACAGTCAGATAAGCAAAGAAAGCACTGAGGCTTCCCAAGGGGCCTGGCCAGGAGGAAATATGGAGCAACTGGCTTCAGGATTTCTTGGTTTATTCACAAAGTTATCTCCCTTTGCAAGTGTTTGTAGCACAGTGAACACCCATACATCCTTCACTAAGATTAACCTCTTTTTTAGCATTTTGCCTCGTTTTTTTCTGAACCATTTGAGAATTTGTTGCAAACATCAGAATGTTAAATATTTCAGTATGTACCTTCTAAGAACAAGGACAATGTCTTATATAGCCACAATTCAGTTATCAGTCTCAGGAAATTTAACATGGATATAATACTGTTATCCAATAGATAGTCTGTGTTCATATGTCCCCAGTTGTAGCAATTATGTCCTTTATGTTTTGTTTTTTTTTTTTTAAAACCCAGGACCATAAATTGCATTTGACTGTCTGGTATCTTTATACTTCCTTAATCTAAAATGATTCCCAAGTCTTTTTTTCCCGCATGACATTGACATTTGTGAAAACTCTGGGCTCTTTTGCTAGCTGTTTCCCAGACTACCCTTCAGTTTAGATCTGTCTGATTATTTCCACATGATTAGATGTAGGGAAACATCCTTGGAATATCATATTCATGGCACTATGTCCTCACATCAGGAAGCGCCCAATATCAGTTTGTTCCAAGGAGCCATTCATGCATGAATGCCTTTGTATGGCGCCTGAAGGTGTTTATCCCTGGGACAGGCCCCACAATAGAATGGCTAGATAGGTGAGAAGCACACCGTCTCTCAGTAAGGATAAAGAGGGATTGGAAAAGGGGACATGGGCAAGGAGAACCACAGCAGGAGCATCCGCAGGCAGACCAGACATTTTAGGACATGGCACATGTGGAAATTGAGGAAATGGACATGGATTCCCTTTCAACCACCCATAGGCACTGCAGAAAGTCTTCCTGTGCCCCCAGAGGGCCAGGTGCCTCAGTCTGAAGACACTGCTCTAAGCCATAGTGGACACAAAGATAACCCTCATGGGCTCTGGGGTCTGCTGACATTTGCATGTTTAGTTGTCAGGCATTTTGAGGAACACGGAAGAGCTCACACAGCCTCCCAAGACGGGCCTGTGGCTTCTGCCCACAACCCACCATGCCAGGGGCTCCAGGCCCTGCACAGAGGTCTCTCCTCTGTAGAACATGCTAGACTAAGTAGGGACCAGTGTCTGGATCCCCTTTTGGGCAATCTTGCTTTGTCTAGAGACTGTAGAGTTGGCTTTACACTGCTGCCTTCTGTGCAAATATTGCTGAAGGAGGATCCCAGATGTGATAACCATATTGGCCTACATTAGGCACCATTTGTGAAATACTTTCTGTGGACCAGGAACTGAGCTGAAATCTTTTCTTATGTTATCATATTAATTTTGACCTGAAGGTAAAGGTGTGACTAGCCCCATTTGAAAGATGGGGAAATTGAGGCTTACAGGGTTAGCAGCTTAGCCAGGGTCTGGACACAGGGCAGCCTGAGTCCAGCACTCACACTTGTCACTACTGCACAAGATCACTTCCTGCCAGCCCATGACACTCAGATGTCACTCTTCTGACTGCATCAAAAAGTCATCAAGGAAAAAAAATCAGGGAATGGGTTTGGCAGGTAAAGTTGTTTTAGAATGATAACCGTATCTCATTACCTGAAGAGTCTTTGAGATTCCCGTAAATTCACTCACTGGGGGTAGAAATTCCCTCCTCATATCTGACCACAAGAATCTACCAAACAAATTCAAATGATAAAGAAGATTTCTTTCATCTTCTCTTAGTCCCTCCTTCTTGTTCAAATCACTGAGACCCTTACATGCCTTTTACCTACTGCTCAGTGGGTCCCCTGGGAAGAGCTGAGGGATGCTGAGTGCAGAATCCTGCAGGGTCCTGCAGCCTCTCAGGCTGGGGGCAGGGCTTCGCTGAAAGAAGAAAGGAGAGACTCCACCACCCCCACAACCACCTGCCTCTGATAACACCACAGGGATGATTTGCCCTAGTGGCTTTTTGTGCACTTAATTTTACTGGGTAACTTTCTCACCCTTCCCTGTTAAGTTTTTTATAAGGGCAGTAGCAGACCTCCTGGTGTGTGCTCATTAGCTTGTGGTGTTTATTACCGACTCTGGAGTGCTTTTAGCTCACACCAGGTGTTCATGGATTAGCTAACAAATGAACACCCTGTTGGGTGTTTTCCTGACTTAAAAGCTGAAGAATGGACACTTTCCACCCAGGGGGACTGTGCTGTATTACTGTAAAATTATTAGCATAACTGTAATAAAAGCATGGACCACATACATAGAAATCAGAGCAAGGTGATCAGAACCTGAGTAACAAAGGAATTTACTGTCTGTCTCTCCCTGAGTGGGGTTTTCTGGCTGTTTGTATTGATGGAGTAATTTTCAGTCCATTTATTACAAATTTGCTTAGTTGAGTTGTAGGATAACAGTTTAGGATATAGTACAACTAGTATGTGCAATGTCATTCAGAGTGGGTGGAGATGGTAAATAAGATGGCATTTTGATGGGCAAAGTGGCTTTTCTAAGTACACCCATAGCTTCTTTTTCTATATTCTAAAGTGATTTGCATTCTGGTTGGTCTTTTTCTTCTGCCTTGAGAGAATCCAGAAATGCTTTTTTAAAACAACAAAACAGTGGTGTTTTTACAACGCAAATACTTTTCAAATAAATCGATGTCATGCCTTACTGTCAACAAACCACTGGTCCTGAAGAGAATGCACTGGTAGCTCTGGAAATGGTCACAATGACTTAGTAAATTGCCTCAGCTGGTAATTGTTTTTAGGAAAATAGATGCTGTGGACACTTCTGAAAGTTAACCCAACAGCAGCCTATGATCAGGACGGTCTACCAAACACTAGATGAATTCTGTGTCCAAAATAGGAAAGCACGGAAGGTCATTACATAATGTAAGATGCATCAGCATTCAGTGCTTACTGATCTATGGGCCTTTTTTAAAAAGTAGTTCAAATAAGTGTCAAAGTCATCACTTTGAAATAGGAGCAGATAACAAAACTTTACAGAAGTTTTTCAGAGAACTAGAACATTCTCATAAACTCACATTTAGAGTCCATTCTCATGGACTGCACATTTTAGAGGTTCCTGAAGGTCAAATAAGAACAAGAGTTGACAGCCCAGAGATTGGCTTCAAGGACAAGCTGCTTGGCTCTCCTGATCCATTTTGTACCACTTGCAGTGGGCAATTCTAGCCTTGGAGTCATAAGCTGGGTATGACCTAAGCATACTTGAAGCAGCAAAAACAGAAATGAATAAAATTGAGATTCGAAGAAAATGGTAAATTGAGTGTTTGACTTTTGGGTGATGGAGACTGAAGGAATTGTAGCGTGAGGCTGTAGTGTGTCCTCTCAGGGGTCATGGGGCCCATCTCTATTTTTACAGATGGAAACTGAAGTTTAAGAATGCCTTACAGTAGAATCTGGATGCTTTCATATGCAGATACAGGGCCCTTTCTACACATCTTTTACCTCTCTTAAATAGGGCACAGGAAGATGACTTGATGATTTAAGAGAAGATTGATGACGGTCATTTCAAATGTAGCCGAGACATTCAGCCAAGAGGTAAACTGAAGAGGTCAAGCACTGCAGAGTTCTAAAATACCTCCTGTGGGGTTTTATGGGGCCCCTGATGGTACTGGCTGAGCTGAATGCTGCTGGGGCGTCAGCCAGAGGTGGTCTACTCCCTTGCAGAGGTGACTGAAAAACCCGTGTCTGGCCACACTTTCCAGCCAAGACTTAGACTCTCCACACTTTAGCATTTTGGAGCTGGAAAAGGCCCCAGAGAGCACTGAGTTGACCTCAGAAGGGTTAAGTGACTACTTCCAAGGTCACGCAGCTGATCAGGGACTGACCCAAGACTGGAATCCGGGCCTCTCTTGTCTCCAACTCTGCAGCAAGAGCCTGGTCATTTGGTGCCAGCATGAGTTGGAGGAGCTTCCGGAGATGGGGCCTCTCTGTCTGGATCTGCTGCTGTGCTGGCTGCGGCTTTTCCGGTTTTAACTGGGAAATCGCCAGAGCTGTCTTAGCGTGATATGCAAGAACCAGGACACAGGAGAAATGCCCCTGAGTAGCATGGCTTTTCCTTTTTGGGAGACAATTTACTGTATTCTGTGGCCCATGGCAGCCTAACTTTAGGATCTACTTAGCGTACCTGAGTTCGTACTGAATTTTTCAACAGAAAGTATGTTTCTCACCTCCTGTGCTGACTTTGGTAAATGTGTACAGGTGAAACCAGCATGTCTTGCTCTCGTCTCAGAGTAAATTCCCATCTGCTGCAAGACTTGAAGAGCTCAGTGGTAGTAGAGTTTTTACTTTAAAACAAAAAGACAACAAGTTTGAGCTTTGAAACTGAACCACCAGGTCCACATTTATTAGTCCTATGGACTTCACCAAATATTTGTCTTCTCTGAGCCTCAGCTTCCTGAGCTGTAAAATGGAGATAGTATTCAATTTAGCCTTGAAGGGAGGTTGTCAGGTTTAAAGTTAATGTTGTGTGAAAGTAGGCAGTATTCCACCTTTACACTGGTAATGTTTTTTAAGTGCTTCAAGGAAGCTCTTATCTAAGTTATAGCCTGATGAAATTTTGTAATGCAAGAAGTTTTACAGGTTAAACTCAGCCATGTAGTTCTTGTAATGATATTCCAATATTAGTGAAAGAAAATCATGTTTGTAACATATAGAAAGATAAAAATAACTTATTCCAAAACAATGACATTCATTGGGACTCTTCTTGAGAAGTTGTATCAATTTTAAGTTGATCTTTTCTTTTCATATAAGTATGTATATGTGTGTCTCTGTGTGTAGACGCATATGTATGCACGCATGTGTATGTGTATGTGTTTATAGATCGAGAGAGATCTCTATATTTTTCAGATACTTGGCCTGTAGAGCAATTTGCATTTTACCTGCAATATAGGTAGGCAAAGAATACCAGATTAAATGTCTCCCACCATTAGGGGGTTTTCCATTTTCCTCCTGTCTGAAGACAGCCTTTCATAGGAACCGCTACATGTCAGGATGGATGGCACCGCACCTCGGCAGCCGCAGGTGCAGCATCCTGTGGCCTCATCCTCAGCATCCTGCCCCATCCCAAAACTGAGCCCCACCATCTGGCCACTGGTTCCTGATGTATCTCTCACTTGTGTGGCCTTGGCTCAGGCAGCAGCTCACCCCTATGGGTCCCATTAGCCCTCACCCTTCCAGGCACAGAAGCTGGACACTATAGTGAAGTAGCAAGGCTGTTCTCCCCACAGCAAGAAACCCCTGAGCCTTCTCTCTGGGGCCCCTGCATCAGCCAAGCCCGGCTCATGCAGATCTCAAGCCTGGCCTGGAAGACATCTCCTGAACAGGACCACTGTGTGTACTGAGGTCAGGCCCCCTCTCTCCTGGGTCCCTCTGAGCCTCAAAGACCTTCCTTCCACCTTCTGGATAAGGAGTTGTGTCCTCACCACTTTGTCCCTCATAGACAACTTTGTGCCATCTCCCTCTCAGGCCCACAGGTTGGGGACTTAGGATGACTTAGAATGAAAGTCAGCTTAGACTCCCTGCCTGGCCAGGCTGAGGAGGGGACAACCAGCTACAAGTAGAAAAATGACCCTTTGATTAAAATATAGTTAACCTGTACTGTTTTAAGACAAATCTGGCATTTTACGAAAAGACTTTGTCCACTCTTGCCAGCTTAACCAATGTAATGTTTTGGATTATGTAATTTTGAGTTCAGCTATTACAGGGAGGACTTGGAGCCCTCACCATTGTTCCTATTAAAACTCAGTTGACTTTACAAAATAGTCACTATCTCAGTCCTTTGTTCCTGGGATGACATTACTATTTTTTTTCCCCATAATCGAGGGCAGCAAAGTCTTTGCGGTGAACTGTTTGTTCCCAGAGTTGTGCCCCGGTACAAGGTTTCATTTCTTTAAGTAACACTATTTATACAAAGAACACATCAAAGTTAAAATATTTTAAATAGAATAACACCAAAACATTTGGTTGCACTCTGAAGGATAGCTTAAATGCATTTGAGCACTTTGGATTTCCAAAAACTTTATATTTTAGATGGACATGTTTTCCAAGATATATCCTCCAAGCAGGTCTGGGAAATGAGCAAAGATATGACCTATTATTTTTTTAATGATGCTCCTCTTTTGTGGTTTGCAAGTATTTCACTATTAAAGTTAATAAATGAGGGTCATTTGCATATCTGACATTCTGCCAAGCCTTTTAAAGGATGAAGACAGAGATGCGCCAGTAAGTCTTAATTTAGGGAACGAATCCAAACCCAGACCCCTCTTCTTTTCC
Organism: Homo sapiens; assembly: GCF_000001405.40. NCBI lineage: Eukaryota > Metazoa > Chordata > Mammalia > Primates > Hominidae > Homo > Homo sapiens. The sequence continues at coordinate 37,821,273 of NC_000005.10, read as the reverse complement.
CTCAGCTCAGTGAATTCCTGGAAAATGGAGGCAGCTGTGGGCATTTCAGCTCATCACCAGGAGTTTCTTGTCTGGGCTGGGTGAGAGGCCTCTGCAGAAGAATTAAGGACAGGCTCAGTGAGGCTGCCCAGCATCCTCTGCAGAGGAGTATGGCGCCTAATGCCCCCAGGTGCCTCGCATCGATAAATTGAGGCTGGCTCTAAGAATGAACTCATTTAGTCGGAACATGCAGGCCTATTTGCCCTGTGGTTTGAAAAATACAATGTTGCCCTTTCCTGGCTTCCAGAATTCATATCCATGTAAATTTTTCAGCAAAAATTTTGTTGTTTCTTCTATTTTTCATGACTATGAAGGAAAAAAAAGCCTTCAGCTTAATAAGAGTTGCCTATGGCCTGAACTTGGGGTTTAAATAATATTTCCACATTAGCAACAAAATGTGAAGGAGATTTCCCATCAAAGGAAGGAATTTTCAAAAGCCACATGCCAGGAAGACTTTAAAAAATAATAATAATAATAGACTTTATTTTTTAGAGCAGTTTTAGGTTCACAGCAAAATTGAAAGGAAGGCAGAGAGTTCCCATATACTCCCTACCCCTACACATGCATAGCCTCCTCCATTGTCAACATCCCCCACCAGAATGCTACATTTATTATAGTTGATGAACCTACATTGACACATCATTATCACTCAAAGTCCACAGTTGACATTGGGGTTCACTCTTGGTGCTATACATCCCATGGGTTTGGACAAATTTGCTATGACGTGTATTCACTATTTACCTGAAATTCAAATACAACCAGGCTTTCTGTATTTTACCTGGCAAACAAAGCCTGTGACAAAGCCATGTGGTCAAAATGTCTTAAAAAGGGGAGAAAAATGTTTTTCAAGTTCTTCCAAGTATCAAGGGCTAAAAAAGAACACTATAAGTGCTGATTCAAATCCTTATGATTGTAACTCTAGTAATAAAAAGTTATATATCATATAGATTAATGAGTCTCTAAACCAGCATGATTTAAACTTCTGTGACTCTAATGTTTTCCTATTAGCTTATATTAAAATTTTAGTAATGTTTTACCCTCATTTCTGATTAATCTTCAGTTGATTGTTAATTGAACTTAACTTTCTATATGCCCAGGTTCCTAAATTAATGACTTATTTAGAATTCTTGAATAGAGCCTATGATGTGAGTCCTTTTGTAAAACAGAGTCTCTGTTTTTTAATTTGAAGACTCTTCTGTATTTTGATTAATCACTCCTAATAGATCTGTTTCATAAGTTCCGATTTATATACAAGCATGTTTTTTTTTGAAACTGGGCACATCTGTATTTATTTCCTCTTTAATAGCTTATTATTGAAAGAAATCACCAATAGCTAAAGCAGCTCATTTTTTTTTAAGTCAATTGTTTCTGTCAACCAAAGTGATTTAATGTTGTTGTTTTGTTTTGTTTTGAAAGAAAACTTCCTAAAGAAAGTTCAGTGAGAAAGCAGTACAAAGGAAAGGACAAATTAAGAGCACTCTTGGCCAGGCACAGTGGCTCACTCCTGTAATCCCAGCATTTTGGGAGGCTGAGGCGGACGGATCACCTGAGATCAGGAGTTCAAGACCAGCCTGGCCAACATGGTGAAATCCCATCTCTACTAAAAATACAAAAATTAGCCGGGTGTGATGGCGGGCACCTGTAATTGCAGCTACTTGGGAGGCTGAGGCAGGAGAATCACTTGAACCCGGGAATTGGAGGTTGCAGTGAGCCGAGACCATGCCATTGCACTCCAGCCTGGGCGACAAGAGTGAAACTCCGTCTCAAAAACAAAAAAAAAAAAAAAAAAAGAAAAGAGCACTTCCCTGGGCCCCCTTAAGAAAGCATTACTCAGGGACCAGAGAGCTTTAGGAGACCCAGGGGAGGTGGGCACTGAGAGTTAATGCTGCTGCAAAGCTGCAGAAAGCTGAGGAGGAAAGGTGGTTTGGAGACAGTCCTTCAGCTCTCTGGTGGGCAATGACTGTGCCACTCAGGGCAGAGTGGCTTTTCTGAGTAATGTGGGCTGTTTACTTTGGAGCATTTCATTTCATAACGATGCAGTTTTCAGCTAAAGTCCCAGAGTCCCCTTGAAAAATTAAGAACTCTCTTTCCGCCTAGTAAAATGACCCGACTCATTCAGCCAGCAGTTACCGTAGGCCTCCACAGCCTACTCAAGCACTTGGAGATCCATCAGTGAACAAGCAGGACAGAGTTCCTGCCTCTTGGAGTTGACATTCTTTTAGAGAAGACAGACTATAAATAACAACCCTAAGAAATCAGTTAGATGGTGTGTTAGAATGTAGCAAGAATTATGGTGGAGGGGGAGGCGCAGGGCAGGGGTATCTGGATTAGGGGCTGGGGAGGAATCTTGTTTTAAATAGGGAGGTCAGGTGGGACTTGTGGATAGTGACATTTGAGCAAAGACTTGAAGGAGATGTGGGACTAGCCACAGGGTGGGAGACATTTAATCTGGTATTCTTTGCCTACCTATATTGCAGGTAAAATGCAAATTGCTCTATAGGCCAAGGGTCCAGGCAGAGAGGGGACAGCCAGCACAAAGGCCCTGAGTTCTTGACTGTTTAAGCTATAGTTCTCAAGGGATGGTGTTGCCCCTAGGGGACATTTGCAATATCCAGAGATACCTTGATCTGTCATGACTAGGATGGGGGATGCTATGGGCCTTGTATTAGTCTGTTTTCTTACTGCTATGAAGAAATACCTGAGACTGGGTAATTTATAAAGGAAAGAGGTTTCATGGACTCACAGTTCCACATGGCTGGAGAGGCCTCACAATCATGGCAGAAGGCAAAGGAGGAGCAAAGTCACATCTTACATGGCGGCAGGCAAGAGGGCATAGGCAGGCAGGGGAACTGCACTTTATAAAACAATCAGGTCTCATGAGACTTATTCATTATTACCAGAATAGCACAGGAAAAACCTGCCCCTGCGATTCAATTACCTCTCACTGGGCCCCCTCCCACAACATGTGGGGATTATGGCAGCTAAAATTCAAGATGATATTTGGGTGGGGACACAGCCATACCATATCAGGCCTCTCCTGGATGGAAGCCAGGGATGCTGCCAAACATCCTACAGTGCACAGGACAGCCTCCCACAATGAAGAATGACCCAGCCGAAAAGGTCAGTGGTGCTGACACTGAGCCCCGTGTTTGAGGAATGGTAAGGAAGCCAGGGTAGCTAGACGGGAGGGAACAAGAAGAGAAACAAGAGAGGAGGTCAGAGGTAATAAAGGCTGGAGGAGAGGGGCAGCCAGGTCAGGTAGGGCCTTTAGGGCCAGTGTGGATTTGGGCTTTTTCTCTAAGAGTAACAGAGAGCTATTGGAAGGTTTTGAGCAGAGGAGGTTATGTTCTGCGTTTAAAGTATCCCTCTGGGTGCTGGGTAGAAAATAGATCGAAGGTGGGTAAGGGTAGAATGAGGAAGCCCAGTTCAGGGGCCACTGTGGTTATCCAGGCAAGAGGTGACAGGGCTTCAGCCAGTGTGGAAACAGCTTTGTGATTTCCGTGCAGCTGATCCTGCCAATGCTAAATTTCAGATAGCAACTAGGCATTCTACGGATTCCAATCACCAGTCTTTTCATTATTATATATCATATGTTTTATATATTACACACACACACACACACACACACACTCTACACACACGTGGTTAAGTTGCTTTTGCTAGATTTTGTTCTATAGGAGGGATACCTGATATATTTTAACAATTAAATAGGTTAGGTTTATGACAAAACAATTTGACATGGGTTAGACATAATGTAATCTTTCTATGCTTTAATACAATCTTGGCAAAAAACATTTACTCTTGCTGACAACTCTTCTTTGGTTTATTTCTCTAAGCCACTTAGAATCCTAAACATACTAAATGACCTGAAAAATGAGGTGAGGGGGGCATAAGAGGCCTACTACCCAAGAAACAGGTGTTTGGATTGTTTTTCCCCCCGTTTAGAAATTTATTACATTGTTCCATTAGTTATTTTTCTCTGCTGACTTGATTGGCCAAAGCAAACACTGAAATCCGGCAGAAAGCACTAAGAGACTGCTGATTTATACTTTCACCAAAGGTCTCAGACATCTTAGTGTCCCTGCATCCTTCCTCCATGTGATCTCCCTAATGAGCCTCTTGTCCTGCTTGCAGCCAGACAGTGGGAGCCATGTGACAGCTTGCAGCTGAGGCTGGACCTCACCCTTGGGGGCAGGGCTGCTTCTATGCACGAACAGCATCTCATTTCATTTATTGCTGTGATACATAAATGCCATTTTACTCTATCACTGGACTTTTTTGTTAAAGTCATGCTGTTCAAAGGAAGCGGTAAATTAGTCTTTTTGTTAGTAAAATATAAACTGTTTTCCTGTTCCTTTATGATTTTTAAGGAAATTTTAAACTATAGTTGCATTCCTGAGCTCTTCATTTGTTCTGTCAGAATGGTTCTTGTCCCACTCAGCCACACAGAATCAAAGCAAGTTTCAGGGAAGAGCACTCAGTATTCCAGATGAAGGTAGCCATAGTGGAAGGCCTCAGTTTTTTCACCCTCTAAGACGGTGTCTCTCAAAGTTTAGTGCGTGGATCTTTGGTGTGTGGATCTTTTACATTAGAATTCCTTGAGGCTTGTTAGAAATGCAGATTCCTTGGTCCCTCCCCAGACCAAATGACTCATTGTCTCCAAGGGTAGGGCCAAGAATCTGCATGGTAGTCAATATCCAGGGTATTTTCCTGCATATTCACATTTGAGAACCACTACTCTAGGTTGTGTGACTAGGCAAGAAAAATGCCCCTAGAAGATTGGCCAGCTCACAGCAAGCTCTGCATGGACTTGTTAAAAATGGTGAATGTTATTCAAATGAAAACTATGCTTCTAAGGATTTGTTTTCTTCGAGAAAGTATGTCACCACCACATTAGTCTCCTCTTCCAACTAAATCATCTTTCTTCTGTGCATTTTTGCCTCTGTTTTTGGGGATTACAGTGGTCCTATAGCTTAATCGGCTGATAGTTTTGCTGTGGGTCCAATTTTTGCTGACTTTAGGGGGGCACTTTGATCTTGAAGACGGCTTGAAATGATCATTTTGTCTCATGTGCCATTTTCTCTTTTCTTTTTGAACAGCAAATATGCCAGAGGATTATCCTGATCAGTTCGATGATGTCATGGATTTTATTCAAGCCACCATTAAAAGACTGAAAAGGTCACCAGATAAACAAATGGCAGTGCTTCCTAGAAGAGAGCGGAATCGGCAGGCTGCAGCTGCCAACCCAGAGAATTCCAGAGGAAAAGGTCGGAGAGGCCAGAGGGGCAAAAACCGGGGTTGTGTCTTAACTGCAATACATTTAAATGTCACTGACTTGGGTCTGGGCTATGAAACCAAGGAGGAACTGATTTTTAGGTACTGCAGCGGCTCTTGCGATGCAGCTGAGACAACGTACGACAAAATATTGAAAAACTTATCCAGAAATAGAAGGCTGGTGAGTGACAAAGTAGGGCAGGCATGTTGCAGACCCATCGCCTTTGATGATGACCTGTCGTTTTTAGATGATAACCTGGTTTACCATATTCTAAGAAAGCATTCCGCTAAAAGGTGTGGATGTATCTGACTCCGGCTCCAGAGACTGCTGTGTATTGCATTCCTGCTACAGTGCAAAGAAAGGGACCAAGGTTCCCAGGAAATGTTTGCCCAGAATGGAAGATGAGGACCAAGGAGGCGGAGGAGGAGGAAGAAGAAGAGGAGGAGGAGGAGGAGGAGGAGGAGGAGGAGGAAGGCAGCCATCATGGGAGCCTGGTAGAGGGAGATCCAGCTACAGACAACTGGACAGGAGAGAGAGAAAACAGCCCTCTGGATTCTCCAGGATGGCAGCCGATGTCACTAGAAGCTCAGGGCTGATGTTCCTGGTTGGCTATTGCCACCATTTCAGCTGATACAGTCCACCATCACTGATTACCGGCGCGGTTGCGGTGGATGCACTTGAACCAAACCAGTGTATCTCCTGTGATTTGTTTTCATGTGTCCGAAGACACCAGGGAAACAGAGATCCTGGTGTTGTTCCTTGTTATTACGTTTTACTGCTGAAAGTAAGAGGTTTATTTTTCTGTCACTCAGTGGAGACATACCCTGGAAAGGAGAGGGGAAAAAAAAAGCAAAGATACAAGAGATAATCACCTTTGCATTTGAAAGTTGAGGCCCGAGGTTTACTACAACCAGCATTTTTGCCAACGGTTGGTGATTGATTTCCATCACGGTGTGTGGGGTGGGAAGAAGTTGGCTAGGAACCAAAAAGGCTGTGCTCATGATTAAACACAAACCTGAAGGTATTTCCTTTATGTCCTTGGAAACAGGAAACGAGTTGTGGTTTTCGCCAGCATTCTTGTAGGAGAGAATCGGGGAAGGCCCCGAACTGCCCCCGGGCAGGGAGAGCCCCTCAGGCCTGTTGGTTTACAGAGAGACAGATGTTACATAACCAGCTCCGTTGATGCGTGGTCACCAGTGACCAGAGAAGCTACTCGATGCAATGCATCTGTTTCAGATACAGAAATATAGAGAAGATATTTATTGAAATTTAAGTTATTGTTATTTATTACCGTTCACTAATGAATTTCTCTTTTTTCCCTTATTTATTAAAGTTTCTTTTCAAAGGTGCCAAAGTATATGTGCTCGCAAAATGCAAAGAAAGGTGACAAAAGGAAATTTGAATTGGGAACAAGGGTCCATGCTTTTCAAAGTATTAAAAAGTTTTTTGCCAGGCAAAAATCACTTACTTTACCTTTTTAAGAAAATTTGTCATTAATTTTCCCCAGATTTCAGCATTTTTCCCAATTTTTATTTGTGGAGCATCTCAGGCAAGCCCCCTTTCCTGGAGCAGCGTGCAGAGACCACTGGCACTTGACTTTATTTCTTCCTTGCTCCATTGCTGAACAGAAATGTCGTGGGCTCCACTTCCTGTTGTCTTTAAGCTCTTAGTCCCCTCCACGTATACCTATCTGTACTATGCATAACCATATGTAGAAAAGGTTCAGTTCCTTTTAGTAGGTAGTCCTGGATTTAATGCTGACCTAAAAGTAATGTCGACAATGCTGTCAGGTAGCTGCCGTTCTACCGACTCCCTCCATCCCTGCCCACCCACTGCCCTCCCGAGAATATGCTGGCTGCCCAGTGCAGCCCGGGAGACACAGGGGCCTTCCAGAGGTAGGGTCTACCAGGTCCTGTACAACCCCTGGGCTGTCACCGGGGGTCAACAGCTGCTGCTCCTATATACCCAAACACCTGACAGCTCCCTGGGGAGCAGATGGCTGAGAAGGGTGCTGAGGAAGCCATATTGGGACCAGCCACAGCCACACACATGGAGCCTCATACTTAGGAGCGTGCTGCCTTTAAATGAAGGTGGTCGGGGCCAGTGCAGCGGCTCACACCCATAATCCCAACACTTTGGAAAGCCAAGGTGGGAGGATCTCTTGAACCCAGGAGTTTGAGACCAGCTTGGGCAACATAGGGAGACCCTGTCTCTACAGAAACTTTAAAAATTAGGCAGGCATGATGGTGCACACCTGTGGTCCCAGCTACTCAAGAGGCTGAAGGAGGATCACTTGAGTCCAGAAGGTCGAGGCTGCAGTGAGCTGTGATCATGCCACTGCACTCCAGCCTAAGTGACAGTGCGGTACCCTGTCTCAAAAAAAAAAAAAAAAAAAAAAAGAGGTTGGAGCAGGAGGAAGCATAGGGGCGGGAACAGCCACCTCCTCCATGCCCTAGATTGTGAATTTATCGGGCAGCCAACACATGTATGACACACTAGGCCCTGTATTACAGCTTGTTACGCATTTCATAAAAGGGATTTTCATTAAGGAGATAATCTATTACTACCTACCTTAGTGGCTACTAGTATAAAACTATGACAGATTTAGCAATTAAATGAAATACTGGCCTCCATCAAATAATCATAGTAACAAGAAGCAGCAGTTACCAGACATCTGATCCCCTTCCCCCAAAATACCCAAATTCTTCATGGTTCTGCCCTTCTCTGTCCTTTCTGCTCCCCTTGCTCGCCTGGGAAATGGAGGAAAGGCCTTCCCTCTCACACTGTCTTGGGATCTTGCTGAGAATTCAGACTGCTCGAAACAGTGACAAACCCCAGCCATCCAGTCATTCGTGGAGCACAATTTGGATGTGGCCCCAGGGGCATCTGTCCCATTCAGAGAACCTTGGCAGTGCGATGGCCACTGTTCCCAGGCTTCAACCTCAGTGACCCCCCCCAACAACTCCCCATGGAGAGTCCCTGCCCAAAAAAGCTGTAGGATCCAAGGGGTGTCAATAGCTCGTTCCCGGCATCACCTACACACCACAAGCAGGTTTTAATGGAAGCAAGTTGCTCCACCAAATCCACAAAAGGGTAAAGTTTGTGATTTTTCTTTATCATTGCGATCACCATCTGATACCGTAAGGAGTGCACTTGTTTGGAAGTTCTGACTTCTCTGATCTGTCTTGGTCGTTTGTGTTATAAAACCAAAGTTCTCTACAGACTTTATTTTTGTACAATATCATTTTGTAACTTTTTACAAATAAAAACTCATTTCTATTGCTCTCTGTACTTCTGTACTTCCTTGCATGCACTGGGCCAGGCAGCCATCCACAAGTATTTCTTAGGAATCACCCCCTTCTTACCACACAGCCCACTGGATGGTCAGTGGCCTTGCCTATCAACTCCCAGCAACCAATCACCCACTCAGGAGGGACAAAACTTGCAAAATTGTTCTTATTCATTCAACAAACCCTTATGGTGTGCCTACACTGTGCCAGGCACTGTTCCTGGCACCAGGGCTCTAATGGTGACCAAAGCAAAAACCGCTGTCCTCCTGGAGTTATTTTATTTGCGGGGAGACAGACAACATTCAAAAAAGTAAAATATGTAGTGATCCCTGTGTTGAGAAACGCTAAAAGAATACAAACAGGATCCTATAATATAGACACTAACAGGGGAGCTTGCTTTAATTAGAAATGACTTTAAGACCGAAGTTAAGAAACAGTGCCAACAGATCAGGAGCGTCCCAGGCAGAAGAAGCAGCTTGTATGAAACTGAGTCACGTCACAGACTGCCTTGTGACTATCAAAAGGCGGCCTTGCATGGTGCTCTATGGCTCTTCTGCATGGCCCCAGCCTAGGCTGCCCCATGGATGGCATTTGTGCTGCACTAGCCTTTGCCTGAAATGCCCCCTCTTCCCGATGCACGCCGTCCCTGCGTGGAGACTTGGTGGAGTCACGGGTACCAACCTGTGGGTTCAGGCATTCAGAGTCCTTCTGCCAGGACTGGCTGGAAGAGGCTCCAGGGTGGTGCTGAGGCCAGCTGCGTTTTCTCCAAGCCAAAATTCCAGTCCAAAGTCAGTGACTTGGAGCGGGAACATAAGATGGTAAAACTCCTGCTTACCTCCTCTCCCTTTTTAGAGCTATTTTCCCAAAGTGTGTCCAGGATTACTTACCCAGTGAGATGCTCCTCAAATTTAAAAAAAAAAAAAGGGAGGAGGACAGGATGGTTCTCTGATCAAATAACTTTGGAAAATACTGAGTTAAATAGCATCAACCCATGCTTTAAGGTTTAAAATATAACTGTAGAGCTTATCAGAGCCTTTATTGGGCCAATGATTGTTTCACAGTCCAGGGGAGGGTGTCGTGTGCAGAATTCCCCATGTAGACGTGACCATGGATCCATGGGTTCATTGTTTTGTCTTCTTTCTCATCACACCTGGTGACCACCCTGGAAACTATTTTGGGCCATCTTGCGTGTTCCTGTGAGTTTCATGGTGAGTCACGAGCTGTACTAGAGATTAATAAGAGGCAGAAACTACTGGGCAGCTCCCTACTGGGAGGGCACCCCTCCCCAAACACACAACACACACACACACACACACACACACACACACACACACACACACACACGGTATTTGGACCCTGGTTTCTTGCTCAGCATGAATAACAAAACGATTAACCAGTGGTCAACTTTAGAAACTTCCTTAACCAAGAAAAGGAGAATGTGCTGAGAGCTGGGAAGTCCCCAGCAGCCTGGGGGCGCCTGCACCTTGCTCCCCCGTCCTTCTTGGGCTGGTGCTTTGCTGGTCTGCAGCCCTGAGTGCGCGCCACCCCTCACTGCGATCCCCAGAGGGAAGGCCATGCTGTTGGCCTCCAGCTCTGAAATCCGCGCTGCAGAGAAGGGTGGAAGAGCACTGGGTGAGGAGCTTGGATACTGGTCCCGACCGCCTTATGTGGCTTGTGCCCATGAGATCATCTCAGGCCAACTTTCTGCTGTGTTAAGGAGGCACTCTGGGGGACCGTGAGTGTGGAGTGAAGTAGGTTAAAGTGAACTTTTAAAAGAATCAATCCATTCCCGAGATAGAGGTGGAAAATCAGAATTTCCTGAACCTACGTCTGAAAAACAAAGACCTTCCCTTCGAACACAAGATCCTCCGTTGGCCACGGCTGATGTACTAGCTGACACCAGAATCCCTTGGGAGGGGGAATCCTGTTGCCTCCACTCATAGTCCACCCAAGGAGGGGGCGTGGGTTTTAGCCGAGGGTCTATGGCTTTTTTCCATCAGGTAATGAAAAAGCCCCAAGGGTCTTCTTGGGACACACGTTTGTTAACGGAAGCGCTGCTGGAATCCCAGGCAATAGTTAACTCATCTTTAGTCTCAGCCTCACAACATCCTGAATGAAATGAAAACCAAATGCTGCCAAGTCATCCCTGAAAACAGACAGTTGGGGAAACGAAGGGCAAGCACACATTTACTCATATTTACTCATCTAAGACAAGGAATACACTGTCACGTCCCTGGCCACGGCAGCTGAGTGGGATGAAGATGGGACTGCAGCTGCAGGGAGGAGTCCGTGATACCCCGAAAGCGAGACGTGCAGGGAGAGGTGTGGAGAGAGCGCTAAAATGCCTCAGAGAGAGCCGCAGGTGGGATAAAGAGCCGGAAGGAAAACAAATCAGAAACAGCTACAGATTAGTGTTGCCAGAGAAAATACAGGACACCTAGTTAAATCTGAATTTCAGATAAGCACGCACAATTTCTTAGTACAAGCATGTCTCATGCAACATGTGGGACATGAGACATGTGGAACATACTCATGCCTGTTATAACAAATAATATATATTTGTAATTTGTCTGAAGTTCAAATCCAAGTGGGCATGCTGTATTTTAATTTGCTAAATTTGGTGAAAGTTACATTGGAGCTGGACCTTGCAAGTGAGTAGGAATCTGTCACGTGGGCCAGGTCAACACAGGCTGGGATGGACGACAGACACTCCAAGCAGGAGGAACAGTGCGACCCAAAGTGTCAAAAGGGCAGGGTGGTGGGCTCAGAGTGGGCTAAGCTATTAGACACAGCAAACACAGTGCCTAGGGGCCCAAAAACTTTTTAAACATTTTTCAAATCAAAAGAAAAATAAATATAACAATAATGCATATATAATAATTAACCCAGCTTAGATTGTACTTGTCTATAGCAATGCAGTTATATATTTTAATGGAGAAGGGGCCCACAGAGGCAAAAAAGCCCAGAGCCCATGAAGAGTCATCATGCAGCCCTGGGTGCACTGCTAACAGCAAATTTTCTGTGTCCTCTGCTTCCAGTTTCCTTCTAGTTTTCTCTTTTTCATGAATTATTAAAGCCAACTTTGTCCTTAAAAAAAAAAAATCCCAGCACTTTGGGAGACCGAGGCAGATGGATCACCTGAGGTCAGGAGTTTAAGACCAGCCTGGCCAACATGGTGAAACCTCATCTCTACTAAAAATACAAAAATTAGCCAGGCATAGTGGCGCACATCTGTAGTCCCAGCCACTCAGGAGGCTGAGGCACAAGAATCGCTTGAACCCAGGAGGCGGAGGTTGCAGTGAGCCGAGATAGTGCTACCGCACTCCAGCCTGGGTGACAGAGTGAGATGGAAAAACAACCCTTCTTTCCATTCTTCAAGTTAGATTGTTTTCTCAAGATATTTGCATTTACTTTCTACTTAGGGAAGCATAAACTTAAGGCCATGCCATTGATATTCCAATGCTCATTCATGATTTCTGAGAAGCGACAATATGAATCAGTGGCCCAAGGGCATGGCAACAGAGGGAAGAGCACGTCAGATGGAAAGTGGACGGGGTGGGCAGACCGTGAGAGGGATGGAGAGAAGACTTCAGCCTCCAGGAAACCAGAGAACCATAGAGCTGAGCAATGGTGAAGAAGGATGAGGTTTCAGAACATGTGGAATCGATTGTTTTAACTTGGGAAACTCTTTAAAGTGGTACATGTAGGGGATTTTAACCCACTCCCTGCTCACCTGCTCCGGGTCTGGGTCTCATTCATTTAATTAATTTCTGAGAAGCTATCTCCTGCCAGGGGAGAATGTAAAGATACAGAGACAATGCTGCAAGGGGCTCCCAGATTAGAGGGACAGAAATGGAGCATAAGAACGTGGGGAGGGGCAGCGATGAAGACGTGCAGTGAAGGGTGTCATGGAGCTCCCGGGAGGGACAAGGAATCCTGCTGACCCTGGGGAGCAGGGGAGGCGGGTGGGGAGGTCGGGGCGGGGTGATGCTATCAGGGACTACCTCCTGGAAGTGGCTGCCTAAACTATTAAAGGATGAGTAGGAATTTCCCAGAGAGGGCTTGAGGGAGGGGAAGGCATTCCAGGCTGAAGGGACACTGAGAGCTCAGCCGTGACACCCAGACACAGCCTGGGGTGCTGTTGGCTTGGGAAGGTGGAGATGGGGAGAGGACAGAGCTCTGGATGGCAGGGCGGCTAAGCTTCACTGGGAGGAATGAGAGGGGAGAGAGGCCTCCCATGGAGAAAGGCAGCCATGAGGTGGGGGACCAGGGAGCTCTGCTCTGCCAGGCTCCAAGCTCCTTGGGAAAAGGATCACTTTGGATCTTCACATCCACCCCCCCCTTTCAGACCCACCGCCTCTGCAGCCCCTCTCGAGCCCATGCTTTCAAGGCCTTGTCTGCACTGATCTCATTCTCCTACAGACTGGCCTACCAGGAACATTTGCTTCCCACAGGAGACTCAGTAGGACTGCAAGGCTGTTTCCCAAGCTGCAAGCGTTTCCCAAGCTGCCCGGTGGAACCCTAGGAAGCATCTGTGTAGGCTGGAATTCCTTGATCTTAAACATGGGAGAAATGTCACATACTTCAGTCCCCTCTCACGGAGCAGCAACGACATCACACATTCCATATGAAGCAAGGATCTGAGAAGGCCTGTGGAGGGAAGCCCTGTTTAATCTTGTCTAACCCAGCATCTCCCAATCTTATTTGACCAAGGAGCACCTGTTGGCATCTAACAGAAGTGTTCTGCTGGACAAAATGTGGAAAATGCTATTCTAGAGCCAAAGGAATGAATCTGTAACGGAACAATTACACACATCAGAATTCTTTCTGGCCAGGGGGATCTTCCCAACCCACCATTTGTGGAAAGGCACACTTGGCCAGAAGGACTCGACAAATGGCCAAGTTCTCTTTCACACATCATTTCTTTCACACATGGCACATCAGACTGGGCCAGTGAGCATTAAACACAGGCATGTTCACATTTCTTTTTTTTAAACATTTTTTAATTCTTAATTTTTGTGGGTATATAGTAAGTGTATATATTTATAAGGTAGAGATTCTTTGATACAGGCACACGATGTGTAATAATCACATCATAGGGTATCCATCCCCTCAAGCATTTATCCTTTGTGTTACAAACATTCTAATTATACTCTTTCAGTTATTTTTAAATGTACAATTAAATTATTATTGACTATAATCACCCTATTGTGCTATCAAATACTAGGTCTTATTCATCCTTTCTAACTACTTTTCATACCCATTAACCATCTCCACATCTCTCCCACCATGTTCTCATTTCCCCCTGAGCTTGAGCTGAGATGACCAACCCTCCTCCCTCAGCCTCACTCTCCACCATCCTCTACCCTCACTCCACCTGGCTGACCCTGCCATGGCACAGTTGTGGTCATCATTAGTGCAGTTCACTTCACAATTACAGATCCTGTCCATTTCTCGGCACATAGTAAGATTGTATGTTTCAGTTCCCTTGTGGTTGACTGAGGCCAATGATTGGCCAAAGAGCATGAGCAGAAGTGACCAGTGAAATGTGACATTCTGAGCCTTGTGTTTAGTGGACATTATGAGATCCTCCAAAGCCTCTTTCTTTTCCTCTGAGACAGCAGCTGGCAATATTCAAGATGGCGGCAGTTCTGTCTACTTCAAGTGCTGATGGTAAACAGAGCCCCTCTGCCAACCCACAACAGGCACAGCACAACGTGGTAATTGAGGAATAAACCTTTGTTATTTTGAGCCACTGAGATTTGGAGGTTGTTTGTTACTGCAGCCTATATTAGCCTATTCTGACAGGCACAAGCTTCTATTGTGAAGAGGTGCATTATGGGCCATGAAGAGAGCAGTCCCGTAGAGATGGGGAAAAAAGCAAGCAGAGAGGCCCAAAATGATGGGGGAGCGGGAAGAAATAAAGCTGAAAAGGCAGCCAAGATCACGTAGAGTCTTTCCGGCCGTGGTGGCAATTTAGGATTTCATTCTGAATCAGACAGGAAGCCATCCGAAGGTTTTAAGACAAAGGGAGACAGGATCTGGGTGTGTTTTTAAAGGATTATTCTAGCTGCTTTGTTGAGGACAGACTGTACAGGGGCAAAAGCAGAAGCATGGAGACTAGCTAGGAGGCCCAAGTGAGAATCCATGTGGGTGATAACGGTAACTTGGACTGGGGTGTAGCGATAGCAGTGCTGACACAGTGTACCCAAAGATCAGGCATAAGGAGGACAGGAGAGAAGAAGAGAAAATGCATCATCAGAACAGCACCGAGGCTGACGCCCGTGCAGTGATATCTCTACGAGGTGAAATAGGGAGGGTTGGTGTCTCATTCTGGATGTTCTCTGCTGGGAAGGTAAGAAAACAGACCCTCTCTCCTGACATCCTAACTCAGGGTAAGGCAGGAACCAGTGCAGGGCGAGGATCTGAGGGAGCCTGCCAGCCCGAGGTCTGGAATGCCATTTAAAGTGCATGCCCGGTGCGTTGGCTCACATTCCGGGATGAATCTGCCACCGCTCCCTCTGACAATGTTTAGCATGAAATAAAAAGTATGGCTTTCAAATGATACCACGAGGAAGATTCTTGAGCAAATATGGCCAAAGTTTCTCTGCAGAATGTTCTCGGAGGCTGGGATTCCAACCACCTCCAGCCTTCTTTTTCCACCCAGTCCTTCCCAGTCCTGCAGTAAGGTTTGACCAGACCACGGCATTGGCCTCCTCACAGGGTTACCTGATCTTGCTGCCAATCAAATCACTCAGACTGCCAATCAGAACCTCCACAATCTGTTCCAAACAAAACTTTTCTCTAGTTCTTGTTTGGTTTTTGTCCCCGAAATCTTCCTTTTACACCAAAACTCAACCCTTCAGTCACTGTGGATGTCCTACAGAACTTCAAAATACATGTTGAGCTTGTGGCAATTTCTCAGTGTTGTACCCTTGCCCCAGCCATTTTCTCTGCTGGAAATACTGTCCCTCACATCTTCAATGCTCCAAATACTCCCGTGGCGGTATTTATCACTCACTTAACTGTGATTCTATAGCCAAAGTGCTTTATGTGTGGGTCAGGCTGATGACATGAGAACTTTTTCTTTTAGATTTTTTTTGTAGATATGTAAATAAGTTATGCACCGATCTTATGATCTCTGCTAAGTTGAGGGGCTCCTTGAGTGCAGGAGCAGGAGCCATGTCTGGCTCACCTTTAAATCCTGAAGAGCCCTGAGCACCTGCCTCCTCATTTGACCAAGGAGCGCCTGTTGGCATCTAACGGAAGTGTTCTGCTGGACAAAATGTGGAAAATGCTATTCTAGAGCCAAAGGAATGAATCTCTAATGGAAGAATTAGGTAGCAGATGCTCAGAAAGCATCTGTATTTGTCAGGACTTTGGCTTACAGCAGCAGTCTCCAAACTTTTTAGCACCAGGGACTGGTTTCATGGAAGACAATTTTTCCATGGACCAGTACTGGTCTGCGGCCTGACCACTGGGAATCCCTGGCTTACAGGTAACAGAAACTCAACTCAAAGTGCCTGAGACAATGAAAGGAAATTGATTGGTTTGTGTAATGGAAAAGTCCTGGGGTGGATCTGGCTTCAGAAAAAGCTAGATGCCAATTACCAGTTGATGTTATGAAGAACAGCCACCTCTTCCTCACTCCCACTTTCCTGTTTGCCTCTGTTGTTGGCTTCATTCTCAGACTGTCTTTCCCCACATGGTAGCAAAGATGTGCAGTGGAAGCTACAGGCTTAGAACCCACTCTCAAGAAGAACTGTGTTCCTTACTTGACAATTCCAGCAAAAATCTTTTGGGAACTCTGATTGGTCAACTAAAGCCAAATGCCAATTTCTTGACCAATCACTATGGTGTAGGGGATGGATAATTCTGTCCTAGGCACATGCCCACCTCTGATGCCAGCAGGTGGAATGACCTCATCCAAACTGCATGGACTAAGAACATGAAAGGTGAGATACTGAAAAGGAAATTTAGGTGCCGTGACCTAAAGAAGGGATGAGGGATGCCAGGCAAGCAAGAACAACAGATGTCCCTAACAGAGTCCTTTTTCTGTGACAGCACACTACAGCAAAACAAATTGGCACCTCTTTTTACAGGTCAACCTTTACAACCATCTGCTCAAAGAAATTAATGTTCCCATCTTGGCTGACTTATTTGGCCATAACAGCAAGTTCACATAACGTTCAAACAGAGCAGTAGGGAGTAGGTAGCATGGTTAGGCATAATTGGGAGAAATATGAATATTGGCATTTCAGTTTCATTTTACAAAGAAAAGAAGCATTGGATGAATGGGTGGATGGATGTCTGGATGGATGATTGGAGAGATGGATGAATGAAGCAGTGTTCTATTTATTTAATTTTGCCATTATATTTAGATTAAAATCCTGTTACAATGGACTGCATTATAAAGACAGTTCAAAGAAGGCTCAATTAATAGGAAATCCTACTGCAGTGGCTTAATGAGGGTTTACTTTTTTCACATAAATAAACATTTACTAACATACACCTGTTATATGTCACAGAAATAATTTTTGCAGGTAGACCTACCACTGGGTGTTAAAATTAGTGGGCAAATATTTAAGGAGAAGAGGATATTTGCATAATCTCAAAATAACTCCCCTAAGATACTTATTAATCACAAAGGGAAAAATAATAACTTTATTGTGGAGAAACCCAACAGGCACCACCTTAACCAAGTGATCATTGCTAAGATCACCAGTAATAAGATATGTTGATATCATGTTCCCTGATATAGTGATGCACTGAGAAGGGCATAACATCACTCCTGTGTTATGTTTACCCAAAATGCAAAACCTCAAACTAGTCTTGAGAAAACATCAGACAAACTCAAATTGAGAGACATTCTGCAAAATAACTGACCAGCACTGAAGTATATGAGAGACAAGACAAGACAAAAGAAATGTTCCTAGATTGGGGGAAACTACAGAAACACGACAATTAAATCAATGTGGGATCTTGGATTGGATCCCAGAGGAGGAAAATAACATGCATTAATCCTTGGGCTACTCTAGCAAAATACACTAGGTGGCTTATAAACAACAAAAATGTATTTCTCACAGTTCTGGAGGCTGGGAAGTCTAAGATCATGGCACTGGAAGATTCAGTGTCCAGTGAGGACTCACTTTTTGGTTCACAGAATAGAATGGTGCCTTTTCATTATGTCCTCACTTGATGGAAGGGGCAAGGCAGCTCCCTGGGGTCTCTTTTATAAGGGCACTAATCCCATTCATGAGGACTCTACCCTCATGATCTAACCACCTCCCAAAAGGGCTCCCTCCTAATACCATCAATTTGGGGGCTGGGATTTTAACATATGAATTTGGGAGGACACAAACATTCAGACCATAGCAAATATTAGTGGAAAAATGAGTGAAATCTCTCTCTCTCTTTTTTTTAATTTGAGATAGAGTCTTGCTCTGCAGCCCAGGCTGGAGTGCAGTGGCGCAATCTCTGCTCACTGCAACCTCCGCCTCCCAGATTCAAGTGATTCTCCTGCCTCAGCCTCTTGAGTAGCTGGGATTACCACCACCCTGCCTGGCTAATTTTTTGTATTTTTACTAGAGACAGGGTTTCACCATTTTGGCCAGGCTGGTCTCAAACTCCTGTCCTCAAGTGATCCACCTACCTCGGCTCCCAAAGTGCTAGGATTACAGGCGTGAGTCACCGTGCCTGGCCAAAAAATGGTAAAATTGTAATTAAGTCTGTAGTTTAGTTAATAGCATTGATCCAAAGTTAATTTCCTGGTTGTATTCATTGTACCATCATTATGAAAGATGTTAACAGAGGAAGCTGCGTGAAAGGTGTATGGAAACTCTTCTCATTAATTTTACAACTTTTCTCTCAGTCTAAAATTATTTCAAAATTAAAACTTAAAACATAAAACCATTATGTAGGTCCTTAGTTAGTTATGAACCATTGTATTGCCACCACAAATCAAAGGTTCCTAGGATTTAGTGCCTGGATCATAGGTGCAGACAAATGTTTTTGGAATTTAGAGGAAGAAGGGAGTAGTGTGGCCTTGGTAACTTTGATGTCTCTGGGAAGAAGTTCAGGCCAAGTGATGTGGCTACAGCTAGAACTTCAGCTAGTTCCCTACTCCATAGGGGACCCCAACTGAGCAAAGATACAGAAATGTGAATGACTGATCATGGCATGTTCTGAAAGTTGTCCAAACTTCTTTCCCAGTCAGTAAGAAGGACTCTGGGCTCTGAGCTGGTCTAGAATTCTGGAATTTCAGACTTGCTGTGGAAGTAGAAAAGGCAAGGGATTGGCTGTGGGACATGAAATATGGGGAAATAAAGGCAGCATCTCGGAAGAAATAGGTTATGGAAGAATAAGTACTAGATAAATATTTGTGTTCAGAAAGACACAAAAATATGAATGAAGTCTGAAACTAAAAGCCGGAGCACACACATTAGGAGACAGCTTTTAAGGGCACCAAGCTTATGTAGACCATAATACCCTGGAGTGAATATTAATTTGGAGGTGTAATGAGTCATATAGGGTCAGCTAAGAAGTTGTGCTTTTCTCAGTTGATAATGCCAAGCAGACCTCCTTCAACTTCAATGTGCATACAAAGCACCCAGGGAACTTGTTAAAATGCAGATTCTGTTTCAGCAAGTCTGAGATGGAGCCTCAGATTCTGCATTTCTAACAAGTTCCCAGATGATGCTTGTGCTGCTGGTCCTTAAACCATGATTTGGGTAGTAAGGAGGCAGTCCATTGGAGATGTTTGAACAGAGGGAAGACAGTGAAAGCAATAGAAGAACCGTCATCCAGATACATGTTTAATAAGGTGGCACTGGTTCCAAATACCTTCCTGGCCTGAGCATGAGGCTAAATAGTCAAGCACAGAGTCAACACTGAAGGCTAAATACTTTGTATGCAAAGCCCTATTGGGCAAGTAAAACTGGTTAGAAGAGCAGACAATAGCTGCCCTCTGGGAATAGATAATCCAGAGGTGACACTGCCTTGTGTCTGTAACACTAAGTAAGGGTTCCCTGATCACAATCTTACCGCCAAAACTGCCTTTGGCCTGGCCCATTTACACTGCAAGTTCATGCAAGCTGAGCTCTTCCCAGTTCTTTTCACCTGTTATCACATAGCAGGTCTCCTTTATTTCTAACTCAAACATACCTGTTATTCAAGAAAAGATCTTCCAAGCTTCACACCAAGATACATCAAAATGCCAAAAAAATACTCACATCAAAATGTGTGCAAAATGCAGGAGCTAAAGGGAAAGAAAAAATGAGAAGACCCTTTGACCTCTCTTAGTGACTAAGTCCCTCCTCCTCTAGAAGACGGATGTTAGTTCTTCTTTCTTTCTCCACTAGAAAAGTCAGGAATGCCATTTCTAGAAATCCACCGGGAAGATATTCTCATTTTCTGTTGTATCTGGAAGGCAGGCCTTTTCCCTACATGATCAGATTTTATTCTCCCAAATGAGCAGAGTGGATTCTTCCTGCCTGTACCATGTGATGACCAAGACACAGCCTTTGCCCTCAAGATGCGAAGAATGCATGGCTGATTATTCAAATACAAGGTAAAACTGAAGCAGATACCAAAGACTGAAGGAACTCCAAGGAGATAATGTCCTGCGGACTCCATCAACATTTCCAGTTAGAATCCTTTGGGAGTAGGAGTTGTAGTAGAAGTTGGAGAGATTCACCCTGAATAAGGGAGTCTGGCAGCCCCCTCCTCAGCCCAGCATCTGGTATAACACACCCTTAGCATCTGCCATCTCCCTATGGGCTGGCAACACCATGGCTGGTGGAGCTCCCCCACTTTTAGGTGGAAACTCTATACTGGATCCTACAGACCAATTCATTTCGGTGTCATAGGGCACACTGTCTTGTGGTTCCCCATGGTTGGTGCCTTTTTCTTACAACTGACTATTTCTAAATCACGGCTGTAAAATCCTCCAAACCCATGTTTTTTCTCCTGAGGCCCTTTGCTCTGAGTCTTACTGTTCACTCCCTACCCTGGCTTCAGGGCCATCCCTTGATCATGGATCACACACCCTGGCAGCCACAGAACCTTGTCCACTCCTCCTCCTTCCTCTCCACTCTACCCCTTTCTGAGCAAGGAAGACAAGAATCCCCCAATTTCCACCCCACCTGCCATCTCCATCTTCCTGGTATTTGCTTCACCTGCTCATACTGAGTATTGCTTGGGAACACTTTTCCCCTTTCCTATCCAAATCCTAGTATTTCAGGCCTGTGTTCACTGACATAGCTTTGGAGATAAACTGTTAGAAGATTGTTTTCTACAAGCCCAAACGCATCCCTAGGTTTCTGATAGAGGTGCCAGCATCAAGACATAGACAAAATCCTAAGGTGACAAATGCAAATCAGCTATCAGGGCTGTGTTCAGGGCTGTTAGAAAATTTTTCAACATACTAAATTTAGCAGAGTTTATTTGAGCAAAGAAAGATTCATGAATTGGGCAACACTCAGAACCAGGAGAGGTTTAGACAGCTCTCCTCTGCAAAGTGGGCAGTGAGTATTTATAGACAGAAACTGGGGGTAAAGTACAAAAACAGCTTTATTGGTTACAGGACTGCAATTGCTTTATATGGACATGGTCTGATCAGTTGGCTGGCTGTGATTGGCTGAGACTCCACTGTTTGTTATACTCCCAAGCTAGGTTTTCAGTTTGTTTACGTACTAAGTTATGTTGCAGTTCCTTACACAGGAACTCAAAGTATAGAGACAACCTCAAGCCAGTGCCCTCCTGCTGTATTAATTTAACAGGGAGCTTCCTCTGCCTCCCTCCCCTATCACTATAACCAGCTACATAATTTGCAGAGCCCAGTGCAAAATGAAAATGCAGGACCCCTTGTTCAAAAACACATTCAGGATTTCTGTAGCAGCAGAATATTAAATCAAGTATGGGATGCTGTGAGTGTAGAAGTCCAGGGCCCACTATCTCTTCCTTGAGTGAGCTGAGTGTGCTCCTGCCTCAGGACCTGGGCATTCACCACGGACTCCACCTGGAATTCTGTCCCTTGAGTTCCACATGGCTCTCTCCCTCACTTCCTTCTTTCTCTGCCCAAATGTCACCTCATTAAAGGGGCTTCCTTTGACCCTGCTAACTAAAACCCCCCTTAGCCCATCACTCCCTATCCTGTTACCCTGCTTTATTTTTCTTTCCTAATCTGAGCAATCTGAGCACTAGCTAAAATAATGTATACATTTCTTTATTGCTCTTTTCTCACCTCAATATAAACTCCCTGAGAACAGAAACTTTGATTCTGCAGTGCCCATAATAATCATTGCATACATATATACAGGGTAAGTCAATAAATCATTAGACTTTTTATTCAATTCAATAACTTACTTTTGGGAAAATGTAATAATAAAGAAATTCAAACAAATTCTAAAGAGACAAAATTTGAGCTTTGTTACATTCTTTCAAATTCTCATCTCCTTTTATTGTTTTTTTTTAATTGTGGTGAAATTCACATAACATACAATTAGCCATTTTAAAGTGTGAGATTTAACAGCATCTAGTGCAATCACAATGTTGTGCAACCACCACTTCTCTCTAGTTTTAAAACTCTTTCATCGTTGCAGAAAAATACCCCTAATCCAGTAAGTAATTATTCCCTCTAGCCCCTCTGCCCTCCATCTTCTCTGTTAAAAACAAATCTGCAGCTGGGCACAGTGGCTCAAGCCTGTAATCCCAACACTTTGGGAGGTTGAGGTGGGTGGATCATGAGGTCAGGATTTTGAGACCAGCCTGACCAACATGGTGAAACCCCATCTCTACTGAAAATTTAAAAATTAGCTGGGCATGGTGGTGCATGCCTGTAATCCCAGCTACTTGGGAGGCTGAGGCAGGAGAATCACTTGAACCCAGGAGGCGTAGGTTGCAGTGAGCCGAGATGGCGCCACTGCACTCCAGCCTGGGCAACAGAGTGAGACTCTGTCTCAAAAAAAAAAAAAAAAAATCTGCTTTCTGTCTCTACAGATTTGCCTATTCTGATGTTTCATATAAAAAGAATCATACATGTGACTTTTTGTGTCTGGCTTCTTTCACTTAATATAATGTTTTTGAGGTTCATCCATATTGTAGCATGTATCAAGACTTTGTTTCTTTTTATGGCCAAGTAACATTCCTTTATATAGATATACCACAATTTGTTTATTCATTCATCTATTGATGGACATGTTGCTTGTTTCCATTTTTTGGCTATTACAAATAATACTACTGCAAACAATTGTGTACAAGTTTCTGTGTGGACATATGTTTTCATTTCTCCTGGTAAATATCTTGGAGTAGAATTCCTGAGTCATGTGGTAATTTTAACTTTTTGAGGAACTACCAAGCTGTTTTCCCCAACAGCTGCACCATTTTACTCTTTCTTATTACCATCACCATTACCATTATTACAACAGCTCATATTAACTGGGCCAGGCACAGTGTTTGAAAGCAACCATTTTGCTGAGCCCATGCATAACCTCCATCCCTGCCACTATGGCCATTTTGTTCATGGGCCCACTGGGCAATGACAGGGGTGGCTAGGGAAAGAGGCTGAGTAGTTTCCACAGAATGGGTCACCCTAGCCACTTGATTATTAAAATCCCCGCCTGCTGAGACCACCCGTTGGTGAGCACCCACATGGGATACAAATATCTTCACAGTTTTTGACCACTCAGAGAGGTTCATCCACATACCTCTTCCCCAAATTCCTTTGTCACCAATTTTCCAATCATGCTTCTTCCAAGTCCCTGACCATCCAGCCAAACCATTGGCTACAGCCCCTGAATCAGTATATAATCGCACATCTGGTCATTTCTCTTTCCATGCGAAGTGCACAACCAGGTGCACTGCTTGAAGTTCTGCCCACTGGAAAGATTTCTCTTTCCCTTCACCACTATCCTTCAGGGATATCCTAGAAAGGGGCTGTAGTGCTGCAGCTGTCCACTTTCAGGTGGTGCCTGCATATCATGCAGACCATCTGTGAACCAGACCCTAGTCTCCTCTTCCCCTGTCAACTGATCATAGCAACTCCCCATGAGGCCCTTGGTGCAGGCTGGGGGCGAGAAGGCAGGGTGGCAGGAGTGGAGACCATGGGCATTTGGGCCATTTCCTCATGTAACTTACTTGTGCCTTCAAGACCTGCTCGAGCCTTATCATGTATATACCTCTTCCATTTGATGATGGAATGCTGCTGTGCATGACCAACTTTATGGCTAGATAGCTCAGAAAGCACCCAGTTCATGATAAGCAGTTCAGGTTGCATGGTGACTTGATGACCCATAGTCAAACGTTCAGTTTCCACCAAACCTAGTAACATTCCAAAAGCTGTCTCTCAAAAGGTGAGTAGTTATCTGCAGAAGATGGCAGGGCCTTGCTCCAAAATCCAAGGTCTCCACTGTGATTCACTTATGGGGGCCTGCCAAAGGCTCCAAACAGCATCCCTATCTGCCACTGACACCTAAAGCACTATTGGATCTGCTGGGTCATATGGCCCAAGTGGCAGAGTAGCTTGCACAGCAATCTGGACCTGTTGCAGAGCCTTTTCCTGTTCTGGTCCCCATTCAAAACTGGCAGCCTTTTGGGGAACTTAATAAATGGGCCAGAGTGACACACCCAGATGAGGAGTGTGTTGCCTCCAAAATCCAAATAGGCCCACTAGGCATTGTGCCTCTTTCTTGGTTGTAGGAGGGGCCAAATGCAGCAATTTATCCTTCACCTTAGAAGGAATATCTCAACAGGCCCCACACTACTGGACCCCTAGAAATTTTACTGAGGTAGAAGGTCCCTGAATTTTAGTCAGATTTATTTCCCATCCTCTAGCACACAAGTGTCTCACCAATAAGTCCAGTGTGTTTGCTACTTCTTCCTCACTGGATCCAATCAGCATAACATCATCAATGTAATGGACCAGTGTGATATCTTACCAAAGCAAATGGCTACCAAAATCTCTTCAAATAAGATTATGACACAAAGCTGGAGAGCTAATATACCCCTGAGGTAGGACAGTGAAGGTATATTGCTGGCCTTGCCAGCTGAAGGCAAATTGCTCCTGGAGAAAAAGGCATCTGCCAAGTCAATGGCTGCATACCAGGTACCAGGAGACATGTTAATTTGCTCAAGCAATGAAACCACATCTGTTTCGGCAGTTGCAATTGGAGTCACCACTTGCTTAAGCTTATGATAATCCACTGTCATTCTCCAAGATCTATCTGTCTTCTGCACAGGCCAAATAGGAGAGTTGAATGGGGATGTGATAGGAATCTCCACCCCTGGGTCTTTCAAGTCCTTGATGGTAGCACTAATCTCTGCAATCCTTCCAGGAATGTGATACTGTTTTTTATTTACTATTTTTCTAGGTAAAGGCAGCTCTGATGGCTTCCATTTGGCCTTTCTCATCATAGTAGCCTTTACCCTACCAGTCAGGGAGCCAGCCAATGTGAGGGTTCTGCCAGCGGCTAAGTACATCTATGCCAATTATGCATTCTGGCACTGGGGAAATGACCATGAGATGAGTCCAGGGACCCACTGGACCCGCTGTAAGTTGAACCTGAGCTAAAACTCCATTAATTATCTGACCTCTATGACCCCCTACTTTAACTAGAGGACCACAATGATGTTTTGGGTCCCCTGGAATCAATGTCAGCTCAGAGCCAGTATCCAGTATTCCCCCAAATGTCTGATCATTTTCCTTTCCCCAGTGCACAGTTACCCTGATGAAAGGCCAGAAGTCTCCTTGGGGAAGGATGGGAGAAAGATTCACTGCATAAATTTTCAGTAGTGTAATGGGATCCTTCCTCAAGGGGACCTGGTGTCCCCTTCATTCATTTCTGGGTCTGTAAAGTGGCTCAAGTCTGGAATTTGATTGAGGGGCCATAATTCTCTGCTTTTATAATTCAAATTAGTCTTTTGCCCATTCGACCTAGAAGTTATCTGCTTATATAAATTAACAAAAAATTCAGTAGGCTTCCTGTCAATTTCATTCAAAGAACACTGTGATTAATTAGCCAATGCCACAGCTCTACACGAGTCAGACTATTCTCATTGCTGCTTTGTCTCTGCTGTCCATTATGGTAGCTATGCCCACCTTGCCTTTGATGGTTGAGTGCACCACTTGGCCCGTGCCACCACTTGGACCCTGCCACCTTGGGATTCAATTATTCCCATTGTATTTAAATTTTGTAGTTGAGTGACTGTGGTTCCCACTGTTAGATCTGACATACAGAGAAGAACAATTACAGGGCCTTTTTTTTTTTTTTTTTTTTTTTTTTTTTTGAGATGGAGTTGCTCTGTCACCCAGGCTGGAGTGCAGTGGTGCAATCTCTGCTCACTGCAACCTCCACCTCCTGGATTCAAGTGATTCTCCTGCCTCAGCCTCCCAAGTAGCTGGGATTACAGTTGTGTGCCACCATGCCTGGCTAATTTTTTGTATTTTTAGTAGAGACAGGGTTTCACCGTGTTAGCCAGGATGGTCTCGATCTCCTGACCTTGTGATCTGCCTGCCTCAGCCTCCCAAAGTGCTGGGATTATAGGTGTGAGCCACTGCCTCTGGCCTACAGGGCCCTTCAAAGATGCAGGTGCTACCCTCACAGACCTATTTCATGAGGCATTGGTCAAGGGTATATCTTCTGGACCCTCCCAGCTGGGATGAGTAGGTCTAAAGTCACTAATCCACTCCACCATCACAATCTCCCTAAGCCTTTAGATCCTTCCCTCTACGTTAAACCAAGGGAGATCAGGCATTTCAGCTCACCCACAGTGGGCAATCTTTCAATCCATATTTCAGCTAACCAAGCAAATAAACCATTAGAACCTTTTTCAACTCTCCAAGCTGCAACATTAAATGCAGAGTCCCTATTTAGTGGGCTCAAATCAGTAAGTTCAGCCTGATTCAACTCTATGTTCCTTCCACCATTATCCCACAACCTTAATATCCATTCCCATGCCTGCTCTCTAGATTTCTGCTTATATAAATTAGAAAACTCAAGCAGTTCTTTTCGAGTGTAGCACACCTTCTTGTGGGTCCCACTCTCAACTTCACCTCCAGGGGCCCACCAGGACTTCAGTCTAGTTATAGGTCTAGAAGCAAACAGGGGTGTTGGGGGTAGCTCCTGAGGAGAATCAACATTATCTTGCCTGGCAACTGCCTCAAGGCAGGCCATCACTTTTGCCTCAGGTAGTGCAGGGTTTATCTCCTCAGACAAAGGTGGAAAGGCTGATGGCAGCAAGGGTCAGGGAGTGGTGGTTGCCACTACTGGGGATGGGGAAGCTGTTTCTTCTGGCAAAAAAGTTTCATCAGAGTTTACAAACTCAGTGTTCCCAGCTTTGTCAGGGTCCTCCCACACATCCCCATTCCAAGTCACAGTGTCCCATTCTTTTCCAATAAATGCCCTCACTTTAACAGTAGACACCTGGTGAGGCTGTGCAGGCACGTTTCATTGCAGGTCAGCCACTCACATGATCAGAGCTTGTCTCTGTTTTTCCACAATTTCTGCTCTCTCTCTACAGGAGATAAGACTCTCACTCAGGACAATCTTAGTAGATTTGAGGCTCAGTATCTGCTTCTGAAGTCAGGAGTTAGAATCCCTGAATTCATCATTTTCTTTCATCACTTTGTCCATTGAACTTAGGAGCAACCAACCAGCTTCATTATGTTCCTTGGTTCTACACATATGGTCAAAGGTGTTATGTATAGAGTCACTAAACTCCTTGCCTCTCAGGAGTGGTGAATCAGGAGTGTCAAATGCATTTATTTTGCATAACTCTAAACAATTCATGCCAAGGACTATCAAGTGTTCTCCACACTATTAGAAGTAGAGTCCTTAGCATTTTGGGGTCTAATCATATTAAGCAGCCAACTCCAGAAATCCCAAATCCAACAAAAGAACTCTATCCATAATATTCTGTTCCTCTAGAACCACTCCTGGTACCAAAATCTGTATTAGGGTTCTCTAGAACTAATAGAATATATATAGGGGAGTTTATTAAGTATTAACTCACATGATTACAAGGTCCCACAATAGGCTGTCTGCAAGCTGAGGAGCAAGAAGAGCCAGTCCGAGTCCCAAAACTTAAGAATTTGGAGTCTGATGTTCAAGGGCAGGAAGCATCCAGCATGGGAGAAAGATGTAGGCTGGGAGGCTAGGCCAGTCTAGCCTTTTCAGGCTTTTCTGCATGCTTTATATTCTAGCTGCACTGGCAGCTGATTAGATGGTGCCTGCTTAGATTGAGGGTGAGTCTGCC
The DNA here is from genome assembly GCF_000001405.40 of Homo sapiens. Classification (NCBI taxonomy): domain Eukaryota; kingdom Metazoa; phylum Chordata; class Mammalia; order Primates; family Hominidae; genus Homo; species Homo sapiens. Next base: position 37,793,418 of record NC_000005.10, on the reverse strand, counting down.
TTTCCCAGCCCAGTGACTCAAATGTTAATCTCTTTTGGCAACACCCTCACAGACAGGATCAATATGTTGCATCCTTCAATCCAATCAAGTTGATACTCAGTATTAACCATCACAAGATCTGAACCAAGGCAAAAATAGTTGGGGTGGGAAGCAGAGGAGAAGACCAGTACAATAAATGTACAGAAGTAATCCACCAAATTAGGCAATAGGTTAGACTTGAGGGCAGAAGGAGAAGGGGGAGTTGTGACTCATCCCCAGATTTATGCATGGATGATAGCATCAATGGAGTGGCCAGCCACTCATGGGCCCAGCAGGTGCTGCTGCTCACTGATGCATTCTTCATGGTGAACGTGGCTCATTCAAGCTGCCCCAGGGACATGAAGGTGAAAATGGACAGCAGACAGTCCAGTCCCAAGTCCAGGAGAGAAGGGAGGGTGAGAGAGAATTCAGGGTCACCAGCACCCAAGTGATCACAGACATAAGAGTGAATGAGATTCCAGAGATGTCAGGAGAAGGAGAACAGGGGCCTGGAGACAGAGCCTGGGAAAGTGGAATCCTGACCGGCACTGTGCCTTTCACAATCCACTAAGACACTGCTTGGTTCCCTTTTCTCAACAACTGACCTCACCAAAGCTAGTCAGAATTTAATGTGCCAGGTCAGAGGCCATCTTCCTCCCTCTCCACCCCCACACATGGTAACATCATCATTTGCTTTATTTTCCTTTACACACACAAGAAATTTTAAGGAATATGTAAATGCCTCCATTTCTTTGCCATCCTGAATATCTGGTTTATTACCTTGAATTCATTATTTTCAATCTTTGGGGAATCTATGACCTCACAGAGAAAGCTTTGTCTTCTCCTTAGAAAGAAGGTTCCCCTCCAAATGGGGCTGGCTGGCAATGAGATGAGAGAGAGTTCTCACAGATGCAGGTCCGGACAGTGGCCTCCTGTATTAGTCTGTTCTCACACTGCTATAAAGACATACCTGGGAGGCCAAGGTAGGTGGATCACCTGAGGTCAGGAATTCGAGACCAGCCTGGCCAACATGGTGAAACCCCGTCTCTACTAAAAATACAAAAATTTGCCAGGCATGGTGGCAAATGCCTGTAATCCCAGCTACCTCAGAGGCTGACATGGGAGAATCTCTTGAACCCGGGAGATGGAGGTTGCAGTGAACCAAGATCATGCCACTGAACTCCAGCCTGGGCAACAGAGTGAGACCCTGTCTCAAAAAAAAAAAAAAAGAAAAAAAAAAGACATACTGAGACTGGATAATTTTTCTAGAGAGGCTTCAGGAAACTTACAGTCATGGCAGAAGGAAGAAAGGGAAGTAAGCACATCTTCACATGACAGCAGGAGAGAGAGAGAGAGCAAAAGGGGAGATGCTACACACTTTCAAACAACCAGATCTCATGAGAACTCACTATCACAAGAACACCAAGTGGGAAATCCGCCGCAATGATCCAATCACCTCCTACCAGGTCCCTCCCCCAACACTGGGGATTACAATTCAACATGAGATTTGGATGGGGACAGAGAGTCAAACCATATCACTTACCAAGGAACCAGAGCTTTGGCTTGGGGACTTCCTGCCTTTGGGCCCCAAGGGCATGGTCTACTCTGATGCTCTCCTCTAACCCTTCCCCCAACCCACCATTAGACATTGGAGATTCCTCTAAGATGGCTCAATGTACAGAGAAAAAAAGCTTGCTATGCTAATGTGAGATTCCAGGCCTTGCCATGGTGATTTTGATTTCTCACTGAAAATGAACTAATCTAACTCCTGCTTTCATCTCAGTCTTGGGAAGTTGAAGAGGATGGGTCTGCCCCGGACCTGCTTTTGATCTGTAGGCAAAATGCAATGACAGAGCCTGCAGGCTGAGGCACAGCATGTGGACCTGGTAAATCCCCCAGGGCATGATTTCCATCTGCCTGAGAAGCTGGCAGGCTCTGGCTTTCTTTATATTCTTCAGGAATGACTTGGGCTCTTCTTTTTTTCAACTGGTTCGTTCTACTTGGATCACCTGCCACCTCTTTCTCCAACCCCTCCTCCTTTCTTCAGAGTCTGCCATGAAATTGTAATTTAAATATCAGTAACAAAAAATCATTCTAAATTAATATTTTCTAGTTTAACATTTAGGGATGGTGTTTTCAGACTTTGACTTCTAGATTGTGGAAAGGGTGCTCATAAAATGATAGTATTCACAGCCCATTTGTGTGAGTTCCTTAAAGGACCCTTTCTGGGTAAATGTTGCAGAGTCACAGCTTAGAAAAACAAAACCTTCCAAATGGCTTTGGGAATGAAACCATTTTCAGATTGGCAATAAAATTAATTTATAAACATTTTCTCACTTTTTTCACCTTTCCCATTCAAATACGGAACTGGGATATGTAATATGTGTAGAAATGTGCTGATGCTGCTGGGGGTTGGGGAGCTGTTGGGAGGTTGCCTGGCCCCTGCTCCCAGCCACTCCATGAGTAAGTGTGCACACATGCACAAGCACGTATACGCACGCAAACGAATGCACGTGCACCCGAATGAATGCAATGGGCAGAACAGATGGGGTCATAGATTTGAAATTAGGAGACAGCCAATAAGACCTGCAGCTAAAGGAAAATCCACATCAGTTGCAAGCCTGCTCCCCTTTAGGTGTACCCCTGGGGTTCACTTTGCCCTTCTGACAAATCCCTGTACTTTTTCTACCCAATGGATGGCCTTTCCTGACATCTTCCCAACTGGGTTGCTCCATGCTGCTGTTGTCAAGATAATGTTTATGGTGCCTTCTGTTTTCTCTGTGTCTCATAAGCACTACCCCCATTTAATCCTGAACAAACCTAGGGGAAGGCAATTAGTCCCCACATTTTACAAAGGGAAGCCCAAGGCTCAGCAAGGCAACAGAGAGAGACCCTGTCTCACTCTGGATAAATTATCCTGTCTCAGGTATGACTTTTTTTTTTTTCTTTTCTTTTCTTTTCTTTTTTGAGACAGGGCCTCACTCTGTCTCCCATTTCTATGACCTATCTGGGGTCACCCAGCTGTAAGTGGCACAGCCAGGATTTAAACTCCAGGAAGCCTGACTCCAAGGTGCCTATACTCTCTTCCCATCACATCCTGTGACTCGAGGATGCTTCATTTAACAGATGGCAGGACAGGTTACAGAAGTCACAGCCATAAATAAGCAAAGAAGAGAATGAAGCAGAACATATTTTTGCTCACAGCTATGGCTCCCTGGCCAAGTATTTCTTACCGGAAGTGGAGTTGCCCAAGTATTTATTTGTAAGAGGTGCAGAGCAGTATTGTGGGGAAAACAGTCACCCAGCAACCAGAAATGCAGGGACTCAGGCTTTGGAACTTCTTAGATGAGTTGACTGCATTTGTTACCCATGTTCTCTGTTATTTCTCATCTATAAAATGAGGATAAACAATGTCTTTTTCTCAAGGCTGCTATGGAGGTCAATGAAGCAATAGAAATGAAATTTACAAAATTTGGCCGGGTGTGGTGGCTCATGCCTGTAATCCCAGCATTTTGGGAGGCCAAGGCAGTCAGATCGCTTGAGGTCAGGAATTCAAGACCAGCCTGGCCAACATGGTGAAACCCCATCTCTACAAAAAATACAAAAATTAGCCAGGTGTGGTGCTGGGCACCTGTAATCCCAGTTACTCAGGAGGCTGAGGCAGGAGAATCACTTGAGCCAGGGAGGCGGAGGTTGCAGTGAGCTGAGATAGTGTCACTGCACTCCAGCCTGGGCAACAGAGTGAGACTTTGTCTCAGAAAAAGAAAATTACAAAATTGTCCAGAAATCATGTCATGTATAAATATATATATTTTTCTATGTATCCCTGCTAAAATAATATTTCATTCATTGAAGTTATTTCTTACTTCTGCTTTTTGACATAATGTTTGATTTCTCTTGGCCCCAGCTTCCCCATCTGTAAAATGTGGCCATAGGGCTCATGGACTCCTATGCTTCTTTCCAGCTCTGCCATTCAGTAGATCAATGACCCTTCCTGACTCCTACTGTGGTTTCCAGCCAGGCCTTGGTGGCTAAGAAAGCCCAGGGATGGAGTTCCCTCACACAGAGCCATGGCTCTTCTCAACCAAGAGGAGGTTGAAGATCAAAGAGCAAAGGTGTCCCTCAAGGATGTTCAAATGCAAAACATGACAGAATTAAGCTCACAGAGGAATAGTAACTTTATTCCTTCTACTATGTGTATTGACAAAGCCACATGATGTGCTGGGAATAAGACAAGATTCAAGAAACAGTTCAGAGGAGGAGACAGATTTTAAAGAAATCTTTATCCAGGTAATTATTTCACTGGAGTTGTGATATGTTCTATGAAAGAGTAAGACTGTTTACTGGGAGTTTATACAATGGCAGAGGGGTGGTCCTTATGAGAATTTCCCAAGGAAAGGACACTTCAAGCTTGTTCTTGAAGGCTGATCTAGATTTGCAGGGCATGCAAGGGGGCTGAGGAGAGGATGAAGAAGGTTCTAGGTGGAAGGAACATCCAGTGCAAAAGTCTTTAAAAAGGAGAGTTTCTTTATGTATTTCAGTTGCTAAAAATAAGCTGCTTCGCCTGGAATGCTGGTAGTGAGGGGAATAGTAGCAAGACATGAGTTTCTACATATAAATGGGGACAAATCATACAGGGGCATACAGGTCAAGATTAGGAATTTGACTTATAAGAGCACAGCATCAGGTAGCAGTACAGCTGAAAATTTCCAGAGATGCCACTGGAGGGGTTTAAGCTAGAGAACATGTCCCATGTGATCACCCAGAAAGACAATCATGGAAGCAGCCAGTCTGTTAGAGGCTGCAGGGGCAGGTGCAGTGAGCCCTGCCTAAGGCTGGGAACAGAGAAGTGGCCATGCAACCAGAGAAAAGTGGGGAGAGTTGAGAGATGCTTAAGATGGGGCATGCTCGGGATGCAGCATTGATTGGTTGTGGAGGGGAAATACAGGGAGGTAATTCACACATTATATATCATAACCACGGCATTGATTGGGTGTGGAGGGGAAGAAGAAGGAAGCAATTCTCACTTTATACTTCATAACCATGGCATTGATTAGGTGTGGAGGGGAAGAAGAGGGAGGTAATTCACACATTATATATTATAACCACCAGGGTTGCTGGTGCCATGAACCCCAATTTCCAGATGAACAAGATCTCTGAAAGGCTGAGTGACTTGTCCAGGTCGAACAGCTGAAAAGAGGGATTCCCAGAACTCCTGACATTTAGGCCATAATTATTCCAGGTATGTCCCAAGTGATTCATCCTAAGTGCTACCATTACTTCACAGAAAACTCAATGAAGGTCTGATTTCACATGTATTGAATTCAACCACACCACATTCACAGCCATATGATGAGAGGGGACCAGAGTGAGTGAGCGACATCATGATCCAAACAGAGTCACTATTCAAACGTGCACTGTGGACTCCTTACACAATCACCTAATTATAGTTCCCGAGGAAGCGCCATATGATAATACGCTGTACAGAAGCCAATGAATAATTGTCAGTGGGCCAGATGGTCCTTTTAATTGGAGTTGATATTTGGAAAATAATGTGTAGCAAGCTCCATGAGGTTTTTGTGGTGGGGCTTTTGGCTGAACAGGTCATACGTTATTCATTTCCAGCTTATTCCTTGGAAAGGCTCTTCCAAACTCCAGAACTAACACAATTAAAAGTACACTTTAGCACTTTCTCTCCCCAGGTCCTGAAGAAAGGGTACAAGGAGGTCACAAAGTTCACATAAATATGTGTGTATCTGATAGGAAACAAGACATTCATGCACCAGTGCTCCTCTGAATGCACTAAGCCAGCATGATTTGCCAAGATGAACATAGATTTCTTTCCAAATATTCTGGTTCCAATGACTTTAGTTGAGTAATTTCCCTAAAGTCCCATAATTACAAGAGTCAAAGTTTGGAAACTGAGTCTCCCCAAGCTCTGGGCCAGGCTCTTCCACAGTTCCATGCTGCCTGACAGCCAGTCTGAGCCTCAGGTTCCTCATCTGCACAATGAGAACAGTCTGCCTCACAGGGCTGCTCTGGTGGTCACTACAGTGTCTCAAGACGGTTCTCGCATGCAGTTTGGCTCACGGTGAGAGTTCAACATGTGGCCAATGCAATGGCGTTTGTGAAAACTTCCAACTTGAATTAAAATGAATATAAGATGTTATAAATAGTATATTCTGATTTATTCAGAATGACTGAGACATATTTGAGGGTCACGCATACATTTGAACTATAATTTAACATAAAGCAATAGCCAATTTCCAAAGCTCTTAAACAATTCAATGACTGAAATTTTACTAGTCATACTTGCTTCACTCTGCTCTCCCTGTATGACTCATTCTTTGTTCATGATTCCCCAAGTACTTGAAGATCTTGCTATGCTTTGGGTCCTTGAAAGCAGTGTCATTGTGGAAAATGCCAGCAATCATGCCAAGGCTGTATTGATGAAAAAAAGTCAAACTCTGTAAAATATTTTAAAAGGTTTATTCTGAGCCAAATATAAGTGGCCAATGGCTCATGGCATAGGCCCAGGAGATCCTGGGAATATGTGCCTGAGGTGGTTGGGCTATAGCTTGGTTTTATGGGTTTTAGGAAGACAGAAGACATCAATCAATACATATGAGGTATACATTGGTTTGGTAAGGAAAAGCAGGACAACTGGAAGAGGAAGCTTTGAGTTACCTGATTCGCAATTGGTTGAAAGAGTTAAGTTATTATCTAAAGACCTGGAATCAACAGAAAGAGTGTCTGAGTTAAGATAAGCGGTTGTGCAAACTAAGGCTGTTATTATGTAGATGAAGTCTCTTGGGTGGTCCCCCTGCAGAATATAGATGGCAAATGTTTCCTACTTAGACTTTAAAAGGTGCTAGATTCTCAGTTAATCTTTTCTGGATTCAAAGGGCCTGGAAAAGTAAGATCTAGTTATGTTAACAGAGATTCTTTACAGATGTAAATTTTCCCCACACAGTTTACCTCCATAAAATTGCAGGGACATTTCAAAATATGGCAAAGAAACATATTTTGGGGTAAAATATTTTGATTTCCTTCTTTATCTGTCATGTGATATTATACTAGAGTCAGAGAATCAGGATGGAATTTGGTATCTTATTGCTAAAAAGACTGTCTCATCAGTCTTAAGATACCTGTTTTAGTGTCATTGCTGGTTAGCTGTGCCTGAACTCCTTAAGAGAGAGGGTGTAAAGACACATGTCTGACCACTCCTTTCCTGTTATGACCTTAAGGGAGTAGACCACCCCTCATATTGTCTTATGCCCAATTTCTGCCTCCAAAGAAAGAAGTAAAAACTAAAAGGCAGAAATGAAATCCACAGGCAGACAGCCCGGCGCTGCACCCTGGGCCTGGTTAAAGATCGACCCCTGACCTAACCAGTTATGTCATCTATAGATTCCAGACATTGTATGGAAAAGCACTGTGAAAATCCCTGTCCTGTTCTGTTCCGTTCTGATTACCAGTGCATGCAGCCCCCAGTCATGTATCCCCTGCTTGCTCAATCGATCACATCCCTCTCATATGGACACCCTTAGAGTTGTAAGCCCTTAAAAGAGACAGGAGTTGCTCACTCAGGGAGCTCGGTTGTTGGAGACGTGAGTCTCGCCAAAGCTCCTGGCTGAATAAAGCCCCTCCTTCTTTAACTTGGTGTCTGAGGGGTTTTTTTGTGTGGCTTGTCCTGCTACATTTCTTGGTTGCCTGACTGGGAAGTGAGGTGATTAACGGACAGTCGAGGCAGCCCCTTAGGTGGCTTAGTCCTGCCCTGTGGCGCATCCCTACGGGGGACTCTGGCCAGCTTGAGCAATGCAGATCCTGAGAGCGCTCCCAGGTAGGCAATTGCCCCAGTGGAATGCCTCACCAGAGCAGCACGTGGCAGGCCCCTGTGGAGGATCAACGCAGTGGCTGAACACTGGGAAGGAACTGCCACTTGGAGTCTGGACATCTGAAACTTGGTAAGACAAGTCTTTGGAGCTTGCCCATTGCATTTGAGAGGAAGCGTGGCCTGATCACCCATAGCGTGACTGTACTGGCACTTTGGTTTTTGTTTTTGACTTGACTTGGATTGCTTGATACTTTGGTTTTGGCTTTGACCTGGCTTGGATTTCTGGACACTCTGATTTTGGTTTTGATTCTGGTTTGGTGTAAACTGTAAAACTGTGTGTGCCCTTTTTACCCGTTCTTTGTTTTGTGGTGTGCATGTGGTGTGAGTGTGGTGTTTTGTCTTGAAGAAGCATGGGTCAGGCACAAAGTAAGCCTATCCCACTAGGAACTATGATGAAAAATTTCAAGAAAGGATTTAAGGGAGATTACGGTGTTACTATGACACCAGGAAAACTTAGAAATTTGTGTGAAATAGACTGGTCAGCATTAGAGGTGGGTTGGCCATCAGAAGGAAGCCTGGACAGGTCCCTTGTTTCAAAGGTATGGCACAAGGTAACCTGTAAGCCAGTGCACCCAGGCCAGTTCCCATACATAGACACTTGGTTACAGCTGGTTTTAGACACCCCCCCAACAGTGGCTGAGAGAATAGCAGCATAAGCGGCTGGCAGAGGCAAGGAAAGACCAGCAGAGAGAGAGAGAGGAAAGAGACAGAGAGAAAAAGAGACAAAGAGACAGAGGAAAAGACAGAGAGGAAGAGACAGAGAGACAAAGAGGGAGTCAAGAAGAGAAAGAGAGAGAAAGACAGAGGCAGAGAGAGAGAAAGAGACAGAGGAAAGACAGAGAGGAAGAGACAGAGAGACAAAGAGGGAGTCAAGAAGAGAAAGAGAGAGAAAGACAGAGGCAGAGAGAGAGAAAGAGACAGAGGCAAAAGGAAAGTCAAAGAGAAAAAGAGACAGAAAATCAAAGAGAGAAAGAAAGGAAAAGATATACAAGTAGTTAAGAAAAAAAACAGTGTACCCTATTCCTTTAAAAAACCAGTGCCTATAGTCCCAGCTACTCAGGAGGCTGAGGCAGGAGAATGGCCTGAACCAGGGAGGTGGAGATTGCAGTGAGCCGAGATCATGCCACTGCACTCCAGCCTGGGAAACAGAGTGAGACTCCAACTCAAAAGAAAAAAAAAGGCCAAGGTAAATTTAAAACCTATAATTGATAATTAAAGGCATTCTCCATAACCCTATAACACTCTAATACCACTTTGTTGTCACTGTAAACAAGTGCGTATCCTGAAAGCACTGAGACCTTCCTATCAAAAATCCTTAACCCAGTAACCCGCGGATGGCCCAGATACATTCAATCTGTAGCAGCAACTGCTTTGCTAACAGAAGAAAGTAAAAAAAAAAAATAAATAACTTTTAGAGGAAACCTCATTGTGAGTACACCTCACCAGTTCAGAAGTATCCTTAAAAAAAAAAAAAAAAAAAAAAAAAAAAAGGATGATTTAACATTAACCACTGAAAATTCCCGCAACCCAGCAGGTTTCCTAACAGGGGATCTAAATCTTAATCACCATACAAAGGTCTGATCAGACCTAGGAGGAACTCCCTTCAGGAGAGGACGATCTATGGTTCCTCCTGGGTAATTGAAGGGAAAAAAAAAGCCATCTATACCAAATTCTAAGTTAATGTGGACTAAACAAGGTCTTATTAATAGCAAAGGATAATTGAAATCCCGAACTTACAAGGTTTTCAACAAACGCAAAGTTTGCTAAAAGTTAACAGTGTAACATGTATTATAACTTCTAATCTTGTGGCCTTAGACAGTCTAGTCCACAGACATAAAGGAAGTTCACTTTGGAAAAGAATGGTTAGCTTCAAAAAGAAAAAAAAGAGAAAAAAAGGGGGACAGAATTTATGTAAAAAGAATGTTGCGTGGTAAATTCTTCTCCTGAAATAAATCAACTGGCTGTTTAAATAAAGAAATGTCTGTAAAAAGTCTGAAAGTTGAAGCAGGTCAAAGAATTGTCTGTGAAAGCCGTGAAAGAGAAAAAAAAAGTTATAAAAAAGGAATTTATGCAAGAAATGTTGTATAATTTAAAAGTAACTAGGCCTCCTGAATGTAAAACTATTAAAAAAACCGTTTATGTGCAAGGTGTATAAGGAAAGTAAAATATACCTTTGGTAAAAGGATTATAAGGAGGCATAAGACTGTAAATTTTTACCTACACTAAAAGGTTAAATATATATATATATATTGTTTTGAAGGTTTAAGCAAGTTTTAAAATGTTATTTGTAAAGAAAATTCTGTGTATAAACATATTAGCTAAAGTTAAAGGGGTGTCAACCAGTTTTTCTGTGAACTGGACATTAAAGTAAAAACACAACGGGTTTTTCTTAAAGCACTAACCTACTCTTTAACAAAAATTATAAAAGGTTAAAAAGAGTCTATGAAAATCTTATGGTCCAATATTAAAAATTGGATAAATATGTCTACAAGGTTTTATTAAAATTAAGTTTAACATTAATAACACACTAATATAAAGGTGAAATTTAGCTTATCTGGTATAAAAATTATACAAGAAGCATTATTAAATATAAAATGGTGTTTGGCTTTCTTTGGTCTAAAAACTAATAAAAATAGGTGCTAAAGGAAATTTCTCAGTAAGAAGGCACCAAAGAGTATAAAGTCCACTGTTGATGTCCCCACATTTAAAACAAAAAGTCAATTTCTTAGAAATTACATACTTGGTTTATCTTCCACTTTCCTTTCCCTCAAAACTAAAAGTCTTTTAGCACAGGTACCACCCCTAGAATTTCCAGTAAACCAGCACCAGCCTGAAGATCACCTTCTTATCAAAGGGTGGAAAGAAGAAAAACTCAAGCCAGCCTAGGAAGGACCCTACCTTGTGCTGCTAACCACTGAGACTGCCATTCGTACAGTGGAAAAAGGATGGACTCATCACACCTGAGTCAAAGCGCCACCCCCTCCAGAGTCATGGGCCATAGTCCCAGGTGAAAACCCTACCAAACTAAAGCTAAGAAAAATTTAACTCTTTCATCTATTCTATTACTCTTTCTTCTTTCCTTGCTCTATTGCTGACCATCTAGTTATTAACATAACCAAGTCAATTTTGCCTCAAACTATTGCATTTAATGCTTGCCTTGTTATACCCTGTGAGGACTTGCTAAGTCAAAGACAGATCTCTATGTCAGAAAATTACCTCCATCCCTCCTGACTCTCCTCATACTGGGCATTAGTAAATTAGCACCATTTAATCCAGGGAGATTTCAATAAAGACTCCAGTGTTAACCAGGATTCTTGCCCCCCAGTGTAGAGCTTTTATGCCATAGTTGGTCCAACGTTCTGCATACCACTAAAGAGCAAGGATGGACTGCCCCAACCATTTTTTGTAATTTCCTAAAATCATACATTCATTTTACTAGAGGATCATAAAAGTTAAAGTCTTAAAACAAACTTTAGCAATTAAGACAGGATACCAAGATGCAAATGCCTGGTTAAAATGGATCAAATATTCCATCTGCACATTAAACAAAAGCAATTGTTATGCTTGTGCACATGGCAGGCCAGAGGCCCAGACTGTCCCCTTTCCACTAAGGTGGTCCTCCAATTGACCAGGCGTGGGCTGCATGGTAGCTCTTTTCCAGGATTCTACAGCCTGGAGTAATAAGTCGTGCCAAGCTCTCTCTACTATATACCAAAGTCCGGCACCCTGCAGGTCAGCCCCCGAGGGCCATCCAGCTTCCGTCTCCCAACACTAAGTTCACTTCATATCTCTCACGACTGGGAGGAAACTTAGTGTTCATTGGAGACCTGAAGGGATGCAATGAGCTTAAGAATTTTCAAGAGCTTATCAATCAGTCAGCCCTTGTTCATCCCTGCGCGGATGTGTGGTGGTATTGTGGTGGACCTTTACTGGGCACTCTGCCAAATAACTGGAGTGGCACTTGTACTTTAGTCCAATTGGCTATCCCTTTCACCCTGGCATTTTATCTACCAGAAAGAGGAAAAATAAGACATTGTAAATAGAGAGAAGTCCCTTATGGGTCTTTCGACTCTCACATTTATTTAGACGCAGTTGGAGTCCCATGGGGAATACCAGATCAATTTAAAGCTTGAAATCAAATAGCTGCAGGATTTAAGTCAATATTTTGGTGTGTGACAGTTAATAAAAATGTTAATTGGATAAACTACATCTATTGCAACCAACAGCAATGAGCTTTTCATAAGTTAAAAGAAAACCTCATGTCGGCCTCGGCCCTTGGGCCACCTGACCTCACAAAACCCTTTACACTTTACGTGTCAGAAAGAAAAAAAAAAATGGCAGTTGGAGTTTTAACCCAGACTGTGAGGTCCTGGCCAAGGCCAGTGGCCTATCTCTCAAAACAACTAGATGGGGTTTCCAAAGCCTGGCCCCCATGTCTAAGGGCCCTGGCAGCAATGGCCCTGTTAGCACAAGAAGCAGATAAACTAACCCTTGGGAAAAACCTGAATATAAAGGCTCCCCATGCTGTGGTAACTTTGATGAATACCAAAGGACATCATTGGCTAACAAATGCTAGATTAACCAAGTACCAAAGCTTGCTATGTGAAAATCCCCGCATAACCAATGAAGTCTGCAACACCCTAAACCCCGCCACCTTGCTCCTGGTATCAGAGAGCCCAGTTGAACGTAACTGTGTAGAGGTATTGGACTCAGTAGAGGTATTGGACTCAGTTTATTCTAGTGGGGCCAACCTCCAAGACCATCCTTGAACATCAGTAGACTAGGAGCTGTATGTGGATGTGAGCAGCTTTGCCAACCCCTGCAAAGTGACTCTGAAAGAGACAACAAGCCCTGCTCCAGTCACACCCAGAAGCTGACTGGTCCACGCTCAGCCAAAGCATGAGAAAACTCATCACAGGATTCATTTTATAAAATTTGAACTTGTACAGTAAGGACTTCAACTGACCTTCCTCAGACTGAGGACAGTTCCCAGTGTATACGTCAAGTCACTGAGGTAGGACAAAAAGTTGCTACAGTCCTATTACTTTATGGTTATTATAAGTGTACCGGGACTCTAAAAAGAACTTGTTTATATAATGCTATTCTATACAAGGTATGTAGCCCAGGACATGACCAACCTGATGTGTGTTATGACCCATCTGAGCCTCCCATGACCACAGTTTTTGAAACAAGATTAAGGACTGAGGACTGGTGGGGGCTCATAAACTATATGAGTAAAGTGTTAGCCAAAACAAAATAAAAAGCGGTGCCCAAACAAGTCGTTTTGAAGTTTGATGCCTATGCTGTCATTAATAATAATAAGTTAGGAATAGGATGTGGTTCTGTTAATTAGGAAAGAGGCTATATGGCAGAAAATAAGTACATTTGTCATGAATTAGGACTGTGTGGAAATAAATATGGATACTGGTCTTGTGTCATTTAGCTACTTGGATAAAAAAATGAAAAGGATCCTGTCCACCTTCAGAAAGGGAAAAGTGGCCCTTCCTGTACCAGTGGTCAGTGTAATCCCTTAGAACTAGTAATAACCAACTCCCTTGATCCTCACTGGAAAAAAAGGGGAGCTTGTAACCCTAGGAATTGATAGGGCCGGACTGGATCCTCAAGTAAATATTGTGGTTTGAGGAGAAGTTTATAAACGCTCTCCTGAGCCAGTATTTCAAACCTTCTATGATGAACTGAATGTACCAGTACTAGAAATTCCAGGAAAAACAAGAAATTTGTTTTTGCAATTAGCTGAGCATGTAGCCCAGTCTCTCAATGTCACTTCATGTTATGTATGTGGAGGAACTGTACTGGGAGATCAATGGCCATGGGAAGCCCGAGAATTAATACCTACAGACCCAGTTCCTGATAAATTCCCGATTCAAAAGAATCACCCTGATAACTTCTAGGTCCTAAAAGCCTTAATTGTTAGACAATACTGTATAGCAAGAGTGGGGGAGGACTTCACCCTTCCTATGGGAAGACTCAGCTGCCTTGAGCAAAAACTGTATAATAGTACTACAAAAACAGCCACCTAGTGGAGTTCAAACCATACTAAGAAAAATCCATTTAGTAAATTCCCAAAGTTGCAAACCGCGTAGACCAACCTGGAGTCCCACCGGGACTGGACAGCCCCCACTGGACTATACTGTATATGTGGGCATAGACCTTATGCCAAATTACCCGACCAGTGGGCAGATAGTTTTGTTATTGGCACTATTAAACCATCTTTCTTCCTACTGCCCATAAAGACAGGCGAACTCCTGGGCTTCCCGCAAAAAGAGAAGCATAGCTATAGGAAATTGGAAAGATGATGAATGGTCCCCTGAGAGAATCATACAATATTATAGGCCTGGTACATGGGCACAAAACAGCTTGTGGGGATACTGGACCCCCATTTACATGCTCAACCAAATCATACGGTTACAAGCTGTCTTAGAAATAATCACTAATAAGACCGGCAGAGCCTTGACTATTCTGGCCTGGCAAGAAACTCAGATGAGAAATGCTATCTATCAAAATAGATTGGCTCTCGACTACTTGCTAGCAGCTGAAGGAGGGGGTCTGTAGAAAATTTAACCTTACTAATTGCTGTCTACACATAGATGATCAAGGGCAAGTAGTTGAAGACATAGTTGGAAATATGACAAAACTGGCACATAAATTTGTTATGTGCCAAATGTGCAAGTGTGCCATGGATTTGATCCTAGGACCATGTTTGGAAAATGGTTCCCAGTGCCAAAAGATTTAAAACTCTTATAATAGGAGTCATAATAGCAATAGAAACCTGCTTACTGCTCCCTTGTTTGCTACCTGTACTTCTTCAAATGATAAAAAGCTTCATCACTACCTTAGTTCACCAAAATGCTTCAGCACACATGTACTATATGAATCACTATCGATATGTCTTGCAAGAAGACATGGGTAGTGAGAATGAAAGTGAGAACTCCCACTATTGAGTGAGATTCTCAAAGGAGGGGAATAAGAGAGGAGACCACCCCTCATATTGTCTTATGCCCGATTTCTGCCTTCAAAGAAAGAAGTAAAAACTAAAAGGCAGAAATGAAATCCAGAGGCAGACAGCCCGGTGCCACACCCCAGGCCTGGTTAAAGATCGACCCCTGACCTAACCAATTATGTTATCTATAGATTCCAGACATTGTATGGAAAAGCATTGTGAAAATCCCTGTCCTGTTCTGTTCCGTTCTGATTACCGGTGCATGCAGACCCCAGTCGTGTACCCGCTGCTTGCTCAATTGATCACAACCCTCTCACATGGACCCCCTTAGAGTTGTAAGCCTTAAAAGGGACAGGAATTGCTCACTCGGGCAGCTCGGTTGTTGGAGATGTGAGTCTTGCCGAAGCTCCTGACCAAATAAAGCCCTTCCTTCTTTAACTTGGTGTCTGAGGGTTTTTTTCTGTGGCTTGTCCTGCTACAACCTGAACTGTTTTTTTCAGCTTTCTTTGGAATCCCCTTGGCCAGGAGGGGGACTTAGAATCTTATTTTGGCTTATAGAAATTTCAGACCTCTCCTGGCTTTTGCTACATTTATTTGTGCCAGACACTGCAAGGCTCCTGTGTCGATTCAAACCCCGAGAGCACGCCAACAAACAGCATAAGGTAGTGTGGAGCAACACACTGTTTTAATGAGTGCCTGGGTGCAGGCGGGCTGAGGCCTAAAATGGCATCAGCACCAAATGAGGATGGGGCAGGGGTTTTATAGTCTCCTGTAAACAGGAAGTGTCTCAGTCTGATGTAACTGCTATGCGGTACCCAGACGGCCGCTCTCTCGGTCTTCAGGGGGTATGTGTCTGCCGGCCAGCTCTCTTCCTGCTTCTGCTGTCTTGCTGACGCACGCTGCTGGCGCAAGAGGCCTTGCGCCTTGGGACTGGGCCTCAGGAGGGAAGAGTTATTCATTCCCTTAAGCTTTCAAGCCCTGGGGAGAATCTTTCAGACATTGCACTGGATGCTCAACAAAAAAATGGAGGGTGTGGTCATTCCCATCGCAGGGTTCACATTTCAGTGGGAGAGAGAGGCCTGTAAGCCCCGCTTAGGAGTCAAGGCATTAAGAGCTGTACAAACAGAAAATTCCAGCTGTGAAGGAAAAGATGGAGGGAGCTCCCGCCTTGACTTCAGAAGAAAAGCCTGCCTTTCCCTCAACTCCATCATCTGAGGAAGACCCATAGGTTAACACTCCAGCCAGTGTGGCTAGAAGTGGGTTTGTCCAGGTGAGCATGAGGAGAATGAGCTGCAGAGCAGTAGAAAGAGCTCCGAATGAGCCCCGCAAGCATTGGGTCATATTCCATTCTGTGTCAGATGGACACAGGGCAGAGGCAGGGCCAGCCTCCTGGAGCTGACACACACCAGCCCAGCCCCTCTCCTTGCCTCTCGCCACTCTCCTCACTGTGTCACTTTTTCACCCTATCCTTAGCTCCTGCCGCCCAGAAACTTTTCTCCAGATGGGAGGACTGGCAATCATCTCCTCTCCCTTGTGTAATCAAATATCTCACCCTGAAGATATGCTCAGACTCCCTGGCCTCCACTCAGCCCTCCCTGTTCACAGCGCGGCACAGCCAGCCAGCCAGCCAGCCCACAGCCCCACCAGTTTCTAATTAAAACCCAACAAGTGTTTCTCTAGACACAGAACGAGTTCTTGGAGGAGAAACAACGGGTTCCTCTAAGGTTGGCCTGCAGGTCTCACATAGATAAGCTGTCCATGAAGGACATACAGGCATACAGGCTGGTTGCTGGTTTCCAAAAGTACAAATATATTTTATTATAATTATTAATTATTACTATTATCATTTTAGCTGTCCTGCTACCTGAGGCTGACCACAAAGAAATTAACTTTGCCTCTGGAATGGCATTCCATAGATGAAAAAAGAAATCCCATTATTTTCATGTGTTGGAGCTGCAAAAAATAAAAAAATAATTTCCTGTCTCCCTTAGGTTGTAAAAATTTACATAATCCTCTCCACATTGATGCATTCAGCAGCATGCTATGGAAATGTAAACATTTCTGAAAATAAAACAGCTTTTATAATTAAAAGTTTGTAAAAACAAAACAAAACAAAAACCCCAACCCCAAAGCCATCTGTGATTGAACACATCCCCTGCCTTGGGGTCTATCCTGTATTTTCCTTCCCCTGAAGACAAGAATCGTCCAGTCCAGAGGTCACATGCAGACTTCATCCCTAAAGGTGAGGGTGATATTCAAAATATTGAACAATCCTTTTGGCCCAGGACAAGGTCTAATCAGAAAATGGATGTTGGACCTAGCACTACAGCAAGGAGCCGGGAGGCCCTACAGTGCCAAATGCAACCTTTTTATAGCTAGTTTGTAAGGAACTGCATTGGGGAGATGCTATTGCGGAATGGCCTCCAGCATAGGAGACACTAAGGAAGCTCAGGGAAACTAGTCACCAATCAGAACAGACATATTTCACCCCAGTACACACCCACTAAATATTGGCCCTGCTGAAAGGGACCAGACAAGAACCAAGGTGAGAGAAACAAGCTGGCTGAAGAACTGATGGTCTACTAAGAGGGCAGCCATGATGTGGTTTTAATCAATTGCTGCTAGACCTTCTGATTTCTCATGAGAAGTTAAAAATCTGTATTTTATTTGGCAGATAATGCACATTAAAAGAAAATACCATATAAGCCAAAGGTTTGCCCATGGCCATGTTACAAACTGGGGCATAGTGCAAGATCAGTGATCAAGAGGGTCAGGGCCATCTGTATCCATGGCCACCACAAAAATATGAACCCATCAAGGTGTTCCAAAAGCCCAAATTTCTTTTTTTTTTTTTTTTTTTTTTTTTTTTTGAGACGGAGTCTCGCTCTGTCACCCAGGCTAGAGTGCAGTGGTGTGATCTTGGCTCACTGCAACCTCCGCCTCCCAGGTTCAAGTGATTATCCTGGCTCAGCCTCCCAAATAGCTGGGACTAGAGGCACGTGCCACCACGCCTGGCTAATTTTTCACATTTTTAGTAGAGACGGGGTTTCACGGTGTTAGCCAGGATGGTCTCGATCTCCTGACCTCATGATCCACCCGCCTCGGCCTCCCAAAGTGCTGGGGATTACAGGCGTGAGCCACCACGCCCGGCCCCAAAACCCCAAATTTCTTTCCACCCTCACAGCTCCTGCCATGGTTCAACTCACCTCATGCTTCACCTGATTTGCTGCAGTAGACTCTAAACAAGTGCTCTCACAGCATCATGGATATACTGTTCTTTTAAACATACGCCTCCTATCGTAATAATTTGTCTACCTCACTCAGAGGCTTGTCTTGCTCATTGCCCTATCTGCAGGGCCTCGCATAGAGCTTGGCACCCAGTAGGCACAAAAACAGAAAGAAGGAAGAAAAGTTTTATTCAGTTACTTTCAGTCCCTTTACTATCCTGTCAAACAGTGGCACCTAATGGTGGTATGTGGTACTGCAACCCAGCTTTATTTGACTTGAAACATGCTGACTTAACCAAAGGGGAAATAAATAAAAATGTAAAATCTACAGATTTCATATCATAGGAGAAAGCCCCACATTGGAAGATGTAGCAAAGGCATCTGTAATAGTCATGGCCACCATATTAACTCTTTCTTTTCAACTCAAACTACTGAAGGGGTTTTTAAAAATTATAAGAACATAGCTCTAATTCTTTAATAATTTTTTAGAAAATAGAATTTAAATTTTAGAAAGCAGGTCTGTAGGCAATATCTCCTATAACATTTTACTTCTGAAAATCTGTGTATTTTTTAGGTCTCAGGAGTAGCTCTTAAAAAGATATGGCCCTTGGCTGGGTGTAGTGGCTCATGCCTGTAATCCCAGCACTTTGGGAGGCTGAGGCGGGTGGAGCACCTGAGGTTGGGAGTTCGAGACTAGCCTGACCAACATCAAGAAACCCCATCTCTATGAAAAATACAAAATTAGCCAGGCGTGATGGTGCATGCCTGTAATCCCAGCTACATGGGAGTCCGAGGCAGGATGATCACTTGAACCCAGGAGGCAGAGGTTGCAGTGAGCCAAGATCATGCCATTGCACTCCAGCCTGGGCAACAAGAGTGAAACTCTGTCTCAAAAAATAAATATATATGGCCTTTGTTTCACAATAATATGAGTGGTGTATGTACTACTGCCAAACTATATATGCTTTAAAATATTACAATGGCAAATTTTATGTGTTTTTTAACACAATAGAAAATTGTGTTATATATTATATATATTAAAATTATACATTATGTAAATTATATATTATATAAATAAAATTAATATATAATTATATACATTAAAATATATATTTAAAACAGAGAAATGGTCCTCAGCCACCCTTTGTCTTCAGAGCTCCTTATAACCTGTAATGAAGAAAGCTGGCACCAAAACAAGATAAAGTAGAACAAAAAAAATTTGAAATGAGACCCACATCCTTGGTCCTGGCATTCCATGGTCTAGTCTTGATAACAGCTTTGGGGATAATTTGTTTCTCTCTAGTTTTATGATCTCATTCTGCAGGCATGTTCATTTATTCAGTAGGTATTGATTGAATGCCTACTCCTGAGGCTCTGAAAATATCATTAAAATACAATACCTGTCCTTGACTTACTCTAAATCCAGATTCTAGTAAATATACTTCCAATATACTTGGAGTTCGAAGCAGAGTAGGTGCCTGCTAAGGCCCAGGCTCTCTATAATTCATCAGTCCTTAGCAACTTTCCTATGCCTGGTCATAAGATCATGAACAGGCCACATGGGAACCCCAAGACTGCTTGTAGCTAGACATGCCCATCCTTTCTTATTCACTTCCAGGCACTAAAGCACCCAGTGTCACCATATTAGCTTTTTCCTTGCCATGCCTTGCTGTGACTACAAGAGGTTTTGGGCTTTCTTCAGGTAGCAAAACAAAAGCTGAAAGCAAAATGAATGGTGGAGGCAGTGGGCATCTGTATATGCCAAATGAGTAAGAAAATAAACATAACCCACTCCCAATATTTTTTTACAAGCCATGAGGCCTGTAGTTTCTGTACCCCTGGAAATGTCTCATCCCCAGATGACTGGATCCTAGAGAAGGCATTCATTCATATATCCCTAGCATTCCCAGTGGCTTTGTAGGAGTTAGATTGAATGATATTAGACCCAGAAAGTGCAGAGTAAGATTATTCATGTTATAGATGAGGGAACTGAGACTCCAAGAGATTAGTACAATCTCACAAGCTCACAGCAAATTATTGGCCAAGCCTGGACCAGAACTCAGGTGTCCTGACTCCTACCATAATCTATGCCACACATGAGATACCCTCATTAAGAGAAGGAAGGCAGACTATCCAGCTATAGCTGGTCCAATTCAGGAAGGGGACTCTGGTCACATAAAAGTCTTAAAAGTTTTTCTTGGTGATTTTAATGTCATTTTGGTAAATCTCTGGATTAAGGTAATAGTACAACCCCTATATCCACTAATCAGCACCAGCAGCCACATGGTACTCTACGGATTTTATACAGAAAGGCAGGACAGCCTGCCAGGAAGACTGCCAACCTGGTGATTGGATGGTGTTCCAGTCCCAGTTCTAGTGCTGTAAGAGTTTGGACAGAGAAGAGAGCCAAAAAAGGAAAATGTCAGGACCAAGTTCAAGAGACCCCTCATAACAAAAGACCACAACAAAACTCCTTGGTGAGGCCTTCAAGCACCCTTCTCCAATGGCCAGTTTAAAGACCAGGACCCCAAACTTAAGTTCAGCTATCCAGTCAATGGGATAATGTTGTTGCTGTTGGCTCTGGAACATATCTCTGTGCCTCAGTTTCTTCATGAATGAAATGATTTACTGTGAAATGATATTGAGGTTATTGTGAAAATCAAAAGTTAAAGTGAAAGCTATTGTTAAATTATATCTAAGTTTAAGATAGCACACTTTTTAAAATCAACATTACCTCTATTATCATACTGTATATTTTCCCTTAAAACTGAAAGCATGGGGGTGTTTCATCTTATAGGCAGAAAACCAGAGGATCAAGAGGTCGCAGTGGGGCCAAGAGTGTTTCAGTCTTCCTAGATCAGCCACACTGCCATCAAGGTCTGGAGGGCACCTGAGGCACCAAGGGTCCCAAATGCATTGAAGCTCAGAATCAGAAGAAACACGAATACTCTGTATTGTCTTGAGCAGTATTTCACAGAGCAGCATCCATGACCTCCTGTTTCAGAGTCAACCAGGACAATTGTTGCAAACACAGATCCAGGAACTCTCTGAAAGACTGGGGATGGGGCCCCGGATTCCATATTTCTAATCATTCCCCCCAGATGACCGATGCAAGCTAACATTTTAGAATCTGCTTTGCCTCATATCTGATCGCCCTTTTATGTAGAGACTCTACACTGGAAGACTGAATCCATAGCGTGTCTTTATCCAGAGAGCTTCCCTCCAGGCAACATTCTTTCAGCAACTTGTAAGACACCACAAGCCATCAGAATGGGCTGAATGGAGAAGGATATCACTGATGGCATTTTGGATTTCAGAAGGGGGAAGGGTCCAACTCCCATTTCCCAAAGAAAGACTGCTTCAACAAATGACTGAGTGAGAGGTTAGTAATGTAGCCATGACCACAACTATGTTCCACCCAGACAGATGCTGCCCCTGTGCATGACTTACGCCCCAGTCATGGCTTTGCCTTTTGCAGGGTCTCTGGCCTGCATTCTTCCAAGACCAGATCACTTTCCCTGATCCTGTATTTGAGGGTTAACAAGATATTTATGAACAATGCCCATAAAACACTGCCTTGGGAGTACAGAAACTCTTGGCTTCAGGGTCAGCTTAGCTGCACCTGCTAGTTTAAGTCCCAGTGCCTCGGTTTCTTTAGAAACAAAACAGACACTCTCTGGCTGTCCTGTCTGAAAGGAGTGGCCAGGATAAAGAGGCAGGATTTGCAGAAAGTTAAGTGGTGCAGGGGAGAAATCTCAACCCACATCAGATGCCCTTGTGCGAATTATGCAATCTGGGATTTAGGTGAAAATCAACATGCATTCTGCCTGCCGAGGCACTCCCAGAGAATAGAACTGACAGGGAGCCAGCTGCCCCTTCTAAACTGACACAAGAACTTCCAGCATTTCAGCACTTGGACTTGCACGCTCTACTCCCTCAGCACAGCCCCATGTCCCTGCACAGTCAGTACCTTTAGTCTGGGGTGGCCACTGCCAACACTATACAGCAGGAGAGCATGGGGGAAGGAAGTGGCTTCAGCAATCACTGTTGGGACACACCAGATTTTGTATGCTGCCACCTAGGTGTTGGGGGCAAGCCCCTTCTCCTGCCTTCTGCACTTCCCTCTCAGGCGGTCCTGGGAGATTTCTTCATTTGATGTTTACTCTTTGCAAAGCAGTCTTGAAATTGTTGGCAGTTTAAAAAGAGAACAGAGAGAGTACATTCAAGAGTGATCTCTCTCTACTCAAAATCCTTAAAAATCTGAACTCTTTAGTAAGGCCTCTAAATATTTGCATTCTCCAATGTCTATTTTTAAAAGAACAATCTGAATCTTAAATAGATGTCTCAGCTTAATGGAAAGACTCCAATATGACTAACTATAGCTGGAAAAGTTATCAAGATAAAATGAAGACACTGATTTCAGTTTCCCTGGATTGTCTTTGAAAAACCTATGGGTAGACAATCCAGGTCTACCTTCAGGAGTCATTCAAACATCAGCAGAAGGCAAACCAAACTGAGAGGACTAGGGGCTTAGTCTAGAACTGCTGGCAAATTCATTGTAGTGAGGTCAAATTTATGTTACAGTGGAGTGATTTATGTATATTTTATTGGCCCTTTGCATAACCATAATAACTGTCTCTTGCTGAGCATTTACTGTGTCTCGGCCATTGGTTAAGTTTTTTTTTTTTAGATGAATTATCTCATTTAACCTGGACAACAGCCCCCAAGAGTTAAATATTCGTATCTCAGCTTTATAGATGGGGACTGTGTTGGTCAGCTCAGGCTGCCATGACAAAATACCACAGACTGGGGGGCTTAAACAACAGAAATTAATTTCCTCACAGTTCTGGAGACTAGAAATCCAAGATCAAGGTATCAGCAGGTCTGGTTTCTCCTGAGGCCTCTCTCCTTGGCTTGCAGACGGCCACGTTCCTACCGTGTCTTTACGTGTTCTTTCCTCTATGTGCATACCCACACCTGGTGTCTTTTCTTGTGTCCAAATTTCCTCTTCTTATAAAGACACCGGTCAGATTAGATGAGGGGCCACTAACAGTCTCATTTTAACAAAATCACCTCTTTAAAGGCTCTGTCTCCAAATATAGTCACATTCTAAGGTATTGGGGTTAGGGCTTCAATATGTAAAATTGAAGGGGACACAATTCAGCCCTTTACAGGAACACTGAGGCTCAGAGCAGTGGAACAACTTGCCCAAGGTCACACAATACAGGGCAGAGCTGGGATCCCAGCCTAGACCTGTCTCTTTCCCAATCAGTGATCATAGGACACTGACCCCAAGTACAACAGAGTTAACGGAGCATTGGGCCAGTGTCAATGACCTTGGTTATGGTCCCAACTCTACTATTAACTAACAGTGCATCCTGGCACAAGTGGCTGACCCTCAGGGCCCCCATTTTCTCATCTGTAAAACACAGGACTCAGACTAGTTGATCTTCTGCATGCTCTCCATGTCTAACAGTCTCTAATTATAGCTTTGTTCTTTCACATAACTCCACTGCTTTCTCTATATTTCATGATACATGCTTGATCATAGCTATGACTTACAGGATGCTTAGTTCTTGACTTCCTTGGCATCCCATTTGCAACATTGTTCCTATAGGTAAAATAGAATCTGCTTGACAAGTGTCTTATTTGACACAGCACACTTTATGACATAGTTTCCAAGGCATGTGGAGACAAAGGTGAGAGACTTCTTGTCAGACATCTCCAGAGATAAAAGGAATAACATTTGCTTTTTGTGCTGTTTTGTCTTCTCATTATTTACAGCTCTGTGATCCTCAGTAAAGGAGAACTGAAAGCTGACTGCACATAAATTAAAGGAATAACGTTGATTGTTGTTGACCGTTTACAATAAAAAACATCTTGGAAGATGCAAGGAAATTCAGTCACAGCTAGTTGGGACCTCACATCTGGCCCTGAAGCAGATTCACAAGTCTCACCTCCAGGCCACACTGGCAGGCGAAAGAGAAAGTCAACATGTGTGATCCTCGTGAGGTTCAGCCAGCCTGGAGCTGGATAAAAGAAAGGACATGGTACCTGGGGTAGACCAGCAGGAGAAAGGCTCAGGGCATAGGCTACAGGGCACAGGCTTCCAGGAGGAGCTGTAACTGTTGGTGGACACTGAGCAGATAGGGTTGCAAATTTTTAAAGTGAATAAATAGATCTGCAACATGTTCTTCAGGACTCAGGTGTTTCAGATCAAGCACACATTATGCTACAATGTAGCATTTCTAAGAAATATCCTGAACAGGCCAGGCACAGTGGCTCACACCTGTAATCCCAGCACTTTGGGAGGCCGAGGCAGGTGGATCACCTGAGGTCAGGAGTTCGAGGCCAGCCTGGCCAATATGGTGAAACCCCGTCTCTACTAAAAATACAAAAATTAGCAGGGCACGGTGATGTGCACCTGTAATCCCAGTTACTCGGGAGGCTGAGGCAGAAGAATTGCTTGAACCTGGGAGGCAGAAGTTGCAGTGAGCTGAGATTGCAACACTGTACTCCAGCCTGGGTGACAAAGTAAGACTCCATCTCAAAAAAAAAAAAAAAGAAAGAAAGAAAGAAAGAAATATCCTGAACCAGAATTTCTGAAATGCCTGCCTACTACTGCATTTGCACAGTCCTCTGAAAAGACATGAAGTCATAAGAACATTTATTTTATTGCTCACAAGGTGCTTTTACACTGTGACCCTCATAGCAACCCCCAGAGTCACTGGCCTCCAAAGAGATTATGTAACTTGCCCAACCTGGAATTTGAACCCAGGTCTCCTGACTCTAGAGTTTTTCTCTATACTATGTATCTCTGAATAACAAGACTAGTTTCCCCAAAGGAAAAAAAGCTTTCTTATTTTTCAAACAAAATAAGGGGAAGAAAACAGTCTCTGTACTTGGGAGGCAAGATTACTGCTGGTCATTTGTCATGGTTGACTTGCTATTTTTATAAACAAGAGGCAATCGAGTCAAAGGGAAAGACCATTCGGTACCCAACAAAGTGAACACAATACGTTATAATACTGGGGAGAAACAAGGACAAAAAAGAAAAAAAATATATCAAAATAGCCTATGAGAAATACAGAAGACAACTTTCCCATTGTTCTAAATTTGGAAAGATTTCAGATGCTGTCACAGTCAGCACCATAAGAACCATTGTGTTGAACATGATGGCCAACAGTGAGGCCAACAGCAGCTAGAGCAGGGTCCCAGTTGGCTTCATGAGAAGCTGAATCAACCAGGACCAGAGCCCCCCACCCAAGACAACCTTAGCCAAGTCTTGGATAACCTACTTCCACATTGGATGGCAACCTCTCAAACGCACAGAACCAAATTCTCCCTATTGGAGCATCTTCTCTGCTTCCACAATGATTCTCAATAATAGGGCCGATGCAGACTTGAGCTTGTTTTCTAAGAATGTGCCCTTCACATACATTCATTGAAATAGTAATAAATAATCTCAGGGGGCAACAACTATGTTAACATATAGTTGTTTCATGGTTTGCTAAGTCCTTTCACATATACACTCTCTTATTTGAAACATAAAACACCCTTCTGGATGTAGGCTGATTGGTATGTTAACACTGCCCTCATTACACAGATAAAGAAACTGAGGTTCAGGGTTCATGTGACTTTACCCACAAAATTACCAAATATCAATGCAGAAACATGAACCCAAAACTTCTGACTTCATATTTCATGCTACTTCCAAGATATCAGCCATACACTAAGTAAGACTTCTTGGTTAATGTAGCAAATATTACTCCCTCATCTGTTTCTTTTTTGCCTGATGAACTTGACAGATCTGACGAGCAGCACCAGATATCTGGTCACATCAGTACTGTCAGGCAGATATGAGGAGAGAGGCCAGTTGTTACCAGCCACCCACGCTTCAAAGTTACTTTATAAAAGCAAAACTGTCATCAGTTATTCAGCCATAGACATCTCAGAGTTTAAAAAAAAAAAAAAAAGCTGTGAGGAAGACTTACAGGCTTGTAGCCTCAAGGAGACTTTGAATTAGAAAGCTACAATACTGGACGTCTGTCTGTCCTGAGGATGTGGGGTGGGCAGATTAGACTAAGTTTGGAAGCCACAGCAGCCTGGGTAACCACTGCCAGGCGAGTTGACCAAGGGGAGGCGGGCAGCAACTCTACTGACTCAACAGAACCAAAAGAAAGAATATTAATTTTTTCCTGTAGCTATAATCTCTGGTTGACCCAAGTAGTTCATGACAGTCTTCCCATCCTACAGAATAAAATCTGTCCTCTCACCCCTAATCCATCAAGAAAAACAAAGTGAACACATGGCCTTAAGACAAGTTCTTAATTCGTTCATCCTCAGAAGATGGAATAGAAAGACACTCTGGACACTCAAAGTGTAAAATGAATTAGCTGCATTAGAAATTGTATTAGTTTTCTATTGCTGTGTAGCAAATTACTCCAGAACGTAGTGGCTTACAACAGCAATCATAACTCAAGTCCATACCGAGGGAGAGAGGGGAGAATTGTAGACTTTGATGTTGAAACTTGAGGATCTTCTTGTGATTTTCTCTTTTTCTCAGCCCTTCGTGAACTGTGGGGATATGCAACCTTAAAAAGCTCCATCTGGATTCAAGTGTTCCTCGCATCTTGTTGTTAGATGTGTTAGTTTCCTAGGGCTTCCTTAACAAATTACAAGGAACTGGGTGGCTTAAAACAATAGCAGTTTATTCTCTCGGAGTTCTGGAGGCTAGAAGTCTGAAATCAAGGTGCTGGAAAAGCTAAGCTCCCTCAAGAAACTCTAGGAAAGAAGAATCCTTCCTTGATTCTCCCTAGCTTCCAGTGGTTGTAGGCAATTCTTGGAGCCCTTGACTTGCAGCAATATCACTCCAATTTCTGCCTTTATCTTTACGTGGTCTTTTCCCCTCTGTGTGTGTTTCTCTCTGTGTCTCAGTGTCTTCACCTGGCCTTCTTATAAGGATCCCAGCCATTGGATTTAGGACCCACCTTAATCTAGTATAACCTCATCTTAATTTAACTAATTGTATCCGCAAAGACCTTGTTTCCAAATAAGGTCACATTCTGAGGCTCTGGGTGGTGTCAAATCAAATTTAGCCTAAAGCTCCATCCCTAACATATATTAAGTTCAGCCTAAAGGTTTCTCTGTGCATTGTGAACTATAATTTAAAGGGAGTTGTAAACAGACTGCAGTCTACTCTTGTGCCAATCACCAAGTTTTGGCCAATCAAAGGTGGCCAACTGTTCAAACCGTGTACAATTAAGGCAAATGCTGAGCTGTAACCAATCCGGCTGTTTCTGTACCTCACTTCTGTTCTGTGTGTCACTTTCTTTTTTCTGTCCATAAATCTTCCACCACATGGCTGATCTGGGGTCTCTGAGCCTACTATGGCTTGGGAGGCTGCCCGATTTGTGAATCGTTCTTTGCTCAATTAAGCCCTTTCAAATTTAATTCAGCCAAAGTTTTCCTTTTAACAGATGGCATAAGAAGTGGGATCCGAAGTAAAGCTTCCAGTGACTCCTGGGAGTGCTGGGTGACCAAGAGAGGTACCCACCAGGCACATTGTGTCCATTGCCCTCTTGCAGCAACTGAGGATGGTGGTAAATTCTGTCTCGGATTCCGAAGCTCCACAGATTTGTGTTTTGAGCTCTCTGAATTTCTTTGAGCAAATTTCTGATCCAAACTGGGTTTGGGAAGTAGCAACAGAAACTGGACTGGATCCAGGATCGGATGGGATCTAATTATTAACTGGCTTGGATCAAATTAGAGGCTTCCTCCATCTGACTGGGTCAGAAATAAATGGCAATATTGCAGGAGGTATAAAATTAGGCTTTGGAAATTTGCAGGGATTTTTGTGTTCTACCCCTTTGTTTCAGTTTTCTTGCGTGCTTAGGTAAGGAAAAAGTCATCGGCTAAGTTGATCAAGGGAACCTGAAAGCCAAAGCCAATATTTGAGGTAAAAATGGAATCCTTAATTTATGAAAAATTGAGTTCCTTCTGGCTTATATATGCTTAAGTATTAGGCCCCACAAGCAGCAAAGTCTTACAGAAATGGTGAAATCTTACTAAAGATAAGTTACAGTGGAACATTCCAAATGAACAACACTGCACTGAAGTGCATTTGAAAATGAGGGCTTCCAAATTAGTCTTATGTAGGAATGCCTATTAATATGCAGAGGCTCCTAAAAAGATATCAGTGTTTTTATTTAAAGACTTTATAAAAAGCTTAAGTGATAATTGATTTAAAAAATTAAATCTGCTAACGTTTTGGCTTCGTTACTATCCCACCCCAAAGGTGGAAAGATAGCTATCCTACATAGGGTGTTTGTAAAAGGTAGACCCCCTCTGGTAAAATAGGCTTGCTTCCTTTTCAGATCTATCCATGCTGAATCCAGGCATACTGGATTGGCCATATTCCTTAATGTGCTCCACCTGTTACCCTGAACTAAGTCATTTTAGCTAAAAAAAAACAGTAGCTACGTTAAAAAGAACACCCTATGAAACTAAAATACATCTTTCTGGAATTTAATTGGCTATCTTGAAACTCTTTTATTTATTTATTTATTTTTTTGAGACAGTCTCACTCTGTCACCCAGGCTGGAGTGCAGTGGTATGATCTCAGCTCACTGCAACCTCTACCTTCTGGGTTCAAGCGATTCTCCTGTCTCAACCCCCCAAGTAGCTGAGATTACAGGTGTGCACCATGACATCTGGCTAAATTTTGTATTTTTGGTAAAGATGGGGTTTCCCCATGTTGGTCAGGCTGGTCTTGAACTCCTGGCCTCAGGTGAGCCACCCACCTCTGCCTCCCAAAGTGCTGGGATTACAGGCATGAGCCACCATGCCCGGCCTTGAAACTCTTTTGTAAAATAAATTTATAAACAAAAATCTCCATTTTTAAGGATGTCTGCCTATGTACATTACAAACTCTTACCATTCTTTTAAATTTACATAAGAAATGGAGAAACCCCATCTCTACTAAAAATACAAAATTAGCCAGGCGTGGTGGCGCATGCCTGTAATCCCAGTTACACAGGAGGCTGAGGCAGGAGAATTGCTTGAATCTGGGAGGCAGAGATTGCAGTGAGCCAAGATGGCGCCATTGCACTCAAGCCTGGGCGACAAGAGCGAAACTCCGTCTCAAAAAAGAAAAAAAAAAAATCATACCTTTGTTTAAGGTGCTTTTCTGCTTTTCACATCTTAAGTGAACTTTTACTTCAGCAGGTTTTTTCTCCCCTTGGTTTAAGTGATGATAAAATATTTAGGCCTAAAATCTTAGGTCTGCGCTTATGAATTATAATTTTTTTTGTTCCACCTAAGAGTTGTACCTATAGAAATGCAAATTTATTGCCTAGTTAACAATTCCTTAGGGCAATGAAACTGGTTATTGGAAGACTGATAGATAAGGAAAATAAAAACTATTTAAAAGCCAGCAAATGAAAATCCTTTACGAGAGCTATAAGATCTTCTTCTATGTGTTTCTATGTCTATATGTGTTATGTATATGTGATATTTGGTAAATGAAACTAGTTTTTAAATTGTTGGCAAAATATAAATGGTTTCAAAATTATCAGTTAAATATAATTTGATACTTGCTTGATTTGACCGTGAGCTTATGTCTTTGGTGTAGAGTCTCTGAATTCAGGGGTCTGGATAGGTGGCCATGATGAGGTCTGGAGACATGTTCTTAGAGCCTAGACCAGCAGCCACACGCCAGAATCAAGCCCAATATGGCCCCTTCTTCCTCTGCTTTTCCTGTTTTGCCTCCTGGCTATTTTGGGAGGGATTCGGTCGTCCAGGTAAAGTCTTCACAGCTCTGTCTTCTGTCCTGATGGACTCAGACAGGCCCTGATCTTCAGAGTCCTCCTGGGTGCCACGTGGCTACTTGGGACCTAGAATGGCTGGGTGAAGACATTAGGGAAGCTACCGGTGTCAAAATTCTTTTCAGTAATTTAAAATCTTAGAGTCATGTTATGTTAAATTAAGTAATATATAATCATATAATGTCTGAATCATCTGTAAGTTAAGATACTGAAATGTTATTAAACATGAGTTATACACCTTGATAGGTTATTTTTATATGGTATAGAAAAGCTAAATATACTTAGATATATTAATAAACAATAATTAGAAGATTTTTTTTTTTTGAGATAGTTTTGCTCTTGTTGCCCAGGCTGGAGTACAATGGCACGATCTCAGCTCACCGCAACCTCTGCCTCCTGGGTTCAAGCGATTCTCCTGCCTTAGCCTCCTGAGTAGCTGGGATTACAGGCATTTGCCACCATGCCCGGATCATTTTGTATTTTTAGTAGAGACGGGGTTTCTCCATGTTGGTCAGGCTGGTCTTGAACTCCTGACCTCAGGTGATCCGCCCACCTCAGCCTCCCAAAGTGCTGAGATTACAGGCATGAGCCACTGTGCCCGGCCTCGAAGAACTACTTTTCTACAAAATTTAAAAATTTTTTTATCTACAAATACTGATATAAAACAGCTCAAAATTACTTTCTAGGGTTTTCACTAGAAATTACAGCTACTAAGAGTTAAAAACTACTAGATATGAGAGAAACAATTCTGTATACAGAGTATGTAAGCAAAAGCAAAATATGCATTTCGTGAGGAAAGTTATAAAGGCATAAAAATGTATGTTAAAAAAATTGCCTGGTTTAAAACTAAAGTTTTCAAATTGAAGGAGTAAAAAAAAGATAAAACAAGATAGTACAGCAAGCTGGGGGAAATGTAAAATGGAAAGGTTTATGGAAACCTTGTGGTTAAAAGATGACGGATTTGATAAATTTATTTATGAGGTTTTATTCAAATTAGTTTTAGTATTACTATACTAAAACAAAAGTAAAATTTGGTGTTCTCTTTTAAACAAAAATTTTGTGTAGTATTAATAAGACACAGCAATATATTT
The DNA here is from genome assembly GCF_000001405.40 of Homo sapiens. Classification (NCBI taxonomy): domain Eukaryota; kingdom Metazoa; phylum Chordata; class Mammalia; order Primates; family Hominidae; genus Homo; species Homo sapiens. Next base: position 37,762,399 of record NC_000005.10, on the reverse strand, counting down.
TCATTCACCTTTTGAGTAAACTGCAAAAAGGAAACAAGGAGACAGTAAAGAAGAAGAAATGGATTCTGTCTCATGCTGTCTTAGGTCTTTTGCTTGTTTAGAAAACTGAGTCTCCTTTATCAAAGAGTACAAGTTTTTGTTTTTAAAAATCTTTTAATTATGACTTTGGTTAAGTGAATGATATTGTTCTACGATGATCTGTGATCCTATTTTGGTCAAGTATTTTAAACTTTTGACATATTTGTCAAGCTTCCCAAAACCAAACTTTGGCCTCAAAATTAAGTATTTTTTTGATCTCTAACTTTGGTCCCTGAGGCATCCAAAAGAGAGCTAAACAGGATTATTTGACATGTTAAGTTACATGGGAAGCACTGTCAAATAAGAAATAATGATTAGCCTTCTTCAGGTTATATTTTAATGAATGTTATAAATATATGTTCCAAAATTGTATGGGATTTCTAAAATTCTAATATGTCTGAGTATATGCTATAGATCATAACATGGTTAAGTTATTATAGGCCACAGAAATAGTCAAATTTCTTTGTCAATTTTTTTTTAACTGACTGAAGTCATTTCCACAGTTAATTGCTTAATTTTGATGCAGTTTCTAAAAACTTCACAAGCATGCAAAATCCTAGAATATGATGTATTTAAGGAGGTTCATGAAAGGACGGAAAGGACCCTGAAAAGCACTCTTGAAAACAAGCTTTGATAACTTTAGAATGATATCTTTTGGACTGGGTAAGAATTCCTAGAACTTCAATGAAAAGACTGACTGGTTTATAAAACCGCTAACCCAAGCAGAACAAAAATTAATTGAATACCAAGGAAATACTTTGCCAGATTTTCATGCTAAATCAGCCAATACTGAAAATGTTTAGATATACATTTTGAATGAACTCCATGGTCTAAGTCAAATTACTCATGATAACCCATCGGTTATCAGTGCTATGCACCTAAATTGGAGAAACAACTGGTATTCAAGAAGACATAAGTTCAATGTTAAGGATGGACTCATGGAGAACCAGGATGACTGCCTTATCCTTCCTGAGTCCTTAAAGCTTTTGTCATTAAAAATTCTGCATTCCATGACTCATCATGGAAAAGATAAAGTAATCCAAATTAAATATATGTATCGGTGTGATGATTTCTAAATTGTCAAAATAGTTTATGACCAGTGTTTGGTTTGTCAAACCCACATTCCTGGGAAGACAATCAAAACTTCAGATATATTTTGCTACCTGATTGTCAAACCCATATTCCTAGGAAGACATTCAAAACTTCAGGTACATTCTGCTCCCTGATGGGCCATTTAAACATTTATAGAGGGATTTCATTCAATTGTCATTTTCAATGCATGTTTTCTGGTTGTATAAAAGCTTTCCCATGCAAGAGGGTTGATGTTATACACTAGCTCATTATGCAACAGTGTATTTTCACCAGGTAAAGAAATCTTTTCATGCTTCACTGACTGAAGACAATCAACACCTTCACAATCTAGAATGCAAAGATTGGATCTCCTGAGAACATCAGAGAAAGACTGCCCTTGCCATCCACACAGTAGCAAAACTTCAGGACCTTGAACCTTGGGTTCACAATCTCACAAGTCAGAGGGGTCCCTCTACACTCTTGGAACTATACACCCACTGGAATCCTTAAAGTAAAGCTAACCAGGGAAGTTTCTCCCCAGAAGAAGATGGCATCCTTTATGTAGACAGCTTTTTCCCAAGATCACAGATCAAGATTTCTCTACTATCATGAGACTCTTATCTTTCCGTTTTTCCCTCTTGCTTAGGCCTCTGCAAACAATAGAAGTGAAAAGGGGGTCTGTTGTGTGCACTCGTGGGGCATAATTTTTCTTGGGAAGGATTTTGCAGCCAGCCTTCTATATGGATAACCTTATGTCTAGACAGATGGAAGGTCCAATGTAGGTGAGAAATTTTAAGGGTACAGACATTGCCTCATAATCAGTCAGAAACAGAACATTGGTCCACTCCTCTTAACCTACATCATAGGTTAAAGAGAACATTGCCAGGAGGTCTTCACTGCTCTAGAAAGACATCATTTGTTAGGTGGTTTTTTTCATGGTTTGGAGTAAATGGGGCAATAACTAGAAATTTAGCCCTCATGATAGGCTCTATGGCAGATTCTACTGTAAAGGCTGTGGTTACACAATGGACTTTAGGTTATCTTGTGAAAGTTATGCTAAATAATATAATTGCTCTACATTACTTATTGGCTAAACAGAGAAATATCTGTGCAGCTGCTGGCACTTCTTGTTGCCCATGGAGAAACACATCACATCAGGTATTATAGAAGTTCAGTGGTAGGGGATTAACAAAGAGACTGCTTAAAGTGAGTAGATTATTTATCTAGCTCCTTCTTTATTTGATTTTAGGTGGTTTGCTTTATGGGGACACTGGCTAAGGCGCATACTGCAAACTCTTGGTATTGTCCTCCTCATAGTCATAATAGTCTCCCTGGTGTGCTGTATTCTCTCAACAGTTCTAAATGTTTGCATGCAGACATCTTTAGAATGTCAAATGATCTTTCTTCAACTGGATAAGAGCTAAAAGAAATGTGTGACCATGAGGACATCATAAACTATGAATTACGTGCTGAGACAGGAAACCCAAAATGATGGTACAATAACTGAGAGTGGGCTGGGCGCGGTGGCTCACACCTGTAATCCCAGCACTTTAGGAGGCCGAGGCAGGTGGATCATGAGGTCAGGAGTTCAAGACCAGCCTGGCCAAGATGGTGAAACCCCATCGTTACTAAAAGTACAAAAATTAGCTAGGCATGGTGGCAGGCGCCTGTAATCCCAGCTACATGGGAGACTGAGGCAGGGAATTGCTTGAACCCGGGAGCCAGAGGTTGCAGTGAGCCGAGATCATGCCACTGCACTCCAGCCTGGGTGACAGAGTGAGACTTCGTCTCAAAAAATAATTTTTTTTTTTTTTGAGATGGAGTTTCACTCTTGTTGCCCAGGCTGGAGTGCAGTGGCGTGATCTCGGCAGCTCACCGCACCTTCTGCCTCCCGGGTTCAAGCAATTCTCCTGCCTCAGCCTCCCAGGCAGCTGCGACTAGAGGCGCCTGCCACCACGCCTGACTAATTTTTAGTAGAGACAAGATTTCACTATGTTGGCCAGGCTGCTGGTCTCGAACTCCTGACCTCGTGATCCGCCCGCCTCGGCCTCCCAAAGTGCTGGGATTACAGGCGTGAGCCACCACGCCCAGCCTAAAAAAAATAAAAATTAAAAAAAAATAACTGAGAGTGACATTAAGGCCTTAAATTTGGGTCACACTCTTATATGAGAACCTGACCAGAAGGGGGTAATTTTTAAACAAAGTTATGGGAGGCCATTGTTTTGGACTGGGCTCATGCTCTAAGCCCCAACAGACCAGACCAAACTAAAATGGAGTCACTCATGCCAAATGTGACATAATCAAACTAAGACTTCAGGAAACACATAGATCCTAGAACAGGTGGGTTTTGTTTTTCTCCTGTAAACAGAAAGTTCCAGCATAAGGAGGTACCCTCTACTTTAACCCTTACAAAAAAAAAATAATAATAACCTCAGGTCTTTGTTTTCGCCTTACACAACCTACTGTTGTGCTATTTCTCAGTGGGTTTCAAGACCAAATAAGTACATTTACAATGGTGATAGGGACATCAATGACTAAAGTTTTGGTGAATCTCTCAAAATTGAGAGGGTTACCAAATGGAGGGAATGGTTAAATCCAGTTTAGCCTAAAGCTGCCTCCTTACGTATTTTAAGTTCAGCCTAAAGATTTCTCTGTACATCATGAACTATAACCTATATGGAGTTGTATACAGACTGTAGCCTACTCTTGTACAAATCACCAAGTTTTGGCCAAAGATGTCCAACTCTTCAACCTGTGTTCAAATAGGGCATTCACCAAGCTATAACCAATCCGGCTGTTTCTGTACATTTCCATTTTCTGTGCATTACTTTCCTTTTCCTGTCTATAAATCTTCTACCACATGGCTGCGCTGGAGTTCCTAAGCCTACTCTGGCTTGGGAGGCTGCACGATTAATGAATCATTCTTTGCTCAATTAAACTCTTTTAATTCAGCTAAGCTTTTTAACAGTGGACATGAATTTAAGGGAACACTGTTCAACCCAGTAAACTAGAAATATTTCCCAGAATCATCTTTGTCCTCTCCAATTGGGCACCTACTGATAATCAGGATTGCAATGGCCCTATCTAACAAATGAGTCATACTTTTTGACCCCGCATAATTCCATTTTGGGTTACTTACCAATTCTAAGAAAAGAATTCAACATAAACTATCCAAAGCAGCATTGCTTATAATAGCAAATTTGAAAATAATCTGTATTTCCAATAGGATAATAGTTTAGAATATATATGTATATAATGAGCTACTATGTAGCTACTAAGATTATATATGAGGTTTATATTATGGAAAATTTGCATGCTTATTTTATAAGTGAAAAATACACATTGTTCATAAATATAATAATTCTATTTTTGAGAAGAGAAAATAAATCTGAAAACTATATAAAAAAGAAAAAAATTGAAGGTAATTCATCAAAATATTAGTACTGTTTGTGCTAATATTTGAATTAGCACAAATTGAATGGTTGAATAATTTTATCTTTTAAGTTGTTGCAGTTACACATTTCTGTATAATAAACAATCCCACAACTTAGTAGCTTCAAATGACAATAATCATTTATTTTGTTCATTAATCCACAGTTTGGGCAGGGCACTGTTGGGATTGGCTCATCTCTGCTTCATGTGACAAGAGCTGATGTGACTCAACTGTAACTGAAGGATCTGTTTTCCAAGATGGCTCAATAACATGTTGCTTCCAGCTGACAGCTGTGGGAGCTCTTTTGGGGTTGTTGGCTAGGGGCCTTAATTCCTCTCCAAGTGGGCCTCTCCATGGGGCTGCTTGGGCTTCCTCATAGCATGGCAGCCAGGATTCAAGAACAAGTGTCCCAAGAGAAAGAAAGGAGGTGCAATTCTCTTAAGGTCTGGGCCTGGTGACTTGAAAAACATCATTTCTGCCATGTTCTGTTGGTCTAGATGTCACCAAGCCTGCTCAGATTTAAGGGGAGAGAAGTGTCAATGAGCTTGTGGCTATTTTTTTTTTTTTTTTTTTTTTGAGACGGAGTCTCGCTCTGTTGCCCAGGCTGGAGTGCAGTGGCGCGATCTTGGCTCACTGCAAGCTCCGCCTCCCGGGTTCACGCCATTCTCCTGCCTCAGCCTCCCGAGTAGCTGGGACTACAGGCACCCGCCACGACGTCCGGCTAATTTTTTGTATTTTTATTAGAGACGGGGTTTCACCGTGTTAGCCAGGATGGTCTCGATCTCCTGACCTCGTGATCCACCCGCCTCGGCCTCCCAAAGTGCTGGGATTACAGGCGTGAGCCACCGCGCCCGGTGGCTATTTTTAATCTACCATTAAAAATAAGCATTTCCAAAAGTTTCATTAGAGTATTATTACTACTGGGGGCAGGTGAAGTATCTTTTAAAATGCTTTTATTAAAAAATGTGAAGACAGTAGTATAAACTGATAATTCAGAAAACTACTTAGAATGGCAGTTTCTCCACTCTTTGCCCTGAAAGTTCCTCCTGCAGCTACATACTTCAACACACGCACACCCCACACACAAAGATCTCCTGTCTTCAGGCACTTCTCCCATGGCCTGGTCCTCCTCTCTCTTCTTTGGTGAGGGTATTAATCAAAAATTAAAGTTACATGTGCCTTATTCCAGAAAGATGGTTTTCAAAATGTGTCTGTAAACAACCCTCTCCAACTTCTTGATCTCTTCACAATAAGTCTCACAAATGAATGAGGCATATCACCTCTGGGGGGCTACTGACCCAGGCTGTTTGTGTACCTGTACACCTTGCCTTTCTCCTGCCCCATCTGACTCACTGATTATTAAACACTATCTCATGCCTGAGATAGTCATGTTGATTCTTTAAAGCTTGTCTCAAGTTGGCTCAAGTCTCATATTTGTTCTTAGATCACATTAAGAAAAATGCTCACACTTTTTTTTCTGCCTTCATATGGCTGTGAAGCTGACCTCTTGTTTTTTTAATGGGACAGAAAGCCATAATCTTTCAAAGAATAAATACTAAGGTCTGACTACAAAGCAATATGACTGATTGCCTAAGATTAAATGGTAGACAGTGTATGAAAGGTTTTAGTTGGGTTGGTTTTATTTGGTACTGTGTGTGTGTGAATGTGTGAGAGTTATGTCCTGGTTTTCAAGTATGAATGGCCCAATTTTAGACAGTTATCCTGGGAGATGAAGGAATTACTAGCTGTACCCAGTATCCTCGAATTGAGTCTAATTTATGGATTCTCTCCACAGAAAAATGTACGAGTATAAGCAAAGCATGCTGCATAAAATTTGAGGGAGTTCACAGACATCCCGCCTAGGTTAAGAATCCCCATGCTAGACATCTCTCAGATCTTTGGTAAGTCAGGGTCACATGACCTTCCCAGTATCAAGTCCAACAGGACAGGAGGCAAGTACCTGAGGATGTCATGGTGGCTTAGAACTTGCTGTGCCCTGCCAGGAATAGCACAGATAATCCTGCCTCCTCCTTGAGCCATCACAGTTAGCTGTGAATAAATCCCCACAGAGAAGAGGTAAAGCAGCCTGGATGCAGACCAACCTTCAGTACTAACGATCCTCCTTTCCATCTGCGAGGCAGAAGCACTTCTCACACCTCATTCTTTTCCCATCCATTCTTCATCCTTGCCTGTTTCATTCCCTCCCTCTGCCAAAGATTGAATACGCCTCTTTTTAAACCCTTTCTCAGGGCTAGGGTCTAGGAATACAAATGTGAATAGAACATGGCTCCTCTAATTTATTAAACAAACTTACTGAATATTTACTGAACCCAATGCTCTTTAGTTTTTACAATCTACACCCTAGTGAGGAAACATGCATGTACACACATGGGCACACACCACTGGCCCACAAGCCATTCATGTGTATACAATCATAACGCAACATAAAAGGAGGCTATAATTGAGAGATATGTAAGCAACTATCGAAGCGGAGACTGTCTGCCTGGGAAGGTGAAATTGATTCCTGTTTCCAAAATCAAATAGGAATTTTCCAAGCAGACAAGGGTGGAAGAGGGGACAACATGTGCAAAGCCATTCAGGTGCCAAAGAACATAGTAGTGGCTGAGCCTCAGAAGCATGTGCCAGATCAGCAGGAGTTACAGCATGAAACACAGGGAAAGGCCGAATCCTGGATGTCCTCAATTGCCACATAAACGCATGAGTACTGACATAGAGCTTCTGGAAGGCTCTAGGCAAAAGAATGAAATGACAGATTTTGACTTTAGAAGGCCAACTCTGATGACAGAATGAAAGATGGGTTAGATGAGGACCTAATGAAAAACAGGAAGATCATTTGGGCAGGAGGCTCCTGAGTGGTGCTGGTGAAGGCTAAAAGAGGGTCTAAATTCTAGAGGGGTGGTAGGGAAAGAGAGGAAGGGCAAATATGAGAGATTCAGAAGACAGCATGGGAAGAAACTGGCAAATAATTAAATGGGTGGGAGTGGGGGGTGAGGGAGGAGTCATTAGGATGACTGCCAGTTCCTTCGAGCAACTAGAAATGAAGGCGACCAAATACAAGGTTGCATGGGGGAAGATAACGAGGCCTGAGGGACATGGGGAGTGTGAGGGACTGTAAGATAAATAACTGTTGATGCCCACTCTGGTGACAGGACTGCAGGTCAAATGAACACACACTATTTGTCCATTCCTGGTTCTAAACTCCTCCCTTACCAAATTTGAAATTGAAATCCGTATGTGCATGTTGCCAATCTTCTGTGGAAAAAATAATTCTTTATAAAACTCTCTACAGTGAGACAGATCCTCTTAAATATGAAAAGGCCCACTTGTGTTGTGGGTAACGATGAGAAAATCATCTTCGTGCGAAATTTGCCTTTCTCTTCCCTTACATCATAGCTGACTCCGCCAAGACCACTATGATCAAGTTTTTATTCCTCCTCCAACCCTCCACTGCAACTTTTGGCTGTACAAGACGAATACTTCCATATGGTGCAATGTTTATGTTAAGATGGGGGAAAATGTGAGATGCTTTCAGTAAATTTTATTCAAGAAGTAATAAATTTATACATTCTAAGCAGCTGGAACAAAATATTGGTCTGTAATTGATTCTGAATGAAGTGTTTTTCAAAAGGAACAGAAAACTTGGGGCTATTTGTTAATTACTGATGTTTAGAGATCTTGGGTGCTGTCATGCAGCCCTCTCTGGCTGTGACCTCAGACATATGATTTGACATGTTGAATCTCTTTTGCCTCATCTGGAAAATGGGTTTAGCAATTTTACCTACTCATAGGGTTTTTGTGAGGATTAAATCAGCTAACACAAGTAAAGGGCTTGGGATAGTACTCATTATGTAGCAGACACTCAGCAAATGTTAGTTCTTTTCTTTTTACCTATTACCTATAGTCTGAGTCACAAGAGAAGGGGAATAGGATGAGGATGGGGGTAGGAAGGAAGGACTGAGAAAGTGTATGAGAATGAAGTTTTAAGGATTTATCTATAAAAGAATGCCCACTGCCACCTCAGAATCTGTAGAGACAAGGGAGCTGTGTGAGTACAAGTGATTCTTTAAAAATATTTTTTGGGAAGCAGGTGTGGGTACGTGAAGCCTGTAAAACCAGGAGTTTTCTGATATACTTTTGGGATCATCATGCATTTTTATAATTATTGAAATCACTAGAACAAATGAGAGCAGGAGGGGAGAAGGCAAGTCCTAAAAAACCTGTCTAGAGGGGACTATTTAACATGCAAAAACTACCCCATGTCTGTGTGAAACCAATGCACAGAATTTATTCTATTGATGCATTATTATTTTGGACAAACTGCCAACTTTTGTTTTAGTTTTTTAGTCACTAAAGCACAATGATTTTTTAGAATAATTTTTAATGTCTTCTGTTTAGTCTTTACATTTACAAAGCAATTCTATACCTTTCTAATTTAATACTGATAAAAACCAAGCAAAGTAAATATTAGCCCTATTTTAAAATAGCAAATATTTGGTATACATTTACTGTGTTCCAGGTACTGTACTAAATGCTCTGTGAGGCATGTCCCATTTAATTCTTCTGACGAACCTGCAAAGTACGTACTATTTCATCATCTGAGGCTAGAAAAGAAAAGTTAAATAACTCTCTTAAGATGACCCAGAAGTAAAGAGCAAAGCCAGGACTTGAATCCACATGAGTCTGACTTCAAAGCCCACTCCTAACTCTTAACCACTGTATTCTGCTATTGAAGGATAATGAGATAATGCTCTTTCCCAGTATGGCAATGTATTTGGTTTGAACTCAGCCTAATTAATTACAGTCATGTAAACAACTGTTGTGAAATTATACAGAAACATTAAACTTTTTGATCTCTATTTCTATATTATGTTCCTAGAATTGCTAGAGACAGATGCACATCTTAATGTACATTTTCCTCTCTAAGGTTATGAGAATCTGGACAAGACCAATAATTGTTGAATAAAGTTTCCAAATACCTAAAGTACTTGGTAATAGACTAAGAATCTGTTTCTTGTTTATCTGTAATCAGTTTAATAGTTGCAGGTAAGAAAATTTAAGCACAATTTTAGTGAAGCCTAGCCACCAAACTTTTGACCAGTTCAATAATGCAAAGGACAAAACCTGTTCATAAAAATGAATTTTTAATTTCATGAGCATAAAAAAAAAACCCAAACCTGTCCCATACCCCTCCCACTCATGCAAACAGCTCTCAAATGAGATTCTTCAAATTTTACGTTTTTTCCATTCTGGCTCATTCTTTGCTTCCTCATCATCAGATTCAACTTGGGCAAACATGGTTTTGGGCTGAGTCCTAAAAGAAAAGTTAAAGAAGAGAAGGAAAAATTTAGTCAGAAAGTATTTGTTACATTAGATTTTGCTTCCTTCATCAAGTGGGAGCAAATGTGGGGAATAAATTACAACTCAATTATTAAATATAAATCATTAAACTTCTGGCAAAGAAAAAGATAATGGAAATTTAATTATGTTCAGGAAAAGAGCAAAAGATTCTTTTAAAGATTTACCCTCTGTGGCAGACTGTACATACACACTGTTCTTTCCTTAAATAAAATGAAAATGCATCAAATTCAGTGGAACTTCACCCATCCTAACCACCCTCCACCTGAAACTCTGGGTAACTGGGACCGTATGGAAGAACGAACTACAGTCACCAAGCAAGAATCTACATGATCTTTATTAAGACCATTTATTAAGCTCTCTGGGTTGTCCCTAGGCTTCAGTAGTGTAAATATGTGTTTATAGTACACATAAATGGGAAAATATGAGTTTGTTTTCTTATCTAATGAATTTGAGCCTGCAAAAATAAAAACCAAAGAAAACGAATATCCCCCGCATTCCTACACTCAGCCCAATGCATGGAAATGCCAAGCATTTTAGGATACATCACTGATACATGGCTGTAATACTGCCACACACCTCAAGCAATCTGCACAAAGACTTTCTGTGCTTCGTAAACATACCGGTTCAATGACATCCCTTTTCACACTACTCACATAAGAAATATCTCCAAGAAAATGTCAAGTGGTTATAATGTCTGCCCCTTTTGGTCATGCTACTCTGATTTTATTTTAAAAAACAGCTCTATCGCATTATGAAGAAACATTAAAGCACATCTGCAGGTTATATATTTCGGCTTGTATTTTCATTTAGAATCATTATATCCACGTAATTCCAGAATGGTAAAAATAATGACAACTATAATTCCTTTTATTTGGCAAGAAAACCAGGATAAACTTTATATTCCCTCTTGCTGCTTTTTTATTATCCTGGGGAAAAAGCATAAACCATCCACAACTCATGCTGATGTTGTCTGACATGAGTCATGTACTAGAATTGCTCGTGAATAAGTTGATCATTATTCCTGTCTCTCCAGTTACCTCACACACCTACCTAGAGCCTAAGCTGTCCCCATACACAACCCAGTTGGTTAAACTTCTTGTTGTCACTTTAAGACACTGTTATGATATCTATAAACAGGTCACAGCTCTTAAATTTCGAAAAGCAGCTACAGGTTTTGATAGGCCATAAGTTGCTGAATTCCTAACTGGCTTTCTAACATGCTACAACAAGGCAATTGGTGCTTATTACATATTTCATCTTCTGGCAAAGATGCTGACCAGTTAGGTATGGATAAACCTGTTCAAGAACAAATTTGTCCAGGTTAAAAAATCCTTTGAATTAGATATTTAACTTCTCAGGGGGAAAAAAAGGAACAAGGTCTTCCAAGGATATCTGAAAATGCTTCGTAGGACACCAGCTCATCAATGTTAGTTGTAATGAGATTTAAGTACTAAGAAATTGCAATGCTAGTTTCTTGTATATAAAAAAGGAAATTAAATGGCAAATTACAGGAAGAAATGTAGAGTCCAAAAAGGTTATTTCATTTAAGGTGTTATTCTCTGTATTAGACTGTTCTCACGCTGCTAATAAAGACATATCTGAGACTAGGTAATTTATAAAAGAGGTCTAATGGACTCACAGTTACACCTGCCTGGGGAGGCCTAACAACCATGGTGTAAGGCAAATGAGAAGCAAAGTTATGTCTTACATGGCAGCAGACAAGAGAGTGTGTGCAGGGGAACTGTCCTTTGTAAAACCATCAGATCTTGTGAGATTCAGTATCACAACAACAGCATGGGAAATTACTTCCCACTAGGTCCTTCCCATGATGTGACAATTATGGGAGCTACAATTCAAGATGAGATTTGGGTGGGGACACAGCCAAACCATATCACTCTTTTTTTAGAGACAGGGTCTTTCTCTGTCACCTAGGCTAGAGTGCAGTGGCACAATCATAGCTCACTGTAACTGAACTTCCGGGCTCAAGTGATCCTCCTGCCTCAGCCTCCCCAGTAGCTAGGACTGCAGATGTGCACCACCATGTCTGATTAATTTTTTTATTTTTTTGCAGAGACATGGTCTTGCTCATGTTGCCCAGGCTGGTCTCAAGTGCCTGGCCTCAAGCAATCTACCCATCCTGGCCTCCCAAAGTGCTGGGATTACAGGCATGAGTCACCACGCCCAGCCAAGATATTAGTCTTTTTAATATTCCACCTTCCAAAAGTATCCGTAGGAGGTTGATGGCTAACATCAAAGGGCACAGAATCAACAAAACTACATAACAACAGCTAGAAAGAGGCATGAGAGGATGTTTTGGTGGGATGGAAATGTTCTATAATCTTGACAGAAATGGTGATTAACAGGTGTATGCATTTGTCAAAACTTGAAATGGGTACATTTTGTATTTTATTGTATGTAAATTGTACCTCAATAAAGTTGATTTGTAAAGAAACTAAAAACAAAACAAATTGGTAGAAAATAAAGAACCAAGGAATGAAAGGGTAATTGAGCATTAAACTTAGCACTGAATTTCCTAGCAGCCATGAGAAAAGAAAAAGGACAAATATTTGTTTTTCAAAGGAGATACTGCGTTTTTGGTTTTTTTTTTCACCTAGTATTGAACTCAGTTAATTCATTGAGTAAATGTTTGCATCAGGGTCACTTCAACTGTCATTTCTAATCACTAGATCACAACAGTTTCCTTGGTCCCCACTAGGAATTAAAATGTAGGGAATATTAAGTTGTTTGGAAGGTAAGACAGTTAAACATCATAGTCCTTTTTGCAAAACTCCATGACATTTAATTTCTACTTTTGAACTAATCATAATGTTGCCAGCAAAATGGCCACATTATACGTATGCATAATATTTTTTTTCTTCTTAAAAAAAAACAGGATACATGTGCAGAATGTGCAGGTTCATTACATCAGTATACATGTGCCATGTGGTTTGCTGCATGACCTGTCCTCTAAGTTCCTTTCCCTCACACCCCAACGTCCAAAAGGCCCTGGTGTGTGGTGTTCCCCTCTCTGTGTTCTCAATGTTCAACTCCCACTTATGAGTGAGAACATGAGGCGTTTGGTTTTCTGTTACTGTGTAGTTTGCTGAGGATGATGGCTTCCAGCTTCATCCATGTCCCTGCAAAGGACAGATCTCATTCCTTTTTATGACTGTATAGTATTCCACATGGAATACTATACTTCTTTATCCAGTCTATCACTGACGGGCATTTGGGTTAGTTCCATGTCTTTGCTACTGTAAACAGTGCTGCAATAAACATACGTGTGCATGTGTCTTTAGAGCAGGATGATTTATATGCCTTTGGGTATATACCCAGTAATGGGATTGCTGGGTCAAATGGTATTTCTGGTTCTAGATCCTTGAGGAATCGCCATACTGTCTACCTCAATGGTTGAACTAATTTACATTCCCACCAACAGTATAAAAGTGTTCCTATTTCTCCACAGCCTTGCCAGCATCTATTGTTTCCTGACTTTTTAATAATCACCATTCTCACTGGCGTGAGGTGGTATCTCATTGTGGTTTTGATTTGCATTTCTCTGGTGATCAGTGATGTTGAGCTTTTTTTCATGTTTCTTGGCCGCATAAACGACTTCTTTTTAGAAGTGTCTGTTCATATCCTTTGCCCACTTTTTGATGGGTTTTCTTCTTGTAAATATGTTTAAGTTCCTTGTAAATTCTGGATATTAGACCTTTGTCAGATCGGTAGATTGCAAAAATTTTCTCCCATTCTGTAGGTTGCCTGTTCACTCTGATGATAGTTTCTTTTGCTGTGCAGAAGCTCTCTAAGTTTAATTAGATCCCATTTGTCAATTTTAGCTTTTGTTACAATAGCTCTTGGCATTTTTGTCATGAAGTCTTTGCCCATGCCTATGTCCTAGGAATGGTCTTGCCTGGGTTTTCTTCTAGGGTTTTTATGGTTTGGAATTTTACATTTAAGTCTTTAATCCATCTTGAGTTAATTCTTGTATAAGGTATAAGGAAGGGGTCCAGTTTCAGCTTTCTGCATATGGCTAGCCAGTTTTCCCAGCACCATTTACTGAATAGGAGATCCTTTCCCCATTGCTTGTCTTTGTCAGGTTTGTCGAAGATCAGATGGTTGTAGATGTGTAGGTTTCTGAGGACTCTGTTCTGCTTCATTGGTCTATATGGCTGTTTTGGTTACTGTAACCTTGTAGTATGTTTAAAGTCAGGTAACGTGATGCCTCTAGCTTTGTTCTTTTTGCTTAGGATTGTCTTGGCTATACGGGGTTCTTCTTTGATTCCATATGAAATTTAAAATAGTTTTTTCTAATTCTGTGAAGAATGTCAACAGTAGTTTGATGGCAATAGCATTGAATCTATAAATTACTTTGGGTAGTATGGCCATTTTCACCATACTGATTCTTCCTATTCATGAGGATTGAATGTTTTTCCATTTGTTTGTGTCCTCTCATATTTCCTTGATCAGTGGTTTGTAGTTCTCCTTGAAGAGGTTCTTCACATCCCTTGTTAGCTGTATTCCTAGGTATTTTATTCTCTTTGTAGTGACTGTGAATGGGAGTTCATTCATGATTTGACTCTCTGCTTGTCTACTGTTGGTGTAAAGGAATACTTGTGATTTTTGCACAATGATTTTGTATCTTGAGACTTTGCTGAAGTTGCTTATCAGTTCAAGAAGTTTTTAGGTTCAGATGATGAGGTTTTCTAAATATAAAATCATGTCATCTGCAAACAGAGACAACTTGACTTCCTCTCTTCCTATCTGAATACCTCTTGCCTGATTGCCCCAGCCAGAATTTCCAATACTACGTTGAATAGGAGTGGTGAGAGAGGGCATCCTTGTCTTGTATCAGTTTTCAAAGGGAATGCTTTCAGCTTTTGCCCATTCAATGTAATATTGGCTGTGGGTTTGTCATAAATAGCTCTTATTATTTTGAGATATGTTCCATCAATACCTAGCTTATTGACAGTTTTTAAAATGAAGGGGTGTTGAATTTTATCTAAGGCCTTTTCTGCATCTACTGAGATAATCAAAGTGTTCCTATTTTTCCACAGCCTCCCAGCATTTATTCTTCCTGACTTTTTAATAATCATCATTCTGACTGGTGTGAGATGGTATCTCGTGGTTTTATTTGCATTTCTCTGATGATCAGTGATGTTGAGCTTCTTTTCATACGTTTGTTGGCCACGTAAATGTCTTCTTTTGAGAAGTGTCTGTTGATATGTTTTGCCCACTTTTTTGTTTTTTTCTTGTAAATATGTTTTTGGTTTTTGTCTTTGGATCTGTTTATGTGATGGATTATGTTTATTGATTTACGTATGTTGAACCAGCCTTGCATCCCAGGGATGAAGCTGACTTGATGACATGGATTAAGTTTTTTGATGTGCTGCTGGGTTCGGTTTGGCAGTATTTTATTGAGGATTTTTGCATCAATGTTCATCAGGGACATTGGCCTGAAGTTTTCTTTTTTGTGTGTGTTTCTCTTCCTGGTTTTGGTATCAAGATGATGCTGGCTTCATAAAATGAGTTAGGGAGGAGTCCCTCCTTTTCAATTGTTTGGAATAGTTTCAGAAGGAATGGTACCAGCTTCTCTTTGTACTTCCGGTAGAATTTGGCTGTGAATCATCTGGTTGTGGGCTTTTTCTAGTTGATAGGCTATTAATTACTGCCTCAATTTCAGAACTTGTTATTGGTCTATTCAGGGATTCAACTTTTTCCTGGGTTAGTCTTGGGAGGGTGTATGTGTCCAGGAATTTGTCCATTTCTTCTAGATTTTCTAGTTTATTTGCTCAGAGGTGTTCATAGTATTCTCTGATGGTAGTTTGTATTTCTGTGGGGTCAGTGGTGATATCCCTTTTATTATTTTTTATTGCATCTATTTGATTCTTCTCTCTCTTCTTATTAGTCTAGCTAGCAGTTTATCTATTTTGTTAATGTTTTCAAAACACCAGCTCCTGGATTTGTTGATTTTTTTGGAGGGTTTTTCATGTCTCTATCTCCTTCAATTCTTCTCTTAGTTATTTCTTGTCTTCTGCTAGCTTTTGGATTAGTCTGCTCTTGCCGCTCTAGCTCTTTTAATTGTGATGTTAGGGTGTCGTTTTGAGATCTTTCTAGCTTTCTAATGTGGGCATTTAGTGCTAGAAATTTCCCTCTTAATACTGCTTTAGCTATATCTCAGAAATTCTGGAACATTGTCTCTTTGTTCTCATTGGTTTCAAAGAACTTCTTTATTTCTGCCTTAATTTCACTATCTATCCAGGAGTCAATAAGGAGCAGGTTATTCAATTTCCATGAAATTGTGTGGTTTTTGAGTGAGTTTCTTAATTGTGAGTTCTAATTTGACCGCACTGAGGTCTGAGAGGCTGTTTGTTATTATTTCAGTTATTTTGCATTTGCTGAGGAGCGTTTTACTTCCAATTATGTGGTCGATTTTAGAATAAGTGCCATGTGGAAATGAGAAGAATGTATATTCTGCTGATTTGGGGTAGAGAGTTCTGTAGACGTCTACTAGGTCCATTTGATCGAGAGCTGAGTTCAAGTCCTGAATTTCCTTGTTAATTTTCTGTCTCGTTGATCTAACACTGACAGTGGAGTGTTAGAGTCTCCCACTATTAATGTGTGGGAGTCTAAGTCTCTTTGTAGGTCCCTAAGAACTTGTTTTATGAATGTGGGTGCTCCTGTATTGGATACATATATATTCAGAATAGTTAGCTCTTCTTGTTGAATTGTTCCCTTTACCATTATGCAATGCCCTTCTTTGCCTTTTTTGATCTTTGTTGGTTTAAAGTCTGCTTTGTCAGAGACTAGAATTGCAACTCCCATTTTTTTTTTGCTTTCCATTTACTTGGTAGATTTTCCTCCATCCCTTTATTTTGAGCCTGTGTGTGTCTTTGCACATAAGATGGGGCTCCTGAATACAGCACACCAATGGGTCTTAACTCCTTATCCAATTTGCCAGTCTGTGTCTATCTTTTAATTGGGACATTTAGCCCATTTACATTTAAGGTTAGTATTGTTATGTGTGAATTCAATCCTGTTGTCATGATGCTATTTGGTTACTTTGCACACTAGATGCAGTTTCTTCGTAGTGTCAGTGGTTTTTATATTTTGGTGTGTTTTTGCAGTGGCTGGTATTGGTTTTTCCTTTCCATATTTAGTGCTTCTTTCAGGAGCTCTTGCAGTGCAGGCCTCGTGGTAACAAAATCCCTCAGCATTTGCTTGTCTGGAAAGGATTTTATTTCTCCTTCGCTTATGAAGCTTATTAGTTTGGCTGGATATGAAATTCTGGGTTGAAAATTCTTTCCTTTAAGAATGTTGGATATTGGCCCGCAATCTCTTCTGGCTTGTAGAGGTTCTGCTGAGAAGTCTGCTGTTGGTCTGATGGGCTTCCCTTTGTAGGTGACCTGGCCTTTCTCTCTGGCTGCCCTTAACAGTTCGACCTTGGAGAATCCAATGATTAAGGGTCTTGGGGTTGATCTTCTCTTGGAATATCTTAGTGGTGTTCTCTGTATTTCCTGAATTTGCATGTTGGCCTGTCTTGCTAGGTTGGGGAAGTTCTCCTGGAAAATATCCTGAAGTGTGTTTTCCAGCTTGTTTCCATTCTCTCCATCTTCTTCTGGTACTCCAATCAATCATAGGTTCGTTTTTTTAATGAAGTCCCATATTTCTTGGAGGCTTTGCTCATTCCTTTTCATTCTTTTTTCTCTATTCTTGTCTGCATGTCTTATTTCAGTAAGGTGGGCTTCAAACTCTGATATCCTTTCTTCTGCTTGGTTGATTTGGCTGTTGATACTTGTGTATGCTTCACAAAGTTCTTGTGCTGTGTTTTTCAGCTCCATCAGGTCATTTATGTTCCTCTCTAAACTGGTTATTCTAGTTTAGCAATTCCTCCTCCAACATTTTATCAAGCTTCTTAGCTTCTTTGCATTGGGTAAGGACACGCTCCTTTAGCTCATCATAGCTTTTTATTACCCATTTTCTGAAGCCTACCTCTGTCAATTTGTCCCTCTGATCCTCCATCCAGTTCTGTGCCCTTAATGGAGAGACGATGCAATCATTTGGAGGAGAAGAGGCACTCTGGCCTTGTGGGTTTTCAGCATTTTTTTGTTGACTCTTTTTCATCTTCATGAGTTTGTCTAGTTTTGGTCTTCGAGGCTACTGACCCTTGGATGGGGTTTTTGTGGGGCCTTTTTGTTGTTGTTGATGCTGTTGTTGTTACTTTCTGCTTGTTTTTCTTTCAATAATCAGGGCTACTCTTCTCTAGAGCTGCTGCAGTTTGCTGGGGGTTCACTTCAGGCTCCATTCATCTGATTCGCTCCCATGCCTGGAGATGTCACTCAAGGAGGCTGGAGGGCAGCCAAGGTGGGTGCCTCCTCCTTCTTCTGGGACCTCTAACCTCGAGGGGCACCAACCTGATGCCAGTAGAATTGCTCTTGTATAGGGCGTCTGACAATCTCTGTTGGAGGGTCTCACCCAGTTGGGTGGCATGGGGAGCAGGACCCATTTAACGAAGCACTTTGTCCCTTGGTGGAGAGGGTGTGTTTTGCTGGGGGGAAACCCACTCGTCTGGGCTGCCCGGATTCCTCAGAACTACCAGGAGAAAAGGCAAAGTCTGTTGGTCTGCAAAGACTAAGGCCACCCCTCCTGCTAGGGGCTCAGGCCCAGGGAGATCCCAATTCTGTCCCTGAGCCTCTGGCTGGAGTTATTGGAGATCATGCAGGGAAGCCATGACCACTGAGGAAGAATAGGTCAGGGTTAGACCTGAAGAGGCACTCTGGCCACAGACTGCCACAGCCGGTGTGTTGGGCTGTGGGGACAAGTCTTGGGACCAAGCCGTCTAGCCTTCCTGGCTCCAGCAGGGGAAAAATGCAGCCTGGAGTTATAGAAATGGGTGCTGCCCTTCCCCTACCCAGAGAGCTTAGCGTGTTAGGCAGTTGCTAGTCCCAGTGCTAGCTGCTGCCCCTCCCACAAGGAGCCAAATAGCAGGCAGCCATAGCCAGTGCTGGTCACCCCTTCCCCTGGGAATTCGGTAGGCTTAAGCAGATTCCAGCTGAGAGGCTGTAAGAATCTGCACATCTGCACATTCCGGGGTTAGGATGCTAGGCCCCACTGGCCTGGGTCTGCAAGTGGGATCTTCTGATCCGTGGGTTGCACAGTTCCATGGGAAAAGCAGTTTCCCCAGCTGGATAGCGTGTTCACTCACCGCCTCCCTTAGCTTGGGGGAGGGGGGTTCCCCTTCCCCGTGTGGCTCTCAAGTGGGTTGCTGCGCCACATGCCCTTCCTTCTGTGGGACACACCAGCCTTCTAGTCAATTTTGATGAGAGAACCTGGATGCCTTGGCTGCTGGTGAAGGATTCACATGCTTATTATGTTTTTTTCCAATGGGAGCCTCTGAACACCGCTGCTTTGAATTGGCCATCTTGGCCCTGCCCGTAATATTTCATGTGATATTTCAAGGCATCACATCTAACTTGAAAGTTGTAATGGTCCCCTTTCCCCAAATTGGAAAAACCAAGGCAATAAACTCTAGATTTTCCTGGCAATTTTCCCAATGCTTGTTTACCACCTGTTTTTTCATTCTGTTGGTCAGGTAGGGGAATAATTGAGAATAAGAACTCAGCTCCCATCAACACCTGGTGTTGGCAAAAGTGTATATCCACATACAACAAAGTTAGAACCTCAACTTATACCATACACAAAAATTACCTCAAAATGGATCAAAGACCTAACCATAAGAGATAAAACTATATAACTCATAGAAGAAAACACAGACATTAGATTTGGCAATGATTTCTTGGATATGATTCCAAAAGCACAGACAACAGAAGAATAAAGTAGGTAAACTGGACTACATCAAAATTAAAAACTTCTGTGCTTCAAAGGACACAACTGACAGAGTGAAAAGGCAGAATGGGAGAAAATATTTGCAAATCATATACCTGACAAAGGATTAATATCCAGAATATATAAAGAACTCCTACAACAACAACAATAAAAAAATTTTTTAAATGGGCAAAGAACTTGAATAGGCACTTCTCCAAAGATATACAAATAGCCAGAAAGTGCATGAAAAGATGCTCAATGCCATTAATAATTAGGGAAGTACAGACCTAAACCACAATGAGATACCACCTCACCACAAGAATGGCTACTGTTGAAAAAAAAAAAAAAAACAACAGATAATAACAAGTATTGGCCAGGATGCAGAGAAACTGGAACCCTTGCATGCTATAGATAGTAATGTAAAATGGCACAGACACTATGGAAAACAGTGTAGTGGTTCCTCAAAAAATTAAAAATAGAACTGCCATGTGATCCAGCAATTCCATTTCTGGGTATATACCCTCCAAAACTGAAAACATAAAAGAGATATTTGCTCATGGCAGCATTATTCACAAGAGCCAAAGAGTAGAAGCAACTCAACTATACATTGATAGCTAAGCAAGATATGGTATATACATAAATGGAATATTATTCATCCTGAAAAAGGAAGGAAATTCTGATAACATGCTGTAATACAGATGAACCCTGAAGACAGTATGCTAAGTGAAATTGGCCAGTCACAGAAAGACAAAAACTGTTTGATTCCGCTTATATGAGGTACCTACAGTAGTCAAATCCATAGAGTTAAAAAGTAGAATGGTGCTTACAAGAAACTGGGTGGAGGGTGAAATGGAGAGTTGTTTAATGCAGGCGGTCCCCAACCCCCAGACTGCTATTGGTCCATGGCCTGTTAGGAACTGAGCTGCCCAGCATGAGATGAGCAGTGGGCGAGTGAGCATTACCACCTGAGCTCCACCTCCTGTAAGATCAGTGACAGTATTAGATTCTCAAAGAAGCACAAACCCTATTGTGAACTGCACATGTGACGGATCTAGGTTGTGAGCTCCTTATAAGAATCTAATGCCTGATGATCTGAGGTGGAACAGTTTCATCCCAAAACCATATCCCACCACTCCCATTCCATGGAAAAATTGTCTTCCACGAAACTAGTCCCTGGTGCCAAAAAGGTTGGAGACAGCTGGTTTCATAGAGTTTTAGCTTGGCAAGATGAAGAGTTCTGGAGAGTTTGCACAACAATGTGAATGTACTTAACACTAATGAACTATATACTTATAAATGGTTAAGATAGTAAGTTTTATCTCATGTTTATTCTACCAAAATTAGACCTTTTTAAATTAAAAAAAAAAAAAAAAAAAAGAACTAGGCTCTTGGGCTTGGGAGTAAGGAAGAACAAATCCCCTTCCTGGGACAAAAAGGAGGTGCCTTGGAGAGGGCCTTAGCCTCCAACCTAGAGCAGTGCCTAGGGTACTGCTTCTCAAACCATCTGTGATGGAGGGCCAGTCTTTGTTTTCTAATTTCCAGGACTCTGCAGACAAATATTTTATTTCTAGAAACATAAAATTTAAAGACTACAAAATACAAATCTAGGTTTTTATTAGATTCAACAGATACATCAAATTGCTATAAAATGTCCAAAGTGTTACTCTGAATTCTACATTTACCTCATCAGCACTGGCTGGTGGACCAGAGTGAGCAGTACCTCTTGAGAGCTCCATCCCTCCCCTAGCTTGGCAAAGAAGGGAGAAAAACAGGGCTTTGAAACAAGTCTGTGGAGTAAGAATTTGTATTTTTAACAAACTTTTACACATGATGAGCTTCCTCCAACTATGGGAAAATATTTCTCATATCTGGAAAAATTGGCCCTGTATGATGCTACTGAAGAGTGGGTGAAAGAATAAAATTTGGGGTTACACTCTCAGGCCCATCCTTAAAGGAGTGGTCTTTGATTTTGGGGAGTTAGGCATGGGGAAGTGAAGCAAAGTATGGCCCACAGAAGGAATTTTCTCTCATTCCAATCCATCCTGCCCTCAAAACCAACATTCTTACAGCATAATTCAGAACCTTTAATAAGAGCTGTGTGTTGTTTGCTGAATAAAGACTAGGTTCTTCAAAAAAAGAGTATTCAACTTTAGCACACTGAACATCTCTACCAAGCCTAAGGAACACCAGTGTTTTGTAGGAGCATAGTGAGAGAATCATAGCTTTAAACATTGTAGCTATTCTTTCTTTTTGGCAATTTTTATCTTTGAATTTATTTCCAGCAGTTATTCTTTTGAAAACGTTTAGAAATCCACATATGAGAAATATTTTAAAAACTCAATTCAGAGCTATCTAGGACATTTTAAATGGATTTCTTTAGTCACCACTTTATCAAAACAATGAGGAACAGATGATTAGGCAACCTCTAGCAATGTTAGGACTAGAACCAGGAGATTTCTTCCCTGGGGGATGGTCTAATTTGCCCTTGGCACAGAAAACTACTATAAAAATAAATCAACAACATCAAGCAAAAGTAAAACGACAGATACAAAGAGATAAAATGTTAATGGATTTGAAAACACTTAAAAGCTGGTCCACAAATTCCCACTTTTAAAGCTAACAGGAAACAAATAAAAACAATAACAACCAACAAACCCTCTATTTTACATCGTCACTGGCCACAAAAATGGTTTCCTTTCTGGGCTGCTTGAAGAAATGGAATTTGTACACTGATGTTAAGAAATATTCTGTTGGAATGAGAACACATGGACACAGGGAGGGGAACATCACACACCAGGGCCAGTCGGGGTATGGGGGGCTGGGGGAGGGATAGCATTAGGAGAAATACCTATTGTAGATGACAGGTTGATGGGTACAGCAAACCACCATGGCACGTGTATACCTATGTAACAAACCTGTATGTTCTGCACATGTATCCCAGAACTTAAAGTATATATATATATGAAAAAGAAATATTCTGTTGGGTGCTTCCACAAGGAAGAGTAGAACCCAACAAATCAAATAGACACTAAAAACATGACAGCAACATAAGAAATACACAAACAAATTGCAAGAAATATACTCCACCACTTCCAGAAAGCAATTCTGTCACCTACCCATTCTGTGTCTTCTAGCTAACAATTCTTTCAGAATTTTATACCTCATTTCTCAAGAGACAAGAAATTATCAACTCAAGCTTACTGCCTCATGGCAGATTATCTCCCTTGCCCAAAACAAAAGCAAAAGCCTATAAAGGGATTGACTCGAAGGAAAAGTAGGTAAGGGGAACATTCCATTCAGCCAAATATATAATTACTGTGGGTGTACAACAGGTTAATGGGGATCTAGCAAGCCTCACTGGAGAATGAGTGAAGTATCTACCTTAACGAAGTCAGCTTTAACCAGACTATTCCATATACTGGTTTATGGCCCACACTTACCCATGTTTCTGACGACTAATTTAAAAACCTAAACTTACAGAGGGCTGATGTGAACCTTGCATTTTCCAGTTTGAGTAACTCATCTGGGGAAGAGTAAACATTTTCCACTTGATTATAAATGTCAACTTGTTTACTAGAGTTACCAAGAAAAGGAGAGCAGATTAGACATCAACGTGGTCATTGCTGCCAATCATTAAATAAGCAAACAAGGGAAGGCTAAAAGGTTTTTTGTTTTATTTTGCTTTAGCTTCGGTAACTCTGCATTTGCTAATAGTTAATATGATTTCATAAAGCAAACAGAAAAGCTTAAGCAAATGTCTTTCTCAAATCTATAAATTCTGGATAGCTGATACTTTGTGCTGATTAAATTTCCCCTTGATACTTTTTGGAAAACTGATTCTCAAGATTATTTTTACAAAGTGAGTCTTTTCCAGCAACTGTATGCTACAGAAAAATAACAGAAACTCAACAGAAAGCAAGTCCCACCTTCAGTGCTTCCATCCAGAGGAATTTTGTGTAGAGCAGCCAGTAATGAATAAAGAGTCCCTCTGCAATCTTCTAAAAGGGCATTTTTGGGGTGCATTGTTTGTGTGAGAGATTCAAAGTATTACAGGACTGTCCTTTCTCTTCTGATTAAGCTTTGACCTATGTCTTCTACACGGCCCTTCTCTAGCACTCAGGCCAGAGTGAAGTCGTCTTCACTGTAACAAAATGTTTTCAGCTGCAGTGGAAAGTCCACAGGTCAAATTCTTTTTAATTATGGATGTTCCTCTGATATGATTCCTTCAAAAAGCATAAAGTGAGCTCCAGGGTAACAGAGCAAGTATGAGGCGAAATCACTTGCATTACTTAGTCATCAGCACATGAGTATAAACCACAAGCTTTTTTGGCTCAGGGCCCATTGTTTATTATGAAGGAAAACCTCAAAGCCAAAGTCAATTATAGCCATGACTTTCAATCTGACACACTTGTTAACCCTGTTAGAATGAATATGGCCCAGATGAACTCTGACACAGTCATCACAATTGCAGAATTATTAAGATTAAATAAAAGCCTTGACCAAAAAATTCCACTTGAAATGATTCCTTTTTTTGGTGAAGAGCTAATCGAAGTTGTTGTTTTTTTGTTTGTTTTTTTTTTTTTTAAATATTAGGCACACTAGGCAACAAGATGTTTCTAGATAAAGCATTTTCTATTTTCTTCAGGAAATGAACATATAATATTTTAGAAAATAAACACATCTCAGGCTCATAAATAGGGTATACTGACTCATTATGCTATGTGTGAGAGTTCAAAGACTGTGAAGATGGAAAAAAGAACATACATGAGACCTACGGAAACTGTGAAAATAGGAAACAAAGAAAGAGACAGGAAAAGAGAAACAGAATTCTACAAAATTGCCATTAGCTACCTTATCACCAAATGGATAAACAAGTTACAAAGACAAAATCTTTGAAGAACACACAGGCTTGAGACAGCCCAGGTATCACCAAAGCACTCTCTTAATAAGTTCCCATTTATAAGATATATAACTGTGTGCCACAATTTCTATTAAAAAACATGCACGAAAGCTTGGCATTGGTGTAGCCCTGCCCAACTTCATGGATCAGGAAAACAGCCTCAGTGAAGGTAACTCGCCAGGGGGTGGCGGAGCTGAAGCTAAATCTCAGGACTTCTGATTCTTAGTCCAGTGTTCCCTCTGTTACACCATGCTGGCTCATACAATGATCTTTTAGCTTTACTATTACTCAAGTTTTCTAATAACTACTACCAGTTGCTTTATGATGAAAAGCAGTACACTGTACTTAGTTACAGTTATAGGCTTGATTCTGAAGCCAGAATGCTTGCATTCAAATCCCAGTTTTGCCACCTGCTACCTCTGTGGCTTTGGTCAAATTATAAGCCTCAATCTCCTTATCGGTAAAATGGGGACAATAATAACACTTGCCTCACAGGGCTGCTGTGAGGATTAAATTAATAATATATATAAAGTTTTAAAACAAGCCTGGCATAGTATAAGTAAAATAAAAGTATCATTATTATTATATACCTTGCTTTGGATATCAGGTGTTCCTCACTTCATATAATAGATGTATTTCCCAAAAGCAGTATGTAGAATATATTTGGTAAATTAATTTTTATGTTAAACACAATATAGCAGCTTGCTACTTTTTAAAGGAAATAATTTTATTAAGCAAATAATATTTCTTCACTATGAATTTCTATAATTGAAATAATCTAGTCAGTAAATTTGAATTTTCTTAAGGGAGAATAATTTGTTGCTTGTTTTCATAATTACTTTTGTACTATTAAAGAATAATTTGTTGCTTGTTTTCATAATTACTTTTGTACTATTACAGAATAATTTGTTGTTTTCCATAATTACTTTTTACTATTACCAAACATAAGTGTGCAAAACAATCACCCAGGGCACCTCTTAATATTCAGATTCCCACCCCTAATCCCACAAAGCCCCCTTGAGTTGGTTTAGGATGGAGTCCAGAAATCTGCATTTTTAAACAACCCCCCCACCGCAAAAAAAAAAGAAAAAAAAAAAAAACTACATACACCGCTCTGATGCAGGCAGTTCACAAAACCACTTTCAGAAACATTGGCTTCTACACAGGAATACAGTGGAGAGTGACAATTAGTCACCTAAATATAACTCTGGAAAAAATATATTTTCTCTCTGTGCATTTATGATTCTTCCTGACACAAATAACACATAAACCTTCACTTGCTCACAGAGTGGCTTCTTTAAATATTGCCTACAACTCAACATGACTTTAAATGGATCCTTTATAGGTGGGAATGATATTTTAACACATACATACACACATATTCATATATCCAATATCAGACAAGATATGCACACTGAAAATTAAGTTGACCGAACCAGCAAATAATGGCAGCCTATCTGGCAAGAAAAGTGACGTGGTTGACAGAGCTGTCATTCTGTCAGGCTGCTGGCCAGGGTCCAGGCTCCCACACACATCTATCCTTGTCTGATGTGTAAGCTAATAGCTTTCTGGATCTACATCCTGCCCATTCCCCAGCCAGCTCCTTTTCTCTCCCTCCAGCAGCATCTTCTTACAAGAAACTGAAACTGAATCTGCCTATGTGTAGCTGAACAAGAGTCCTCTGTGATCCTGCTGTGTTTGAAAATTTTCATGGCTGTTACATTGCTAGGGCCAGGAATGAAACTTAAATAATCTATAAATGTAAACTCTTTAAAGACTCTTTGTTATCATCACCAGTGGATATTGGTGAGTGTATGTCATGTGTAGGCAGGCACATTTGTGGAATGTCTAATTGTGCTTTTCTGTGATAAAGCGAGATATGGTAAATAAATCTTCATTTCATCACTGACAGAAGTCAATTGCAGTGAAGAAAAAAAACCAACCAGACACACATTCTCAATTACAGTGACCTTTACGAAAAGATCCTTTTAAATATTAGCTTCCTTTCAAATACTTTGCTACTTGGCAGTAAACAGTATACTCTAGCAGGTGAACACAGGAGAAATAGCACTGCAATCCTAGCTAACAAATTACATGCCACAGACAGACAGTGCCATGAACTTAGTATGCAACAAATGCAAGGTGACGAAATTGGGTGGAAGCAAAGAGATGATAGCAAAATGCAGCGGCAGAAAGGTGTGTATCAGGAAGAGAGTGCAGTCCTCTGCAAAGCTCATTAGGTTAGGGATCAAGAGAACTAATGTCTAGTTCTAGTTTCAGTCATTGTTAATTGCAGATCTCTAAGCTACAGCCTCCTCACATGTAAAGTGAGGATATGACAATGCCTGATCTACCTACCTTGCAAGAGCTGCTATTATGCTAGCACGAATTCATTTGTAAACATAACTGAATCATCTCTAATGCAGAAAAATATCTTTAGATATTTTGAAAGTGAACAAAAACACTTTCAGCTGCAATTAATTCTTATTTAAAGAAAGTTGAAAATCTGAATGAATGACTGTCCAAGAAAATATTAATTACCAAGCAGCCTCAGAAGAGTCAGAAAACTCAGAATAGACTATTTGCCAGGAGGGGATGGAAAAGAGAGAAAAATTAAGGAATTACTACTCACCCTCCACTCCACAAAAGCTTTCACATTTTACAGGTGAATTCTATCAAATCTTTATAAAATGGATAAGTTCAAATGTATTCAAAACAGTTTGAGGGTACATATAGAAAAGAAAAATACACAAAATTTTTAGGAAGCCAGTCTAACACCTTAGAAAGAATAAACTACAATCATATAACGGTCGTATCAAAGATGCCAGGATGGCTCGGTGTTAGGAAATCTAGTAATATAATTCATCCCATTCATAGATCGAAGTAGAAAAATTCCATGATCACTTTCATAGAGATGAAGGAATTCAGTAAAGGCCTCTTGTGTTCGCTGCATGGGATGCTCTTCCCCTAGGTATTTGCATGGCTCACTCCCTCATTTCACTCAGGTCAAAGGTAACTTTTGTAGACGTTCTTCCCTGACCACTGTATCTAAAATAGCGCCTTTTCTCCGCCTGATTACTCTATGTCCCCCTTTTATCCCTCTTTTATCTATGTCCCCCTTTTATCTTTTTATAAAAGGGATATATCCCTCTTTTAGTTTTCTTCTTAGCATTATTACCATTTAATATTTATATATTTATTTAGTGTCTGTCTCTACTAGCATATAAGCTCCATAAAATGGCTGTACCCCTACAACTTAGAACAGTATCTAACACATAGTTGGTGTTCAGTAAATCTCTTTTGCATGAATAAATAAAGAATTGGATTCTTAACATCTTGTGTGTTTTCAAACATTATCACATTTTATGTGGAAATACCATTAGATTGAATAATATAAAACTGCTGATATTTGATTTTTTCACCTACAAAAAGGAAAATTTTGTAAGGTTTAACGTAATAGAATCATTCCTTTTAAAGTTCAAATTGAAAAAAGGATGTGCACTATCACTGATGGTTATTTTAAATTGTTCTGGCAGCAGTCAGTGCAATCAGATAAAAAGAAATAGTAGGTATAAAAATTGGAAAGGAGGAGGTACACTTACTACTTGCATATAATTTTATACCTATACACCCCAAGCTAAGTGAATAAAAATTATTTAAAATATATATAAGAAAACACAATAAACAGCTGGATACAAAACTAATATATATAAATAACACACATATATGTAGCTGCACAGTATTTCCATACACAAATAAGTTATAAATTTAGTGTAAGAAAAGACTCTACTTACAACAGCACAAAAAGATAAAGTAAGTAAAAATAAACTTAAAAGGAAATATGACAGGTCTATGTGAAGAAAACTTAAAAGTACTACTGAGGGATATAGTGATGTTGACTAGAAAGACAACTCTGTTCTCGGTTTGAAAGAACTAATATTATAAATTCTATCTAAATTAATATATACATATAACTCAAGTCTGCATCATTAATTTTTGAGGGGGAGGTTACTAGATAACTTAATAAGTCATGGAGACCTGCAAGAATAGATAGACACATTCTCATAAGAATAATGAGAACAGGCAGCGCTACAACAATGAAGACTGGTATTGATACTTGCAGAGCCAGACCAATTGACAGAACAGAACAGAGAACCCAGAAATTGATTAAAATTCATGAGTACATTAGGTATAATAAAGGTATCATTTCAATTTAATGAGGAAAATTAAATTATACAATAAAAAGTTCTACAGCAACTGGTTAAACCAACTTGAAATAAGTAAATTAGAACTCTACTATGGTAGGTTGAAAAATGGTTCTCTCAAAAATATCCACTTTCGATCCTTGGAACCTGTGAATGTTCTCTCATTTGGAAAAAGGGTATCTTGAGATGAGGAGATACTCCTGGATTATCTTGGATTGGCTCTAAATGCTACTGTAAGTATCCTTACAAGAGAGTAAAGGAGAAGACAAAGGAGAAGGCAATGTGAAGACTAGGCAACATTAAAGGGATGTGGCTATGAACCAAGGCATCAGGCAACCTCTAGAAGCTAGAAGAGGCATAGAATGAATTTTCCCCTGGAGTCTCTGTAGAAAGTACAATCCTGCCAACACCTTGATTTCAGACTTCTGGCCTCCAGAACTGTGACAGAATCAATTTCTACTTTTTAAGACATCAAATTTGTAGTAATTAATATAACAATTTCACTAAAATAATTCCAGGTGAATTGAAGACTTAACTCTAAAAAAAAATCCATAAAAGTATTGAGTGGGAATATGAGGGAATTTCAAGACTAATATTGGACGGGAGATGCCTTCCTAAATAAAACCCCAAAAGTGCACCCCTCACCCCATTTCTAAATCTCACCACATTAAAATAAATTTTTTACGTGAGAAAAACGCCATAAACAAAGTAAAATAAAAAACGATTAACTGGGAGAAATATTTGCCATACATGATATACAAGGGGTTAACCTCCTTAATATAAATAACTCTTACAAATCAGTAAGAAAAAACCAAATAGGCAAATGGGCAAAAGACATAAATAGTTCACAAGAAACAGGGTTTTAAGGGCTTTAAGAAAGCTCCTTTTAGCATCTTTTCTCGAGAACAGATGCTAAAAAATTATAAAAATGCAGGTGAAAACCACAAATTATACATTTTCACCTATCAGATTGGCAAAGATAAAAATTTCTTGAAGTTTTGCATGTGTGGGCAAATACCTACATCCAAAGATACTAATTCCAGTATTGTTTATGAAAGAAAAAGGCTGAAAACAACATAACTGTCATTCAAGAGGGTATAGTTTTTTATAGAAGTACAATATAGCTATACAATTGAATAGGTACATAAAGTAAAAATAATGAGCTAAATATGTCTGGATGGATCTGGCCCAATCTTCCAATGTATACTAAGTAAAAAACAAAACCACAAATCAGCTTGTAAAACATGCTATATACCTGCATTTTTAAACAATGCATGTATCTACACATATCTCTCTCTCTCTCAGAGGACATATAATAAATTGAGGCAGTTGGTATCTCTAAGCAGTAGAATGAAGGAACTGGGGGTTAAGTGAAAGAGAGGCTTTCAAATCTCCATTGTCTACCTTTAGTACCACTGGATTTCTTTTGCTTGTTTTTACTGTGTGTATGTACTACTTTAAATCTCAGACATGAAAACCACATACTAAATTGAAGTTACTCCTTTATCAAAATAACTCGTTATTAGATGTCAGAACAATAACCTGGAAATTCTAAGGCCAGGCTCCTGGTCTGGAATCTAGAAATGACTTGTTATCCAGCAGGTTTTAAAAGTTATCTTCTGGATGTTTCATTTTCTCCAGTGATAAGTTAGGTCTCTGACACCTTCTAATTATACACTGCTAATACTGCTATATTATACGTTGCTAATATCAATGAATAATCAGCAAAGAGTATTTATATCAGTATTTTTGAAGACATCTCAGTGATTTGTGTGTAAACATAGACACAAATATTTGGAGCAGTTAGCCATTAAAATAACATGCACCATGTTTAACAAAATTTAAACTATGACTGTTTTCTTGACAAATCTTTAGTATGTTTCTAAACAAGGTTTCTGAAGTATAAAAAAAATCCCTAATAATAATGGAAAATACTCCATTAAAAACAGAAGTGTCAACACAGCCATAATCTATAAGTTTATCTGACTGCCAATGATGTGTTGACATGGATTAGTTTATACACATATAAATACTATTCAAATGAAGGCTAAAGCATGCTATTTCGCTGGCCAGCCTTGATATGACCTCTTAGTTGTTATCATATTATCCAATTCACTGTTCAGAGATGTTCCATCTGTATTGTTTATTAATATAAATTGTGAACAACCACATTGACATTACATAGTCTGTTCTGCTACAGTACAAACAGCAGAGGACACAGTGCTTCCCCTCGATTGCCTCAAATCCTTTTAGCATTACTGGGCAATGTGCTTTCACTCACAGCAGGAGCACCTACCTCTAAAATGCTGGAGAGCTGACAGTGCCTGAAGTGTCTTTCCCAACCCTACCTCCAACCATCACCAATGACCAACAAATAAGGGAGTATAAATACTCTAGTTGCCATGGCCCTGACCAGGACAACTCTGACCACAGTCTCCAGGGTTACCCTGCAGGATTAAGCCAAAGCGACCCTCCCTGGGACTTGGCTTGATACTGCACACTTGATGGCTTCATGACACATCTCTACTCCCCTACTGATTTTCTCTGGGAACATACCCTAATAATTCACCTTTATGTAAATCTTTATCTCAGGGCCTGCTTCTAAGGAATGCATGCTAAGATGATGTGTTTTTATTTGAGGCAAATAGCGCCGAATAATGAGTAGAGGACTGGTAGCAGTATAAAGATTGAGTTGGTTAATAAAAGGCTTTTTCCAGCATATTAATGTTTTAAAAAGTAATCAGCATCCAGTTTTCTCACAATTAAAGAGAAAACTTTAGGAATACATAAAGACATCAAGAAAAAAACTTGAATATACCTCCAGTAATACAAAAATACACGTCTGTAAGTCTATTCACTATAGCATTGTTAGTACTTACAAAATACTGAAACAACCTAAATATCCTTACATAGAAGAATGGTTGAATTAACTATGATAAATTCGTACAACGGAGTACTATGCAACTATGAAAATCAATGACAGTGAGCTCCAAGAACTGATGTAGAGTGATTTCTAGGGCAGAGTTCTATGTGAAAAAGAAGCAAAGCCAAAAAAAAAGCAAATCAATATGACTTAATTTATATCAAGTTATACACCAAAATATATACAAATCTTTAAATCAATCATACCTCAATAAAGATGGGGGATGAAAAGAAGCTAAAATCCTAAACTGATCAATTCAAATTTCAAAAATAGCATAACAAAAAAAGTTGCTGACATATTTATAAATAGTATTCCCAAAGTTCATTTAAAGTTAAATTTCATACTAAAATGTTAATGAAGAAACATTTAGATAACCAACTACTTTGTGGATAATCACAGATTAGCAATAATTTTGTGATAAAAGTTGGTTGTGGTTAGTATTTGTATATTAAAAACGGTGACATTTTACTCTATACATGTGTTCATATGTTGTAATTACACTTCACCAAAGATTTTCAAGTGGAACTTAGACCAAAAAAGAAAAAAAGATGATTTACATTATGCTACCCTTCACATAGGAAATACGGGGATGTAAGAAGATACTTACGTATCTGCTCAAGAAATACCCGAAAGATACACCAGGAACTAAAAAGATTATTTAGCTACAAGGGGTGGATAGGAAAGGGACTGAAAAAAAGGGGGACTGGGAATAGGAAAAGGGAGCAGGAATGAAGAGGAAGAGACAGTTCTCTAAGAAAATCTCTTTTAAAGCTCTGACTCCTAGAACCATAGTAATATTTCACACACTCCAAAAAATAAACAGAACGTGAAGAAAACCCAAAAAAGGGAAATAAACACTAAAAAATGAACCTAACTGCATTTCAAATGGCTAACACAGCCACAATCACTGGGGTGGTGAAGAAAGTATACTTTAAGGCTAAAGACAAGAAGAACTGTAAACAAACTATGCCATGCAGATAGGAAAAGTGATTCTTACAGGGATATGAGTTAGCAATTCTAAAACTAGTTAATGTATATGCCAGACCTGAACAAATAAGAGCTGGGTTTCTCATTAACGGAGAAAGAAGTTACAAATACAGAAAGGAGAAAAGTTAGGGAACCTGTGATACAGGACTGAAATCAGAAACATCAATTCAAACTCATGGTTTTACAAATATAACTACAGATTGATACATTCAGAAACACAGATGTGTGTAGATGGGTAGCTTAGTATGCATACATGTATTTCCTAGCTTTGTCAGCAGAAAGGACCTAGAAGCAATGGCACTGCAGTAGCAAGGAGCACATCCAGCACACAGCCTTTCGTTTCTAATCACCATTCTCCAACAAAAGGAGCCACGGCTCTTTGGAGAAGTGGTCGATTCCAGAATGGGGGTAAGAAAAACCAAGATGAGTCTGTAACATCTTGTGGTGCCAGAAAGTAAGGAAGTACTAAAAAAATATATAGGCGCTTGAGAAAGATGCCAGGAGCCATTCTGAAGCCATTCCAGCTTCTATTGGCCAAAGGTGGAACAATTTGAGCAACAAACTAAATGATAGTATTGGAATTTATCTCACAGAATAATGTAAGAGACCATACCAATATTTTAAAAATACTTGAAAAATAAAAAAATGTGGGAGAAGGAACAACTTTTCCTCTAGGTAGAATTCCAATTAATAAACACAGAAGAAAAGAGGGAAACAGAAAATCACCCTTAGGCAAACACCATAGTAATAACTGTTATAGGCAAATTCATTCACGGATGATAAAATTAGACAGCAAAATTGAGGAGAAACAGGATTTGCATAGTCTTAAAATATCACTCCCAAGAAGTTTATCAACTGAAAATAGAATGAAAGCATCTTTACAGTGGAGAAACTTGGCAGATATAACCTTAAGCAAGTGGCCAAAGTTAGCATCACCAGTAATAAGACATCCACTGAGAAGGACACAACATCTCTCTTGTGTTATTTGTGCCAAACATGCATGGTCTCATTCCAAATATAAGAAAATATCAAGCAAACCCCAACTGAGGGAAAGTGTACACAATAACTGACCAGTATTCATTAAAAGCATCAAAATCATGAAACATAGGAAAGGTAACTGTTATGATGGGAGGAGACTAAGTACAATGTGGGATCCTGGAACAGAGAAAGAACATGAGTGAAAAACTGGCAAAAACTAACTAAGGTCTATAGTTTTAGTTTGTTTTTTTTTTTTGTTTTTTTTTTTTTTTGGAGGCAAGGTCTTACTCTGTCACCTAGGTTAGAGTGCAGTGGTGTGATCCTGGCTCACTGCAACCTCCACCTCCCGGGTTCAAGCAATTCTCCTGCCTCAGCCTCCTTAGTAGCTGGGATTACAGGTGCATGCCACCACACCTGGCTAATTTTTGTGTTTTTAGTAGTGATGGGCTTTCACCATGTTGGCCAGGCTGGTCTTGAACTCCTGATCTCAAGTGACCTGCCTGCCTCGGCCACCCAAAGTGTCGGGATTATAAGCATGAGCTAATGCACCTGGGCTAGTTAATAGTATTATACTAATGTTAGTTTTATAGTTTTGATAATTAATTGTACTAAGATTATGTAAAGTGTTAAATTAGGAGGAAGTTGGGTGAGTAGTATATATGTACTCTCTGTACTATTTCTGCAACTTTCCTAAAAATCTAAAATTAAATTTAAAAAGTTTAAAAATTTAGAAACTGAAAATTCTGGCCAGGTGGAGTGGCTCATGCCTGTAATCCGAGCACTTTGGGAGTCTGAGGTGGGAGGACTGCTTGAGACCAGAAGTTCAAGACCAGCCTGGGCAACAGAGTGAGACACTGTCTCTACAAAAAATTAAAACATTAGTTGGGTGTGGCAGTGCATGCTTGTCGTGCTAGCTACCCAGGAGGCTGAGGAAGGAGAATCCTTTGAGCCCAGGAGTTTGAGGTTACGGTGAGCTATGATCATGCCACTGTACTCCAGCATGGGCAACAGATCAAGATCCTGACTCTAAATAAATAAATAAAAATAAAAACGGAAAATTCTATAATAGTACCTATCTTTAATGTAAATGTAGCTGGTTTGATAGCTTTAGGAACCACTCCCTATTCATCCATGCTAAGCTGTCTGAGGGAATACGAGCAGGCAGGATCTACTCTGCAGTGTTACTTACATATACAGCTCTATAAATAAAAGTGAGTTCATAATAACAGACCTACAAACTGCTTCATTTGCTTTTAACCCTCGTCAACTAAGATAATGCACATAAGCAGTGATTTGTTTGTTGTTTGTTTTAATCATGGGCAGGATGGGCTTCACATAATGGTTTACACTATGCTACAACTCTGATGGAATGGGCCTAGTTTTAAAATTCATGATTTTAGAGTCTTATGATACATACAAATGCCTAGGTTTAAAGACCATGAGTACCTGGCCTATTTTTCATATCTAAGTATGAAATAAGAAATAGAGAAG
This sequence comes from Homo sapiens, assembly GCF_000001405.40. NCBI lineage: Eukaryota > Metazoa > Chordata > Mammalia > Primates > Hominidae > Homo > Homo sapiens. The sequence continues at coordinate 37,727,129 of NC_000005.10, read as the reverse complement.
TTAGAACTCAAAAACAACATTGTTATGTTCTCCCCAATTCATTAAACATAACAATTTTCCTGTTTTAAAAAGCTATATTCTCACTTGGAATATGCTGGAGAAACCCAATATGGGCTGTCTTCTGCTGCTTTGGCATGACGCAAAATGGCTTCCCGAGGATTACTGTCATCGGTCTTGTCCAAAGCAATGTTCTTCACAATATAGGAAGAGAGAGTGCCCCCGTGGGTTCCAACTCGGCCACCACGACCTATTGCAAAAGAAAAAAAACCAAATTAGAAACTGAATGAGCATGAGGATACATAGGTATATCTGTGTACACTGTACTTATCTGAGCACAAATCTCAAGAGTACTTAAATTTCATCCTTTCAGCTTAGATTTATGACAATCAGAACCAAAGAGATCACCAAACCTCAACTTCCCGATAGCACTTTTAAATAGGAAGAGATTTTTTTGTTATGTCTCAGTTGCTTAACTTACAGAATGATACCAATATAGAAAAAATTACAGATAGTTTGCCATCTATATGCTTTAAAAAGTTCCTCTGGCATCAACATTTAGAATTCAATTAATAAAAATAAACAATATTCATTAGATGCTATTTAAATAAACATATCTTAGGGCTTGGCATCTTCCAAGTCCCTTACAGGTACTTTGCTGAGTATTATAAGAGAAAACAAATAAGCTAAACATACTGATTCATGTTGCTCTGCTGTACTATAATCTCCCTATGAAATAGGAACCTCTTTAAGGGCAGGGATTTGTTCCCCACTAGATCTCTAGCAGCTAGTATAGTGACTGGTACTCAGAAAGATGTAGGACTTCTTAGGAAGATAAAATAAACATATGAAAAGCCAAATAACACTAAAAGATTAATTTCATAAATCAAGATAAGAAGAAACTAAATAAGGCAGGAAATAATTAACTGTGAGATAATTTGTATGGCCAGTAACTATTATGGCACTTAGAGGAAGATAGCACTTCAGGCTCAGGTGGTTGAACAGGTCTTTATGAAAGAGATGGATCCAATTTGTGAAAGCTTAGGAGGTAAAGAAGGTTATTTTCAATAAGCAGAATGGGTTAAGTACAAAAATGCAGAAAGAAGAAAGTTCAATGGGTATTTGGGGACAGGATTGAACCAACAGTAATCTCAAAAGATCAGAGCAGGAAAGAAGTAAGGTGTAAAGCTACAGGGGTAGATTTGATTTGGACTGTACAGAACCTTGAATCTCTGGAAAGACAATTGGACAGTGGGAAGCTTATGAAGGTTTGGAGGCTGTAGCAACATGAAAAGCTAATGGAGTTAGGGATTAAAGCTGTGTATAAGACAAATAGAAGTGAGGTGGGAGAAAGGGAGTGACTTGAGACTAAGGTGCATAGTTAGAAGGGTTCACAATAATCCAAGAAAAAATCTTTTTTGGAAACTTTAGTTAGGACGGTGTTAGAAAAAAATGAAAAAAATAATTAAGATAGATATGCAAAATGTTTTCTATGCTGAAGGAGCAGACCAAATAGAAACTACACAGATGATAACAGAAAATGAAATTCTAGTCAAGGTACGTGCTATACTATTAGCCAGTGCTGCTTGGCTTTCTTCTGGTACCTACTTCTCAAAAACTCTAAAGACTTTTATTCATCTTCTAGTGATATCAACACAAATCTAAATGATGGCCACATTCTGCCTTGTGTGAAACCTAATCCAGCCTGGATTCTGGTCAAAGTGCCCAGTGTTGTACATTAAGCCAATATTGAGAGCAGTGGTTTTAACACTGGGTTCCAAGGTCCACTGAGCCCCCGAGTTCCCCTGAGGCCAGCTAGGAAAACTCTAGTTGGAGACCAAGCAGAAAGGGCCCCAGTCTTCCTCCCTATTTCAGTATAGAAGCTCAATTTTTATCAGCTTTATACATCTGGATTCTGCATCAGCTTTTCTGTTACTAAAAAGAAAACATTTTTAAAACACTAGTAAAATCTCTCTGAAGACAAAGAAGCATCCAGGCCCAAAAGACCTTCCCAATTTTATATCAATTACCCCACCCTGCCTCTGAACCCCCTCTGCAGGTCACTAGCTGGATCACAGTCACCTGGGCCTGCTACAGGAGGTTCAGGTTTATGCGACTTCAGGGGATCCAGTCTGTCCTTCTCCAGCTGTTTCCTTGTACTCCGTTGGCGGGGCTCACGGAACATAGGCAAGGCATGAGCTACAAGAAGTCACATTTGAAAAATTTCATTATAACAATAACCTTCCCATCCAAAAACATAGTTAAAGCATGACTAACTGAAAGATGAAATGGAAGTCATAATGACAGTCTTGATCTGATAATAAAAGACAGTCTTACTGTAACCAATTAGCCAATTTTGCTTGAGACCAGACTCACTGGTCACCTCTCCTGGCAGCTAACAGCACTCAGGAAATACTGTCAAATATTGTCATGGAAACATCGGTGAGGCTCCCCATCTCCCAAACCATGGGTAGCAGTTAAAACTTAATTACCGTGGTTTTGAAAAGAAACACATATTGGGACTGCCTCTTATTTTTTCTTACAGGACCCAAATGTGAATAATGCCAACAGCTTGCTGTCAGCCCTGAAGTTTCCTCAGATGTCTCATAAACACTGGAATCACTTCACACGTTTCTGAAATGTGACCACCTCTCAGGAGGAGTTGACAACACTGAGTAACCGGAAGGGAGGAACACTTATCCCACTGAAACTGGGATAAAGGTTGCCATGAATGCAAGAGGTGCCTAAATCTCTTGGCATGGGGACTTAATGGGGCCTTATCCCTCCTGCTATATGGTAGCAAAATAAGAAAATAAAAACCAAAGTAATATGCGTTCAATTGCTGTTACTGTTTACTCAATGTCAAAATTAAATTTCAGAATATAAAAGATTATAAGAATTTAAAAAGGAAAACAGTATAATATTCTAGGGGAAAAGGAAAGAGTTATTAGGGGAAGTATTAAATAACTCCCTTTTTTTGCCCCAGAAAAGTACTAGCAGTTTCTTTTGACTCTTACGTGCAGATTAAACCCCCTTTAAAAGAAACTTTTCCCGGGGGACCAGGGGAAGGAAGGGAAAGGTTAAAGGGAATTTATAATATCAATAAAATGTCTATAACACCTCAAAACCTCTTCCAGTATCCCCTCCTACCTTCTACCTATACTGCCAACTGAGGCCAGACCATATCACTCACCAGTAAAACATGCCTGCCTTGAGTCAGGGGAGCTGAGAAACATAGCCACCCGTCACTCAGTTGGGCAACACAACACAACAGTATTTTTAGGAGGGGGAAAATAGCTTTTCACTTCAAACGACTGGAGGAATTTAAGTAGGCCGCATGTAATTACATGAGCTAGACTAGTTATGACACTGACTTTAACACTTCTACTCTTGCAAAAAGTGTCATGGGATCTCTTTACTGGTCATAAGCTCCAAGGGACTTGGTCTCATATGAGACCCACCACCAGTGAGAAAACCCAGCAGTACAGCGCCCCCTGGGCTCCAGACTGAGTCACTGATAAAGTCCACAGGGCCATCCACTAATGATAATCGCTGTAGCATCCATTATTTCTTTCCTAGCTGTCACCTGTTGCAGGTTTGAGATTGTGGCTCTGGGAACACACATCTGCCAGATTAATGAGGTTGTGTGACATACGTGAGAGAAACCACTCTGCCCTAGTAAGCTTTCTACTCATACCCCAGGTAGTTAATTTTATATACAAATTCCTGTGGATCAGTCTAGCACATGGTCATAGAATTTCAGAGAAAGCTGGAAGAGACCCTTCCTCTGGTCGCCACACTTCCCTGATTAAAAGTTAAGTTGTTCAACATCACATTGCCACTCAGTGGTGGAACTGGACAAACCCAGGCCTCCTGATTCCAAGACCAGCACTCTTTCTTGTTCACACTTGGAATAGACTGTTACTCTTGAAAAAACTGCTATAAAGTAATGTATTGGACTCGAACAGGCTTTTCCCTTTTGGGTTGAAAGCTGCATGAAATAACCCTGTCCCTGTGATGAGTCACAGAAGCCACAGAGGTTAGCTGTTACATGACTCGTAGTCCTATCCACATGAATGGGCAATTTTGTAATATATGCCTGAATTCTGAGGGCTTTCTCTGTCTCTAAAGCTATGCAATCAAAACCACATGAGAGTAGAAGAGAGATGCATGATTGAGAGGCATGTTAACGACTTACGGGTGATGATGTAGTCCTGAGTTAGAGTCTCAGCTTGTTTTGCCTTCCGCTGGGTTTTAACCACACATAATTTTGCTCCCCTAACGGGTGTAAAAGCAAATTATTTTCTTTACTTGGTCTTAGAAACAGAAAATTTCATGTTGAAAACATGAGATACTTTCAGGAACATACTCTGTGCATGCACTCCATCTACACAAGTACTTGACTTTCTGAGGGATGGCAACAGATGGGCTCTCAGTGATAAAAGCTTAAACTTATGGAAAAGCAAGTCTGTCAGTCAGTGGTTATTAACAAGCAAGAGGGTTGGAGAGGTAACAGGGCAACAGGACACAAGTTTACAAAACCTATAGGAATAATGTGAAATTTTAAGATCTTAAATAATAAAATTACCCAACCTTTTCACTCTAAAGGTCACAGGGTTAAAATTTTAGTTTATGTCTCAGACTAAAGCAACCTGGGTGGTCTACACCCCAAATGGCATATGTCCACTTTTCAAATACAAGAGTACAAGTGTCTGGAACTGAGTTGGCTTGGCAGTGTTGCCGAGGGGCTATGGCCCAAGAATGTGTGGGATTAACCAAAAATGTGCTTAGAACATTGCACTTCTCCTTAGTAGTACAGAGTTATCCTTTTCAAGAGAAGCAAATACAAATAAGTAAATTTCTTAAAGCAAAGCTTCCACAGAAAGTGCCTTCTAAATGGGTGCTATCAAATGAGGCTCATCATTTTCTCAAGTGAAACAGACTCCCATCCTAAGTACATTAGCATTTTTAATTTCTTTTTTAAAAAACAAATAAAATCCTATTTGTTTTCAAATACCATAAATATACTTTATTGTATAAGGCCAGGATTCCAACTCTAGTCCAGGAAGCTCTGAAGGAAGATGGGGCTGTCTGCTTCTATTCAGAGCAAAATTATGGCCAATGAATATTCATTAATAGAGGCTGGCTTTCCTTTCCTCAAAGGATGTGGGACCTTAAAACAGGTTTATATGGGACCCCAGTAAATTTCACATGTGAATTTTAATGCTAGTTAACCAAGTCTTACTCTAAAGAAAGCTTATCAGTCACTGTACTTTAAGAGAGAGAAACAAAACCATCTTTTCTGGGTGATGACACATATCCATCTTTGTGCCTAAGCAAAACGGAAATAACTGAGGAAATGACTGAACCTCTAGTTACGTTTTCAGACTTTTGAAATACAGTGGTATGCTTAAGTTTGAAACTTGGGTGGGCATGGGGGTGGAGGGGAAACGTATCTGTGCTGTCCCTTTCTGCGGACAGAGAATAATCTTGCCAAACATCCAAACTGCTAGAAGCCAAAAAAGAAAGAAGCAAAATGGACAAGCTGATTCCATTTCCTGTAAGTGGTTAGTTCCCTGCTTTGTTAAATCTCTTACATGTATCACTGCTAATGCCTCTGTCCAGGGTGGTATGCAAAGTGGGCAGAACGTTTTTCCCCCTTGCACTCAACATTTCAGCTAAACAACTGCAAATTCCCAGGAAACTTTCGCTTTGAATTCAGTGTGGATCAAGGGCAATATTCAAATCCTTTTTAAAGCACAATACCAGGAGTTTGAGGCTTTACTTTGTTCCAGCTGCATTTTCTAAATGGGTGGATCTCCATCAAAGTGGGAAATAAATAAAAGCGGGGGTGGGAGGGAAATCCCTCCCCCCAGTTGTTGTCATCCATCTAAAACAGGCAATACTTATGAAATACCTCTGACTCTTGTTGGGGTCGTAATAGACTTTAGCCAATCCATTTCCAGTTCCAACCATGATCTGGTTCAGCTTTGGATGCCACAGGCAGCGAACAACACTCTGCAAAGGAAAAGCGCAGTGGTTGACTAAAGAGGCCAGATAAAAATGGAAACAATCCTGCTGGTACTTTGATGGCTAGTCTACTATATCAAATATCATCCTGATGGTTTACCTCTAACTTTCAGACATTTTCTTTTAAACCATAAAGTTGTGTTCCTGAAGTAAAATTCCATTCCATCACTTATTATCTGGGTGATACTCCATAAAAATAAAAAAGATGTTCTCTTCCTGACATTATCTCCCTTTCTGGACAGCCCTGAAACCACAAAATTAGGTTTCCCAGGTCCATTACCACGTGAGGCTGGCATCATGGAATGCTAAATCCACATAACTCAGTTACACTTACCACTGAAGCGAATTTCATGCTCTTACACACATACAATATGTCCCTCTGGACAGCAGATTGAGACCAGGTGGTTATTGTTTTTAGTTCACAAAGATCCAAATCTCATAAAGCTTTTTCAGAAACAATGCACATTTGTAGGCATTTAATAATGTCTCCCTATCTATGAGATAAAACAGCAGGACAACAGCAGAAGTAAAACAGAGATACAGAATACAAAGACTTGACATTAACCTAAATGAAAAGCTGTTTAAGAGAAGGTTCACTGGAAGTTATGATCCTATGAATTCATTACTGGTAAGGAAAATAAGTGGTGCTCTGGGGCTGAAAAGAACCACAAGTTCTCAGTGAGAACTATAACCTGTTTTTAATTTTTGTCTGTGGTAAGAGGGCAGAGGTGGGAGGGATAGCGTGGACAGAATTAAAGGGAAAAAAGATGAAGCTAATGTTAGTAAACAGAAACCCCATGTACTAGGTTCTATAGAACTCACTCTGATAGAACAAGATATGAGTGGAAGCATTAATTCAATGTTTATTAATAATCTATCACTTGTCAAACTATATATAGGGACTAAAGGGGAAAAGGGTATGATTAGATATTAGCATTTTATAGTTCTAGTGGTAAAATGAAAATCATGACTACGTCTCCTAAATCTACTTTGGGCTGAATTTCTTTGGTTCCTTGTCTCTACTCATTCCACTCTTTTGTTAAGACAGAATATCTTGAAATCTCTCAGATCCTTTTTGATAGAACATTGATTCCCAGCTGGGCATGGTGGCACGCGCCTGTAGTCCGAGCTACTCAGGAGGCTGAGGCAGGAAGATTGCTTGAGCCTAGGAGTTTGAGGCTTCAGTGAGCTATGATTGTGCCACTGCATTCCAGCCTGGGTGACAGAGTGAGACTCTGTCTCTTAAAAAAAAAAAAAAGAAAGAAAGAAAGAAAGAAAAAAACAAAGAAATAAAAATTCTGACTCCCATGTGAATGGCAAAAAAATAGGCCAAAAAAAAATAGGTAAATGGCTGCAAACCCTTACCTGAGATTCCAGAGGAACTAAGGAGAAAGCTGAAAAGAGTCTACAAGACTTTTATTTAATTCATATCTGATTTAACAGACTTACTCTAGAAGAGTGGTTCTTAACCTATGTACCACTGAAGAGGAATGGGATATTGTACAGAGAAAATCAAATCAGAATGGCTGTGTTTTCCCCATCAGCTGGGGGGAAAATTAAGTTAAAGGGGCAGGTTTTCACAACTTTAGGCTTGCTTTCCACAATTTTTCTCAAATCTATGGTGCCTGCTACCCAGGCTAGCAAGTTCTAAAAGATGATAAAACAAATATAATAGTGAGTAAATATTAACAGAAAAACTTGAAAAAATAAGATATATTTAATTTGATAGTTTGGGTATTTTTTGGGGGGGGGGTTGTTGTTGCTTTGTACCTATGCTTGTAAAACCTAGTTTATAATGCATACATATAAAAGTCACATTTTCTCCTAATAAAATTGCTCCTGGTTGGGAAGATGTAATTAAGTATATCAATAGCTCATGGTCTACAAAGTGCAGCTTCTAGGTGCTCCACCACTGAGACTAATTTGAGATAGACCACTGGAAATTCCCAGATGGCCACAGCCAGGTATATGGAAACATAAGGAGAGTCACAAACATAACTTCATGAAGTCATGTTTATGAAACCCTATGTAGAAGAAATCCATCTGAGCCAAGACTCATCTCTTTTAGTCTTTGCTTAAATGTCATTGCTATCTAAACCACCCAATTTAAAACTGTGCCCCAGAACTCCCCTTAGTCTGCTTTTCTTTTTTTATAGCATGTATCATCTTTTAATATAATATATAACTTATTTATTAATGATGCTGATTGTCTGCCTTCCCCACTAGAACACATATTTCATGGGCAAAGATCTCAGTCAGTTTTGTTTGGCAACATATCCCAAGTGCCTAGATTAGTGTCTGGTGCTCAAAAAATGTTCACCAAAGGAATGAATTAAAAGCTACAGTTCACCCATGCCTAAATGGATTGCTTTGCTAGGTAGAGCTGGAGACAATTTTCAAATTAAAATCATTACTCCATGAGAAATAATTTGATTTCCTCATATCATTATTATACTCAGGTATCCTACAAATGTAGCAGGGTTAGATTCCTCCTAATGTGGTCCTAGAGAGAGAGAATGTACATGAATCACAGAATAATGAAAGCGGCTGTCAAAGGCTTTCAGAAATCTCAGCCACCCATAAATGGCCCAGGACAATATTAAGGGCACAGTATTAGAGTTATTTCTCTTTCTTGGTTCTCTAGAGGTCTGGCTCAGCAGTCTAAGATTACTAGTTCTCAAATATGTTTTCAAGTGAGCAGGGTGCAGAATTGGAAAAGATCCACAATGTAGGCCTGATAAATTCCAAGACATCCAGCCAAACAGGCAGTTTCCAGGGGCAGCAGGTTACTGTTACTCTCTCCCTCTTCACTGAGGGTGTAAATGTTAGAGAGAGGCAACTGCCCAAGCCAACAGACCAAGGTCCAATTGCTTTCCAGGGAGTCCAAGGACACCTCACCTCTATTCCTGTTCACATCCTGTACCCTCCAGAGCCTTTACACACACATATAGCTGATTAGTATATGTTCTTACAGAGAAGCATATTTACCCTCCTTTCATGCCGAAACAGGGAGAGGCAAATAAGACCCCTTAAACTAAACAGTCATTCCAGAGCCCCATGCACTGTGGCAATGAGTCACTAAGCAGCAAATGAGAGGCCAGTGAGCAATCTGATTTAGGCAGAGGATACTTAAGGCTCAATTACCCTAAGACCAGTTATTAATCAAATACTACAAGGATTCTAAAACACGAAATGAAGAAACAAAATTTAAAGCCAAAGGTGGGTGGGCCTTTTTTGTTTATTAATATTTATTGTGTGTGTTTAGCTAACCTTTGTAAACTTTGCAGCTAATGCGGCTCCACATTTTATCCTGTCAAGGAAATGCATCTTATAGCAGAGAGCTGGCTACCTGCCAAACCAAACAATCCCTGAGACTGCGGCAGGGCTGGGAAGCAAGCTGAGCTGCCACGCTGCTAACTTGTCAAACATACATACCGGCTTTGCTTAACAACAATGCGACACGTGCCTGCTAGAAGCCTAAGGAACCAACATCAGAAGACAGATGAGCTATAAATACTTAGAAAGAGTACAATCCCTCGATCAACCAACCACCCCAAACTTTCTTCATCCTGTTCTTGAAGAAGTGCTTCTTTACTGGGAGCGTGACACATTCAGACCTAAGGAGTCACTGAGAAATGCAGCAAATAAAGCATAGAGAGCACATTTGAATAAAAGGACCAGAGAACCAGGAAGGAACATCAAGACATGAGATCTACAGAATCAAAGAGAAAGCCCTCACATTATATCATGAGATTCCAATGGCAGAAGGCCACTGCAGTGCAAAGAACTAGGTTCTGAAATTAGTCTGCATATTTTAATAAACTTATTTGCTTAATTAAATTGACAAAGTGTTTTATTCTTACACTAATCTACTTCATTTCCTAAAACATGTGGGTTCACTAATGGCTTCCTCTAGCTGCCAAAGTTGAACTTTACATTTCAGCACAAAATGAAGCTTATTCTTTTAAACCAAAGCCCATTTTCATTTTAACCCTTTAATTTGGTAGTGGAGGGTAACCACAAATTTGCCCAAAAATAAGAGACAAGAACTGGAATAGGAGACCATAAGCATGACTAGAAGGAGTTACAAGACCTTAATGTGCTCAACAGAGAGATTTTTTTCTTCTCTGCAGAGACCAAAGAAAAAAGAGAGGGGTAGGCCGGGGAGAAAGAGAGCACGATGTCGAGCTAGCAGTGTCAAAATTCCAAAATAGGAATTTTGGAATTACCCCTTAGCAAAAGTGAAAAGACCACAAAAATTTCCAAATAATTTATTTCTGTGGTTATTTTGTTTACTTTTAGAGGAACCAGGGAAGCAAATAAGGGGAGGAGGAGAAGGAAACCAAAGAGAGAAATGATTTACATTTTAGGACATGGTAGAAAGGGAATTATTAGGTACTGGAACTTTATATTATTTAATATAATTGAGTCCTCACAAATACTACAAAATTAATAATCTCATCCCATCTCACAGATGAAGAAACTGAGGCTGTAGAGAGTGGTAACTTTCCCAAGGTCACATAATAACTCGCACATAGAGGAGCTGGGTCAATAAGCAGGTTTCTCCAACTCCACTGTTCATTCCCTTACTACTTAACCATGCAAAGCCCTATTTGGAAAGATGGGGCAGAAAGAAGGTAGCTGACATTTAATCATATCCAAACCCACCTAACCCAGTAGAAACCTTAGCAAGTTTGTATTAAAAAGGAGTTATTACTAAAATCATTTTTTTAAAAAGCCCACTAGTTCCCAGTTCACAAATGTTACTATAAAAGAAATCAATGCCTGCGTAACATCTTAGGGATCTGCAATGCACATATCTAAACAACGCCCTTATTCTACATGCTAAAAGAAAGCCAACAGCCTTCATAACTTTATACCTTAAACATGATTATGTTGAAACTCCATTTCCGGATCCTCCACAGCTGCTGACCCATACTGTAAACCAAACTCCATCTGGTTTTTTCACGTTTGGTTTTTGTCATATAGTACAAGAATGGATAAGCTAATGCAGTGATTCCCTGAACAAGCATTTTTCACAATTTTCAAATGAAAAGCCTGACACCTGTCCGTGAAGGAGTCTGTTACACAATTTTGCAGACTTGTATAGAGGCAGTCTTAGAGTTACAGACATCCTTGGGACTATCCAACACATTTGAATGGGTGTGTGTGTGTGCGTGTGTGTGTGTTTGTGTGTGCAGATTCCAGACACTAAGAAAGAAGATCAAGATGTGAACCCAAAACAAATAAAAAGAAAACAGATAAAAACAAAAAAAATACTGGAGAAAGAACTTTCTTCAGACTTCCACAAGCCCAAGATATTCTTCACAGAGAAAGAAAAACTGTTTTCTATATTAAAATATTGGGCCAGGGAAGTATGAGAGTAAAATGGGAATTGTTTCAACTTTTCCAGGCTATTTGTCCTGTCTTTGTTCCCTCCACTCTCTCCCAAAGCCTTGCTTTTCTCAAACTTGGGATGGCCTTGCCACATGCATGGGCCACAAGACTTGGCTTCATCCCTCTGAAGTTCAGGAAGCAAACATGGTGAGTAAGCCCCAGTCTCCAATAACTAAGACTCATCACCACCTCCTGATCTCTACAGATATCCCCTCAATGGAAAAGTTTAAAGGCAGACATTTTCTCTACACATCTTGCTAAGTGAGCATATGCCTCTCCTTTTCCCCTCCTCCACATTCCTCCAGTTCCAAGGAAATTCTACCATGGGCCAGACTTGTGGCAACTGTCTTTTTTTTTTTTTTTTTTTTGCCAGAAATCTTCTCAATCTTCTCCCTTCCCTATCCTGAAAAATTCTCTAATAGGCCAGATAGGAGTGCAATGGTGAAAAGAAAAAATGCCATAGTACTTTCATAAATGTGGGGGCTGCTGCAGAAAAACCAAGTAAGGGAAAGTGTTGCTTTGCACCTGTCATACACATTTGATACAGATGCATATATTATGCATTTTAAAAACTGGCATCTAATTATCAAATTAATTCCCAGAAAACTCATGGAAAATGCTTTTACTAAAATAACTCATTTACAGTCTGTGCTATAAAATAAAGGTAACCACTAAAGCAGCAAAAATCTGGAACCTGGTAGTCATCCTTGGCACTAAATGAATCCCATCTGTATCTGATAATAAACCTGCTTAAAGAATTTCATCATGAGAAAAAGTTCTCAGAGAAAATGGAAGGTCTCTTGGGAAGTAAAATTAAATACAATTTTGTTCATCTAATTCAAAACAGTAAAAGTTTGCTCCAACCCTGTTACTTGAGAAGAATTTGTGAAGGCAAAGAAGGCATAAGTAAAGACTGAAGAAAGTCTGGTAATTATTCTTATTAATGATAGTCTGTGAGTAGGAAACAAACAGGAGACTGGGAACAGGAGTCCACAGGGTGAGTGACCCAGGTGGGTGGTCGTCCTGCAAGGCAAATGACCCCAGAGGTCCCACCTCATGGGATCCACTTAGATGCAGCAGAGCTTCCCACTGGTGGGCACAGAATGGGATACCAAGATATGGTAGGTGTATCAAGATATGGAGCCCCTCATGCCTAAGAGGAGCCTGGGGCACTGGGGCTAGTCATTTCTAGAGAAGAGGAGCCTTATCTGTTTATATGACATATTATCATTTATTATGGAGACCAGGTTGTGAGAAGGCATGGGAAGCACTATATGGCTATTTCTCTTCATTTAAGACCCACAGTGTAAACCCAACTCCACCTGGTTTTTCTATGTTTGGTCTACACAGACCTGGGCTCCTTTACATTTCTTCATTTATCAACAGAGATAGGCATAAAGATAATGACCATCAATCCTATGTTTATATAAATAAAACAGTAATGCATGAAACTTTTTAAATCTCTAACTGCTAGATAAGAAATATATGTAATCAGATCTTGGAAATCATTAAGTATGTAAAACCAAGAAAACACAGGAAAAGCTGAATCTTCCTGTATAGACGAACTACGCAGGATATGTAAAATATTATTTATCTTACTATAGTACAGGTAAAGATGTTTTAAATATCATACTCTTTTATTCAGTCCTTTGGGGGTCTCACAACCCATCCTCCTACAAGACCACTATCTATCATTTCCAAAAAGGAAAAATACTATCCCGGGATGCATTTTAATTATAGAACTTGTTCTTCCCCACACTATATATAATTGTGAAAGTTTGGCCAGAATTCTGATAGAACAGCTGGAAAACTTGTTACCAAAGATCATTCATCAGATTCAGGCTGAGGGAGAAAAACTGTCAGAAAATCCTACAAGACATAAAGTCCTTCACTTGGTCCATCAGTGGGATGTGATACGGTGCTAGGGTTAGACAATGGAGCTCTAGTCATTACTGTATTATTTGTTTACACATTATGAAAAGAATAGTATCATTCTGAACATTTTTAAACATCTACAAATCAAGTTCTCTTTTTTTATATTTTATAGAGGAAGTATGTTTCTCCCTAGTGAATAAGTATTACCTAATAATAATAAGTAAATATAACATTATAATAATAAAATTAAGTACTACCTAGTGGCTGATTCCTTATCTAGCTTTGCCATTCATGGCAATCATGTCTACACAAGTTTAAATACCTATTAAATAAATTTAAATATTTATTAAATAAAATATCAAACTTTTGTGTAGAGAAGGGGAAAAAAGTTCCTGTTTAATCAAAAGGGATACACTGACTATTTCTATTGTTTCAAAGGACTAGAAATAGAAGCAGAAAAATCTTCATTTGCAAATGCTGGCACTACTAAGGAGTGGATGTTTTTTAATATAGCTTGTAATGGGGTTAAATGATACTAGGAAATGGATAAACTATTAAACTGGATAAGCCCTCCTTTTGATCCTCATTCTTTTGCTCGCGAAGTCTAAGGCAGCACGTGATTGGCCCTTCATCTCACCCTGTAACTTCCCAAATGAGATCACTGTTAAATAGGTGGTCATAGGAAAAGACACTTCACTGCAGGGTTTGAATCTGGATTCCTACAGTAAACGTTATTTCAAAGAAGAGAACATAGAATAGAGAATCTAAAAAACTGCATCTGAATCAAGAATCTGCTAGTTACAAAAAATTTATAAAGTTATTATTTTAAGAGAGAATGAGGCCAGGCGCGATGGCTCACTCATCGCCTTGGGAGACTGAGCTGGGTAGATCACCTGAGATTGGGGGTTGGAGACCAGCCTGGCCAACGTGGTGAAACCCTGTTTCTACTAAGAAAAAAAAAATTAGCTGGGCATGGTAGTGCACGCTTGTAATCCCAGCTATTAGAGAGGCTGAGGCACAAGAATCACTCGAACCCAGGAGGTGGAGGTTGCAGTGAGCTGAGATCACACCACTGCACTCCAGCCTAGGCAACAGAGAAAGACTATGTTTCAAAAAATAAAAATAAAATTAAAAAGTTTTTTTTTAAAGAGATAATAAAGATGAGAAAAACAAAGTGATAAGTACTATATCACATCAGTATTTGTCCCCTATTCTAATGAAGAGTAATGATTAGACTTCTGATAAAATAAAGTGTCAAATTCAAACAAATAACTTTTGCTTCAAAGCACAGAGTATATTTTACAAAATAGATCCAGGAAACATATCATATTCATTAACAGTGTAACAACCAAAACAAATTATATTCACTAGAGTTTAAATTACCAGTATTTTAAGCATCTGCAGTAAATCTGTGTTTCCTCTAATGAACCCAAAACCTGGCTATTTGCAATGAATCTGAAAAAAGGATCATCTAAAGTTTTAAAGTAGTAGACAATTAAAATAAATGTATACTTCTTTTATCAATCCTAAAAGAAAATGTGGCCGGGTGCGGTGGCTCTCGCCTGTAATCCCAACACTTTGGGAGGCCGAGGCGGGTGGATCACAAGGTCAGGAGTTCAAGACCAGCCTGGCCAACATGGTGAAACTCCGTCTCTACTAAAACTACAAAAATTAGCCAGGTGCGGTGGCAGGTGCCTGTAATCCCAGCTACTCAGAAGGCTGAGGCAGGAGAATTGCTTGAATCCAGGTGGCAGAGGTTGCAGTAAGCCGAGATCGTGCCACTGCACTCCAGCCTGTGTGACCGAGTGAGACTCCGTCTCAAGAAAAAAAAAAAAAAAAAAAAGAAAAAATATATGCACTGAAATTCCAAATTGATTTTTAAAAACTATTAACCAAAAAATAAAAACTTGAGAAGGTGGTAAGGAATAGGCCATTACAGTTAGTCCCAACAAGAATATAATAGAATAAAATGTAATAAAAGGTAAAGCAAAATTAATAAATACATTTTCACCAAGCATCTACTATGTGCCATGTATTACATTAATAAACATTAGTAATATGATGATGCCCTTACCACCCACATGACACCATCAGCCCTGAGGAGACCCTTACTCCAATTTGGTCACTGGAGAGTTTAGAAATGGCTGAGAAGAGAGTATCAAAGACAACAGAGGTGTGGAGAAAACAAGATCCACAAGGAAATGTTAACAAACAAAAAGAACAAAAGACTAAGTTTGGTTCCCTCAGACAAAGACAAGACTGAACAGTAACTTTATAATCTTCAAGGAAACAGAGGATGTTAACCAGCTGTTCTCCAACTCCATGAGGACCAGAGCAAAGGATGTAGGCTCTAAACATGAGAATGTGAGGCTAAAAATAAAGAAAAAAATGATCTGACGGTAAGGGATTTCATACACAGAAATGAACTCTTTAGGGAAGTTGTAAAATCTGTTAAGTCTAATTTTTATACAGGAGAGTTACGTCGTAGTGTGCAGGTAGGCAAGAGGAATGAGCTCTGGAAAATAATATTGAGAAACTGGGCCAAGTATGCTTAATACCAATGGCAGCTAATTAAGCAAAAGCCAGTAGCTCTGCCTTGTGGCACAGTTATGTCAAGGGAACATACTGCCCAAGTAAGAGGGGTGACTCATTCTAGGAGCAATGACATTATTTTATTTCCTACCATATGAATGTCCCTCCAAATGTGCAGCTAACTTAGAAGCTTCCTCCTAAGCACATTTGCTATAATCTGTACTGTTTCATTTTGTTTTTTCCATCACCATTGTAGACAGTAGAAACATACTCCATTCAGTCTCTCCCTCTGAATGTTGTTTAAAAACCAGGACAGAAGGCATAGGGTTTTTCAGAGACCTACATACTTTTCAGAGACCTATCTGAGGACTCTGAAAAGTAAACAGTAGTAGGTGGATTTGGGAAGAAGTCCATAATTCAAAGTATCAGTCAAGCAGAAGTGAGTTACCATTTCCCCAACTCTAGCCTCCACCAATAATAATAATAATAAATAAATAAAAACAAAAAATCTATGGCAAACAAAACATCAACATTTTAAATAAAGACGGGATCAGTCCAACTGAGTTTTCCTTTTGCCTTAGGCTGTAATACAGCTTGGCACAGCACTGTTACTGATCCCATTTTTATTTTAAAATTTGGTATTTTATTCACCATAGATTTTTTGCATTTTTTATATTGTTGCATTAAAATGTTACTTATCTTGATTACTAAGTGTCTTAGTGTCCCTGTAAACTTTGTGATTGAGGAAAGCATCTCACTTGCCTCACCCTAATCCTGGCCCTGTCTGTGGAAATATTGTCTTCCACGAAACCAGTCCCTGGTGCCAAAAAAGTTGGGGACCGCTGATTTATATGACATTCTTGAAACCACAACACAATAATTATGGAGAACACATCAGTGAATGCCAGGGCTTAGGAGTTGGGGGTGGAAGAGGGGGTGTGTGTGTGACTATAGAGGGATAGCAAAAAGGAGTTTTTAGGGGGTACTCTTCTGTATACTGATTGTGTTGATAGTGATTACATGAATCCATACATGTGTTAAAAACCACAGAACCGTATGCTTTCTTAAAAAGATCAATTTTACAGTATCATAATTTTTTAAAATAATAAAAAGGAATCAGCACTAAACTAGTTCCTGTCATCTTCCCTAACTAAAAACATGTTAAGATTTGATATCGTAGATATTAACAGTTAAACCACCAAGAAATCTGAGGTATCTTTCCTCTTTACTCTCATGTGCCTACAAATAAACATTCAACTGTATTCTTCAAATCTGAAGAACAACTGCTCTGGAACCTTCATAATATGATACCTCTAGGTGAATGAGAACCAAGAAGTAATTTAATCAAGTCTTATTGATGCTGGCTTAGTAGGTGAGCCCAGCTGAATTCAAATTCCCATTTAAATTATATGTGTATGCTGCTTGCTTTAGGAAATTCCCCAAAAAGATTTAAGTTTTTCAAGGTGGTCTTGTAGTCCAAATTATGAAGGCAGCAAAAATGCAACATTGTTTTTCACCATATTCCACTGGCATCTCTTTTCTTCAGTGATTAAAGAAAATACTCCTAGAGATAGCAGTACTGAGTGACCACTGCACTTCTTGACAGTAAAACATTGTCCTAATAAGCCATGCTAGAAGTTGGCTCTTGACCCTGGAAAAAAGATAGGGGCAGAGAAAGAAACATGTACTGGCAAATTTACACTAAAACTCCATCATTTTCTACTTGCTCCCAGTTTTCCTATCAAATATTCATACATCTTGGAAGACCAAGAAACAACCAGTGCTCTGAAACTCCACCTTTCTGTTCTCAGTGAGCAAGTGCTCCACACACCTATGTTAGGTATACTGTCCTATCACTTGGCTGTGGGCAAATATAATATTTTTATTAAATACAAATATGTTACTCAGGCTCCCTCTAGGATATGCATTGTTTAATCCTCCTAAAAAAAGTGAATTACAGTAAAATTTCATTAAGCTGATATCATGTTATTCAAAATAATACATAATTCAAAGCAAATGCTATTCCCTAGTCAACCAGCTGCCTGATTGCTCCATAATAAAAATCAGATAATGGAAAGCTGGTTAATTCAAAGCCCATTTTTTCCATCTCCTTGTGTTTCACATTAAGGAGGTTTCACTATATTTTAGAAGGCAGACAAATGCCAAATGTAGTCTTTCAAGTTTATTTTCAGTTAGCATTTGCAGTGCTGATAGCTCAAGTTCTCCCTGTGTAATGCTACTCCTTGTATGACTCTGGGCAAAGACAATGCTTGACTCCTTTATTTCTAGAAACTTAGAAGGAGGTGCCATTCTGCCTGAGTTGGGACTTTATATCAGTAAAACAGATAATTACTCTATTCCCAGTATGAAATGAAAGAACAGATGAGTTCCTCAACTCCTTCAGAATCAAACTTTCACAGGCATAGTATCATTAATTTGTTTGAAGTGAATTCCCAGATCGGCTATATCTACATTCAAATGTAAGAACAAAGATACATTCCAAAGCCATTTCTGAGGACTTGTGGAATATCCATTAATTTGAATTACCTTTCTGCTTCCCTCCCTAAGTACAAATAATGGAGGCTGACTATAGTCTGAATGGCCGTATGTCCCTTACACATTATAAATTAAGATAAATAGCTAGGTTCATAAAGGGTCTATTATTTCATGGCCCTTTTTATCCATTTAGTCTTCCTCTTCAATCTCTCTGAATTAAAACATCAATATTCTCTCTTAATAAGAACACAAAAACTTTTTTGTGAAATGAAAAGTGCTAACACATTCATTTCCAGAATATACTTTTTAAATTTATGTTATGTATAATTATGTTACATGTGTAACATGTAATTATATATAACATATACAATGTTATGTATAATTTTATATGTTATATATAACATTTATACCACACCAGGCCTTTTCAATCAACTTGAAAATGTTAGCACTTTCATTTCCACAATATATACTTTCTCAAACTGTAGAGTTAGCCTCTTGAAAACAATGATCATCATAATACTTCAAACTGACAGAACACACCAGATACTTAATATTTTCAGTTTTCTTTTTTAGAGAACATGAATGAGGTATGCATATTATACATTTCATTTCTCACAGGAAAGGGATATTCTGAAAAACAAGCCATGATAGAAGGAAGTAAAAATATAAGATAATCCTTGTTCTTTACTATTTAAAAAACGTCCCAAAGAAAATCAAATATTATCTAGAAATCAAAAATGAGGTTTTTTCTTCCTTAAAATACCTTTACTATCATATTTCTTATGTTAATATTAAGATTTTCAATCAACTATATATATATATATATATATATATATATATATATATATATATATTTTTTTTTTTTTTTTTTTTTTTTTTTTCTTTTTTTGAGACAGAGTCTCACCCTGTCGCCCAGGCTGGAGTGCAGTGGCGCCATCTCAGCTCACCGCAACCTCTGCCTCCCAGGTTCAAGCTATTCTCCTGCCTCAGCCTATGGAGTAGCTGGGATTACAGACTCCTACCACCACACCTGGCTGATTTTTGTAGTTTTAGTAGAGACAAGGTTCATCATGTTGGACAGGCTGGTCTTGAACTCCTGACCTCAGGTGATCCACCTGCCTTGGCCTCCCAAAGTGCTGGGATTACAGGCATAAGCCGCCATGCCAGGCCTTTTCAATCAACTTTAAAATGTCCAAGGCATACTAGTTGAAAATATCAAAGCATATTTCCTTTTCTGTTGCTTCAGAGGCTATATGCTAGGTTATGCTAGATGTTATAGCAGTGTTTTCAAAAATAAAGGTTTAGTTTTTTAATTCTTTCTTATCCTCATTTTGTTCAGCCAGTATTTACAAAACTAGAGGTCTCTCACCAAAGTACCTAAGCAAACAAATAAATTAGAAAAGAAGTTAGGCTCAGGTGTAAAATTTCTGGCTTTTTTCCTTTCCTCCTTTTCCCTCTTTACCCATGGGAATGCCTGCTATCTCTGAAATTATTGCCAAAAGTGAATGAGGTACAGAGACCATGAAACAATATCAGGTTAAAACAACCTGATTAACCATGCTTAAGTTAAAAAATATAAATGGTAATATACTGGTACAATTGCATAAACCATGTCCCTTGGTTCATACTAGTTAAAAAGAAAATTCTATTAGTCATTTCACAATAAATTATCATTTGTTGAAAAACTACCAAGCTAATAATATTGTTATTTCAGAACATTTCCCTAAATACTGGCTCTTAAGAAAAGCTTAAAATTTAATAATTTCATCTAAATAAAATTAACTTTAAAAATTGACATGTCATCACCAAGTTGTATTTTATCCATTCTTTCTTTCCTGTGCTTTTATTGTATAAAACAGAGTAATGGAAGCCCTTTACATAATACATAAAAAGCATAAACTGCTGTCTTACAAAAAAAAACAAAAGTGAATTTGTAAACTCAAGATTCAAGTTATATTCTGGAATTCATCTTAGAAAAGAGGCCAAGCATACTATTCAAATCACAAAGAATTAGATAACAAATGAGGGGAGAGAGAGAGAGAGTGTGAGTGTGAGTCTGTGTGCGTGTGTGTGTGTGTGTGTGTGTATTACTCTGTTCTCACACTGCTAATAAACATATACCCTAGACTGAGATATTTATAAAGGAAAGAGGTTTAATTGACTCGCAGTTCCACATGGCTGGGGAGGCCTTACAATCATGGTGGAAGGTGAAGGAGGGGCAAAGGCACGTCTTACATGGTGGCAGGCAAGAGAGCAGGTGCAGGGGAACTCCCATTTATAAAACCATCAGATCTCATGAGACGTATTCACTATCACAAGAACAGCACGGAAAAGACCCGCCCCCATGATTCAAATACATCCCACCAGGTCCTTCCCACAACATATGAGGAGCTACAATTCAAGATGAGATTTGGGTGGGGACATAAACAAATCATTTCAGTGTATAATTTGAGGAAATGCAATTAGACTACAAGGGAATGTCTAAAAATTTTAGCAGAATTGTAAAATGCGTGCAAACATCGTATGGTGAAATAGCAAATGTTAAAGAAACATACACCATCTCCTAGCAAACAGACTTGAGAATCTACAATGAACAGAGAAAGGAAATTTTTCAAAGAATATGACAATGCAGAGAACAGAATTAAAACAAGTTTTGGGTTTTTAAAAAACTTTGTTTCAAAAATAATTATAGAAAATGCCCTTGCTATATTTTTAAGAAGCTATGTTTTTGTGAAGATAGTTTTTAGTTAAAAGGAATAACTGCATAGATTGTTAACATCTTCTGACTGAAAACAATGTTTGGCTCCACATATGTATACTGAGCCTGGTGTCCTAGAATATAAGCATGTAGGGGTTTATTCTGTTTTAGAAGAGGGCGTGGGAAGAGCGTAACCAATTATATGTGTCCAGTAAATGAACACATCTAGGATAGACATAATGCCATCACTGTCTGTGCCTTAGTCAAACAAGTACACTACTAACTGCTGATATTAAGAATCTGAGATGCTGCCTTTTATGCAAATTAAAACTCAACACAGTTAAGTTCCTTACTACCTTGGAGTGTGGTATTTCCAACACAAAATTATAAAAGAGGTGTCTTTTGGCTCTTCTAGCAAAGTGTCCACCTTTTATTCATTCCAAGAAATGTATTTTTTTTTTTTTACATTCCAAGAAGACGTAAAACTTGGGACAATAGGTCAAACGGACTGTTAAAAGCCCCATTTATTTAACATAGCATTCTAATATATAAACAGAAAAATGATGCTGTTTGATGTTAACAATAACAACAAGCCTTCACCCTCACTAAATCAACAATTTAATAGGACTCTTTGGGGTGTGTGGTTTTGTTCCTATTTGAAGTTCTCTCTTCATCCATCTATTACAATGGATCTCATAATTTGTCTTCCAGCTTTTCTCAGATGATTCAATATTGTATGTTCTATTTATTTAATGAAATTTCTCCTTTCTTAGTTTCATTTGCTCGTCTCTTAAATGATGACATTTCTTAGGGCTCATTTTTCTATCCTTTATTCCCTTACCTTAATCAAACTCATCAGCAATCAACATTTCAACTATGCACTATAAATGTTTTTACCAAAACTGTCTCTTCTTTCTCTTATGCACCAAACTTATTAAACCATCTGCATACTGAGTATCTCTACACAGAAGTCCTATAGGTATTTCAAGCTCAACATATCAAGAACAGAATTCA
The DNA here is from genome assembly GCF_000001405.40 of Homo sapiens. NCBI lineage: Eukaryota > Metazoa > Chordata > Mammalia > Primates > Hominidae > Homo > Homo sapiens. The sequence continues at coordinate 37,705,090 of NC_000005.10, read as the reverse complement.
CTGTCTTTCTTCCAAAATCTGCTTTATTTTATCTCTATGTATTTTTACGTCAATGAACATTCACCCAGTCTCCCAAATTATAAATTTCTGGCTTCATCTACACAGACTCACCAAATCTTATATAACTAAACCTTGTATTTCAACAAGAATTAACCATTTCAAAACTTAGATCTGAATGTGTCTTCCTCTGCTTTAAAAAAAAAAAAAAGACACAAGATAGTCATCTTCTAATTGTATACAAGACCAGTTTTACCTTTCTAACTCTAGATATCTCTCTCCTGCCTCACTCTCCAAAGACACACCTAACCGAAGATTTACACATGATCTACAATATGCCTTACTTGCACTTCCCAAGTATATCTCTCACTCATTCAATTAATATTAAGAGCTATTTATGTGCCAGGCACTGTTGAAAGCATCGAGGATACTGCAGTGAACAAAAAGTTTCCGCCCTGTGTGACTTACATCCTGGTAGAAGAAGACAGACGAAACCAAACAAATATACAATATATGAGGCAGTGGTAAGTACCACGGAGAAAAAGATCTACCTATAAAAGTAACACAGAGAACAAAAATGTATCACATTATGAGACACTGATTTTTCCAGCAAACAGTATGTTCTTCCTATAAACTACAGAAGCCCAGCATGTCTTTAAAAGTGCAATCATATGTCTACATCCCTTAATTTATTTACAGTTCAACTTAAGCTACAATTTAAAAATACATCAAGTGTGATACTGAAATGTATAGTCATTTAGAGGCATAGTAGAACACAGCTTATTTCTGGAACAACCAATTACAATAATTTTACTTTCTGAGATGAAAGTTGATAGATTCAATTGTTTTCTTTGATTCTAGTGTTTTAGTTGGCTCCTAATGCACCCAGAAAAAGCACTGTGAGTGCTGGCACATTTCAAATTACGTCATGAGATTAGAATCTATTAAACATAAGTACTCATCTAGAATTAATCTCATTTTTATTTCACTTTTCCTATAATACTCTATACCGTGGTTTTACATTCAGAACCCGCAAATTAAGACTTCATAGTAATACTAGAACATTAGAGACAGGAGTTTTTTGCTGGTAATTTAAAAACAGTTGTTCAATTGTCTGAGTCACGTAAGTGCATAATATGTCTCAACTGTTTACAAAGAGCTGAAACAACTGGAAAAACCTACATAAGAGCACTGTTTAAGATATAGGATATTACTAAAAGATTTGACAATGAGCCAAAGAAAATTTACACAGACATTAATTGGCCTGTTTCATACTCAGAAAATTACAATGATTTGCTTTACCATGTAAATAATAATATACAGCTTAAAGGAATTCAAATTTTCCTCTGGGAATTTTCATTCTTATTGTATTACATGTGGCTCCAGTCTCAGTCTCAGGACATGAACAAATGAATGAATGCATCAGTGAATGCTGGTGTTTTAGTGTTCATATAAATCTGTAAAGAAAACTAATGTGTTTTTTTAAGGTGTTGAAGTTAAATCTGAAATGCTTTAAACTTCCAAATAATTAAATAGCAATTAAGTTCAGCGCAAGCTGAGCCTGACTTTAATGACTACAACCCACACAAGCAGAGTTCTGTCAAAGTTTTCATGGTTTCGGGAACAATGTTAAACTTCGTCACTTATTAATCTTTCACTTCTGTCGACAATCCCTAGATCCTCACAAACATGCCCATTGTGGGATGCTCCTTTCTGTATCCTACATGATGATCATCTTCCTCACTCCTCAATTTGTTTGGCAGAGAGGGAAACCCAGCTGAAATTCCTACTAAAGTGTAGGTCCATAGGAAATATTGGGTTGTGGAAAGGGATAGGGTAGCTCAGCCATCCACAACATACTGATAACTCCTACGCTAGAGTGAAAAGCAGCTATCACCGTGCTCTAAGGGCCAGGGCTTATATTCTACTTAACAAACAAAACCAAAAGATGGGTAAGAGGCAAACTTTATGTATTCTCAAGGCTGAGGAGAAAAGAATATACGTACCGCATCTGTGATGTCTATTTCATACACCCTTTGGAAAGTCCTACGCTCAAAGAAAACAAGTTTGCCGCTGCCACATCCTCTTTGAATAGATGTACCAGTGACTATGAGCTTATCATCTGGACTGAAACAGCAGTCAGTCCTACAGAAAAAAAGAGTTTACGAGTATAAGCTTATGACCTCCACAACAGTCCAGCAATCATTAGTGAATTAAATAAAATATAAACATCTCTGTAACTCCTATATAGGGCTTATGAGTCAAGCACTTATATTAATTTGTTTAATCGTCACAATAATCCTATGTGGTAGTTATTATCCACATTTTACTGATGAGGGAACTGAAGAAAATAATTTAATTACACCTTGCACACGGCAACAAAAGTAAGTAGCACAGCTGGGATTCAAACTTAGGCAGTCAGACTCCAGAATCTGTGCTTTTTAACTTCTACATTGTAATTTTTTTAATGTAAAGGAAGTATAAAAAGACTCAATATAGACATTAAGAGTGTCTACGGACAGATATATATTTGACTAATGTCTAAGTAATGATTATTTTGGCCATTTTAAAAACTATTTTCACTAACACCACTACCATCACCCCCAAATAATTTGAGTTATATCAAGTTGAGCACCATGAAATGAGCCACAGGTTGCATTGCTGGAACCTAATTGATGGCTATGATTCCAAGGCTTTTGTTGTTAGCAGTCTGGCCATCTGATTGTGACTAATCTAAGACATGACCCAAAGAAGTTATATAGTTAGCATTACTTGCAGCAGGTATAATAGCTCAAAAAATTACCATCAGAAGTTATATAGTTAGCATTACTTGTAGCAGGTATAATAGCTCAAAAAATTATCATCAGCTATAAACTCATGTTTGTTCGTTTTAACATAAAATGCCATGGGCAGCAGACATGTTAGAGTTAGTACTGCATTATCATACAGCTTTCATACAGCTTCCTTCCCTTGACACTTCCATTATCTTCATGCTCTTCTCTGTTGACCATTATTTCATTTCTACCAAAATAGAACAATTTGCCTAAGCACCAACTATAGGACTTAGAGGTCAAGTTTTGCCTCAGCTGCTTCAAAAAAACCTTTAAAAGTTTCAGGTGCCAATTTAGTAGATTGGAGATAACAGCGTTCAGCTACCCACAGCAAGACAGTCTGAACAAGTGAAGGATGCTGAATTATTGATTTGAATGATTTAAAAAATGAGAAAATAAGCTGTACTATAAATGCTCAGTAATATTAAAAACTGCCTTGAAGGTATTAGAGCTCAATTTTTTTTTTTTTTTTTTTTTGAGATGGAGTCTGGCTCTGTCCCCCAGGCTGGAGTGCAGTGGCGCAATCTTGGCTCACTGTAAGCTCCGCCTCCCAGGTTCACACCATTCTCCTGCCTCAGCCTCCCGAGTAGCTGGGACTACAGGCACCCGCCACCACGGCTAATTTTTTGTATTTTTAGTAGAGACGGGGTTTCACCGTTGTTAGCCAGGATGGTCTTAATCTCCTGACCTCGTGATCTGCCCGCCTCGGCCTCCCAAAGTGCTGGGATTACAGGCATGAGCCACCATGCCTGGCTGACTAGAGCTCAAATTTTTAAAAACCACAAATTTTAAAAGGCCTACCTTGTCATTTATACAATATTAAAAGAACAACTGAATCTCTTAAAATATATTTTAATACTCCAAGACTTGTGCGTGCATACAATACACACAAACACATGAATAAATCAAATACATAATTTTAACTTCAAAAAAGTTCTTGAAGTCTGAGGAATGTGAAAAATAAAAAAAATACATATTTTTCAAAAAACAGATTTTGATCACTCTCTCAAGTCTCTTTTCCAGAAGATCTAAAAGACGTATGATATAAATTAACATTAAAGTAAAAGTACTTCTTTTCCATTCTTCTATGCTGATCAAATATTTAAAATATGCTACTTACATTGGGAACATGGTGGGAAGACCCGAGGCTGAAAAAAGTGGTTTATTAAATTGTCGGATGTCCCATAATTTTAATGAATCGTCACCTGACAGAGGAATGAGGGGAAAAAAAAGACAGAAAAGTGAATTGTGCAAAAAGAACTCGCTCCCAGTTTAGAGTCTGCTAAACTTAATGTATAACTGTAAAGAAGAAAGGGAAGGGGAAGGGGAGAAAGAGAGAAGAAAGAAAGGAAGAAAGAAGCTAGATTCACACAAGCATGTTTTACTTTTTTAACCGTTCAGAGAGCTTAAAAAGCGGTAGTCGCAAGAGCAGTTGAAAGCTATTTGATAATGAATTGGGCTTCTGGAAATTACTTTCCAGATAGATGTAGCATCTGCAAGCTAGAAGGAACCCTGGAGAATCTACTCTGAAGTATGATATTAGAGCAGATGGTAGTTCCCCCGTGGTGTATTTGAGCATACGTTACTTCTTGAGAAGAGTTTAATTTAACAACTATCAGGACTGAAAACAGTTCAATCCACAACAGATTCCTTTTCCCACTGGTGTATGGGTAAAGCTATCCATTAACATTAATAAGGGTGAGCCATGTGATTCCCTTCTCTCCAGTGTAATTCTACCTACAGCTATCATTCTTCACTTTGCTGGGGAGTACAGCTTTGCCAAGCTATTTAAAGAATAATGAGTATTTTTAAGGAATCACTTTTTGTGTTCGCTTTGGCAGCACATATGCTAAGACTGGAACGATACAGAGAAGATTAGCATAGCCCCTGCACAAGCATGACATGCAAATTTGTGAAGTATTCCATATGTATCTTAAAAATAAATTTTTAAAAATCCCTTTTTAATATTTCTATAGGACGAATTCCTGAACAGAAAAGCCAAACTTATATACATAATGTTTTCGCTGTTCTTTCTCCCCAGTGCCCACAGCTGAGACCTGCCTCAACCCCTTGGGTCCAATAAGGAATGAGAATCAGGTGCAAGTGAGGAGAGTAAAGAGTTCAGTAAAAATCCCCATTTTTACAGCGAAGCTTCCTCTGAAACCCAACTTTTGGCAGGTGCACTAATCCACAATTGGCTGGACTCAGGACCTGCTTGTACTGGGAGAACTTTGTAAGGCTCACCTTTGGAATGTTACTTTATTGCTTTTAGTCTGTTTTTTTTTTTGTTTTTGTTTTTGTTTTTTGTTTTTTTTTGAGACAGAGTCTTGCTCTGTCACTCAGGCTGGAGTGCAGTGGCATGATCTCAGCTCACTGTAACCTCAGCCTCCAGGTTCAAGTGATTCTCCTGCCTCAGCCTCCCGAGTAGCTGGGACTACAGACATGCGCCACTACATCCAGCTAATTTTTGTATTTTTCGTAGAGACAGGGTTTCATCATGTTTTCCAGGCTGGTCTCAAACTCCTGGCCTCAAGTGATCCACCTGCCTCGGCCTCCCAAAGTGCTGGGATTACAGGTGTGGGCCACTGCACCTGGCCTGCTTTTAGTCTTTAAAAAAAGGTTACATATCTCCACAATCTTCAAACAATAAGAAAACATTAACCTGTATTAATTCCATCTAATCCAGCGGGTTATGCAGCTAGCAGAAGCACCTTGTAACACCCTGAGGATTCTTTGCTGAATAGACTTCCATCTGCCATATTGTATACATCCAGGAAGGAAAACGATGGAATACAGCATACATGTGGTATTGACCAATTAAGTTATCCAAAAGCTAGTGTGTGTGTGTGTGTGTGTGTGTATATATATATACACACATACATATATATACACACACACACACTGTGTGTGTGTGTGTGTGTGTGTGTGTGTATGATGGAAAGGAAAGTAAGAATTATCACCAAAATGGCTTTGACTGAAATAGACTTAGTTTTATACTTCTAAGGGAGCAAATATCAACTGGGTAATTACTCAGTTGAGTAATTTTGGGCTCACCTATTTTATCACCTGTGAAGAATTTTCAAGCTACACTCTCCCTTTTTCCCCTCTTCTCCCCTAACTCCACCTCAGAGACTTGGATATACCATCCCAAAGATGCAAGAGTGGATGTAAGAATTCCTAAGTGGAGCAATTATCATTTGAAAACTTTCCCAGGGGATTCAGATACACTACTGGGATGAGAACCATTGTTTTAAATAAAGAATATATAGAATTTTAATTGGGAATCATCTCTGAACTCAAGTAGCAGGTTAGAATTGATGGACCAAAATACATATTTTATACATATCCACATTTGCCATGTGTATCATAAATAGAGAATTACATGTACATGTGCTTTGATTTTTTAAAGTTATACAAATGAGAGTAGTTTAGATACAACAGTAAAGTTTCCTTAAAGAGAATCTGAATGAGTTCCCCAGGGTAAAAGGACAGGGACTAGTTAAATTGAGGGGAAAGCTGTGCCACATCTCTTGCCTCTCTCTTCATTTCCACTATCCTATACACTGGGTTGTAAAGTCTTTCAGGAAAAGGATTCTGTCTATGATGTTTAAGGTTTACACCCAGCACCTAGCATAATGTTAGCTCATAGTAGATGCTCAATATACAGTAGTCGAGTGACTGAATGAATAGCTAAATATAGCACTGTTAGATTCACCTGCCTAAAGGCCCTCTGTAGCATAGTTCCCATCTACTTAACCATGCTATTAGTATTTCTTTTCCTTATGTGATATTTAAGACCCTCTGTAACATGGCTCCAAACTACTTACCATGCTATTTCTTTTCTCTCCCCACAAATAGGTCTGTAGGAAAATCTTCAGCTATGTCCCATACTCTCCCATAATGCTGCCTTCACTATTCTCCATCTCCTTCTACCAATACACAACCTATCTATGTGATAAAGATTTAGCAAAAAAATTAGGAAGCTATATCCAACCATACAAATGTGGATAAGTAAACTTACAATATGATCATATAGAACTGTTTTTAAAAATCTCATCTAGATATAGACTTTTTTAAAAAAACTAAATTGGGTTAGTATTTGAACTGGCAGAGAAAAAAAAGCAATGGTCAAGCAACAAATAGAAGACTTTGAAGTACCAGACACAGAATTATAAAATGGTATAGAAAGAATATAGGTGATCATCTATAAACTTCCCAAGGCAGAAGCAAGGATCATTTGTGGAGGCTTCAAACTCTTATGGAATTTGAATCTAAATGAAAAACTTAGGCCAAAAAAAAGTAAATATTTAAACATTTTACTTGGTAATTTTTAATACAAACAATGTTGCAAAGTTAGAAATGTATTTTAATGAAGAAATCAGACTGGCAAAGGTGCATTAACAAAAATCAAAGCAAGCTTTACTAAGCACTAGGATATTATTGTCATATTTGTTAAAGATGATTATTTTATATAGAGAAATACATCAAAAAGAAAGCTTTTAACCTACCTCCACGAGAGGCAAGGACATTACCATCATAGGAAAAAGTCACGCAAGAAGTGTCTGTGCCCGAGTCATGAGCCTGTTTATAGTGGAACTTAGGATGAACCTATTCACAAAGACAAACAAAGTGTTAATATCTCACCTCAATTCAGAAGAGAACAGTTTTGTGGCAAGAACATTTCACTTTATTACGATGAAAATAATACACACCTATAAGCAAAGTACTAATTTCACATGATTATAATTTGCTTTCTAAAAAAAAGAAAAACCAAATGGCTTTTAAAAATATCCATTTGCTTTAATAAAGAACAGAGAAGGTAAGTCCTAGCAGGAGACATTTTTCCAGATTGCCCTAGCAAGCTCTATACAAGACAAGACTACAATAACTTCTTCTTATTTACTTCTTCATATTATGCTTATAAAGTTATTGGGACAATTTCCAGTATTTATCTGAAAGAGCAAATATAAATCAAAATTACAAATGAGCACATTATTTATTTACCCCAAAATATTTATTGTATTCCTAGGATATGCCATACACTCTGCACATGGTTGGAGGTCTTAATGTGCCTGTGGAATGAATAATGATAATAATAACAGCAGCTAACCCTTACACAACGCTTATCATATCCTAGGCACTATATGCTTTCCTATCTTGCCTATTTAGTCCTCACAATCACTCTGTAAGTTAGGTTCCATTATTATCATCTCCATTTTATAGTTTGAGAAACTGAGGTACAGAAACTTAAGGACCTTGTCCAAGGCCACACAGTTAGTAAGTAGTAGAGCTGGGGGTTTGAAACCAAAAAGACTATTCTTAAATACTTCATTATAATCCTTCTCTTACTGATTTATCTTAATAGTATTTTTGCTTCTAATGTTGCTTCTACACAGTTAAAGACTTGTAATTCTACACCAATCTTGCCACTCAGTTATGACTCAGTAACTGGCACAAGGTACTAGGAAGTCAATTACCTCAAAAAGTGTGGTCTATATGAACAAAGACATTTGGTCCATTAAAAACTTTCTCCCCTACATAGCTGTCATTAATAGAGTAACCTCTATAATAGGTGTGTGTGCACGCGCGTGTGTGTGTACCTGTGTACCCACACACACATGCCATGCTGGCTAATTACACAATGGTTCTGGGCCATTACCAACTTTCCTAGGGTAATTCCATAGCGAAAGACAGGGGCACTGCTGGTAATGACAGCATGTGAGTCCCTCCTGGGAGCCACAGGTATGGTAATGCAAGTGAGCTCATCTCCATTGCTCTTGTAGCAACCCTTATGAAGAATGAGTCACAAAACAGAGCTCATGTACTTTGCCCTCCAAATAATATCCCTGACACCCAATCCCTGGGCTTACACCTAAAAAAATCCAGTAATGAGTACACCACCTTACAAAAGCAGGCCAGTTCATTTAAATAATAATAATAATCTGTATATATTGAGTGAAAACTGGCTTCTCAGTTCTTCCTCTGGGTAACAGTCTTGGAATTTTATATTAGTTATCATGCTTCCATCTTTCATGGATACAAAGAATTCATTGATTCAACGGTTTTTTTATTGGATATCAACTGTATGTATGGCAGACACTCAGTTAAGCAGAGAAAACACAAATGTGCCCAGATAAACATAGCTTCTAAAAGACTTGGCAGTCCCCAGAAAGGATACAGATCAGCACACAGAGCGACAAGTGCTACAATGGGGAAATACAGAGTAATACGTGAGCACTGAGAAGGTCCTAACCCAAACTTGACAATGAGGGAGAAAAGAGGGGCAAAAATAAATCAGAGACCTAACAGATAAAGTAGAAGTTAGCAGTTGCAGGAGCAGGAGGTGAGGGCAAGAAAGAGTATTTCAGTCAGAGGGTACTGCACTGTGGTAAGCCGAATTTTTATCCTTGTGACCTCTGCCCCCTAGTGTGATGTCCATGAATACCTTATATGGTCAAAGGAACTTGGCAGGTGTAATTATGGTTACTAGTCAGCTGACCTTAAAATAGGGAGATTATCTTGGATTGCAGGTGGGGCTGAAGCAGTTGCATGAGCTACAGTGCCGACAAGAAAGTCACAGAAATGTGAGGGAAGAGGAACTCAGAGAAATTTGAGATATGAGAAGTGTTTCACATGTCACTATCGACTTAAAGATGAAGGGGGCCACATGTCAAGGAAACAGGGATCTGAGTCCTGCCAACAACCAATGAGCTTGAAAGAGGACCCTGAGCACATACCAAGGCAATACTCTGATTTTAGCCTGGTGAAACCCTGAGAAGAGAATCCAGCCACGCTGTGCCAGACTTCTTACCTATAGGAAATGTGAGAAACCAAAGGCATGGTGGGGAAATGATATGAACAGGCCCCAGATATCAAGGCTGTATAAGCCATGGGATATGGTTTGGATCTGTGTCCCCACCCAAATCTCATGTCAAATTCTAATTCACAATGTTGGAGGTGGGACTTGGTGGGAGGTGACTAGATCACAGAGGTGGCTTCTTATGAATGGTTTAGCACCAGTCCCTTTGGTACTGTCCTCATGATAGTGGGTGAGTTCTCATGAGATTTAAGTGTGTGGCACCTCCCTCCCCCTTCTCTTACTCCTGCTCCTGCCATGTGAGATATCTCACTCCCCCTTTGCCTTCTACCAAGACTGTAAGTTTCCTGAGGCATCCCCACAAGCCAACCAGATGCCAGCATCATGCTTCCTGTATAGCCTGCAGAACCATGAGCCAAATAAACCTCTTTTCTTTATAGATTATGCAGCCTCAAGTATTTCTTTCTAGCAATGGGAGAACAGACCAATATACCATGTTAAGGAGCTTAGATTTTATCCTGAAGGCAAAAGGGAGTTGCTAAAGGAGTTTAGGCAGAGGAGTAGCATGACTAAACTTGCTTTATTATTATTATTATTATTATTATACTTTAAGTTATAGGGTACATGTGCACAATATGCAGGTTTGATACATAGGTATACATGTGCCATGGTGGTTTGCTGCACCCATCAACTCATCATTTACATTAGGTATTTCTCCTAATGCTATCCCTCCCCCAGTCCCACACCCCCCAACAGGCCCCAGTGTGTGATGTTCCCCGCCCTGTGTCTACATGTTCTCATTGTTCGATTCCCACCTATGAGTGAGAACATGCAGTGTTTGGTTTTCTGTCCTTGTCATAGTTTGCTGAGAATGATGGTTTCCAACTTCATCCATGTCCCTGAAAGACATGAACTCATCCTTTTTTATGGCTGCATAGTATTCCATGGTGTATATGTGCCACATTTTCTTAATCCAGTCTACCATTGATGGACATTTGGATTGGTTCCAAGTCTTTGCTATTGTGAATAGTGCCGCAATTAACATACGTGAGCACGTGTCTCTATAGGAGCATAATATCTGATCCTTTGGGTATATACCCAGTAATGGGATGGCTGGGTCAAATGGTATTTCTAGTTCTAGGCCCTTGAGGAATCGCCACACTGTCTACCACAATGGTTAAACTAATTTAAACTCTCACCAACAGTGCAAAAGTGTTCCTATTTCTCCACATCCTCTCCAGCATCTGTTGTTTCCTGACTTTTTAATGATCGCCATTCTAACTGGTGTGAGATGGTATCTCACTGTGGTTTTGATTTGCATTTCTCTGATAATCAGTGACGATGAGCATTTTTTCATGTGTCTGATTGCTGCATAAATGTCTTCTTTTGAGGAGTGTCTGTTCATATCCACTGCTCTTTTGATGGGGTTATTTTTGTCTTGTAAATTTGTTTGAGTTCTTTGTAGATTCTGGATATCAGCCCTTCGTCAGATAGGTAGATAGCAAAAATTTTCTCCCATTTTGTAGGTTGCCTGTTCACTCTGATGGTAGTTTCTTTTGCTGTGCAGAAGCTCTTTAGTTTAATTAGATACATTGTCTATTTTGGCTTCTGTTGCCATTGCTTTTGGTGTTTTAGTCATGAAGTCCTTGCCCATGCCTATGTCCTGAATGATATTGCCTAGGTTTTCTTCTAGGGTTTTTATGGTTTTAGGTCTAACATTTAAGTCTTTAATCCATCTTGAATTAATTTTTGTATAAGGTGTAAGGAAGGGATCCAGTTTCAGCTTTCTACAGATGGCTAGCCAGTTTTCCCAGCACCATTTATTAAATAGGGAATCTTTTCCCCATTTCTTGTTTTTGTCAGGTTTGTCAAAGATCAGATGGTTGTAGATGTGTTATTTCTGAGGCCTCTGTTCTGTTCCATTGGTCTATATATCTGTTTTGGTACCAGTACCATGCTGTTTTGGTTACTGTAACCTTGTACTATAGTTTGAAGTCAGGTAGCATGATGCCTCCAGCTTTGTTCTTTTTGCTTAGGATTGTGTTGGCAATGCGGGCTCTTTTTTGGTTCCATATGAACTTTAAAGTAGTTTTTTCCAATTCTGTGAAGAAAGTCATTGGTAACTTGATGGGGATGGCATTGAATCTATAAATTACCTTGGGCAGTATGGCCATTTTCATGATATTGATTCTTCCTATCCATGAGCATGGAATGTTCTTCTATTTGTTTGTGTCCTTTTATTTTGTTGAGCAGTGGTTTGTAGTTCTCCTTGAACAGGTCATTCACATCCCTTGTAAGTTGGATTCCCAGGTATTTTATTCTCTTTGTAGCAATTGTGAATGGGAGTTCACTCATGATTTGGCTGTTTGTCTGTTATTGGTGTATAGGAATGCTTGTGATTTTTTCACATGGATTTTGTATCCCGAGAGTTTGCTGAAGTTGCTTATCAGCTTAAGGAGATTTTGGGATGAGACAATGGGGTTTTCTAAATATACAATCATGTCATCTGCAAATAGGGACAATCTGACTTCCTCTTTTCCTAACTGAATACCTTTATTTCTTTCTCTTGCCTGATTGCCCTGGCCCAGAACTTCCAATACTATATTGAATAGGGGTGGTGAGAGAGGGCATCCTTGTCTTGTGCTGGTTTTCAAAGGGAATGCTTCCAGTTTTTGCCCATTCAGTATGATATTGGCTATGGATTTGTCATAAATAGCTCTTATTAATTTGAGACATGTTCCATCAATACCGAGTTTATTGAGAGGTTTTCTCATGAAGGGCTGCTGAATTTTGTTGAAGACCTTTTCTGCATCTATTGAGATAATCACGTGGTGTTTTTCATTGGTTCTGTTTATGTGAGGGATTACATTTATTGATTTACGTATGTTAAACTATCCTTGCATCCCAAGGATGAAGCTGACTTGATCATGGTGGATAAGCTTTTTGATGTGCTGCTGGATTCAGTTTGCCAGTATTTTACTGAGGATTTTTGCATCAACGTTCATCAGGAATATTGGTCTAAAATTCTTTTTTTGTTGTGTCTCTGCCAGCCTTTGGTATTAGGATGATGCTGGCCTCATAAAATGAGTTAGGGAGGATTCCCTCTTTTTCCATTGATTGTAATAGTTCCAGAAGGAATGGTACCAGCTCCTCTTTGTATCTCTGGTAAAATTCAGCTGTGAATCCATCTGGTCCTGCACTTTTTACGGTTGGTAGGCTATTAATTATTGCCTCAATTTCAGAGCCTGTTATTGGTCTGTTCAGAAAATCAACTTATTCCTCATTTAGTCTTGCGAGGGGTGGGGGGTGGTGTATGTGTCCAGGAATTTATCCATTTCTTCTAGATTTTCTATTTTATTTGTGCAGAGGTGTTTATAGTATTCTTTGATGGTAGTTTGTATTTCTGTGGGATCGGTGGTGATATCCCCTTTATCATTTTTTATTGTGTCTATTTGATTCTTCTCTCTTTTCTTCTTTGTTAGTCTTGCTAGTGGTCTATCAATTTTGTTGATCTTTTCAAAAAACCAGCTCCTGGATTCATTGTGTTTTTGAAGGGTTTTTTGTGTCTCTATTTCCTTCAGTTCTGCTCTGATCTTAGTTATTTCTTGCCTTCTGCTAGCTTTTGAAAAGCTTTTGCTTTTCTAGTTCTTTTAATTGTGATGTTAGGGTGTCAATTTTAGATCTTTCCTGCTTTCTCTTGTGGGCATTTAGTGCTATAAATTTCCCTTTACACACTGCTTTAAATGTGACCCAGAGATTCTGGTACGTTGTGTCTTTGTTCTCATTGGTTCAAAGAACATCTTTATTTCTGCCTTCATTTCATTATTTACCCAGTAGTCATTCAGGAGCAGGTTGTTCAGTTTCCATGTACTTGTGCAGTTTTGAGTGAGTTTCTTAATCCTGAGTTCTAATTTGATTGCACTGTAGTCTGAGAGACAGTTTGTTGTGATTTCTGTTCTTTTACATTTGCTGAGGAGTGCTTTATTTCCAACTATGTGGTCAATTTTGGAATAAGTTTGATGTGGTGCTGAGAAGAATGTATACTCTGTTGATTCGGGATGGAGAGTTCTGTACATGTCTACTAGGTCCGCTTGGTGCAGAGCTGAGTTCAAGTCCTGGATATCCTTGTTAACCTTCTGTCTCATTGATCTAACATTGACAGTGGGGTGTTAAAGTCTCCCATTATTAATGTGTGGGAGTCTAAGTATCTGTAGGTCTCTAAGGACTTGCTTTATGAATCTGGGTGCTCCTGTATTGGGTGCATATAATTTAGGATAGTTAGCTCTTCTTGAATTGATCTCTTTACCATTATGCAATGGCTTTGTATCTTTTGATCTTTGCTGGTTTAAAGTCTGTTTTATCGGAGACTAGGATTGCAACCCCCGCTTTTTTTTGTTTTCCATTTGCTTGGTAGATCCCCCTCCATCCCTTTATTTTGAGCCTATGTGTGTCTCTTCATGTGAGATGGGTCTCCTGAATACAGCACACTGATGGGTCTTCACTCTTTATCCAATTTGCCAGTCTGTGTCTTTTAATTGGGGCATTTAGCCCATTTACCTTTAACGTTAATAATGTTATGTGTGAATTTGGTCCTGTCATTATTGATCCTGTCATTATGATGTTAGCTGGTTATTCTGTCCATTAATTGATGCAGTTTCTTCATAGCATCGATGGTCTTTACAATTTGGCATGTTTTTGCAATGGCTGGTACTGGTTATTTCTTTTCATGTTTAGTACTTCCTTCAGGAGGTCTTTTAAGGCAGGCCTGGTGCTGACAAAACCTCTCAGCATTTGCTTGTCTGTAAAGGATTTTAGTTCTCCTCCGCTTATGAAGCTTAGTTTGGCTGGATATGAAATTCTGGGTTGAAAATTCTTTTCTTTAAGAATGTTGAATATTGGCCCCCACTCTCTTCTGGCTTGTAGAGTTTCTGCTGAGAGATCCACTGTTAGTCTGATGGGCTTCCCTTTGTGGTTAACCCGATCTTTCTTTCTTGCTGCCCTTAACATTTTTTCCTTCATTTCAAGCTTGGTGAATCTGACAATTATGTGTCTTGGGGTTGCTCTTCTCGAGGAGTATCTTTGTGATGTTCTCTGTATTTCCTGAATTTGAATGTTGGCCTGCCTTGCTAGGTTGGGGAAGTTCTGGATAATATCCTGAAGACAGTTTTCCAACTTGGTTCCATTCTCCCCATCACTTTCAGGTACACCAATCAAACATAGATTTGGTCTTTTCACATAGTCCCATATTTCTTGGAGGATTTGTTCATTTCTTTTTACTCTTTTTTCTCTAACCTTGTCTTCTCACTTTATTTCATTAATGCGATCTTCTATCACTGATACCCTTTCTTCCACTTGATTGAATTGACTATTGAAGCTTGTGCATGAGTCATGAACTTCTCGTGCCATGGTTTTCAGCTCCATCACGTCATTTAAGGTCTTCTCTACACTGTTTATTCTAGTTAGCCATTCGTCTAACCTTTTTTCGAGGTTTTTAGCTTCCTTGCGATGGGTTCAAACATGTTCCTTTAGCTCGGAGAAGTTTGTTATTACCGACCTTCTGAAGCCTACTTCTGTCAGCTCGTCAAAGTCATTCTCTGTCCAGCTTTGTTCCATTGCTGGCGAGGAGCTGCGATCTTTGGAGGAGAAGAGGCACTCTGGTTTTTAGAATTTTCAGCTTTTCTGCTCTGGTTTCTCCTCATCTTTGTGGTTTTATCTACCTTTGGTCTTTGATGTTGGTGACCTACAGATGGGGTTTTGGTGTAGATGTCCTTTTTGTTTATGTTGATGCTATTCCTTTCTGTTTGTTAGTTTTCCTTTTAACAGTCAGGTCCCTCAGCTGCAGGTCTGTTGGAGTTTGCTGGAGGTCCACTCCAGACCCTGTTTGCCTGAGTATCACCAGCAGAGGCTGCAGAACAGCAAATATTGCAGAACAGCAAATATTGCAGCCTGATCCTTCCTCTGGAAGCTTCGTCCCAGAGGGTCACCCACCTATATGAGGTGTCTGTCGGCCCCTACTGGGAGGTGTCTCCCAGTTAGGCTACACAGGGGTTAGGAACCAACTTGAGGAGGCAGTCTGTCCGTTCTCAGAGCTCAAACGCCATGCTGGGAGAACCACTGCTCTCTTCAGAGCTCTCAACAGGGACATTTAAGTCTGCAGAAGTTGTCTGCTGCCTTTTGTTCAGCTATGCCCTGCCCACAGAGGTGGAGTGCATAGAGGCAGTAGGCCTTGCTTAGCTGCAGTGGGCTCCACCCAGTTCAAGCTTCCTAGCTGCTTTGTTTACCTACTCAAGCCTCAGCAATGGCGGACGCCCCTCCCCCAGCCAGGCTGCCGCCTTGAAGTTCGATCTCAGACTGCTGCGCTAGCAGTGAGCAAGGCTGTGTGGGTGTGGGACCCGCCGAGCCAGGCACAGGAGAGAATCTACTTATCTGCCGGTTGCTAAGACCTTGGGAAAAGTGCAGTATTTGGGCAGCAGTGTCTCATTTTTCCAGGTACAGTCTGTCACGGCTTCCCTCGGCTAGGAAAGGGAATTCCCCCGACCCCTTGCGCTTCCCAGGTGAGGCGATGCCCCGCTCTGCTTTGGCTTGCCCCCTCCATGGGCTGCACCCACTGTCCAACCAGTCCCAATGAGATGAACCAGGTGCCTCAGCTGGAAATGCAGAAATCACTTATCTTCTGCGTCGATCACACTGGGAGCTGCAGACCAGAGCTGTTCCTATTTGGCCATCTTGGAAACCTAAATTTGCTTATTTTTAAATGATCATTCTGAACACATGTGAACAGACTGGGAATATTCTGTTCCTAGGACAAACGAAACTCTGCTACCAACCTCAATAAGGAAAATTTGCCACTTCCTTATATCCCATCAAGTTACCAACTACTAAACTCTAAATGAAACTTTTGGAAGATCTTATAAACAGTGGTAGCAGTTTACCCAAAAGTCCTGTACTTCATTTGGCCTAAATGAATTTAGTTTTTTATTTGTTTGTTTTAAAAGTTTTGTTTGTTTTTAATGTTAAGCAATACGTATAGATATCCAAATAGAAGAAAGACCTATCATTTCATGAGTGATAAGACAGTTTAGTACAGTAAAAAGGGCACTGGGCCAGGAACCAGGAGGCACAAAATCTAGATTCAGTTCAAGCAAAAGCTAGCATTGTGACCTGGGACAAATTACTTAGCTTGTCTGGTTCACACTTCTGTCTTCTGTAAAATAAAGAGATTGAAGTAAATGATTTCCAGGGTCATTTACAGCTCTATGACCCTTAGGGAAAAGGCAAAACAGGCAAATGCATAATACTTTATCATTCAATTAACTGATCAATATATACTTTATTAATAAGATAAAATCTTGAATGTCGATATTTGAAAATATAAGTAAACACATGCATATAGATGTGTATGCATATATATACCAGTAAACAAAGTGAGATAAAGAACCTTAAAAGTTATAGAGTCCAGTGGATTCACATCACACAAACTTCAGTGTGAGCCCAGAGCATGCAGACAGTTCCATATGACAGTCTTAACTTGTTGCTCTGGAGAAGAAAAGAGATGGTATTGTGAATCTGATGCTCCCTAAATTGGTCTTCCTTCCCTGTGCTTTTCACTACCCTGAGTGGGATTCTAAGGTAGAAAGACATATAGCCTTCCAGTGCTCAAGTAAAGAAAAAGTAATCTGTTTCTGAAATTAAAAAAAAAAAAAATTCTGCTAGATCTAACAGGTGATAGTGTAGATACAATATAATGAACGGAATGAGAATATGGGATTTTGACTACAGGTGATTTTGTCTTGCTGTAGTATGAGGAGACTTCACCAAATATTCATCTGCTACGTGTTTATGTCTCCTCATTTAGGATTCCCTTTAAAGGAACATTATATTGGAGGTGTAATGTTTTGAAACTTTTAGAATTCATTATTTATAATGCAGAATGAGTGAATATATGCTACAAAACAAGCCCCATCCAGTCTTTCTGACCTCCAACATATTCCATTGCAACACCTCTTTAAAGTAATAAATGGCTGGATATTAATAATTAAGATCCCACAGGAGAGGGAGAGATGCACTCAAAATTAATTCATTTTGTCTTTTAAAGGACCTAATAAAACAAAGAGGCACAATGTCTTTAGTTGATTGAGATGAAGACCTCCCAAATTTTATATCAAAAAGTGCTCTTCAATTATTAACTTCACCTTAACCAGAAACAAAAGTATATTCCAATGAGGAAAAAGAGACAAAGGTGACCTAAAATTTGCATCAAACATCAACACTTGGACAGTCCATTATGACAAATATCCTCACACTTTGAAAACAATGTCAACCTAACTGAAGAACACTTCAGGCATAATGTCGGGAATCTAAAACTGCAACTTGTCCTTTAACTGCTGTTATAATCATCCTAAGCAAAGAATATCGTTCTTTAGGAAGCTGAGATTGATAATTAACTACCTTATATAGGCTTATTATTATTATTATTATTATTATTATTATTATTTTGAGACAGAGTTTTGCTCTTGTTGCCTAGGCTGGAGTGCAATGGCACAATCTCGTAGGCCTCTTATTCTTAGGTGTGCCTTACACTATGATTTGGAGAATATCAAGACTCAAATATTCACCAAGATGGAAAACGCAAGCACAAAATCCCAGAGTTTTGAAGGCCCTGTCTGGGATCACACAATACAAACTCCCAATTGGAAAAATTGTCTGTATACCTCTTTTCTCAGCAGATGGTCATGGAGCCTCTGGAAATTCAAAATGCATTACATTATAAGGAATATCAGTCAATTTCTGGAGCAATCCTCCTGCCTCAGCCTCCCAAGTACTGGGACTACAGGCACAAGCCACCACGCCTGGCTGGTTTTTATACTTTTATTTTGTAGAGCCGGGGGTGGTGGTCTCAGTTTGTTGCCCAGCTGGTCATGAACTCCTGGGCTCAAGCGATCTTCCCGCCTAGGCTCTAACTGGCAACAACTTTTTAAGCTGGGTCCAAGACTCACTTCTAACAACTACTCATGGGTCCTGGTTGTCTTCTGTGGCTATGCTGACTAAATCTAGTTTTTCTTCTCTGACAGTCTGACAAATTATCAACAGAAAACTCTGTCTTCCATAAAGTCTTTTTTTTTTCCCTTTGTGAGACAGGGTGTCCTTCTGTCACCCAGGTTGGAGTGCAGTGACATAATCATGGCTCACTCCAGCCTCAACCTCCCAGGCTCAAGCAATCTTCCTGCCTCAGCCTCCCAAGTACTGTGACTACAACACAAGCCACCATGCCTGGCTGGTTTTTATACTTTTATTTTGTAGAGCTGGGGCGGGGGGTGGTCTCACTTTGTCGCCCAGCTGGTCATGAACTCCTGGGCTCAAGCGATCTTCCCGCCTAGGCTTCACAGTGTTGGGGGAGATTTGGGCAAGACAGCTGACTACATGCAGCCGGGTGGAACAGCTGCCACCAAGGAACCAGGATGACTGGCACGCTCCTAGCAGATCTTCAGAGGGAAGACACTGCGAGTAGACAGAAGACACAGAAGCTGGGCTGAAGGGGGAGGAAGCTGGGAACTTGTGTGGGGTTAGAGCACACTGGACTCATTTCTGGCCCCCAGTGACTCCTGGGGAGCAGGTGAAGTGAAATAGCAAGGAGCAACCCACTCTCGCCACGGGCCTTTAGAATCCCAGGAGGAAGAGACCCTTCAACCACCATGGACACTTAGTTGGCAGGGAGAGCTGCTCAGAAAAGTAGTAGGGGCAGCGTGCCAGCCAATAGAGTTTGGTGTGGGAGCATCTGTGGTAGAGCACCAGCAGGGATGCCCATACCCCTAGGATTGACTTGCTTCCGTAGAAGACTTTGGCTGTAGGGAAACTGTTTGACATGAACACTGTAGGGGCAGTCTTGCCCATCAGATGGGGCTGGTCTGACCTGAGTACCCCTAAGTCAGCTGGCCTCTTCCAGGGTCCCAGCCTGGCTAGGTCTGCTTGCAGTGCAGCCTCGGCAACCCTGGGGGCCTATATCATAGCTCCTACACTGGCAGACCATGCCTGACCAGTGGAGAGCTCCAGTGGGGCAGCCCCCTGTGGCCATGCACCAGCCTGCCCACTCCCTCCCCTCACTGCAGCTTCCCCCAGGCCCACGGCAACCACCTACATCACTCTGCTGGTGTGTGTCTACATGAGTGGATTTTGCCTTCCCTGCCCAACCAGTGTTTGCCTGTTACCTGTCCTAACACTGTTACTGGTAAGAGCGCACACCACCTCCTCACCCCCACTATACCACCATTGCAGTCAGTGCCTTGGTGGGCACAGAGCCCATCAGCCCCACCCCCACCAGCACCCCATCCCAGTGCCAACACTGCTGCCAGAGTGAAAATAGAGATGGAGAACACTGGACCCTCCCCAACCCTGAGCAGCCAACCCCTGGCTGCATGAACATGCACAGAGGGCACACACAGACCTGTGCTTGCCAGCTTCCTAACCCCATGCTAATACCACCACCAGCATGACCACATACACACCAGTGTGGGCCCTCATGCCCCTGAGCTCTGCTTCCTCCACTGCTGCTGGGAATGCCTGTGCAGAGGCAGGCACCCCAGTACCTGCTAGCACTGCAGCCAGTGAGCATGCAACCTTTCACCCCTCCAGCCCCCTGCACTGCTGCTACTGTTGCTGTTAGCACATGTGAACAAGGATGGATCCTGCTGCCACCACCCTACAAAATGCTTTTGCTGACACCACCCATCCAAGTGTAATGATCAGAAGTCTGGGGGCATCTCAGCCCCCACCCCAGCACAATGGGTTCCTAATCTCAAGGAGCCAGAAAACAAAATCAGGTTGTGATACAAGTTCCCCAGAGTTAGAGCATGCAGTCCGGGAGTCGGGAGTGGGAGCGGAGCCTTAGCCCCCTATAATCTTCCAGAAATGAAGCTAGTTGACTGAACCCACATTACACCAAAATCAAATCCTCAAGTCATCAAATAGGATAAAAGAAAAAGAAATCCCAAGGACAGCAACTTCAAAGACTGAAGGAACATCAGCCCACAAAAATGAGAAAGATCCAGTGCAAGAACTCTGACAACTCAAAAAGCCAGAGTGCCTTCTTTCCTCCAAACGACTGAACTATCTTTCCAGCAAGGATTCTGAACCAGGCTGAGACGGCTGAAATGACAGAAATAGAATTCAGAATATAGATAGGAACAAAGATCACTGAGGTGCAGAAATACACTGAAATCCAATCCAAATAAACTAAGAATCACAACAAAATGATACAGGAACTGACAGACAAAATACTACAAGAATTTCATAATGTAATCACAAGTATTAATAGCAGAATAGACCAAAATGAAGAAAGAATCTCAGAGCTTGAAGACTGGCTTTCTGAAATAAGCCAGTCAGGCAAGAATAGAGAAAAAAGAATGAAAAGGAGCATCTAAAACCACTGAGAAATACGAGATTATGTAAAGAGACCAAATCTACGACTAATTGGCGTCCCTGAAAGAGATGGGGAGAATGGAAACAACTTGGAAAACATATTTCAGGATATCATCCATGAGAACTTTGCCAAACTAGCTAGAGAGGCCAACATTCACATTCAGGAAATGCAGAGACCCCCAGTAAGATACTTCATGAGAAGATCATTCCAAGATACATAATAATCAGATTCTCCAAGGTTGAAATTAAATAAAAAATGTTAAAGGCAGCTAGAGAGAAAAATCAGGTCACCTACAAAGGGAAGCCCATTAAACTAAGAGTGGACCTCTCAGCAGAAACCCTACAAGCCAGAAGAGACTGGGAGCCAATATTCAACATTCTTAGAGAAAAGAAATTCCAACCCAGAATTTCATATCCAGCCAAACTAGGCCTCATTAGTGAAGGAGAAATAAGATCCTTTTCAAACAAGCAAATACTGAGGGAATTCATTACCACCAGCCCTGCCTTATAAGCAGTCCTGAAGAAGTACTAAATATGGAAAGGAAAGACCATTAACAGCCACTACAAAAACACACTTAAGTACAAAGACCACTGACACTGTAAAGCAACCACACAAACAAGTCTGCATAATGGCCAGCTAACATCATGATGACAGGATCAAATCCTAACTTTGATACTAATCTTGAATGTAAATACTAACCTTGAATGTAAACAGGCAAAATGCCCCAATTAAAAGGCACAGAGTGGCAAGCTGGATAAAGAACCAAGACCAAATCGTATGTTGTCTTCAAGAGACTCATGACAGCCACAGGTTCAAGATAAAGGGATGGAGAAAAATCTACCAAGCAAATGGAAAACAGAAAAAAGCAGGAGTTGCAATCCTAATTTCAGACAAAATGGATTTTAAAACAACAAAGATCAAAAAAGACAAGGAAGTACATTACATAACAGTAACAGGTTTATTTCAACAAGAAGACCTAGCTATCCTAAATACATATGCACCCAACACAGGGGCACCCAGATTCACAAAGCAAGTTCTTAGAGACCTTCAAAGAGACTTGGACTCCCACATATTAGTAATGGAAGACTTCAACAACTCACTGACAGTACTACAGAACTCTCCACCCAAAACAACAGAACATACATTCTTCTCATCACCACATGGCACATACTCCAAAATTGACCACGTAATTGGATATAGAACACTCCTCAGCAAAAGCAAAATAACTGAAATCATAACCACCACTCTCTTGGACCACTGAATAAAATTAGGAATCAAGACCAAGAAAACCACTCAAAAAGCCATACAATTATATGGAAACTGAATAATCTGTTCATGAATGACTTTTGGATAAATAATAATATTAAGGCAGAAATCAAGAAGTTCTTTGAAACTAACGAGATACAACATACCAGAATCTCTGGGACACAGCTAAGGCAGTGTTAAGAAGGAAATTTATAGCGCTAAACACCCACATTAAAAAGTTAGTTAGAAAGATCTCAACTTAACAACCTAACATTACAACTAAAAGAACTAGAGAAGCAAAAGCAAAGCAACCCCAAAGCTAGCAAAAGACAAAAAATAACCAAAATCGGTGCTGAAAAGAAGGAGATTGAGGCACACAAAAAAACCATTCAAAAGATCAATGAATCTAAGAGTTGGTTTTTTGAAAAAAATTAATAGACCACTAGCTAGACTAATAAAGAAGAAAAGAGCTAAGACCCAAATAAATACAATTAGAAACAACAAAGGGGTTATTATCACTGACTCCACAGAAATACAAAGAACCCTCAGAGAATATTATGAATACTTCCATGCAAAAAAACTAGAAAATCTAGAAGAAATGGATAAATTCCTGGACACATACAACCTACCAAGACTAAACCAGGAAGAAATTGAATCCCTAAACAGACCAATAACAAGCTCTGAAATAAACCAGTAATAAATAGCCTACCAGACAAACCAAGCCCAGGACCAGAAGGATTCACAGCTGAATTTTTCCAGATGTACAAGAAGAGTTAGTACCATTCCTACTAAACATACTCAAAAACAATTGAGGAGGAGGGACTCTTCCTTAACTCATTGTATGAGGCCAGCATCATCTTGACACCAAAATCTGGCACAGACACAACAAAAAAAAGAAAACTTCAGGCCAATATCCTTGATGAACATCAATGCAAAAATCCACAACAAAATATTGGTAAACCGAAACCAGGAGTATATCAAAAAGCTTATCCACCACAATCAAGCAGGCCTCATCCCCTAGATGCCAGGTTGATTTACCAAATGCAAATCAATAAATGTTATTCATGACATAAACAGAACTAAACACAAAACCACATGATTATCTCAATAGATGCAAAAAAGGCTTTTGATAAAATTCAACATCCCTTCATGTTAAAAACTCTTAATAAACTAGGTATTAAAGAAACATACCTCAAAATAATAAGAGCCATCTATGACAAACCCACAGCCAACATCATAATGAATGGGTGAAAACTGGATGCATTGATCTTGAAACCAGAAACAGGACAAGAATGCCATTTCTCATTACTCCTATTCAACATAGTATTGGAAGTCCTGGCCAGAGGAATCAGGCAAGAGAAAGAAATAACGGGCATCCAAATAGGAAGAGAAGAAGTCAATTTATCCCTGTTTGCAGACAACATGATTCTATATCTAGAAAACCTCACAGTCTCAGCCCAAAAGCTCCTTAACCTAATAAACAACTTCAGCAAAGCCTCAGGATACAAAACCAACATACAAAAATCACTAGCATTCCTATACACAAAAAACAGCCAAGCCAAGATGCAATCCCATTCACAATATCCACAAAAAGAATCAAATACCTAGAAATACAGCTAACCAGTGAGGTGAAAGATCTCTACAATGAAAACTACAAAAAAAAACTGCTCAAAGAAATCAGAAATGACACAAACAAATGGAAAAACATTCCATGCTCATGGATAGGAAGAGTCAGTATCAAGAAAATGGCCATACTGCCCAAAGCAATTTACAGATTCAATGCTATTCCTATCAAACTACTAATGATATTCTTCTCAGAAGTAGAAAAAACTATTTTAAAACTATTTCTATTTTAACATTATTTAAAGCCATTTAAAACTACTCATATGGAACCAAAAAAGAGCATGAATAGCCAAGGCAATCCTAAGCAAAAAGAACAAAGCTGGATGCATCACACTACCCAACTCACACTATACTACAGGGTAACAGTAACCAAAATAGCATCGTACTGGTACAAGAACAGACACGTAGACCAATGGAACAGAATAGAGAACCTAGAAATAAGGCCACACTCCTACAACCATCTGATCTTCAACAAACTTGACAAAAACAAGCAATGGGTAAAGAATTCCCTATTTAATAAATAGCGCTAGGAGAACTGGCTAGCCATATGCAGAAAACTGAAACTGGACCTGTTCCTTACACCATGTACAAAAATCAACACAAGATGGATTGAAGACTTAAATGTAAAACCCAAAACTATAAAAATCCTAGAAGAAAACCTAGGCAACATGATTCAGGATATAGGCACAGGCAAAGATTTCATGATGAACATGCCAAAAGCAATCGCGACAGAAGCAAAAATTGACAAATGGGATCTAATTAAACTAAAGAGCTCCTGCACTGCAACAGAAACTATCAACAGAGTAAACAGACAACCTACAAAATGGGAGAAATGTTTTACAATCTATGCATCTGACAAACATCTAATATCTAGCATCTATAAGAAACTTAAACAAATTTTCAAGAAAAAAACAATGCCATTAAAAAGTATGCAAAGGACATGAACAGAAACCTCTCAAAAGAAGACATACATGCAGCCAATAAACATATGAAAAAAAAAAAAGCTCAACATCACTGATGGTTAGACAAATGCAAATCAAAACCACAATGAGATACCATGTGTCATCAGTCAGAATGGCTATAATTAAAAAGTCAAAAAACAGCCGATGCTGGCAAGGTTGTGGAGAAAAAGAAATGCTTTTACATTGTTGGTGAAAATGGAAATTAGTCGCAGTGTGAGATCAAACTGCAAGGTGGCAGTGAGGCTGGGGGAGGGGCGCCCGCCATTGCCCAGGCTTGCTTAGGTAAACAAAGCAGCCGGGAAGCTCCAACTGGGTGGAGCCCACCACAGCTCAAGGAGGCCTGCCTGCCTCTGCAGCCTCCACCTCTGGGGGCAGGGCACAGACAAACAAAAAGACAGGAGTAAGCTCTGCAGACTTAAATGTCCCGGTCTGACAGCTCTGAAGAGACCAGTGGTTCTCCCAGCACGCAGCTGGAGATCTGAGAACGGGCAGACTGCCTCCTCAAGTGGGTGCCTGATCCCTGACCCCCAAGCAGCCTAACTGGGAGGCACCCCCCAGTAGGGGCAGACTGACACCTCACACGGCCGGGTACTCCTCTGAGACAAAACTTCCAGAGGAACGATCAGATAGCAGCATTCGCGGTTCACGAAAATCCGCTGTTCTGCAGCCACCACTGCTGATACCCAGGCAAACAGGGTCTGGTGTGGACCTCTAGCAAACTCCAACAGACCTGCAGCTGAGGGTTCTGTCTGTTAGAAGGAAAACTAACAAACAGAAAGGACATCCACACCAAAACCCATCTGTACATCACCATCATCAAAGACCAAAAGTAGATAAAACCATAAAGATGGGGAAAAAACAGAGCAGAAAAACTGGAAACTCTAAAAAGCAGGGTGCCTCTCCTCCTCCAAAGGAATGCAGTTCCTCACCAGCAATGGAACAAAGCTGGACGGAGAATGACACTGACGAGTTGAGAGAAGAAGGCTTCAGACGATCAAACTACTACGAGCTACAGGAGGAAATTCAAACCAAAGGCAAAGAAGTTAAAAACTTTGAAAAAAATTTAGACGAATGTATAACTAGAATAACCAATACAGAGAAGTGCTTAAAGGAGCTGATGGAGCTGAAAGCCAAGGCTCGAGAACTACGTGAAGAATGCAGAAGCCTCAGGAGCTGATGTGATCAACTGGAAGAAAGGGTATCAGTGATGGAAGATGAAATGAATGAAATGAAGCGAGAAGGGAAGTTTAGAGAAAAAAGAATAAAAAGAAACGAACAAAGCCTCCAAGAAATATGGGACTATGTGAAAAGACCAAATCTACGTCTGATTGGTGTACCTGAAAGTGACGGGGAGAATGGAACCAAGTTGGAAAACACTCTGCAGGATATTATCCAGGAGAATTTCCCCAATCTAGCAAGGCAGGCTAACATTCAGATTCAGGAAATACAGAGAATGCCACAAAAATACTCCTCGAGAAGAGCAACTCCAAGACACATAATTGTCAGATTCACCAATGTTGAAATGAAGGAAAAAATGTTAAGGGCAGCCAGAGAGAAAGGTTGGGTTACCCACAAAGGGAAGCCCATCAGACTAACAGCGGATCTCTCGGCAGAAACTCTACAAGCCAGAAGAGAGTGGGGGCCAATATTCAACATTCTTAAAGAAAAGAATTTTCAACCCAGAATTTCATATCCAGCCAAACTAAGCTTCATAAGTGAAGGAGAAATAAAATCCTTTACAGACAAGCAAATGCTGACAGATTTTGTCACCACCAGGCCTGCCCTAAAAGAGCTCCTGAAGGAAGCACTAAACATGGAAAAGAACAACTGGTACCAGCCACTGTAAAATCATGCCAAATTGTAAAGACCATCAAGACCAGGAAGAAATTGCATCAACTAACGAGCAAAATAACCAGCTAACATCATGATGACAGGATCAAATTCACACATAACAATATTAACTTTAAATGTAAATGGGCTAAATGCTCCAATTAAAAGACACAGACTGGCAAATTGGATAAAGAGTCAAGACCCATCAGTGTGCTGTATTCAGGAAACCCATCTCACGTGCAGAGACACATATAGGCTCAAAATAAAAGGATGGAGGAAGATCTACCAAGCAAATGGAAAACAAAAAAAGGCAGGGGTTGCAATCCTAGTCTCTGATAAAACAGACATTAAACCAACAAAGATCAAAAGAGACAAAGAAGGCCATTACATAATGGTAAAGGGATCAATTCAACAAGAAGAGCTACTATCCTAAATATATATGCACCCAATACAGGAGCACCCAGATTCATAAAGCAAGTCCTGAGTGACCTACAAAGAGATTTAGACTCCCACACAATAATAATGGGAGACTTTAACACCCCACTGTCAACATTAGACAGATCGAGACAGAAAGTTAACAAGGATACCCAGGAATTGAACTCAGCTCTGCACCAAGCAGACCTAATAGACATCTACAGAATTTCCACCCCAAATCAAAAGAATACACATTTTTTTTCAGCACCACCCCACACCTATTCCAAAATTGACCACATAGTTGGAAGTAAAGCTCTCCTCAGCAAATGTAAAAGAATAGAAATTATAACAAACTGTCTCTCAGACCACAGTGCAATCAAACTAGAACTCAGGATTAAGAAACTCACTCACAACCGCTCAACTACATGGAAACTGAACAACCTGCTCCTGAATGACTACTGGGTACATAACGAAACGAAGGCAGAAATAAAGATGTTCTTTGAAACCAATGAGAACAAAGAGACAACATACCGGAATCTCTGGGACACATTCAAAGCAGTATGGAGAGGGAAATTTATAGCACTAAATGCCCACAAGAGAAAGCAGGAAAGATCCAAAATTGACACCCTAATGTCACAATTAAAAGAACTAGAAAAGCAAGAGCAAACACATTCAAAAGCTAGCAGAAGGCAAGAAATAACTAAAATCAGAGCAGAACTGAAGGAAATAGAGACACAAAAAACCCTTCAAAAAATTAATGAATCCAGGAGCTGATTTTTTGAAAGGATCAACAAAATTGATAGACCACTAGCAAGACTAATAAAGAAGAAAAGAGAGAAGAATCAAATAGATGCAATAAAAAATAATAAAGGGGATATCACCACCGATCCCACAGAAATATGAACTACCATCAGAGAATACTACAAACACCTCTATGCAAATAAACTAGAAAATCTAGAAGAAATGGATAAATTCCTCGACACATACACCCTCCCAAGACTAAACCAGGAAGAAGCTGAATCTCTCAATAGACCAATAACAGGATCTGAAATTGTTGCAATAATCAATAGCTTACCAACCAAAAAGAGTCCAAGACCAGATGGATTCACAGCCAAATTCTACCAGAGGTAGAAGGAGGAACGGGTACCATTCCTTCTGAAACTATTCCAATCAATAGAAAAAGAGGGAATCCTCCCTAACTCATTTTATGAGGCCAGCATCATCCTGATACCAAAGCCTGGCAGAGACACAACCAAAAAAGAGAATTTTAGACCAATATCCTTGATGAACATTGATGCAAAAATCCTCAATAAAATACTGGCAAACCGAATCCAGCAGCACATCAAAAAGCTTATCCACGATGATCAAGTGGGCTTCATCCCTGGGATGCAAGGCTGGTTCAATATACGCAAATCAATAAATGTAATCCAGCATATAAACAGAACCAAAGACAAAAACCACATGATTATCTCAATAGATGCAGAAAAGGCCTTTGACAAAATTCAACACCCTTCATGCTAAAAACTCTCAAGAAATTAGGTATTTATGGGACGTATTTCAAAATAATAAGAGCTATCTATGACAAACCCACAGCCAATATCATCCTGAATGGACAAAAACTGGAAGCATTCCCTTTGAAAACTGGCACAAGACAGGGATGCCCTCTCTCACCACTCCTATTCAACATAGTGTTGGAAGTTCTGGCCAGGGCAATTAGGCAGGAGAAGGAAATAAAGGGTATTCAATTAGGAAAAGAGGATGTCAAATTGTCCCTGTTTGCAGATGACATGATTGTATATTTAGAAAACCCCATTGTCTCAGCCCAAAATCTCCTTAAGCTGATGCGCAACTTCAGCAAAGTCTCAGGATACAAAATCAATGTACAAAAATCACAAGCATTCTTATACACCAATAACAGACAAACAGAGAGCCAAATCATGAGTGAACTCCCATTCACAATTGCTTCAAAGAGAATAAAATACCTAGGAATCCAACTTACAAGGGACGTGAAGGACCTCTTCAAGGAGAACTACAAACCACTGCTCCATGAAATAAACGAGGATACAAACAAATGGAAGAACATTCCATGCTCATGGGTAGGAAGAATAAATATCGTGAAAATGGCCATACTGCCCAAGGTAATTTATAGATTCAATGCCATCCCCATCAAGCTACCAATGACTTTCTTCACAGAATTGGAAAAAACTACTTTGAAGTTCATATGGAATCAAAACAGAACTCGCATCGCCAAGGCAATCCGAAGCCAAAAGAACAAAGCTGGAGGCATCACGCTACCTGACTTCAAACTATAGTACAAGGCTACAGTAACCAAAACAGCATGGTACTGGTACCAAAACAGAGATATAGATCAATGGAACAGAACAGAGCCCTCAGAAATAATGCTGCATATCTACAACTATCTGATCTTTGACAAACCTGAGAAAAACAAGCAATGGGGAAAGGATTCCCTACTTAAGAAATGGTGCTGGGAAAACTGGCTAGCCATATGTAGAAAGCTGAAACTGGATCCCTTCCTTACACCTTATACAAAAATTAATTCAAGATGGATTAAAGACTTAAACGTTAGACCTAAAACCATAAAAACCCTAGAAGAAAACCTAGGCATTACCATTCAGGACATAGGCATGGGTAAGGACTTCATGTCTAAAACACCAAAAGCAATGGCAACAAAAGCAAAAATTGACAAATGGGATCTAATTAAACTAAAGAGCTTCTGCACAGCAAAAGAAACTACCATCAGAGTGAACAGGCAACCTACAAAATGGGAGAAAATTTTCACAACCTACTCCTCTGACAAAGGGCTAATATCCAGAATCTACAATGAACTCAAACAAATTTACAAGAAGAAAACAAACAACCGCATCAAAAAGTGGGCGAAGGACATGAACAGACACTTCTCAAAAGAAGACATTTATGCAGCCAAAAAACACATGAAAAAATGCTCATCATCACTAGCCATCAGAGAAATGCAAATCAAAACCACAATGAGATACCATCTCACACCAGTTAGAATGGCAATCATTAAAAAGTCAGGAAACAACAGGTGCTGGAGAGGATGTAGAGAAATAGGAACACTTTTACACTGTTGGTGGGACTGTAAACTAGTTCAACCATTGTGGAAGTCAGTGTGGCGATTCCTCAGGGATCTAGAACTAGAAATACCATTTGACCCAGCCATCCCATTACTGGGTATATACCCAAAGGATTATAAATCATGCTGCTATAAAGACACATGCACACGTATGTTTATTGCGGGACTATTCACAATAGCAAAGACTTGGAACCAACCCAAACGTCCAACGATGATAGACTGGATTAAGAAAATGTGGCACATATACACCATGGAATACTATGCAGCCATAAAAAAGGGTGAGGTCATGTCCTTTGTAGGGACATGGATGAAATTGGAAATCATCATTCTCAGTAAACTATCACAAGGACAAAAAATGAAACACCGCATGTTCTCACTCATAGGTGGGAATTGAACAATGAGAACACATGGACACAGGAAGGGGAACATCACACTCTGGGGACTGTTGTGGGGTTGGGGAAGGCGGGGGAATAGCATTAGGAGATATACCTAATGCTAAATGACGAGTTAATGGGTGCAGCACACCAGCATGGCACATGTATACATATGTAACTAACCTGCACATTGTGCACATGTAAAACTTAAAGTATAATAATAATAAAATAAAAAAAAAGAAAATGGAAATTAGTTCAACCATTGTGGAAGACAGTGTGGCAATTCCTCGAAGACTTACAGGAAGAAATACCATTTGACCCATCAATCCCATTACTGTGTACATATCTAAAGGAATATTAATCATTCTATTATAAAGACACATGCATGCATATGCTCATTCCAGCACTATTCACAATAACAAAGACATGGAATCAACCTAAATGCCCATCAATGATAGACTGGATAAAGAAAACGTGGTACATACACACCATGGAATACTGTGTAGCCATAAAAATGAAGAAGATAATGTCCTTTTGCAAGGACATGGATGGAGGTGGAGGCCATTATCCTTAGCAAACTAACGCAGGAACAGAAAACCAAATACTGCATGTTCTCACAAGTGGGAGCTAAATGATGAGAACACATGGACACATGGGGAGGGGGAAACAACACACACTGGGGCCTGTTGTTAGGGGGCATGGGTGAAGGGAGAGAATCGGGAAGAATAGCTAATGAACACTGGACTTAGTATCTGTGTGTTGGGATGATCTGTGCAGCCAATAACCATGGCACATATTTACCTATGTAACAAACCTGCACATCCTGCACATGTACCCCTGAACTTCAAATAAAAGTTGGAAAGAAAAAAAAAGGGTGGGGGGGGGGTAAGAAAAGTCAAAAAATAGCAGGCGCTCATGAAGTTGCAGAGAAAAAGGAATGCTTATACACTGTTGGTGGGAGTGTAAATTAGTTCAACCACTGTGGAAAGCAGTGGCTGATTCTTCAAAGGGCTAAAAACAGAACCACCATTTGACCCAGCAATCCCATTACTGGGTATATGCCCAAAGGAATAGACATGGTTCTATTATAAAAACACATGCATATATATGTTCACTGCAACACTGTTCACAATAGCAAAGACATGGAATAAGCCTAAAAGCTCATCAATAGTAGACTGGATAAAGAAACTGTGGTACATACACACCATGGAATACTACAAAAGCTTAAAGAAGAATGAGATCACATCTTTTGCAGGAACATGGATGGAGATGGAGGCCATTATGCTTAGCAAACTAACACAGGAACAGAAAACCAAATACTGCATGTTCTCACTTATAAGTGGGAGCTAAATGATGAGAACACATGGACACGCAGACGGGAACAACACACACTGGGGCCTATGGGAGGGTGGAGGGTGGGAGGAGAGAGAGGATCAGGAAAAACAACTAATAGGTACTAGGCTTAATACCTGGGTGAAAAAATAATCTGTACAACAAACCCCCCCGCCTCCATGATACAAGTTTACCTATATAACAAACCTGCACATGTAGCCCTGAACCTGAAGTAAAAGTCAGAAGATGAAGGGGTGGCCTGCCCCTCCACACCTGTGGGTATTTCCCATCAGGTGGGACGAGAGACTGAGAAAAGAAATAAGACACAGAGACAAAGTACAGAGCAAGAACAGTGGGCCCAGGAGACCAGCGCTCAGCATATGGAGGACCTGCACCGGCACTGGTCTCTGAGTTTCCTCAGTATTTACTGATTGCTATTTTCACTATCTTGGCAAGGGGAATGTGGCAGGAGAACAGGCTAAGAGTGGGGAGAAGGTCAGCAGGAAAATATGTGAGCAAAGGAATCTGTGTCACAAATAAGTTCAAGGGAAGGTACTATGCCTGGATGTGCACATAGGCCAGATTTATGTTTCTCTCCACCCAAACATCTCAGTGTAGCAAAGAGTAACAGAGCAACATTGCCGCCAGCATATCTCGCCTCCAGCCACAGGGTGGTTTTCTCCTATCTCAGAACAGAACGAATGTACGAGCGGGTTTTACACCTAGACATTCGTTCCCAGGGACATGCAGGAGACGGAGGCCTTCCTCTTATCTCAACCACAAGAGGACTTCCTCTTTTACTAATCCTCCTCAGCACAGACGCTTCACGGGTGTCAGGCTGGGGGACAGTCAGGTCTTTCCCTTCCCACGAGGCCATATCTCAGGCTGTCTCAGTGGGGGGAAACCTTGGACAGTACCCAGGCTTTCTTGGGCAGAGGTCCCTGCGGCTTTCCACCGTGCACTGTGACCCTGGTTAATTGAGAATGGAGAATGGCAATGACTTTTACCAAGCATACTGCCTGTAAACATATTGTTAACAAGGCACATCCTGCACAGCCCTAGATCCCTTAAACCTTGATTCCATACAGCACATGTTTCTGTGAGCACAGGGTTGGGGCTAAAGTTACAGATTAATAGCATCTCAAGGCAAAACAATTGTTCAAATACAGATCAAAATGGAATTTCTTATGTCTTCCTTTTCTACATAGACACAGTAACAGTCTGATCTCTTTTTCCCTACAGGAAAAGTCCCCCCCAAAAAACCAGCAAAGTATTGTGATTACAGGTGTGAGCCACCACGCCTGTTCCACAAAGCCCTAAATATGCCACCTCTGGAAATTGTCAATAATCTTAACATTTTACAGTGGTACCAAAAGTCAGTCAGTTTATATCCAGTAGCTGCCTAGATACCAATGTCTGCCTATTACTCTAGTGTATCTATCAATGCAGGAGAAAGACAGTCTTCAAAATGGTCAAAATGCCTCTCATAAGAAATAGAAACAGTGGAAAAAACTATTTCAAAGGTAAGAATTTAAATGAATTACTGTCTGAAAATAGAGAAAATATTAATAGAAAGATTACTAGTCCTAGGGCTAGGACTACTTGACCTAAAATTTTAGCTTACTACATTTAAGTTTGATCCTGGCCAAGCTGCTAGACTTTTCCAGTT
This sequence comes from Homo sapiens, assembly GCF_000001405.40. Taxonomy (NCBI): domain Eukaryota; kingdom Metazoa; phylum Chordata; class Mammalia; order Primates; family Hominidae; genus Homo; species Homo sapiens. The sequence goes on along the minus strand of NC_000005.10, from coordinate 37,671,468 downwards.
TTCAGTTTATTAATCTTTAAAATAATATGCCTTGCAACCTCCCACCCCTGCCCTTCTCCCCCACTCACAAAAAGACTGAGTTACAGTTAATCTGCTATTTCCCTGTCTTATGTCAATACTACAGGTTTATTAAGTCTATCATGCGTACCTCTTCTCAGAAAGGTCCTAAAATGCAACTATGCTGCAAAACACAAATTCCAATAATAAGATGAGCCAAACGCTAGGCTACCTAACAAACTGGGTGTACCAACATTTGACTGTCCTCTCATACCTATCCCTATGACCTCTCAATAGAATTGTTTTTTCTCCTCATTGGGAATCTGTTTTCAAGCTTAGTGGTAACCAAACAATTCCAATAATTCTATGTTTTCAATCACATGTTAGGGTTACTTACTATACCAGGATTTAAAGTACTCCAATATGCCAAGATTTAAAAAATAAAATAAATCCAGGTCTAGACTGAATATAACTTTCTCCTGTTTCTCTGATTTTAGAGACCTGTAGGAAGGACAATGCGGATACAAGTATAGAACTGTCATATAAAGGTGCTTTGCAAATCCATATAAATTCAACTAATATTTACATGCCAAATATTGTCCCAGCCACTGGCGATATAGCAGTGAACAAAATAAAGACCCCATTCCGTGAAGGTTTCATTTCAGTGAGGGAAAATGGATAACAAAATATCTCTAATAGATTTTGTGACATTCAAATTAATATACTATATGAAAGTATGGTATAATGATGAAGAGCACAGACTATAGAGCCAGACTGCTGAGATCAAATCTTGGCTCTTCCACTTACAAGTAGTCACAATTACTTGTGATTCCAAGGTCACATCTATATGATCTTGGGCTAATCTTCCTATGCCTGTTTCTTCAACTATTAAATGAGAATAGTAATAGTACCCACTTCATAAGCTGCTGGGAAAATTTAATGAGTTACTGAAAATGTGGCACACCCCTTTACAATATAATTTTGCTGTTCTTTTTATCAAGATGTGGCATCTGTTTCTCTATACTTTGTATCTTGGTATGGACACGCGACTTGCTTTGGCTTATGAGAAATGTAGCCTCTCACACCTCCCATCGTGAAAAGCATAAATGACTGACACTCTCGCTGCCTCTGTCACTGAGTATGCTTTGCAAGGCCTGAGTGTGGAGGATAAATGGAATTCCAGTTAGCTTGGCCAAAACTTTCTTAGCATCGTGCAGTAGTCCAAGATCCTTTCAGCATATACTCCCCCTTTTTTTCTTTTCTTTTGATATAAGATTTTTATTGAGACACAATTCACATACCATGCACTTTGCTCACTTAAACTATGTAGTTCAACGTTTTCAGTATATTCCAAGAGTTGCGCAGCCACCAGTACAATCAATTTTAGAACCTCGCACTACCCCAAAAGGAAACCCCATACACATGAGCAATCACAATCACTCCCTTTTTTTTCTTAATATTTCAGTCCTAAGCAACCACTAATTTAGTTTCTGTGTAGATTTGCCTAAACTGAACACTTCATACAAATGAAATCATAAAACATGCTGCCTTTTGTGACAGCTTCTTTCATTTAGCGTAATGTTTTTGAGGTTCGTCCATGTTGCAGTATGTATCAGCACTTCATTTCTTTTTATTGCCAAATAATATTTCACTGTATGGATGTACCACATTTTATTTATCCATTCATCAGCTGATGGATATTCAATATTCCATTCTTTCCTCTCTCCTTCACAAACGCATGGTCTACATCATGGTCTGACTCTCTCCAGACTTCTCTGGCTCCCTCCCCAATTTCCCTTCTAGGTACTCCCCAGTAAATCTCTTACACATTTAATCCTGTCTTGGTGTCTGCTTCTCAGAGGACCCAGACTAACACAAGTGGTACCAGCAGTGGTCTGACAACACAGGTGGTAAGAGGAGAATCTGGGACTGCCTCACTCATTGCCCAGGAGGATAGCTTCAGTCCAGGAGTTTGAGGCTGTAGTGAGCCATTACTGCACCACTGCACTCCAGCCTGGGCTACAGAGCAAGACCCCTGACTCTAAAGAAAACAAAATGTTTTTTTTTTTTTAAAAAAAAGATAATTATGTTCCAGGTCAAGATGTTTTCCCCCTTCCCTCTCTCCTTCCTTCCTTTCTTTTAAAGAAATAATTTAAAAACAAAAGACAGTGGGATCTGACAAAGATTTCTGAAAAGTCCATTCAGCATCCCCATAATGTAAAAGTGAAATAAGGAAGTTTTTGGAATCTACATTTACAATGTCAACAACATTTACTGAGAACCTGTTATACACACAACACTGAGATATATAAATAAAAAGAAAATACAGAATTTTCTTGAAATAATTTGCAAGTTGGGAAAGGGGGAAAACATGTATGACCTCATATTCTTTCATAAAACATTTATTGCACCAACTATAAACCAGGCATTTTGGAGGGCACCAAAATGGCTAAGAATGCTCTATGCCATTAATGAGGAAGCTCACAAATGAGAAAGAGAGTGTGCATTTACAACCAGGGTGGAATCTTCCAGGAGGGTTCTCTACTTTCAGTCCAGGTTCACTATTGCAACCACTGGGATTTCAGAAAACAGCTATGACTTAGCATTTATTTTTTATCTGTGTTTGGCAAAGAGATAACCCAGCCTTCATTCATAACTGGCCTATGTTGTAATTATATGCCTGTTTGGTCATCTCAAACCAGGTGACCACAGTGTGTGACTACCTAGGACTCTAACTGATGACCAGCTGGAAGCTGCAGCTGCGGGAGAAAGCTCAACCACTTAGATGTGTGAGTCACAGGCAGAATATGATGCCACCGCTCTGGAATCTTCTGGCTCCCTGTGTGCTTGCAACTTGAAATTGAAGGTGTTTACTTTAGTCTATAAAACAAACCCCTTATGGCTAATGCACAAGTTACCTTCACATTAATCTCTCTTCTTATAAACCCTAGTTGAGACCAGTTGGTATATCACTTAGGCACTCTAAATTTATGCTTCAGAAATCTGAATGCAAAAAAACATTTTAAGTCCTACAGAAGACCCATGCTTTTAGAATTTCAAGAAGGCATGAAATGAAACATCCTGTCTTTCTTGGACTTTGAGACTCTAATTTATAATCTTCAGACATCATACAGAATCATTCAAAAAGGCAGATATTATCTGATTAGATGACTTAAATATCTGGTATATTTTACTGTTCTGATGCTAAGCAAAATATAATTTTTACTGGGAAAAAAATGATACAACTAACACAGAATTTCATATGATATTCTGTAGGTCTCCAAATGAGGATATCACCTAAATCACCAAGAGGAATGATTTAGAAAGAAAGTCCTTCCAGAGAGAAAGCCCAAGAGCAAGGGTTCCTAGAGAATTGTTTTTTGTTTTGTTTTGTTTTGCTTTGTTTGTTTTTGTAACATCATCATATTAGGGGACTACAGCCAAGTAAGCCTGCGAAACTAGAGTTTATTTGCACACCATGGCCTTGTCTTGAAGATTCACAATAAACATGAGTATATTAAAAGCCAAAGTCTTTTAAGTAGTAGTCCTAGAATAAATCAACCTCCTTAACATTTCTAAAGCTTATTTGACTATAGAACCTTTTTTTTTTTTTTTTTTTTTTTTTTTCAGATCGTACAGACTAGCATGGATTGAACTAACATTCTCTGGACCTCACTGGAGAAACATATACCTAGAGCAAGGTCTAGCAAACTTTTTCTAGAAAGGGGCTTATAATACATATTTTAGGCTTTGAGGACCATACAGACTCTGTTGCAACTGTTCACTTCTCCTGTTGTAGCATGAAAGCAGCCATAGCTAATACATAAACAAATGGATAAGGCTATGCAATCCAGCAAAACTTTATTTATAAAAAAGAGGACAGGCTGAATTTGGCCCACAATTAGCTCACTTTTATCTGGAAAAAACTAAAACCTTAGGAAAAAGACCTCTATTTGTCAAATCACTGTTAGCTAAGTTAAAGGCCTCCTGTGATTCAGTAAGAATTTTAAATGGCAACATTAATGGTGGTGGAAATAATAATAATGATGATAATAACAGCAACAGCTACAGTTACTGAACATGTTGCTATTCAGTGCAGTAAAACATACATTTTCCAATTTCATCATTAAAAGAAAGCCTCCTGGGGTATGTGTAATTATTATCTCATTTTACAAACAAGAAAACTGAGGCTGAGTGAAATGAATGGCCCTCAGTGAATGACACCTCCTTGTATCCCCAGGGATGACAGTGCAAGGAGTGAGATGGACAGCATAAAATAACTTTTTTTCTCCTTCAAATTATATAATGCATTCTTTTTGCATTATTTTAGATTTCTCAAAAAAGTCTAGTATAAATTCAATCTAAGGCAGAAGCTAGTAGTGTTTCATCCACGAAGAGGCAATAAAAATCACCTACCAGTCACTTGTTACCTCCCTCTAGATCCAGTCATGGGGGCTGGTACATAGTAATAGCAAAAACATGTATTGGACACTCACTATGGGCTAGATATTGTCCTAAGTGCATGGAATCTAATAACCCTTTGAATCTTCTCAACTGTCCTAAGAGATAAGTACTATTATTATCCCCACTTTCCAGGGAGAGTATGGGGTGCAGAAAGGTAAGGTTAGTTACCCTAGACATGTGACCAGTAAGGGGCAGAGCCAGGATTTGAACCCAAGCAGTGTGTCCCAGGATCTGCACACTTAACGACCACTATACATGGTACATAGTACTCATGGTTCCTCTGATTTCAGGCTACCTCTGCTCTGACCCTCATTTGCAACTAAAGTGAGCCTAGACTCTGTTTGTGCAGCACCCTTGTTCTTCCCTTGCTAGGCCAGTCCTGTCACCAACCACCAACGGAATCTGAATGTGAAAAGTAGGGAAGTAAAGCAAGAGTTAGGTGTAGAATAGTGGGTTCTATTAGCACTACCACAGTTTCTGAAAACAGATAAAATTATCATCCGTTGCTAGACCCAATCTCAGGCCATAGCTAAACTGAGTCCATAAGCACAAGCTGATTGGCCTTTATTCAAGATCACACCAAGAGTCCCTAAAGTAATTTAAAACTTGGCAAATAGCACAGTTACTAACTGGCAATAAGGAAAACACACTCGCTGCTGTAGATCTCCTTAGTTGCCCTTTATATGATATCACCTTTTCTTCTTTATCTTTAACTCCTAAGTCTGGGGTAACAGGAGTTGGGGATCTTAGGCTGTCTATGTCACATAAGAAACACAAGTGTGAACACAAGTGCAGATCCCAATTCAGCTTTTAATTGAAGAGGAAAGCCACCATGCCAACACCGGAAGCACAGCGCCGTGGAATGACCTGCCTAGACGGGAGGGAAAGCCCGGCGGTGCCCCCCTTTGAAGTCCAGCTGCCTGAGATTCACTGGCAGCCGACCTTCAAAGAGAGCCGATGCTTCCTTCCCTCAGCCTGGCTGCCAAGCTTCCCGGGCAGCTGGGCAGATTTAGCCACTCTCTCCCCAGCTGTCTGTGAACGCTGGCAGCCAGTTCAAGTGACGGATAGAGAGGTGGTAAGGAAGGGAGGGTGAGGAAGCAGAGGAGAGGGTGGCGGGCCCAGTGGCGCCAGGGAAAAGAGGATGCTGGGTTTCCTTGGAGCTGACCTTATCAAAGTCAGTCAAAAAGACAAAGCTTCCAAAGGGAGTACAATCCAACTATACGACAAAGCAACTTTCCAGAGAACAGGGAGATTTCAAATACACTTTCCTTCAAAAGCTGAGTGAATCTGAAATGTACTCATCTAAAGATAACCCAATTGCTGCAGAAAATAGTCCTATCTCTACATAGGGATGTGAGAAACAAAGTCAAGGTCAAGCATCAAAATGTACAAATTTTTGACTGATTTTTATTTTCCAGCAGCATGAGTTCACACTTCTTAGAGACTTTTGGGGGTTGTTTGCTGACTTTGTTGTGGCAACCCTTCTGTTCCCCTGGCAGCCAATTGCTGAAACAACTTATCTGTTTCTGCGCCTGTGCAGCAGATGCTTGGACAAGACTGGCTTATTTAACATAAACATTACCAATGTGCTGTTATGTTTATCCTGTTGAACCCACATGCTTGGAGTAGGGAATAGTGAGTGTTATCAGCTGCAGGTACAAAGGGGATGCAGAGCAGTTCTGTAAGTGACCACAAACTCTCAAAAGAAGTCTACTCAATAACAAGACTTCAAATTTGGTAAAGTAGGAGACAAAGTGATGAGAATATAGGTGAATGGAAAGAAGAACTGAAGAGGTATAAAGAGAAAAGTAAATCATCAGATTTTCATTGTATATGAAGTCCTCTGGCAGCTATATGGCAATGAAGGAAAGATAGATTAGAAGCCAAGGAGAAAAAGGATCATACATCTCAGGAAATCTTTTCTCTGTTTAGTACAATTTGACTAAAAAAGGAATGCATGGATGAGCTGGTACACTTGACAATATGAACAAAAGACCTACATATTCGTACAGACCATCTTATTAAGTCACTAGCTACAAATTTATCTTCCCTATTCTTTAGATTGCCTTGAAACTGTATGACACAGCATCCAGCACTAAGTTCAGTGATACTAAACACATCCAATCCAAAACTTATTATCTAAATTTAAAAGTATAATGCTGATCTTATAGAAGAACAACCAATTAATATTTGCTAAAATTCACTCATTCTACAAACATTTAGGAGCCCTTGTTATGTGCAAGGCACTATGCCAGGTGTGGCAGATGTCAAGATCGGTTAAATGGCTCCTTACCCAACAATGAGATCTGTCTAGAAAGGGAGGCAAACATTCAAAACAAATATCTACAATAAATTGTACAAAAAAATGGCAATATCCATAAACTGTATAGTAAAAACACCAAGAAAAGGTCAACTTTATCATGGTAGTATAATATTAATAGGTTCAGAAGGAATAGAAGATGGGAAAAGAAGTCAGGTAAAGCCTGGTGAGGATGCTGGATCACAGTCTTTGAAAGTTAAGGAGGAGATCTCTAGGGATACAAGGAAATACTACTCCACTAGAGGACACTGAATAGAAAAGTCTTAGAAGTGTGAAATAGCACCTTACTTTTGGATCTATAGGTAGGACTCAATAACAGACCAGGAGCAGATAAAACTGGAGAGCCAGAGATCAAACCATTAGTGGCTTCATATGCCCTTCTATGGAGTTTAATTTTTCAACTTGTGGGTAATGTTGATTTTTTGAAGGGATTTAAGGACAGAGGAGTAATATTGTCATAAGAGTATTTTAAAAGATCACCCTGCAGTGGTGGGAAAGATGAATTGGAAAAAGGAAGACTGAAGACAGGGAGGATGAGTCAAGAAACATCTGCAGTGTTCTAGGTGAGGGCTTGAGCTGTGTCATTAATGGAGGAGTAGGTAAGACAGCAATTTAAATTGCAGTCGGTGGCTTTGGTATGGGCAGTTCCAGCTAATTTGTGAAGTGGATGTTGCAAATATAGTCTACTCTGGGTAGAAACCTGGCAATAAAAAAAGTTAGAGTTGGAGAAAGCTTTTGTTAAATAAAATAAATAAAAAGCAGAAACTTGAGCATATTTTCTAGGAGCCAGTAGGGATGAAAAGGATAAAAATACAGGAAAGGGAGTAACTGATAGAATTAGGGCTCAAAGGAAGCAGGAAGGACATAATCAGGCACGCAGGTGGAAGGATTAGTGGGGAACTACAAGAGAAAGACCTCTTCCTTGGCGACTGCAGGGAAGGAGGCTGAGAGACCACAGCAGTATGCGCACAGAGATACATACAAGGGCACAAAGTCTACCAGAAGTCCGGCCTATTGTCCCTATTTTTCCAAGTAAATGAGAGGAGATAATTGAGTAGGAAATGGGGGTTGTAACGTAAACCAGAGAAGAGTTGGGGAAGTTTGAAAACACCCAATGAGATGAATGACAAGAATTAACTGGACATAGAAAAAAAGAGACTGCCAAGGCCAGGAAGGCCCAAAAGAAAATAAAAATCATAAATCTGGAATGGCACTACCCTGCAAAACTGTGGGCTTTTTTTCAGGTCGGACTTAAGAGCCAGAGCAAGGAAGCAAGGAAATCATATTACTGGGATAGTCGAGTAGAAAACAGAAAATAAAGCACAGTTTAAAATCTTGGTAAAATATGTATTACAGAAATCAAATAATCCTTTGCCTTTTCTCCGAGTACTATGTTCTGGAGTTAACTGGTTTAAATTTGCATTTTTGGCTCAAAAGTCAAAACCGCAGTCAGTATAATGCAACTTTAACTTTTGTAATGCTCTATTACAAAACTAAAACCATTTTCCCTTTTTAAAATCACTTTGTTAAAGAAAGTGCCCTCATAATAACAAAAAATGAGTATAAATATTTTGTTTATTATGAGGACTGTATTGTTTCAAAAAAGCAGGAGTTCCAATTTACTCACTTGAGAAAATCAATTTGAAGCAAATGTTTATTGGTTGCTTTCTGGGTCCCTGGCATTGTGCTGTGCTTGTGGGAACAGATGTAAAACATAATCTCTGCCTTCAAGAAGATTACACTGTAATTCATAGTCTCAGTATTTTAATAACACTTTTTCCTTGTTAAAAACCTCTCAGATTTGATGATCCTACTGACGTAGCCCTTTCAACTAAAACCATAAAAACAATCATTAACCAAGTAGTAACTGTCAGAGAAAAACAAGAAATAAAATTGTATTTTCATTTATCTTTTTTAACACTCCCAACTATACTTAGGATCATTTATTTTTAATTTGAGTAAGAGAGACGGTGGAAGAAATGAAGAGGAATTTACAACAATTTACAGGCATTCAAAAAATTAGGGATTTCCAGCTTTTCCTAATAAACAAAAAGATCTAACACCCCTCATTTCCACATTGCAACAACAGGCTGATGGAGGAAAGAGACTGCCTTAAGGTAACATGACGAAACAAACTGTCTTAATCTGAAGTAAAAAAGATGTTGTAACTCACTTATTAGTAAATCATTAAATACAAGCACAGGGATGCACTGAACCCATTTTAATTAAGGTAGGTCAGGTCGTTTTCCCCTTTGGGCAGACAAATGTGTTTTGGGGATGAACACAAATCAGTCTTTCTTAAGTTGAAATCTAAAAAAAAAACTCCTTGAAGTATTTAGTATTTACCTTTATCCTGGAAAACATTTTCTTATCTGTAAAACTGTGCTACTTCCACAAGCTCAGAATCTTCTCTTAAACTCTCCTGTTCACCTGAGTTTTAAAGGGAAAACACTGAAGCTTTGCTGTTTACCAGTATGTCATGTTCTGAAAGGCTATTCATAAGTGCACTTTGTTCCTAATGAAACCACCTTTGCAAAAATTATAACCGAGGAAATTATGGCAGTGAAAGAGATCAGACCTAACTGACTTCTTGCTTCTAACCTTTAAGTTGTCCTTGCTCATTCATGGGCGTGAACTAATCTTGGGAAGGAATTCAGTTTATGGTTTGACTCTGAAACAAAATAGATAATAGCCTTTTCCAGAAAAGAGCCCTTCTTGCCTGGGGACCATTCTGCCTTTGCAGTACTAACAAATTAGTTACAAGATTAGAAATTACAGTTTAAGGGTCATGCAACCTCTGGCTGCAAGAGTCTGAACCTCCCCAAATTGCTCCTGGGGATAAAATCACTATTAATTACTATGAATAACATCACTATTGCAAAACCTAAGATCGGTGCTTGAGATATTTTGCAGACCCTGCACTTGATGGATCAGCTAACACGACCCAGACTGGTTATCTGGCTCAACCAGTTCTGTGATCCTACCCAGGAACATAAGACAACAAGAAAACCTCACTTCCATCCTCTATGATTCTATCTCCAACCTGACCAATCAGCACTCCCCACTTATATCTATCTTATGTTTAAAAACTCTGATCCCCGAATGCTTGAAGAGACTAATTTGAGTAATAATAAAACTCCAGTCTCCCACACAGCTGGCTCTGCATGAATTACTCTTTCTCCATTGCAATTCCTCTGTCTTGATAAATTGGCTCTGTCTAGGCAGTCCTTCACACTATCCACTGGTGGCAGGCACTGCTTTGGCCCAGGGCCACAGGCCAGATACTACATTTCGATATAGGGCTAAAACTATCTGCCACTGACATAGGGTCAGGAAGCCCTCCTATACCCTATCCCTTCACAGAGAAAAAGAAAGCGTTTGCTCTGACCCAAGACCCCCTACAGACACAAAGCAGCATTCAGCTGCCATCAAGACAAGGGGCAGTAAACCCTCCTATGTTCTAGAGCCATACTGTCCAATGTTGTAGCCACCTGCCACATATATTGAGATCATTAAAAACGGCTACTGTGATTAAGAAATTAAATTTTAATTTTAACTAAGTTACATTTAAATACAGTTGTCCCTTGCTATCTGTGGGGATTGGCTACAGGACTTCCTGTGGATAACAAAATCTGAGGATGCACAAGTCCCATATATAAAATGGTGTAGTATTTGCATGAAAACTATGTACATCCTACTATACACTTTAAATCATCTCCAGATTATTTATAATCCTAATACAATGTAAATGCTACATAAATGGTTGTTACACTGTATTTTTAAATTTGTTGGCCTTCTTTTATTGTTGTATTATAATTTTTTCTGAATATTTTCAATCTGTGGTTGGTTGAATCTGCTGATGCAGAACCTGAATATATGTTGGGCCAACTGTAGTCACATATATGGGACAGCACAGATCTACATGCTTCAATTAAAAAGCAAAAGTTGTTATATGAGATTTTAAAAAGCAAGAGTCAACCACAGACATCTATAAAAAACTTACTGAAGATCAGCCTAAAAATAAAAGAACAGAAAAAGATTTACCAGGCAAATACAAATCAAAAGTAACCTGCAGAAGCTATATATCAGACAAAGTAGAGGCTCTAAAGAATAAGAAATGTTACCAGGAGTCAGGGTATGTAACATAATGATGAAAGGGTCAATTCAGCAAAAAAATATAATGCTAAATGTGTATGTACCCAATAAGAGAGACTTAAAATACAGAAAAAAAAAAAACTGAAAGGAGAAATAGACACATCCACAACTATAGATGAGATTTCAATATTCCTCTCTCAGTAATTGATAAAATAAGTAAGACATAAAATCAATAGATATAGGCTGACATGATCAACACTATCAACCAACTTGACCTAATTGATATTTATAGAATACTCTATCCCCAAACAGAATACATATTCTTGCTAAGTATAAATGAAATATTTATTGAGATAAACTATATTCTGGATCAAAAAACAAATCATTATAAATTTAAAAGTTTAAAATCATAGGAATTATATTCCAGACTACAATGGGATTAAAATAGAACTCAATTAGCAATTGATTTCTATCAATTAACAGATTAATTAACAATCAACAGATTAATATTAGAAACCCAAAATATTTGGAAATTATACTACACACTTCTAAATATTCCATAGTTCAAAAATAAATCACAAAAGTAGAAAATATTTTGACATAAATATTTACTCACTGAAAACATAAACATAAAATATCAAACTTTTGGAAGGTGTTATGAACTGAATGCTTGTGCCACCCAAAATTCATATGTTGAAGTTCTAACACCCAATGTTTTAGCATTGGAGGTGAGGCCTTTTGGAGGTAATTAGGTTTAGATGAGTTTATGAGGATGGGCCGCTATGATGGAATTAGTGTCCATATAAGAAGAGGAAGACAGAGCCTGTCCCTCCCTACTCCACTCCATCTCTTTCAGTCACATGAGGATGCAGACAGGAAGCCCTCTGCAAGCTAGAAGCGGGCCTCTACTAGGAACCAAATCTGGGGGCACCTGGATCTTGAACTTCCCAGTCTCCAGAACTGTGAAAAATAAATATCTGTTATCTACCCAGTCTAAAGTATTTTGTTATGGCAGCCTGAGCTAAGACACAAAGCAGTGTTTAGAGAAGAATTTAAGGCATTTAATGTATATATTCAAAAAGATATTTCAAATAAAATTCCTATGCTTCCACTTTAAGAAATTAGAAGACAATGAGCAAATAAGAAGGAAGACAATAACAAACAGTAGAAATAAAAAAAATAGAAAAACAGGAACAAAATCTATTGGAAACTGAAATTAAAAATACTATTTTCAAGAATATCAAAAACATGGAATTAAATAAAAATCTGTATCAAATTATGACTTCCATAGTTAATAACAAAGAAGTTAAAACAAAAATGTCATTGCTACTACTTCATTGCAGTATGTTGCTAGGAAGTATTAATCTATTTTCTGACTGTAGAAGTATCTACCTTAAAATCTGTATATAGTATATGCCACTGGGGAATTAGAACATGTTTTCTTTTTCCCTGAATAAAGGAAATAATAACATTCTTGCAAATCATTTTCTAAGACTGGTTGAAGGGAAAACAATAGAATGAATTGTGTACAGATTATTGAGACTACTCCTACAGATAGAAAATATGATTAGTACTAAAGAGAACCTTCTAGTATGGAGATCAGGGATTAATTAGCCCAAATGCAAACTGCCTAGACCCCTTCTTCAGGCCCTCCCTTTAATTAAATGGTCTTCTAGTAGGACCTAGGAAGACAAACATTGAAAATAAAACTTCAAATGTTTAATTTTGTATTAAAATAATACAAAACAGAAACCACAACTGGCAAATGGTTAGGTAAGGGAAGGATGTTAGCCCATCATTCTTGTCAAAAATCTGGACTTTTGACCATTTTGGGGTTTCTGTATTATTCATTAACTCATTCATTCTCTTAACGGTTGGAGCACCTAGCACTTCTGAAGCTGGGGCTAAACAGATGGCACCTATTTAGGGGACCTCACAATGGAGTACAGGAGTACTATATGGGCTTTCACACAGGCAGATTGGGAGGAGGAAGTGACTAATTCTGCCTAGGGGACAGGAATGTCCTTACAGAGGTGATGATATTTAAGGGGGGTTTTGAAAGATAACTAGAAGGTTGCCAGGCAAGGAAAGAGGCAACGCATATTCTAGGCAGAGGGAACATTATTTTCTAAGGCAAGGAGTGGGAAACTGCATACTATGTTTAGAAAAGACAACCAATTGCTTGGTAGCCTAATACTCATGCTGCTGTTTCTCAGAATTATATATGACTAGAGGGTTGTCAATAAAGGAATTTCCACTAAAAAGGTATCTTTTGTGAATATGTGTCTTTTTTAACTAGCATCTACAGCTGACCTTTGAACAGCACAGGTTTGAACTGCAGCGTCTACTTATATGCAGACTTTGCCCTGCCTATGCTACCCCCGAGACAGCAAGACCAACTTCTCTCCTCTTCCTCCTCCTCAACCTACTAAATGTGAAGATGATGAGGAAGAAGACCTTTATAGTGATCCACTTCCACTTAATTAATATGTTTTTTCTTCCTTATTATTTTCTTAATGACAGTAACATTTAGCTTACTTTACTTTACTTACTTTACTTCTTTAGCTTACTTTACTGTAAGAAGACAGTACATATTACATACAAATTATGTGATAATTGACTTTATTTATTGGTAAGGCATCTGGTTAACAATAGGTTACTAGAGGTTAATTTCTGCGAGTCAAAAGTTAAACGTGTATTTTTTATTATGTAGGAGTCAAAAGTATGGAGGAAGGAAAGTACACGGTATGTTCTGGAAACATTATACAGACTTGTTTGGTTAGAATATAGAAATGTAGAAGGTAAGGCAGAGAAGACTTACTGGAGTCAGATTATCAAGGGTCTTAATGACAGGGCACAACTTGTACAATCCTACCAGATGGTCCTGATTCAGTGACAAAGACTAAGGGATTTGAACTCCAATATACATCTGATGCCCAGGGTGACATCGGCTGAATGGTTCTCAACCTTTTTCATAATCAAGACAAGTTTAGTGCCAGACTCTCCAAATCATCATGTACAAATGAAGTGGAGAGGGAACTATCCAGAGATAAAAGACCCTCTCATTACCCTTTTGAAATTCATAGTAAGTAGCAAGTTCACTCTTTTAATACTATGCCTCTATAAAAATGAAGCCCGGGGTGGCTGGCAAGGTGGCTGAATAGGAATAGCTCAGGTCTGCAGCTCCCAGAGAGATCAATGCAGAAGGTGGGTGATTTCTGCATTTCCAACTGGGGTACCTGGCTTATCTCATTGGGACTGGTTAGACAGTGGGTACAGCCCACGAGGGCGAGCAGGAGCAGGGTGTCATCTCACCCGGGAAGCACAAGGGATCAGGAAACTACCTCCCCTGGCCAAGGGAAACCATGAGGGACCCTGCTGTGAGGAATGGTACACTCCAGCCCAGATACTATGCTTTTCCCACAGTCTTCACAACACACAGACCAGAAGATTCCCTCAGATGCCTACAACACCAGGGCCCTAAGTTTCAAGCACAAAACTGGGCGGCCATTTGGGCAGACACCAAGCTAGCTGCAGGAGTTTCTTTTCATACCCTGGTGGCACCTGGAATGCCAGCGAGACAGAACCGTTCACTCCCTGGGAAAGGGGGCTGAAGCCAGGGAGCAAAGTGGTCTAGCTCAGCAGATCCCGCCCCCATGGAACTCAGCAAGCTAAGATCCACTGGCTTGAAATTTTCCCACCCACATGGAGATCAGTGAGCTAAGATCCGCTGGCTTGAAATTCTCACTGCCAGCACAGCAGTCTGAAGTTGACCTAGGACACTCCAGCTTTGTTGCGGGAGAGGCATCCTCCATTATTGAGGCTTGAGGAGGCGGTTTTCCCCTCACAGTTTTAACAAAGCCACTGGGAAGTTCGAACTGGGCAGAGCCCACCACAGCTCAGCAAAGCAGCTGTAGCCAGTCTGCCTCTCTAGATTTCTCCTCTCTGGGCAGGGCATCTCTGAAAGAAAGGCAGCAGCCCCAGTCAGGGGCTTATAAGATAAACGTGCCATCTCCCTGGGACAGAGCACCTGAGGGAAGAGGCAGCTGTGGGCGCAGCTTCAGCAGACTTAAAAGTTCCTGCCTGCCAGCTCTGAAGAGAGCAGTGGATCTCCCAGCACAGCGCTTGAGCTCTGCTAAGGGACAGACTGCCTCCTCAAGTGGGTCCCTGACCCCCGTGTCTCCTGACTGGGAGACACCTCCCAGGAGGGGTCGACAGACACCTCATACAGGAGAGCTCCAGCTGGCATCTGGCAAGTGCCCCTCCCCAGGACGAAGCTTCCAGAGGAAGGAACAGGCAGCAATCTTTGCTGTTTTGCAGCCTCCGCTGGTGATACCCAGGCAAACAGGGTCTGGAGTGGACCTCCAGCAAACTCCAGCAGACCTGCAGAAGAGGGGCCTGACTATTCAAAGGAAAACTAACAAACAGACAGGAAGAGCATCAACATCAACAAAAAGGATGTCCACACAAAAACCCCATCCAAAGGGCATCAGCATCAAAGACCAAAGGTAGATAAATCCTCACAGATGAAAAAAAAACCAGGGCAAAAAGGCTGAAAATTCCAAAAACCAGAACGTCTCTTCTCTTCTAAAGGATCACAACTCCTCGCCAGCAAGGGAACAGAACTGGATGGAGAATAAGTTTGACAAGTTGACAAAAGTAGGCTTCAGAAGGTGGGTAGTAATGAACTCCTCTGAGCTAAACGAGCATGTTCTAACCCAATGCAAGGAAACTAAGAACCTTGAAAAAAGGTTAGAGGAATTGCTAACAAGAATAACTAGTTTAGAGAAGAACATAAATGATCTGATGGAGCTGAAAAACACAGCACAAGAACTTCGTGAAGCATACACAAGTATAAATAGCTGAATAGATCAAGCAGAAGAAAGGATATCAGAGATTGAAAATCAACTTAATGAAATAAAGCGTGAAAACAAGATTAGAGAAAAAAGAATGAAAAGAAATGAATAAAGCCTCCAAGAAATATGGGACTATATGAAAAAACCAAATCTGCGTTTGACGGGTGTACCTGAAAGTGATGGGGAGAATGGAACCAAATTGGAAGACACTCTTCAGGATGTTATCCAGGAGAACTTTCCCATCCTGGCAAGAGAGGCCATCATTCACATTCAGGAAATACAGAGAACAAAGATAGTCCTCCAGAAGAGCAACCCCAACACACATAATCGTTAGATTCACCAAGGTTGAAATGAAGGCAAAAATATTAAGGGCAGCAAGAGAAGAAAGGTTGGGTTACCCACAGAAGGAAGCCCATCAGACTAACAGCGCATCTCTCTGCAGAAACACTACAAGCCAAAAGAAAGTAGGGGCCAATATTCAACATTCTTAAAGAATTTCCAACCCAGAATTTCATAACCAGCCAAACTAAGCTTCATAAGCGAAGGAGAAATAAAATCCTTTACAGACAAGCAAAAGCTGAGAGATTCTGTCACCACCAGCCTGCCTTACAAGAGATCCTGAAGGAAGAATAAATACAGAAAGGAAAAACCAGTACCAGCCACTGCAAAAACATACCAAATTGTAAAGACCATCAAAACCATGAAGAAACTGTATCAATTAACGGGCAAAATAACTAGCTAGCATCATAATGACAGGATCAAATTCACACATAACAATATTAACCTTAAATGTAAACAGGCTAATGCCCCAATTAAAAGACACAGACTGGCAAATTGGATAAATAGTCAAGACCCATCAGTGTGCTGTATTCAGGAAACCCATTTCACGTGCAAAGACACACACAGGCTCAAGATAAAGGGATGGAGAAATATTTACCAAGCAAATGGAAAGCCAAAAAAAGCAGGGGCTGCAATCCTAGTCTCTGATAAAACAGACTTTAAACCAACAAAGATCAAAAGAGACAAAGAAGGCCATTACATAATGGTAAAGGGATTGATCAATGCAACAAGAAGAGCTAACTATCCTAAATATGTATGTGCCCAATACAGGAGCACCCAGATTCATAAAGCAAGTTCTTAGAGACCTACAAAGAGACTTAGACTCTCACACAATAACAGTGGGAGACATTAACACCCCACTATCAGTATTACACAGATCAATGAGACAGAAAATTAACAAGGATATCCAGGACTTCAACTCAGCTCTGGACCAAGCAGACCTAATAGACATCTACAGAACTCTCCACACCAGATCAACAGAACATACATTCTTCTCAGCACCCCATCGCACTTATTCTAAAATTGACCACATAACTGGAGTAAAACACTCCTCAGCAAATGCAAAAGAACAGAAATCATGACAAACAGTCTCTCAAACCACAGTGCAATCAAATTAGAACTCAGGATTAAGAAAATCACTCAAAACCATGCAACTACATGGTAACTGAACAAACTGTGCCTGAATGACTACTGGGTGAATAATGAAATGAAAGCAGAAATAAATAAGTTCTTTGAAACCAATGAAAACAAAGACTCAACATACAAGAATCTCTGGGACACAACTAAAGCAGCATTTAGAGGAAAATTTATAGCACTAAATGCCCACAAGAGAAAGCGGGAAACATCTAAAATCGACACCCTAACGTCACAATTAAAAGAACTAGAGAAGCAAGAGCAAACAAACTCAAAAGCTACCAGAAGACCAGAAATAACTAAGATCAGAGCAAAACTGAAGGAGATAGAGACATGAAAAACCCTTCAAGAAAAAAATCAATGAATCCAGGAGCCGGTTTTTTAAAAACATTAACAAAATAGACAGACCACTAGCTAGACTAATAAAGAAGAAAAGAGACAAGAATCAAATAGATGCAATAAAAAATGATAAAGGGGATATCACCACTGATCCCACAGAAATACAAACTACCATCAGAGAATACTATAAACACCTCTATGCAAATAAACTAGAAAATCTAGAAGAAATAGCCAAATTCTTGGACACATACACCCTCCCATGACTAAACCAGGAAGAAGTCGAATTCCTGAATAGACCAATAACAAGTTCTGAAATCGAGGTAGTAATTAATAGCCTACTAACCAAAAAAAGCCCAGGACCAGATGGATTCACAGCAGAATTCTACCAGAGGTACAAAGAGGAGCTGGTACCATCCCTTCTGAAACTATCCCAAACAATAGAAAAAGAGGGACTCCTCCCTAACTCATTTTATGAGGCCAGCACCATCCTGATACCAAAACCTGGCAGAGAAACAACAAAAAAAGAAAATTTCAGGCCAAATCCCTGATGAACATCAAAGCAAAAACCCTTAATAAAATACTGGCAAACTGAATCCAGCAGCACATCAAAAAGCTTATCCACCATGATCAAGTCGGCTTCATCCCCGGGATGCAAGGCTGGTTCAACATATGTAAATCAATAAAAATAATCCATCACACGAACAGAATCAATGACAAAAAACACATGATTATCTCAGTAGATGCAGAAAAGGCCTTCAACAAAATTCAACACCCTTTCATGCTAAAAACTCTCAAGAAACTAGGTATTGATGAAATGTATCTCAAAATAATAAGAGCTATTTATGACAAACTCACAGCCAGTATCACACTGAACGGGAAAAAGCTGGAAGCATTCCCTTTGAAAACCAGCACAAGACAAGGATGCCCCCTCCCACCACTCCTATTCAACATATTATTGGAAGTTCTGGCCACAGCAATCAGGCAAGAGACATAAATAAAGGGTACTGGAATAGGAAGAGAGGAAATCAAATTGTCTCTGTTTGCAGATGACAGATTGTATATTTAAAAAACCCCATCATCTCAGCCCAAAATCTCCTTAAGCTGATAAGCAACTTTAGCAAAGTCTCAGGATACAAAATTGATGTGCAAAAGTCACAAGCATTCCTATACACCAATAAAGGACAAACAGAGAGCCAAATCATGAGTGAACTCCCATTCACAATTGCTTCAAAGAGAATAAAATACCTAGGAATCCAACTTACAAGGGATGTGAAGGACCTCTTCAAGGAGAACTACAAACCACTGCTCAATGAAATAAGAGAGGACATAAACAAATGGAAAAGGATTCCATGCTCATGGACAGGAAGAATCAATGTCGTGAAAATGGCCATACTGCCCAAGGTAATTTATAGATTCAATGCTATCCCCATCAAGCTACCATTGACTTTCTTCACAGAATTAGAGAAAACTACTTTACATTTCATATGGAACCAAAAAAAGAGCCCACATAGCCAAGGCAATCCTAAGCAAAAAGAACAAAGCTGGAGGCATCACACTATCTGACTTCAAACTACACTACAAGACTACAGTAACCAAAAGAGCATGGTGCTGGTACCAAAACAGATATATAGACCAATGGCACTGAACAGAGGCCTCAGAGATAATGCCACACATCTACAACCATCTGATCTTTGACAAGCCTGACAGAAACAAGCAATGGGGAAAGGATTCCCTATGTAATAAATGGTGTTGGGAAAACTGGCTAGCCATATGCAGAAAACTGAAACTGGACTCCTTCTTTACACCTTATACAAAAATTATCCCAAGATGGATTAAAGACTTGTAAGACCTAAAACCATAAAAACTCCAGAAGAAAACTTAAGCAATACCATTCAGGACATTGGCATGGGCAAAGACTTCATGACTAAAACACCAAAAGCCAAAATTGATAAACGGGATTTAATTAAACTAAAGAGCTTCTGCACAGCAAAAGAAACATCATCAGAGTGAACAGGCAATCTACAGAATGGGAGAAAATTTTTGCAATCTATCCATCTGACAAAGGGCTAATATCCAGAATCTACAAGGAACTTAAACAAATTTACAAGAAAAAAACAAACAACCCCATCAAAAAGTGGGCAAAGGATATGAACAGACACTTCTCAAAAGAAGACATTCATGTGGCCAACAAACATATGAAAAAAACCTCATCATCACTGGTCATTAGCGAAATGCAAATCAAAACCACAGTGAGATACCATCTCATGCCAGTCAGAATGGTGATCCTTAAAAAGGAAACAACAGATGCTGGAGAGGATGTGGAGAAATAGGAACACTTTTACACTGTTGGGAGTGTAAATTAGTTCAACCACTGTGGAAGACAGGGTGGCAATTCCTCAAGGATCTAGAACCAAAAATACCATTTGACCCAGCAATCCCATTACTGGGTATTTACCCAAAGGATTATAAATCATTCTACTATAAAGACACATGCACATGTACGTTTATTGCAGCACTATTCACAATAGCAAAGACTTGGAACCAGCCCAAATGCCCATCAATGATAGATTGGATAAAGAAAATGTGGCACATATATATATCACAGAATACTATGCAGCCATAAAAAAGGATGAGTTCATGTCCTTTGCGGGGACATGGATGAAGCTGGAAACCATCATTCTCAGCAAAGTAACACAGGAACAGAAAACCAAACACCGCATGTTCTCACTGATAAGTGGGAGCTGAACAATGAGAACACATGGACAGAGGGAGGGGAACATCATACACTGGGGCTTGTTGGGGGATGGAGGGCTAGGGGAGGGATAGCATTAGGAGAAATACCTAATGTAGACGACGGGTTGATGAGTGCAGCAAACCATCATGGCATGTGTACACTTATGTAACAAACCTGCACATTCTGCACATGTATCCCAGAACTTAAAGTATAAAAAAAAAAAAAATGAAGCCCATTCTGTAGATTGAAGTTCTGAAAGGAAGTTTTGTTGAAGGAAATGTTGCATTTCAAGGCAGAATTTTAAAAACAAGTGGGTGGATGGGTAGTAGTTATAAAGAACAGTTTCTTTTCCTCCTCAAAACAGGGACCAGAGCACAGGACGGAGAGTATGTAAAGGAGCAAATATATGCATGGTTTTCCCATCTGCTCTCCCCTCCATACCCATTGCCCCAAGAGCTCAAGAATGCAAAGGGCTTCAATTACCTACCATGCAAATAATCCCTAAATTAAAATCTCATTCTATTCCATACCTTGCTCTCAAAGCCTTTTATGTTAATGATACTGAATATCTCCACTTACATGTACTATATCTCCTCCAACCAATATTCCTAGAGCTAAACGCATACATTTTTACTTCCAAAGCATCTCCCAGTCTTGACTTCCTATTTTTTCATTAATGTACAATACTCTTCTCAGTCACTAAGCATCATCTCTGACTCTTTACCAAGTAGTCCTTGATATCATCTGTCTCTTACATCCAATACTTTCTTTTTCTTTCTCTTTCTTTTTTTTGACGGACTCTCACTCTGTCGCCCAGGCTGGAGTGCAGTAGCGTGATCTCGGCTAACTGCAAGCTCTGCCTCCTGGGTTCACACCATCCTCCCCGCTCAGCCTCCTGAGTAGCTGGGACTACAGGCGCCCACCACCACACCCAGCTAATTTTGTTTTTGTATTTTTAGTAGAGACGGGGTTTCACTGTGTTAGCCAGGATGGTCTCAATCTCCTGACCTCGTGATCCACCCACCTTGGCCTCCCAAAGTGCTGGGATTACAGGTGTGAGCCACTGCGCCCGGCCCAATACTTTCTTTCAGTAACTAGTAACAGTGTTCTACAACCCCTGATCTGCCAATAAATGATGATAATAAGAAGTAATAGGCCGGGCGCAGTGGCTCACGCCTGTAATCCCAGCACTTTGGGAGGCAGAGGCGGGTGGATCATGAGGTCAGGAGATCGAGACCATCCTGGCTAACACAGTGAAACCCCGCCTCTACTAAAAATACAAAAAATTAGCCGGGCGTGGTGGCGGGCGCCTGTAGTCCCAGCTACTCGGGAGGCTGAGGCAGGAGAATGGCGTGAACCCGGGAGGCGGAGCTTGCAGTGAGCCGAGATCGCGCCACTGCACTCCAGCCTGGGCGACAGAGCGAGACTCCGTCTCAAAAAAAAAAAAAAAAAAAAAAGAAGTAATAACATCGTGAATGTATATGAGCTTCACAGTTTACAAAGTGCTTACATATGTACTATAACTTTTCATGCTTATGACAACCCAGTGAGACAATCAGAAAAGATACTTGTATCACATCTATAGTCCAGAGGCAAACCATAAAAGATCAGAAAGCTTAACTGACCTGCCCAGATCACAAGTCCCACTTCCCATGATGCTTCCCCCTCCCTTCATCTCAATTTTTATGATAATCCGAATTAAGGAAGAAGCAATCCCCTTGCTCTCATCCCACCATCTTGTATGCCTCACCAAATTAATATTCCTAAAACTTTTTGTTGAACATGTTACTTCCATATGTACAGACCTTCAGGAAAATAAGTAAGTAAATAAATAAAAACAGGCACAATGATACTCATACTCTTCCAAAGTCTGGTCCCAACCTGTATTTCTGGTCTTAATTCCTACTCTCCCAGTGAAAATCCTTTGGTCTAGATGCAGCTGAATGGTCATTATCTCTTGGAAAGACTTCCATCTTCCACTTTATATCTTTACCTAAGCTATCCTTTACTTTGAGAACCTTCTTCTCTCCTCTCTGCCTGCCTTATACATCTTAGTCCAGGCACCTTTTCCTACATGAATCTTTTCTAGTGTACACAGAGCACCCTTTTTAATATCTTATTTTGGTTTGATTTTACAAAGTTGGGCACAGAAAGATGCCATTATGTGGCTTATGATTCAGAATTAACACTTTTTAGCTTTACGTCATTCCTAAACAATTTCTAAAGATCATTTTGAAAATCAGTGAGTCCATTGACAATGTTATTAATGAAAAATTAATGTGTTAAACTAATAAGAAGCAAAATTCAATAGGATCAATGAATGTTAAAAGAGACGAAAGTAAAAAAATGGTAGAGAAAATTCTTGCTCCAAATGAACATTTTTATAAATGGAATAAATCTTCACATTTGAAAACTCAATTTACTTTTCCTTCCTTAAAGAAGACAAACTTATTTTAGCCATAATTCAAAATCCTATGAACAACAAACTACAAAGAAGTGGGAAGTACTCAACTTGACAGTGTTGTTTTATCTAAAGCCAAAGATATGTCCCCAACCACAATTTTTATCCATAAATTCCAGATGGCACAAGATTGGTAAAAACCATGTTTGTTGGTGTTATTTTACAGTGACTTCTAACAACTGAACTACCAAGAGATTACCACTAAAAGAATAGTTCTCTGTCTCTGGAAAATAAAACTATTTTTTAAAAGTTATTAAGTAGTTCAAGTCAATGTCGAGATAATCATAGTGATCATCACTCTTTATAGTGGACTGGCTTCATAAAATTAGATGAAAACAGTAGGATATTTGGCATAAAAACAGCCTGAAAGACATGGTATGGTGTCTTTCAGGAACAGAACCCAAGAGCTTAGACCTGGAGATAGAACCCAGCCAAAACAGGTAAAAATCTCTGCTTTCATAGAGCTCAGAGGCTATCTTGAAGCATCCCATAATTTGGAAGTAAAATACATTAAAATACCTTGCAAGTTTATCTGCATTATCTTTACATTAGATTTAACATATACAAAATGGCTGAGCCTCACCCTATGTAAGGTTTCTTCCCAACACAGATAAAGAACATGCCTACAAAATAATAATAAAATACCATATAACACCTAATATGGCTTGGCTCTGTGTCCACACCCAAATCTCATCTCAAATTGTAATCCCCAAGTGTCGAGGGAGGAAAGTGATTGGATTATGGGGGTAGTTTCCCCCAAGCTGTTCTCATGATAGCGATTTCTCATGAGATCTGATGGTTTTATAAACGGTAGTTTTTCCTGCACCCCCACACTCTCTCTCTTGCCTGCTGCCATGTAAAACACTCAATGCTGTACTGGCTTCAGGTCTGACCAAGCACAGTCCCAGTGGTGGTGGCCACAAGCATCTTGTGCCATTCCTCCTCTAACTTCAGGCAGCTCAGCACAGGGAGACTCTTGCTTGTTTAGGAGAAACAAACAAAGTAAGTTTGGGAGTAAGGAAAGAGAACAAGTCTCTGCCTGATAATCCAGAGAATTCCTTCAGATCTTATCCAAGATCACCAAGGTGGTACTTCTATGAGTGTGCGAGAGCCACCACATTACAGGGTTTGGGGTGCCCCCTAATGAAAATATGACTACAGTGACCAAAAACAGAGATAACAATACCCAAGTTCCTTCAAATGCCTGAAAAGCCTTCCTAAGAATGGTGGGTAAAAACAAGCCAAAACTACAAGACTACAATAAATACCCAACTCTTCAATTCCCAGTCACCAAAAAAAATCCCCAAGCATCAAAACCACCCAGGAAAACATTGCCTTACCAAACAAACTAAGTAAGGCACCAGGGAACAATGCTGGAGACAGAGATATGTAACCTTTCAGATGGAGAATTCAAAATAGCTGTTTTGAGGAATCTCAAATAAACTCAAGATAACACAGAGAAGGAATTCAGAATTAAATCACATAAATTTAACAATCAGATTGAGATAATTTAAAATAATTACATAGAAATTCTGCAGTTGAAAAATGCAACTGACATGCTAAAGAATGCATCAGGGTCTCTTAACAGCAGCACTGATCAAGGAGAAGAAAGAATTAGTGAGCTTGAAGACAGGCTATTTGAAAATATTCAGTCAGAGGAAAAAAAGGAATAAAAAAGAATGAAGCATACCTATAAGATCTAGAAAACAGCCTCAAAAGGGCAAATCTAAGAGTTATTGGCCTTAAAGAGGAAGTTAAAAAATAATCGAGATGGGAGTAAAAACTTTATTCAAAGGGGTAATTACAGAGAACTTCTCAACCCAAGAGAAATATATCAATATTCAAGTATAAAAAGGTTATATAACAACAAGCAGATTTAACCTAAAAAAAGAGCAGAAGACACTTAATAATCAAACTCCCAAAGGTCACGGATAAAGAGAGGATCCTAAAAGGAGCAAGAGAAAAGAAATAAATAATATACAGCAGGGCTCCAATATGCCTGGCAGCAGACTTTTCAGTGGAAACTCTACAGGCCAGGAGAGAGTGGCATGACATTTAAAGAGCTGAAAGAAGAACACTTTTACCCTAGAATAGTATGGACAGTGAAAATATCCTTCAAACATGAAAGAAAAATAAAGAAATTCCTAGACAAACAACGCTGAGGAATTTCATGATCAACACTAGACCTGTCCTACATGAAATGCTAAAGGATTATTCAATTTAAAAGAAAAGGATATTAATAGGCAAAAAACAAATCATCAAAAGGTACAAAATCATCTAAAGGTACTGGTAATAGTAAGTACACAAAAAACATACAATATTAAAACACTGCAATTGTGGTATGAAAAGTACCAAAAGATGAGCCCATCAAAAATAACAAAAACAATTCTTCAAGACATGGTACAAAAAATATAAATAGTAAAAACAAAAAGCTAAAAAGTGGAGGGATGAAGTTAAATTGTAGAGTTTATTGGTCTTCTCTTTGTTTGTTTTTTAGTTTATTTATGAGATCAGTGTTAAGTTGCCACCAGTTTAAATAATGGGTTATAAATGTCACAGTATTTGCAAGCCTCATGGTAACCTTAAATCAAAAAACATACAATGGATACACAAAAAATAAAAAGCAAAAAATTAAAACATATCACCAGAGAAAATCACCTTCACTAAAAGAAAGAAAGAAGGAAAGAAGGAAGAGAAGACCACAAAAAAAATTTTTTTAATTAAAAATGGCAGGAGTAATTCCTTACTTATCAATAATATTGAATGTAAATGGACTAAACTCTCCAATCAAAAGATACAAACTGGCTGAATGGATGAAAAAACAAGACCCAATGACCTGTTGCTTACAAGAAACACACTTCATCCACAAAGACACACATAGACTGAAAACAAAGGATGGAAAAAGATATTCCATGCCAATAGAAACCAAAAAGGAGCAAGAATAGATATGTTTATAACAGACAAAATCGATTTCATGACAAAAAACTGTAAGAGACAAAGAAAGTCACTACATAATGATAAAGGGGTCAATTCAGCAGGAGGATATAACAATTATAAATATATATGCACCCAACATTGGAGCACCCAGATGTATATAGCAAACATTACTGGAGCTAAAGAGAGAGAAACCCAACACAATAATAGTTGGAAACTTCAAAACCCCACTTTCAGCACTGGTCAGATCTTCCAGACAGATTTTCAATAAAGAAACATCTGACTTAATCTGCACTATAGACCAAAAGGACCTAACAGGTATCTACAGAACATTTTGTCCAATGGCTGCAGAACAGATATGCTTTTTGTTAGCTCATGAATAGACCATAAGTTAAGTCACAAAACAAGTCTTAAAACATTCAAAAATTGAAATAATATCATACATCTTCTCTGACCACAATGGAATAAACCTAGAAATCAACAACAAGGGGAATTTGGAAATGATACAAATGCATGGAAATCGAAATGAAACAACATAACATGCTACTGAATGATCAGTGAGTCAATGAAGGGATTAAGAAGGAAACTGAAAAATTTCTTGAAAAAAAAAAATGGTACCAGAAATATAACATGCCAAATCCTATGGGATACAGCAACAGCAGTACCAAGAGGAACGTTTATAGCTATAAGCACTTACATCAAAAAAGAAAACTTCAAATAAATGACCTAATGGTACACCTTAAAGAACAAGAAAAGCAAGAGCAAACCAAACCCAAAACTAGTAGAAAAGAAATAATAAAGATCAGAGCAGAAATAAATAAAACTGAAATGAAGAATACAAAAGATCAATGAAATGAAAAGTTGATTTTTAAACAGATAAACAAAACTGACCAACCTTTAGCCAGACTAATTAACAAAAAAATTAACAAAAAAAGACAGAAGACCCAAATTAATAAAATTAGAAATAAAAAAGGAGCTATTACAACCAATACTACAGAAATTCAAAGGATCATTAGCAGCTATTATGAGCAATTATATAATAAATTGGAAAATCTAGAAGAAATGGATAAATTCCTAAATACATAACCCTTACCAAGACTGTACCAAGAAGAAATCCCAAATCTGAACAGAACAATAACAAATAATAGGATGAAGCCATAATAAAGTTTCCCAGCAAAGAAAAGTCTGGGACCTGCTGGCTTCACTGCTGAATTCTACCAAACATTTAAAGAGCTACTAATACCAATCCTACTCAAACAATTCCAAATAATAGAGAAGAGAATACTTCCAAACTCATTCTACAATGCTAATATTACCCTGATACCAAAACTAAACAAAGACACATGAAAAGAAGAAAATGATGGGCCAATATCACTGATGAATGTTGATGCAAAAACCCTCCAGAAAATACCAGCAAATGAATTCAACAACACACTAAAAAGATCATTCATCAAGACCAAGTGGGATTTATCCCAGTGATGCAAGGATAGTTTAACATATGCAAATCAAAGTGACACATCATACCAACAGAATGGAGGACAAAAAAACATATGATCATTTCAACTGGTGCTGAAAAAGCATTTGATAAAATTCAACATCCCCTCATGATATGAACCCTCCAAAAAACTGGGTATAGAAGGAATACACCTCAACACAATAAAAGCCATATAGACAGACCCACAGCTAGTATCATACTGATTAGGGGGAAAACTGAAAGCCTTTCCTCTAAGATCTAGAACACAACAAGGATGTTCACTTTCACCACTGTTATTCAATGTAATACTGGAAGTCTAACTAGAGCAATTAGACAAGTGAAAAAATAAAAAAACATCCAAATTGGAAAGGAAGAAGTCAAATTATCCTTGTTTGCAGATGACATAATCTTATATTTGGAAAAACCTAAAGACTCCGTCAAAAACCTATTAGAGCTGATAAACAAATTCAGTAAACTTGCAAGATACAAAATCAACATACAAAAGTCAGTAGCATTACTATATGCTACCATCAAACAATCTGAAAAAGAAATCTACAAAGTAATTTCATTTACAAGAGCTACAAATAAAAACTAAATACCTAGGAATTAACCAAAGAAGTGAAAGATTCCTCTAATGAAAACTATAAAACACTGATGAAAGAAATTGAAGAAGACAACAATAAATGGAAAGATATTCTATGTTCATGAATTGGAAGAATCAATATTGTTAAAATGCCCATACTATTCAAAGCAATATACAGATTCAATGCAATCCCTATCAAATACCAATGACATTCTTCACAGAAATAGAAAAAAAAAAACTATACTAAAATTTATATGGAACCACAAAAAACTCAGAATAGCCAAAGCTATCCTAAACAAAAAGAAGAAAACTGGAGAAATCACATTATCTGATGTCAAATTACACTACAAAGGTACAGTAACCGAAATAGCAAGGTACTGGCATAAAAATAGACACATAGACCAATGAAGTGGAATAGTGAACCCCAAAATAAATCCACACACCTACAGTGAACTCATTTCTGACAAAGGTGCCAAGAGTATACACTTGGGAAAGGATAGTCTCTTCAATAAATGGTGCTGGAAAAAACAGACATCCATATACAGAAGAATGAAACTAGACCCCATCTCTCCGCATATACAACAACCAAATAAAAAATTAAAGACTTAAGTCTAAGATCTCAAATTATAAAACTACTACAAGAAAACACTAGGGAAACTCTCCAGGACATTGGTCTGGGCAAAGGTTTCTTGCAATACCCCACAAGCATAGGTAATCAAAGCAAAAATAGATAAATGAGATCTTATGAAGGTAAAAATCTTCTGCAAAGCAAAGAAAACAATCAACAAAGTGAAGAGACAACCCACAGAATGGGAGAAAATATTTGCAAACTACCCATCTGACAAGGGATTAATAACCAGAATAGGTAAGGAGCGCAAACAATTGTATTGGAAAAAAACTAATAATCTAATTTTAAAATGGGCAAAATACTTGAATAGACATTTCTCAAAAGAAGACATACAAATGAGAACAAATAGATGAAAAGGTGTTCAACATCACTGATCATCAGAGAAATGCAAAACTGCAATGTGAAATTATCTCACTCCAGTTAAAATGGCTTTTATCCAAAAGACAGGAAATAAATGCTGGTGAGGATGTGGAGAAAAGAGAACACTCATATACTGTTGGTGGGAATGTAAATCAGTACAACCACTATGTAGAACAGTTTGGAGCTTTTGCCAAACTGATTTGTTTGTAACATGAAGAAAGGATACATGTTTGAGGTGATGGATATCCCATTTACCCTGATGTGATTATTACGCATTATATGCCTGTATCAAAGTATCTCATGTAGTCCATAAATATACACCTACTATGTACCCATGAAAATTAAAAACATTTTAAAAATATGTAATGTCAAATATAAATATTCTTATTTTCCAAACTTAAAGAATTTAAATTACTATCTTCAGTCAATAAGAAGATGAAGAGATGGAAGAAGAAAGGAAGGGAAGAACAAACTTACTAAGCATTTGGAAAGAAAAAATAGAGTTAATATAGAAGGGAGCAGAAGAGCAGACAGGGTATTATGGGTGAGGGTGAGGGATGGTATCAGAGGGCTAAGAGAACTAAAATGTGAAATGAATCATCACCAGTTAGCTGATCTCAGAAGAAACACTTGTTAAACTTGCGTAAGTGTAGGAAGTTTATACTGTTAAAGGATACCCACTCTAAGTAAACAGGTACCACACTTATAGCAATCATCCTTTCAAAATTCCTATAGGTGTATGTAAATCAAATCCTGTATTATTTGTTAAAGTCACTACATCTAAAACTTTTAAAGTAACATTTAATTACAACCCCAAACCCATCAACTCTCTTTGGCCACAGAATTGACCTTTCTAAAATAGTTGGTATATAAAATATGCTACTACAGAAAAATAATCAGTATGCAAAAGTAAGTGTTTCAGTCACCAGTACCTATAGCAGAGAAATGAGCCTAATGTTTATACTTACAGGAACTAGGAAGTATTAGGCCAGGATAGGCTGGAGGAGAAAATCTAAGTATAAGAAAGCATGTGAGGCCAGGTGCGGTGACTCATGCTTGTAATCCCAGCACTTTGGGAGGCCGAGGCAAACAGATCACCTAAGGTCAGGCGTTCAAGACCAGCCTGGTCAACATGGAGAAACCCCATCTCTACTAAAAATACAAAAATTAGCAGGGCGTAGTGGCACATGTCTGTAATCCCAGCTACTCGGGAGGCTGAGGCAGGATAATCACTTGAACCCATGAGGCAGAGGTTGCAGTGAGCCAAGATCACACCATTGTACTCCAGCCTGGGTGACAGAGGGAGAGTCTGTCTTAAAAAAAAAAAAAAAAAAAAAAAGGATGTGGACAGGTGTGGTGGCCCATGCCTGTAATCCCAGCACTTGGGGAGGTTGAGGTGGGCAGATCACCTGAGGTCAGGAGTTCAAGACCAGCCTCGCCAACATGGCAGAACCCTGTCTACTAAAAATTAGCTGGGCATGGTGGCATAGGCCTATAATCCCAGCTACTCAGGAGGCTGAGGCATGAGAATCGTTTGAACCCAGAAGGGGTGGGTTGCAGTTGCAGTGAGCCAAGATCGTGCCACTGCACTCCAGCCTGGGTGACAGAGTGAAATTGTGTCAGGGGGAAAAAAGCATGCTGTGAATAAGGGAAATAAAAGAGAAAAGGCTAAAGGTCATTGGTTTGTAGTGATCATAGAGCTGAGGAAAAATAGTTCCAAAGACCCACAGCAGTTTTCTTGTAATGAATAGAGTACTGGGAAGCAAGTGAATTGACGATTATGCTAACTCAGTGAGGCAGGATGTAACCTACAGACATTCTCTTTTTCCACCATCATCTGGTTAACCTATAGAGAATTTAAGGACGCTACCCAAACCTCAATTTTATTCAAGTGAAGATGAACTTCCGTATTTTTTTAACTGTCTCATATTTCTAGCTTAGATCACTGATAGAAAGAAAAGTTCCAATTCTTCAAGGAGACAGAACAGAAAAGTGCCAAACTTGTTTCTTTAATTTTCTCCTTTAAATGACTGGTGATTTTTCATTTCATACAGAATTTCCAAATTTGGAAGGACAATTTAAAATTTACTGAAGTTAAGAATAAATGCTGCTTTAAGATCAAAAGGTAAGCTAACATAGAGAGCAAGTATCTGTTCAGAGTTTAAACCCAAAGTATGACCTACTTTTAAGACTTTATAGCCTAGAGGAGAAAGTCTGTAGATCTAAATGTCAGCATGTTCTTTTAAAATTATTATTGTGATTATTTTTAACTCCATCATTCTCTCAATGAAAAAAACCACACACAATATAGCCTATTTATTAAAAACTAGTGAACACCACATCAGAAAGAGTAACACATATCTATAGAAGAATTATCATGGAAATAAAAAATGTATCAGCACTGACAGCAACCGTCAGGAATGTTTGCTCCCACAGTCCAAATAGCATTAAAAATTGAAACAACAGGTTTTTCAGTGTTAGATATGTGGAACAGGTATTTGAGGAATTTTTAAAGAATTTTTTGCTCTTAATAAAGACAAATCAGTGAAACGCTCATTTTTCATGGTAATTCTCTGTAAGCTGTGTATAAAAAAAATTTAAAATATAGACTTCAGAGACATAAAAGAATCACTTGCAAATGTCCATAGGGGCTCAAAGAAAACTATGATACAGTGGTTGAAAGCAATCTCTTTGAAATCAGACACACCTGGGTTTCTTGGCTGTAATATTTCTAGTTGTAAAATAGGCAAGTTACTTAACCTCTTTAAGCCTTAGTTTTCTCATCTGCGAAGTGAGAATAATAGTAACACCAATTTCAGTGAGCTGTGGTGAAAATTAAATGAAATAATAAATTTAAAGTGCTCAAACCACTTCTGGCAATGATCAACAAATAACAGCTATTGTTTTATTTTAATATGATATAGGCAATTTAAAAGTAAATGACTATTGAGAAACAGTTGCCATATTATTAATTCTCAGAATATGCTAAGCAGAAGTCAAGGATATATTTTAAATCAATGGAACAAACCACTTAGTCATTATGATCACCATCAAAGAGTGTTATAGAAATCAAGCCAAAAGAGTCATTGCCCTCAAGGAGCTTATTATCCAAAACAGATGACACTGGCACCAACTAACATGTAAAAGGTCAGAGCCATGGGCAGAATTGTACAACAAACTTAGACCAGAAAGAGCTTAAGAGCAAAACAACAACAACAACAACAACAACAAAGGAATTAAGATATAAAAACATTCATGCATAAGTAAGGTTCACAGATCAGAGTTCCTGGATCAACAAATGAGACAGGAAAAGTATTTAGAGAGTAATTTTTAAACTTCTTCCTGTCTTACCAGCATTTTCAGCGTGAATTGTGTCTTTCCTTTTATAGACTGCTAACTGACTACAATAAAACTTTGAGGTAAGTTTTGACGAGTCTTCAGAGATGGATAATAATTTCCATATCCACCAGGAAAGAATCAAAAACTGCTTCACTGAGTCTTAATCACATGATCAGAATGTGTAAAATTGTCAGGAAATTTCTCAGGTTTTTCCATCATATTGTTATAATTCTTAAAGGAATAATACTCAAATAAGCAACTAGGGAAAGAATTTCAAAGCTCTGACACAATGATGCTACTGTTCATTATTTACATAAATACTCACTCTGGGTTTGTTTTTACGTTCTGCATTTCTTCTAACTGTTCTGATTTACTCATCCCTTGGGCAGCCAGTGAATAGTCTAATTTTGCTCCTCAGGCTTAAAAAATCTATTTAATCAAGTTAGATACATTTTTGTTTCCTTTTAAGTACCATGGTATATTAAATTATTCTAGAAATACCTAAAGATAATTGAAGCTAATATTGTAGTCTTGCTTTTGAAAACAATAAACCTTTCTCCTTCTGAAGTCTGAGGTGTCAGTTATTACTTTTCCTTCTAAGCAAATCAGCCAAAAACTCAGATGATGTACAGATCCCAGTAACTGTCAATAACAGAGTTAATTCAGTAATATACCAATTAACAAAATCTGATCTCTGATCTCAGATCAATGTGAACTTTCTTCTATAAAATACATACTAGAGAGGTTCACCAAAAGAAATGGTATTGCTAACATGAAGGGAGTTTGAGAACTTAACATATTAACATCAACCAGAAAACAAACATATAAACTTCTAAGCTGATATGAGAATCAAAATAATAACTGCTAATACTGAGACACAAAACTTACTACCTTGCCAAGTACTGCTCTTTATGTGTATGTGCGCGCATGTGCGTGCATGTATGCATTTGGTCCTCCTGACAAGTCCGGAGGTAGGTACTGCTATTACCCCCATTTTATAACCATAAAAACTCAATCAGCTAATAAGCAGCAGAGCCTGAATTTGAATCCAGGCATACTTCCGAAGTCCACACTATTAACCACTGTACTATAATGACTTAACTAAATTCATTAACTCAATATAATACATATAAAAGCAAATTAAAACTTGAAGTGCTGAAAAATATACATAATAACTCTTACAACATAAATTCATTTTAATGGAATAATATCTAAACTTTTTGTATAGGGATACAGATCAGATGGCATTCTCAACTGCAGTATAAAGTGAAATTAGGCAAAGAATGGAAAGTAGATCCCGAAATTGCTGGAGAGGCTATATAATCAGGCTCAGAAAATATATGAGAATACAGAAGTCTTGGCACATCCCGGATCCCAGCCAGATTCCAGACTCAGAACCAGGCTGGAGGACACCACTGACACTCCAGAATGCTGGATGTGACACCGTCAGTGGCATTGCTACCCCTGAAAATTGGATGTTGCCACTACTCCTGCTGCCACAAAGGAATATATTCTCTCCTTTCACTAGCTCCTGAATCAAAGCCCAGAGTACATGGAATTGATTGGCCAAATCTAGGTTGCATACCTGCATTCTCATAATACAAAGAGGCCAGGAAAGTGAGCATTTGCCATTCTTGGCTTTTGGAGTGAGAACTGTGCTCCACTTCCAAGAATTATGTGCTCTACAATCCATTTAATGGCATCGGGAGACGTGATTGTCTTCCAGGTGGTGACTCTCAAAAGCTGAGTCATGTATACGTACATATGCTCCCTGTGCATGTTCTTAAGCTTTTAGTAATCCTCAGGAATGTTAAAGACCAAAAGTTTACCCCTTCATTTATTAAACAGACCTTCTTGATGTCCTAAAATTGTCTCTTTCAAAATTTTCAAAATCTATTAATTTTGCCATTTTCAGGTTAGCATGTGGGTGTGTGAGATGAGGGCTTAAGTGAGCTGACTTAACCCTGCTATGTTGACACCAACAAGGGTATTTCAAAAACATGTTTAAGATTAAAATACTATTTATAAATCTTTTATTTATTTATTTATTTATTTATTTATTTATTTATTTAATTTATTTATTTTTTGAGACAGAGTCTCGCTCTGTAGCCCAGGCGATCTTGGCTCACTGCAAACTTCGCCTCTCAGGTTCAAGCGATTCTCCTGCCTCAGCCTCCCAGTAGCTGGGATTACAGGTGCCTGTCATCATGCCTGGCTAATTTTTGTATTTTTAGTAGAGAAAGGGTTTCACCATGTTGGCCAGGCTGGTCTCAAACTCCTGAACTCAAGTGATACGCCCACTTCGGCCTCCCAAAGTGGTGGGATTACATACGTGAGCTACCACGCCTGGCCTAAAATTCTTCATTTTAAAACAATTTTAGACTTACCAAAAAGTTGTTAAAAATGTTAGAGAGGTCCATATCACAGCTTCCCCTAATGTTAACATCTATCAAGATTATATAATTATCAAAAAAAACAGAAGAGTAACACTGATAGAATTCTATTAGCTAATCTACAGACCTCATTCCAATTTCACCAGTTTTCCTACTAATGTGCTTTTTTTTCTAGTCCACATCAAATACAGGATCTCACATTGCATTTAGTTGTCATATTTCCTTAGTCGCCTCCAATCTAGGATAGCTCATGATTTTGACATGTGAAAACTAGTGGCCAGTTATTTTACAGACTCCCTCTCAAGTTGGGTTTGTCTGGTGTTTTCTCATTATTAGGTTAAGGCTACACATTTTTGTAAGAATCTGACAGAAGTGTTGTTATGCCTTCATATGCATCATATCAAGATTTATATGATGTCAATATGTCTTATTACAGATGATGTTATCTTTAATGTCTCTGTTAAGGTGGTATCTGGCAGGTTTCTTCAGTGTAAAGTTATTAATTCTCCCTTTGTAGCTGATAAATATCTTGTGAGGAAATACCTTGAAACTATGTAAATATTCTGCTTCTCATCAGAGCTTTGCTCAACTAATTTTAGCATCCATTAATGATTCCTGATTACAATAAGTGTTACTATGGTATCTGCCTCATGGTGATTTTCTATTATTCGTTCTACATTTATTAATTGGAATTATACTGTAAGGAAGAGTTGTTTCTTATCTACTTATTATTTCTATCAGTATGGATTCATGATATTTAACTTATTCTATGGGTTATAGTTCACAGACTTGCCCCTGATTCGGTCATAGGGAGCTCCTCCCAGTTAGCTCCTGTGTCCTTCTGACATGCCCCCATTGTTTTGTTAAACAAATTATCCCAACTTGACTAATATCATTGTATTAGTCCATTCTCATGTGGCTAATAAAGACATACCAGAGACTGGGTAATTTATAAAGGAAAGAGGTTTAATTGACTTACAGTTCCACAGGGCTAGGGAGGCCTCAGGAAATTTACAATCATGGCAGAAGGAAGAAGAAGCAAATACAACCTTCCTGCATGGCAGCAGCAAGAAGTGCCGTGTGAAGAGGGGGGAAAGCCCCTTATAAAACCATCAGATCTCGTGAAAATTCACTCACTATCACAGGAACAGCATGAGGATAACCGCGCGCATGATTAAATTACCTCCCACCCTCCCATGACACATGGGGATCATGTGAACTACAATTCAAGATGAGATTTGGGTGGGGACACAGCCAAACCATATCAATCACTGAGAAAATATATTCCAGAGTGAGCTCAATCAGGGTAACTTAATTCCTTTGTCAATTATCTTTACTACACAAATGAACCATTTCCAATTTTTTTTCCTTTTCAGTTTAATTTTACTGAAATTTTTCTCACTGAGATTCAGTTGTCCATTTAACTTCTACACCAAATATTTATCTATTTTTAAAAATTCACTGGGAATTTTCTTTTGTGACCACAATTCTACCAAATCCAATTCTGCAGAGTCAAATACTGCAGATGTAAATTTTAAAAAGAATTTTTGAAGCTGGAGGGAGAATTTTAGAGGTCCTTTAGCCCAATCTACTCATTTTACAGAACAGAAAACTGAGGCAAGGAGAGGTCAAGCACTTTACCTTAAACAGCTAGTTTTGAAGCAGCAGCGGCACAAAAGTTAGTACAGTGCTCTTCTTCCACACCACAGTGCAGGATCCTCTCCTAACCCTTATCAAAATCAGTCCACACACATACTGAGAAATGCATCTCTACTGAGGATAACTGTGCCATTTCAGTAAGGATATGCATCCAGAAGGAAGTTTGATCCAAAGTTGAGTAAGGCAGGAAGAAAGCTAGTTAAACATGGGCCAGAGGTCCTAAGCAAAGTAGTAATATAGGTAAAAGAGGCACAGGGTCAAGGCATGAAAAGACAAGGGAACTGTAGAGGAAAAAAATCAGACCTCAGTGAGGTTCTGCAAACAGAAATCCAGCCTCAAGTCAAAAAAATTGGGGCCTATTTTTAGCTAGGATCTAGGGAAAGAGGGTAATAGGCATGGATACAAGCCCCCAAAATTAGTAAATTAACTCATTGACTTTTAAACTGAGTTGGTTATGGACCTGAGAATTTTGTGACTCAACACATCCAAAACAATTCATTACAGCCTTCCCTGTCCCCCGACTTCCATGGGCAAATCTCCCTACCTTGACAGGTAGCCTGGGTCTCCAGTTACTTATTCTCATAAACAACTCATCCTAAATTCCTTATATACAAACATTTACCAAGTTGTGTAGGTGTCCTACATCCTAATATCACTTTAGTACACTCTGTTCTCCATTCTCACTC
This sequence comes from Homo sapiens, assembly GCF_000001405.40. Taxonomy (NCBI): domain Eukaryota; kingdom Metazoa; phylum Chordata; class Mammalia; order Primates; family Hominidae; genus Homo; species Homo sapiens. Next base: position 37,634,673 of record NC_000005.10, on the reverse strand, counting down.
CACATACTTGGTTGAGGTTCTCATCATCTCACTTAAGACTGGACTCACTCAGTATCTCTGAACTGACCTCCTGCCTATTGCCTTATTTCCTCCAATCTGTCTTCCTTATAGAACAAAGTCATTTCTAAAAAATGTAAGTCTGATCATAGACTTCCCTCTCCATATCACGCCACTCCAATGCCACCAAAAGAGGTAAGGTTAGAGATGTGTGAGGTAAGGTTAGAGATGCATTTGAAAAAGTATATTCAATCTATCCACTGTTTTTGTAACATACAGAGTACAGCAAGCAAAGCTTAATAAAGTCTTCTTAGATAATTAGGAAACACAAAATATGCACTAGGTTTTTTTTTTTCTTTTTTTTCTTTTTTTTTTTTTGAGACAGGGTCCCACACTGTCGCCCAGGCTGGAGTGCAGTGATGCAATCTCAGCTCACTACAAGCTCCGCCACCTGGGTTCACACCATTCTCCTGGCTCAGCCTCCCGAGTAGCTGGGACTACAGGCACCTGCCACCACGTCCAGCTAATTTTTTGTATTTTTAGTAGAGATGGGGTTTCACCGTGTTAGCCAGGATGGTCTCCATCTCCTGACCTCGTGATGCGCTCACCAAGACCTCCCAAAGTGCTGGGATTACAGGTGTGAGCCACCACACCTGGCCATATGTACTAGTTTTTAAAATATTGAAAAATACTCTCCTGTAGAATAAGATAGAATCACTTGGTCCAAGTCTATCTTTATAAATGGGGAACTCCACACAAACTGGCGATCACTATCAAACTTGAACATACACACAGCCCTATATGTTTCAGGTTTATATAAGAGGACTACTGTGTAAGCATGTAGATTTAGGAATATAGTAGGGAATGCTTTGTTTTTGGCTTACTGTATGTATCTTGTTTAACCAAAGTATTCTTAATTTATCAATATAAAAATAATGCCTATCATGTATTTTGCTGTTAACTTCAAACTACGATTCAGTGAAATGTCTAAAATATATTTTCCTCTTTGCGACACATATTTCATGTGTGGGAAGACATTCAAGCTCCATTCAAGTATCTTTAGAATCTCCATATGTTTTAACTCACAGCATTTAGAAAGCTTCCTCTGCTAATAAATGGTTTATAGGCAAACCTCCTAAGTTTAAAAATTAAAATAGTAAGATATCATCTGGCTACTAGATCTAGTGAATGTCAAAAAAATTCCATTTAAGTTATGGCCGTTTAAACTCAGCAAAATGTTTTAATTTTACACCATTTCTATAATCTTGACTCACTATCTCGGTAATAAAATATATAATACATAAATATAGTATAGAATAAATTATTTCCTTCAATGTACATGGGCTTGACATATTATTTTCCTTAAGGGAAACAGATATAAAATTCTGAAGTACTTCTAATCTAGTCAATTTAAGAGATAGCATTTGGAAATATAGTGAAGGGGAAAAAACTCTGGTAGTCACTCCTTGCCTAATTACAGTCATGGGTCACTAAACAATGAGAATAAGTTCTGAGAAATGTGTTCGTTAGATGATTTCCTCATTATGTGAACATCACAGAGTGTACTTATACAAACATAGATGGTAAGACTTACATGGAATAGCCTATTGCTCCTAGGCTACAAACCTGTACAGAATATTACTATACTGAGTACTACAGGCAACTGTAACACCATGGTCAATATTTGTGTATCTAAACATATCTACACACAGAAAAGGTATAGTAAAGACATGGTATAAAAAGTAAAAAATGGTATCCCTGTATAGGGCACTTACCACGAATGGTGCTTGCTGGACTAGAAGTTGCTGTGGGTGAATTAGTGACTGAGTAGTTAGTGAATGTGAAGGTCTAGGACATTACTGTACACTATTGTACACTTTATAAATGCAGTAAGCTTAGGCTATACTAAAATTATTAAAAGTGTTTTTCTTTCTTCAATAATAAATTAACTGTAGCTTACTGTAACTTTTTGAGTATATCAACTTTTAATTTTTTAAAACTTTTATAATAACACATAAAACACACATTGTATAGCTATACAAAATATTTTCTTTCTTTATATCCTTACTCTATAAACTTTTGTCTATTAAAAATTTTTAACTTTTAAAACTTTTTTGTTAAAAACTAAGACACAAACACACATGTTAGCCTAGACCTACACAGGGTCAGGATCATCAATATCAGTGTCTTCCACCATTATATATCAACCCACTGAAAGGTGTTCAGAGGTAATAACACACATGGAACTGTCATCTCCTATGATAAAAATGCCTTCTTCTGGAATATTTCCTGAAGAACCTGAGGATGTTTTACAGTCAACTGCTTTTTTAAATAAGTAGAAGTAGACTCTAAAATACACTAAAGGTATAGTATAGTATATACATAAACCAGTAAGTCATTTATTATCAAGTATTTTGTACTATACATAACTGTATCTGCTCTACTTTTATACTACTGGCAGCATAATAGGTTTGTTTATACCAGCATCACTACAAACACGAGTAACACATTGTGCTGTAATGTTAAGATGGCTATGACATCACCAGGTAATATAAATTTTTCAGCTACATACTAATCTTATGGGAGCACCACCGCATACACAGACTGTCATTAACTGAAATGTTAGGTGGTGCATGACTGTACTTGAGTCTAAACTGACCTCTCCAACTTGTATTCCGTTTTGATCCTTATTAACTGTAACAGAGGGGACCAGGAGATTATCTTTGCAGTATGTCCCCTCTGCCTCTCCTGGCTCTCCTCCCCACTCACCCGGCTCTGCTGGTACTCTGTGGGTGCACAGATAAGTAGTAGGATTTTTCTATATGAGACAGATCCTCCAACAGACAATTTCACCCGTGATAATATACATTCCCTGGCTTTGAAACAACCCGTAGAGGAAAATGAGCCCTCTAGAGTCACTACCTTTCAGATGGCCCTTCACTTAGGCTGGATGAATGGGATCCCACACACTGAGAGGCCCTAGAGATGTTGGTTAAAAGTACAGACCCTGGAGCCAGACTGCCTAGAGTCAAATCCCAGATCTACCTGCCTCTTACTGTATGTCCTTAGGTAAATTACTGAATCTTAGTTAACTCATCCTTAAAACAGGGATAAAAACACTAACCTCATATAACTATAAAATGAGCTAGTACATTGAAAAGCATTAATAACAATTCCTGGTACACAGTGGGTACACAATGTTAGCAGTTATTAAAATAATTATTATTACTACTATCACTAATATTGTTATCACCACTATTGTTACTAACGGTGAGGTAAATAGCAGCGAGAAGGAGATGAATTATCTGGTCAAGCTCTATATATCAAATTACAATAAAGCTAACTGCCTTCATTGGGCAAACTCTGTTGATTTAGTTCTATAACATATTTACAAGACTATGAAGGTAGGCAAGAAGGCTAACTAGAGATGCCTGGCATTTGTCCCCCCAGACTAAAAAGGACCAAGGCTACAAATAAACAACTAAGATTTGATTTGAGTGTTGAAGATAGAGTGCTGCAGTGTGGCAAGGGAGTGAAGATGCATCTGTAATGACAGGAGGGCAGCATGGAAGCACATAGCCTCTATAACCCCATCTCCCCGACCTGGATCAGATCTGCCTGGCGTCGGAGGGAACTTTCCATCATGGGAAAAAGGTAAGCAGAATATCACCACCAACCCCCATTGCCACCACAAATGCCTACAGTCCTTCAAACAGAAGAATCCCATGGTCCTTACAAGCTCTCAGCTCCATCTGGAGAAATGCCAGGAATTCATGCAGTTTCACTGCTCCAGATTAGGAGCACAAGGTGCACCCTCTCCCCTGTGAGACAAGCTACTGCAGCAGAGTGCCATCTTGTTACCTGAGGCACCTCTGGAATGCTCCTTGCTCAGGGAGCCAGTAGCCCTACTGCACTTCTCCAGCACTGGGGTTTCATATTGATTATGCCAAGTCCATACATTATATATGAATGTCACAATCCCAGCTGTGCAGAGTATGGGCCCAGGATTGGCTGTGACTATGGTCCTACACAGCAGGTAACCAACTCCTGGGGCCACACTCCCAATTGCACTAAAAGCCTACCAGTCCTGCCTAGGACAAATCCATCCTTGGGCTAGCCAAACCACTGCATGCCCTCTGCCAGGTGGGAGAGGCCTACAAGTCTGCAAGCAGCTGACATAGCCCTGGGCCAGTGGAGTGGCTAAGTGCCCACACTCAGGGATTCAGAAACACAGTGCCCTCTTCCCTCCCAAGACATGTCCTGCCCAACCCCCTCACATCCTCAACAAGGGTCTGAGAAACAATGCTGTAGGCCACCCCTGGTGGAAACATTGCAGACTGTTGAAGCAGCCATGAGCCTAAATACATGGCTGAGAAACAGCCCTATGAGCCATCCCCAGCAGACATGCCTTAGTCTAGCCAAGCAACTACAAGCATGCCTGTGCTCCTGGCTAGAGTAACATCCCTGTGGCTACAACCCCAGTGAGCCAGACTCCAAGCTGCCTGACCCACTGTGTGCATGAACAAATGCCCAACCTAAGAGACAGCCCAGTTAGCCCAAGCCTGGCAAAGCTGCACTACTGTCACCACAAACTCTCTCAGCCTAGGCCACTGAGAAACTCTCAAATGCCCCCAGTATGGATTACGGTTGAAGAAATTTTATGACAACTACACTACTGTGTCCACCTAGATCCAAAGCCAATGCACTCCATCAAATCAACAACCCAAGATCCATTTATATGAGTAAGTCTTTCCTTGTGACACCTAGTGAATAAAATTGGAAGAGGCGACCACCAGATTCACAGAAATTAATACAGAGACACAGAATAATGAAAAAGCGAGGAAGCATGTCACTTCCAAAGAGAAACATAATTCTCTAGTAACAGACCACAATCATAATACATGCAATGCCAGAAAAAGAATTCAAAATAATAATCTTAAGGAAACTGAGTGAGATACAAGAGAATACAGATAAACAATTCAACAAAATCAGGAAAACAACTTATGATATAAGTAATAAATTCAAGAAAGAGGTGGATTATCATAAAAAAGAACCAAAAAGAAATCCTAGAGCTGAGAATTAAATGAATGAAATAGAAAATATAATTGAGAGCTTCAACAACAGACTATACCAAATGGAGGAAAAAATTTCTGAACTTGAAGATAGATCTTTTGAAATAACACAAGCAGTGGCAAAAATGAATTAAAAAGAATAAGGAAAGCCTAAAGGATTTATGAGATATCATTAAGCAAGCAAATATTCATACTATGGGCATTCCAGATGGAAAAAAGAAGGGTAAAGGTGAGGAAATCATATTTAATGAAATAATAGCAGAAAATTTCCTGAGTCTTGGGAGAGAGATGAGCATTTAGGTCCAGGGAGCTCAAAGAACCCCAAACAGATTCAACCCAAACAGGTCCTCTCTGGAGCCCAACATAGTCAAATTGTAATAAGTAAAAGACAAAGAATTCCAAAAGCATTCAAGAGAAAAGAGTCAAGTCATAAATAAGGGAATCTCCATTAGGCTAACAGCAGATATCTCAGCAGAAAGCTTACAGGCCAGGAGAGAATGGGATGATATATTCAAAGTACTGAAAGCAGGGGTGGGGAAACCCTGCTAGCTAAAAATATTATACCCTGCAAAGCTATCCTTCAGAAATGAAGGAGAAATAAAATCTCCCAATAGAGAAGCAAAAACTAAAGGAATTTATCACCACTAGAACAGTCTTACAAGACATGCTCAAGGGAGTCTTACATCTGGAAGTGAAAAGACAACAGCTACCATCATGAAAACATGTATAACTATAAAACTCACTGGTAGAGCTGATACAAAAGTAAGAAGAGAAAATAATCAATCCTTACCACTAGAGAAAACCACCTAACCATAAAAATGATAAGTAAGGGAATAAGGAACAAAGGATATGCAAAATAACCAGAAAATCAACAAAATGAAAGGAGTAAGTCCTCACCTATCAATAATCTTGAATGTAAGTGGATTAAATTCCCCCATTTAAAACATATACACTATTTGAATGAATGAAAAAACAAGACCCAAACATATTCTGCCTATAAGAATCTCACCTCAGCTATAAAGACACACTTAAACTGAAAGTATTACATGCACATGAAAATCAAGTGAGCAGGAGTAGCTATGCTTATGTCAGACAAAATAGACTTCAAGTTAAAAGCTATAAAGTGACAAAAAAGTACGTTATATAATAATAAAAGGATCAATTCAGCAAGAGAATATAACAATTGTAAATATATTTGCATCCAACACAGGAGCACCCAGATATATAAAGCAAACATTATTAGATCTAAAGGGAGAAATGGGCTTCAGTACATAGTGGGGAACACTTCAATATGTAGTAGGGAATTTCACCCCACTCTCAGCACTGGAAAGGTCATGTAGGCAGAAAATCAACAAAGGAACATAGATTTAAACTGCACCACAGGCCAGAAATGGAGGCTTATGCCTGTAAACCCAACACTTTGAGAGGCCAAGGCAGAGGATCACTTGAGGCCAGGAATTTGAGACAACCCTGGGCAATGTAGTGAAACTCTGTCTCTACAAAAAATAAAAAATAAGCTGGCTGTGATGTCATGTGCCTATAGTCCTAGCTACTAAGGAGGCTGAGGAAGGAGTATCGTTTGAGCCCAGGAATTCAAGGCTGCAGTGAACTATGATCACGCCACTGCACTCCAGCCAAGGTGACAGGGTGAGAACTTGTTTCTACACAAACTGTACCACAGACCTAAAAGACATTTACAGAATATTTCACCTAACAACTTCATTCTTTTCAGCAGCACATGGAACACTCTCCAGGACTGACCATATGTTAGGGCACAAAACAAGTCTCAATAAATTTTTAAAAATCAAGATATGACGCATCTTATCTTGCCACAATGAAATAAAACTAGACATAACAAGAGGAACATTCAAAACTATACCAACACATGGAAACTAAACAAAATGCTTCTAAACAACCAACAGGTTAAACTCAAAATTAAGAATGAAATTTTAAAATTTCTTGAAACAAATGGAAATAGAAACACGATGTACCAAAGCTTATGGCACACAGCAAAAGCAGTATTAAGAGGCAAGTTTATAGTAATACATGCCTATGCCAAAAAATAAAAAGATTTCAAATAAAAAACCTAACAATGCACCTCAAAGAACTAGAAAATGAAGAAAAAAAACAAACAAACCCCAAATTAGTAAAAGAAATAAAAACAATCAGAGCATAAATAAACAAAATTGAGACTGAGGCCTGGCATGGTAGCTCATGCCTGTAATCCCAGCATTTTGGGAGGCCAAGGTTGGAGGATCATTTGAGCCCACACGTTTGAGAACTATGGAAACGTTCTCAAGTTTCCTGGGAAACACGGTGAAACTTCATCTCTACAGAAAAATACAGAAATTAGCCAGGCATGGTGGCACATACCTGTAGTCCCAGCTACTCAGGTGGCAGAGGCAGGATGATCACCTGAGCTCAGGAAGCTGAGGCTGCAATAAGCCAAGATCAAGCCACTGCACTCCAGCCTGGGCAACAGAGTGAGACCCTAAAGAAAAAGACTAAAAAATACACAAAAGATCAAACAGAAAGTTAGTTCTTTGAGAAGATAAACAAAATCAACAAAACGTTAGTGAAACTCAGAAAAAAAGAAAAAAAGAGACTCAAATTTGAAAAAATCATAAACGGAAGAGGATATGTCACAATGGACACCATAGAAATACAAAGGATCATTAGAGAGTACTATGAACAACAATATGCCAATAAATTTGAAAATTTAAAGGAAATGAATAAATTCCTGGACACATACAACCTATAAAGATTGAACCCAGAAGGAAAAGAAAACACAAATAGACCAATTACAAGTCATGAGAGAGAATCAGTAGTAAAAGGTCTTTCAACAACAAAAAAGTCCAAAACCAGACGGCTTTACTGCTGAATTCTACCAAACCTTTAAAGAAGAATTAATACCAATTCTTTCCAAACTATCCCAGAAAATAAAAGAGGAGGGAATTCTTCCTAATTCATTCTACAAGGCCAGCAGAACCCTGATACCAAAACTAGATAAGGATACAACAACGACAACAAGCGGAAAACTACAGCCAGTATCCCTGATGAACACTGTTGCAAAAATCTTCACCAAAATACTAACAAGCTGAGTTCTAACAACACATCAGTAAGAGGATACATCATAATCAAGTGGGATTTATCTCAGGAATGCAAGGATGTCTCAACATATACAAATCAATAAACATCACACACATCAACAGAAAGAAGGATGAAAACCACAAGATGATCTCAATAGATGTAGAAATAGCTTTTGATAAAATTCAACATCGTTTCATGATAAAAACTCTTAATAAATTAAGTATAGAAGGAATATACCTAAATATAATAATGGCCAAATATGGCAAACCCACAAATGACATCTTATGAACAATAAAAAGCTTTCAGCTAAGAACTAGAACAAGACAAAGACTCCCAATCTCAGTATTCTTATTCAACATACTAATGGAAGTCCTAACCAGAGCAATTAGGCAACAGATATATAAAAGGCATCCAAATCGGAAAGGGAGAAGTCAAAATGTCCCTGTTTGCAGATGACATGATCTTATATATGGAAAAACATACCGACTTTACTACAAAAAAAAAAAAAAACTCTCTTAGAACCCATAACAGAATTCAGTAAATTTGTAGGGTACAAAATTAATATACAAAAATCAGTAGCCTTTTTATACATGAGTAATGAACTACTCATCTAATAGGGGATTAATATCCAGAATATACAAAGAACAGAAAAACAAACAAAAACAAATCCAATTAAAATATGGGCAGGCTGGGAGAGGTGGCTCAAGCCTGTAATTCTAGCACTTTGGGAGGCTGAGGCGGGCAGATCACTTGAGGTCAGGAGTTCAAGACCAGCCTGGCCAACACGGTGAAACCACATGTCTACTAAAAATACAAAAAAAAATTAGCTAGGCATGGTGGCGGGCACCTGTAATCCCAACTACTCAGGAGGCTGAGGCAGGAGAATTGCTTGAACCCGGGAGTTGGAGGTTGTAGTGAGCTGAGATCACACCACTGCACTCCAGCCTAAGTGACAGAGTGACACTCTGCCTCAAAAAACAATAAAAATAAAAACAACAACAAAAAATATGGGCAAATGATCTGAACAGATAGAAGACGACATACATATGGTCAACATGTATAAGAAAAAATACTCATGAACACCACTAACCATCAGGGAAGTGCAAATCAAAACTATAACTAGATAACATCTCATTCCAGTTAGAATAACTATTATCAAAAAGAAAAAAATAATAACAAATGCTGACAAGGATGTGGAGAAAAGGGAACTCATACACTATTGGTGGGAACGTAAATTTGTATAGCCATTATGGAGAACAGTTCCTCAAAAAACTACAAATGGAACTACCACATGATCCAGCAAGGCTACTACTAAGTATACATTTTTTAGGGCTCAGAAAACAATATCCCAAAATGAAAGCCTCAGAAGCAGCCTCTGAAGCAAACATTTTTCTCTTTCTCCTGCCCTCCTGTCTCTCTGTCCCATTCTCCCCAGAAGCTAGCCATAGAAACTAGAAGCCCTGGTCCCCAAGGTGGGTCGTAGAAACCAGAACCCCTATTCCTCAAAGCTAGTCATAAATCCTATAAATATTATTCTAATTTTCCCTCTGGCTTTCAGTGTAAAAACTGACCACAAAGGAATTATCTGACCTACATTGTTTGTCTGTAGGTTATAACAGTCCCACTCTAGAGAGGGTCTTGTCCCATACCCGGAAGGAAGGAATGCGTACTCAGAGAACCCAAAAAGAATCTAAACAGATGACCCTCCTGAGTTTCCCCAGTCTATTAGTATTAGATCACCCCTTTTTGTCCAATCATATTTCTACATGACTGTCCATACTTTGTTGAACCTCAGCATAAAAATGGACAATTTCCCCTGTATCTTTTGATCTTCATTCCGAAGGCTCCCATATATACATGATAAATAAATCTGTATGCCTTTTCTCTAATTAATCTGCCTTTTATGAGTTGATTTTTCAGCAAAACATCAGGGGACCAAGGGAAAGCTCTCCCTTATCCCCTACGGTATCCAAAGGAAAGAAAATCAGTGTGTCAAAAAGATACCTGTATTTCCATGTGTACTGCTGCCCTATTCACAACAGCCAAAATATGGAATCAACCTAGGTATCCAATAATAAATAGATAAATTAAATGTGATATATATATGCACTACGGAATACTACTCGGTCATAAAAGAGAATGAAATCCTGCCATTCACAGTAACATGGATTGAAGTGGAAGGTAAGTGAAATAAGCTGCGAACAGAAAGTTAAACTCCACATGTTCTCACTCATGTGAGAGAAAAACAGTTGATCTCATAGAAGTAAAAAGTAAAACAGAGAATACTAGAGGCTGAGAAGGGTAGAGGGAAGGGAGGGTTAGAAAGAGATTTGTTAACAGATAAACAAAATTATAGCTAGACAGGAGAAATAAGTTCTAGTGTTCTGTACCACATCAGAATGACTATAGTTAACAATAAATATTATATACTTTCAAATAGCTGGAATGACGATACTGAAAATTCCCAACACAAAGAAATAATAAATGTTTGAGATGATGAATGTTACTTACCCTGATTTGATCACTATACATTATATGTATCAAATAAAACGTAACAGTGAAGTGAAGGAAAGGATCAATTCGTCACTATGTATGCCATGGATATGTATAATTATTACTTGTCAATTAAAAAATTTTTAAATGGCTACAAATATGAGTAACTGAATAAATAAATGTATACTTTATTGACCTTCAACAAAGTACCAGGGACTGTGCTGTGTACTTACACAGTTTATCTTATTTGAACTCTATAACTAGGTAGAGATGAAGTTTATTGTTCAGATGAGGAAACTGAAGTTTGTGATGCAAAGTACTATTTTTATCATACCAGAACCACCCCTGGAGAACTTAAAGAAGATCATAAGAAGATAAGCCATATTGTGCTAATCTGGAATACTCATAATAGCTGGTATTAACTTGAGCTCTATGAAATAGTATAAAAGTTCCAAATAATTTAAACCAGATAACTTTTAGAATAAAATCTACTTGTCTATTTACTATTATCAGCTTTATATTCTAAGTGTTAATTGTGCATAAATTGATTTTCACAACAAAGATTTATATTATTTGGAAGTAGTATCTGTATCTTTTCTTTAAAACTCTGAAAGCATCTAGTTTACTACTTGGTGAATAATGGATTTTATATGTTTGAGGATAATAATGAAAACTGCAATCACCAATATTTAGAACACACTCCCTGAATTCCAGGAATTCAGTTATAAAGGACTCTGGGAATAATATACAACCCCTTTAATAGTAAAGTGAAGAAAAGGATGAATTCAGCTGTATCAAGACAAATTTTAGATGGTAAAGGAAATAACATTAAATAGCAGTGAATCTCATAGTGAGAAAGGTATATTTTTGAAATTTCCTTCAATTCTTTCAGTATTACCAAGCAGAAAGTCTTGATTTAGCATTGATTGGTCTTTAATACCGCCATAACTTTTGCCTATATCCCTTTTTAACATGGAAGAATCTAAGACACAGAGACTTGGTAGATAACAGTATCTAGCTAGTATCTGGCTAATGATTGTTTTATTTTATTTTCAGAATTTGCTATATTCTATTTAGAATCACATTGGTTTTTTACATTTTTGACAGGTTAGAATGTTTCTTTTTTTATTATTATACATTAAGTTTTAGGGTACATGTGCACAACGTGCAGGTTAGTTACATACGTATACATGTGCCATGTTGGTGTGCTGCACCCAGTAACTCGTCATTTAACATTAGGTATATCTCCTAATGCTATCCCTCCCCGCTCCCCCCACCCCACAACAGGCCCCAGTGTGTGATGTTCCCCTTCCTGTGTCCATGTGTTCTCACTGTTCAATTCCCACCTATGAGTGAGAACATGCGGTGTTTGGTTTTTTGTCCTTGCTATAGTTTGCTGAGAATGATGATTTCCAGCTTCATCCATGTCCCTACAAAGGACATGAACTCACCCTTTTTAAGGCTGCATAGTATTCCATGGTGTATATGTGCCACATTTTCTTAATCTAGTCTATCATTGTTGGACATTTGGCTTGGTTCCAAGTCTTTGCTATTGTGAATAGTGCTGCAATAAACATACGTGTGCATGTGTCTTTATAGCAGCATGATTTATAATCCTTTGGGTATATACCCAGTAATGGGATGGCTGGGTCAAATGGTATTTCTAGTTCTAGATCCCTGAGGAATCGCCACACTGACTTCCACAATGGTTGAACTAGTTTACAGTCCCACCAACAGTGTAAAAGTGTTCCTATTTCTCCACATCCTCTCCAGCACCTGTTGTTTCCTGACTTTTTAATGATGGCCATTCTAACTGGTGAGAGATGGTATCTCATTGTGGTTTCGATTTGCATTTCTCTGATGGCCAGTGATGATGAGCCGCTGTTTTGGCTACAGTAACCAAAACAGCATGGTACTGGTACCAAAACAGAGATATAGACCAATGGAACAGAACAGAGCCCGCAGAAATAATGCCGCATATCTACAACCATCTGATCTTTGACAAACCTGACAAAAACAAGAAATGGGGAAACTATTCCCTATTTAATAAATGGTGCTGGGAAAACTGGCTAGCCATATGTAGAAAGCTGAAACTGGATCCCTTCCTTACACCTTATACAAAAATTAATTCAAGATAGATTAAAGACTTAAGTGTTAGACCTAAAACCATAAAAACCCTAGAAGAAAACCTAGGCAATACCATTCAGGACATAGGCATGGGCAAGGACTTCATGGCTAAAACACCAAAAGTAATGGCAACAAAAGCCAAAATTGACAAATGGGATCTAAATTAAACTAAAGAGCTTCTGCACAGCAAAAGAAACACCATCAGAGTGAACAGGCAACCTACAGAATGGGAGAAAATTTTTGCAATCTACTCATCTAACAAAGGGCTAATATCCAGAATCTACAATGAACTCAAACAAATTTACAAGAAAAAAACAAACAACCCCAACAAAAAGTGGGCAAAGCATATGAACAGACACTTCTCAAAAGATGACATTTATGCAGCCAAATGACACATGAGAATGTGTCTTTTATAAATGGGAGAATGAGGAATGATTACTTAATAGGTATGGGGTGTCTTTATCGGGTGATGAAACACTTTTGAAACTAGAGAATTGGTGGTTGCAACACTGTGAATACACTAAATATCAACGACTGTATGCTTTAAATGATTAATGTTACGTTGTCTGAAGTTAATCTCAAATTTTTTAATTATTTGGAATATTTAAATAAAATCATTTCTAACAATTTAAAAAACAATATGGTGATGTATACATATGACAAGAATTATAAAAGTAGTATGCAAATAAGTGAATTTTGGGAAACAGACTTACCTCGAGAAATTGGACTGGATTGGTATAGATGAGATTTCTAGAGGCAGACTGTAAGAAGCTGATGGGTAGAGCCTTGCAAACTAATTTTGGTAGCTTTTCAAGATACCAACAATCTGGTAAATTTTAGCTTCAGGTGATTTCTAGTGGCATACCAGATGTCTTCAAGGGCTTAGGCAAAAATCCTGAGGCAAACAAAATATCTTGTACATCCATCTGCTTCCTGTTCTAAATCTCTGCAGCCCCTCTTCCTCTCCATCACCATTCAAGTGTACACTGTGTTCATGATGACCTCTGCTCATTCAACACCCCAAACCATTTTTTCTGTTTTCATTTCTTTAGTCCAACTTCTGTTTTCAAAGCGTAGGCTTTAGCTATGTTTGAAAAGGGTTAATATTAGCCTTGCCTATCTCACAAGGCCTCTGAAAAGATCAAATTATATTTGAGGCATGCTTTAGAAGTGTTTTTTCAAACTCTGGATTCTAACTCATTAGTGGGTCATAAAAACAATTTAATAGGTTATGATCAGTACTTTAAACACGGAACAAATCGGGATACAAAAAAAAATGGAGTGCACACTGCAATAGGAATTGCTATGGTTAACTCCTTTTTCAGTTTCATATATGCCTGTGTGTCCATGCAAAGATATGTGTATAGTCAGTCACAATATAAAATGTAATTTTCTGTGATTAAAAAATACAGCTTTACAAGACAAGTATAATAGGTCTTTTCTGCTACATTTTCAAATAGAGAGCATATAAAAACTGTTTTTCAGAATAAAACAGGGTTACTACCTGAAAAATGGAGTGATTTGCTCTTTAGCGCCCTGCCCCATGAGCATCAATGCAGCATCAGTGTTTACCACCCAGGTCAAAACCTTGATGGCAAAGAACAACAAAGCGGCAAAAAACAAACAAAAAACAGATTACTCAGTGAAAACACCACTCAATGAGAATAGTTCTTTCTGTAATTAACTATAAAAAATTGGGGAAGTATCTTTAAAATTATATCTGAATTAAGATTTGATCCTTGCATTACTTTGTTGGCTAAAGCTAAGAACCATAAAAAATGATAAAGAACAAGACTGGTAAATATTGTGTTCACGGCAGCATATATACTAAAATTGGAATGACACAGAGAAGATTACCATGGCCCCTGTGCAAGAATGACATGCAAATTTGTGAAGCATTCCACATTTTTAAGACAGTTTTGTATCATTTTGCTATTACCGGTTTGAATCTGTGCTAAAAAAAAAAAAAAAAAAAAACCTGGTAAATATTTAAAAATATTATAAAAGGATGAGGTTTAACAGAATCTTGCAAAGCTCTTTATTTTGGATCTAACATATTATAATAAACATTTCTGAAAAGTTTTAAGAAATTTGATAAATTACTGTGGCTTGGGTAATTAGTAGAAGAAAAAACAAAACAAAACAAAAAAAAAACCAAACAGGGAGGACTCACTGCAGCACCAAGAGCTTTGGAGTGCAAATCATCACTGGTTGCATCACTTCTCCAGTTGCAATGAATCAAAGAGTAGGTTAAAAGAGAATGCACACAGACCAGAGAACTGTTTCACATTTTTGGCTCAGACTTTACTTTGTGTATATAAAAAGCCCTACTAGAGGCTCTATTAAGTGAACATTTAACATTTACTATTTTGTTTATAATAGTTAAAACAGTAATGTTTGGCCTTGTCCACTTACAAAATAAATCATAGCTGTCCTGATGCTGAGAAACATGGCTCAGGAAATATCTCTACTAGAGAGAGGCATCCCTTATATAGGCTTTTTAGAGACTATAGTCATCCTGCAGAGAGTCTGAACATTTTAGATGACATAGCCCTATCTAGATAACCACAGAGGACTAATTGTGCTTTGTAATATGTCAAAAGTTTTTTTTTTTTTTTAAGAATTAGGGAGCATTTACTCCATATTGCCAATTGATACCAGATAATAATAAAATTAACTGATCAAAATTGGCTAGAATAACACAAATTCAAAACATGCTTCCCCTATTTCATGCAACCCAAATTCTTCACTTTCAAAGAGCCCATTAACCATTAAAAAATAAGGCACCATGACACGGAATGAGCAAATACGTTTTATAAAATCATTTTCCAAATTAAATTATCTATTTTATATCATTGCCTGACTCTTTTTTAAAAAGGCATAATTTAAAATTCTGTAAAAAATAAGCCTTACATTATCCATTTGTTAGCTCTGGCTTCAAAAAATCTTCAGAATCCAAACATTACCTTCACCACTAAAACCCTTGTCCAGGAATTTACCTTTATGTCTAAAATAGCCCCTAACCAGTCACCCTGCTTCCACCTTTCTCTTCTTGTAGTTATTCTCCATGCAGAACAGCCAGAATGATTCTTTTAAAAATGTAACTTGAATAATGCCAATCCTCTCCTCTCCTAAAATCCATGTAATGGTTTCTCATTAACCTCAGAAGAGTATCCAAACTCTACATAGCCAAAACAGCCCTATTTGATCTGATATATCCACCCACCTCAACCTTTTCCCACTTCCTCCTTCACTTTTCCCTATGTCAAGGCTAAAGCTGGTGGATCACTTGAGGTCAGGAGTTTGAGACCAGCCTGGCCAACATGATGAAACCCCATCTCTACTAAAAATATGAAAATTAGCCAGGCGTGGTGATGGGCACCTGGTAATCCCAGCTCCTTGGGAGGCTGAGGCAGGAGAATCACTTGAACCCCAGAGGCGGAGGTTGCAGTGAACCGAAACTGAGCCACTGCACTCCAGCCTGGGCAACTGAGCAGGTCTCTGTCTCAAAACAAACAAACAAATAAAATCTTGCTGTTTTTAATAAATACATCATTTTGACCTTTATATTTTGACTAAATTCAAGTCACTAAATAGTGACAAAGTGAAATTACATCCTTCTATTGAATCTGCTTATTCAATATAATGAAAATATAAGATTATATTAACTGCTTGCTTATATTTATACATTTGACTCTGTAACAGCAACTCTTATGGATATATTTTAAACTGAAGTTTTTGGTTCATGATTGGTTTCCATTTTTTCTGTCCTAAATGTCAATACACATCCATAAATATTTATATGTTTTCTATTTCTGCCATGTTTACCAGAAAATTTTAATTCTTCCAACTTTACCTGTGAGTTCCAATGTTTTCAGAATACCTTTAAAAATCTTTATAAGTAAATACTTATGTGAACTCAATTTTCCTTCTGGCTTCCTCAAGCAACTTTGATCAATATGCAATCATATTAATCTACAAAGTTTTGTACACAGTGTTTTCACCAGCTACATTTTTCCCTTCTATATGTTAATATCTATGCATCTAGGCAGTGTATATGTTTCACCTTTTAAGTATACTGCACAAGGTCTATATTTTAAAATTAGACTATGAAAGCTAGGATTTCTGGGGATACAATTTAAGTATCTACAGTGCAGGTAAATAAAGCCCTTGAGATTTAATTCAACAAATACTTATCAAGTCCCTGCTATGGATGGTTTACATACCAACAGATCCAAAGGTAAGGAAGAAAAAATTCTCACCCCCAAAGAGCTCGTAACAGTGACATATAAACTTTTCTGTCCTTAGCCAACTTAGGCAAGGCATAGATTACCTACTTCACCCACTCCCATATTCCAGTGGCAAGAGAACTAGGGCTAAAAGTTCCACTGCACATGAAATATTGAAAAACATTATAATCCATTTTAATAAGAACACAGATCACCCACTTTTTAAACATCTTTATCAAATTATAATTTAAGACCATAAAATTCACCCATTTTAAGTGTGCAATTCAATGATTTTTAGTTAATTTACAGAGTTGTACAACCATCACCACAATCTTGTTTTAGAATATTCCCAACAGGGTCATTTATTTTTGAACCATATAGCAGTGAAATTTTGGAGTGCATATTCTAGAGTCAGAGTTCCTGGCTCCAAAACTAACTAGATGCATGGCCTTGGGCGAGTTGTTAAACCCTTCACTGCTGTACTTCAGTTTTCTCATCTAAAACATGTAGTTAATGGTAGTACTTAATTCACAGTATTGTTCTGAGGATTAAATGAATTAAAATATATAAAAAGCACTTGAAATGGTCCCTGGAACAAAGTAAGTGTTCATTAAATATCACTTGTTAATACTATATGCTTTAAAATCTAGTTATTGGAAAAGAATCGGCTAAAAATACTACTGATGCAAATAGGCATCACTACATACTGAAGGCTAAAGCAAACAAACAACTTATAAAACACAATTATTTGATAGTAAGTTTAAGGAACAATGATTTAAAATTTAAAAACAACAATAAAGCAATTGAAAACCAAACCCATTTAAGATAAAACCTATAATGCTCTGATAGCATTCATTCATTTATTCAACAAATATTTATTAATATGTCATGCTCATCTTGGGCACAGAGAAACAGCAAATAAGACAAAAAGTCCCTGACCATATTAATCTTAAAGGGAAACAAAATAACCACCAGGCAAACTAAAAATAAAACAAAATATTTTCAGGGTTTATATCCCTAGATACATAATCTTCTAGTCCATAACAGAGCATCATGGAGGGAATGGCATGTGATTGGGCCTTCTTCAACGGATGTTGGATAGTGGATGGTGGCTATTTCTACCAGCAGCGGGGGGCTTGTGGGAGAGGCATATAGGGTGGAGTGTTTAGTATAGGAAAAGGCACCAAGGCAGTAAATCAGAGGATAATCATAAGGGAACAAAGTATAATCTAGTCTGACTAAAAAGTTTTTTGATTTAGGCTGGGTGCAGTGGCTGCCATCTGTAATCCCAGCGCTTTGGGAAGCTGAGGCGGGTGGATCACTTGAGGTCAGGAGTTCGAGACCAGCCTGGCCAACATGGCAAAAACCCATCTCTACAAAAATTAGCCGGGCATGGTGGCGCGCGACTGTAGTCCCAGCTACTCGGAAGGCTGAGGTGGGAGAATCACTTGAATCTGGGAGGCAGAGGCTGCAGTAAGCCAAGATTGCACCACTGCACTCCAGCCTGGGTGAGTGAGACCCTGTGTCAAAAAAAAAAGTGTTTTGATTATGGAGAAAGTTATGGAAGATACTCAAAGGTTGGGAAAAAGTATAAACCGAAAGACTGGAAGTGTCAGTCTGAGAAAATCTGAACATTATTCAGCATATGACAAGTACTGAAGTAGTAAGTATTGCGTTTAACGTGATTTAAACTGGGGCTAGGTTTATCAGAACACGGAGAGAGAAGGGTGAGGATAGCCAGCATCACAAGTTAAAGGTGATGAGGGTATGAAGTAGAATGAAAGCGAGAGACGCAATTGAGGGAGTGAGTGTGAGAAACACTAAAGCACAGAACTGATAAGACTGACACTGGTTATAGGAGGCAAAGAATATTCTAAAGTTCTAAACGGAAAAATAATAAAAATAGCAAAGTCAAAAGGAAGAATGAGTTCTACAAGAGACAGGTTGTGTTTTGGGTATATTGAGCGTAAGTTCTGGCATATAATCCTGGTGGGTTGTTTCACATGTAGCTGAATGTATGTCTGGAATAAATAATGCTTAGGACAGAGTTAAGAAGATTTGGTGAGCAGTCACTAAAAGTAATGATTACCGAACTTAAAATATTTCATCACCTCAACAGAAGACTGAGAAAGATGACGTCCCTTTGCACTAACACAGAATCCCTGGTCTTACATTTGAGCAGCTGTCTTACCAACATCCCAAATTACATGGTCCTATTATTCTTGTGTCACATGTTTCCTATTGTATTCCCTGTGAGTAAAATCTTCTCTATATTCCTGGTGTCCTGAAATTTCATGACGCATGGCTTGGTGTGCGTCTTTTTCATTCTTTCCAGATGAGTCCTTCCTCTCTGGAAAATCACTTTTTTTCAGTTCTGAGACCTCTTTATTTTTAGTAACTCTTTCTTACCTAATTCCAACCTCCCTCTCCTGTATTTTCATTAGAACTTTCTAGTCAAATACTAGACCCTGAATTGACACTGTAAGTCTCCTATCTTTTTTCTATCACTGTATTTTATTCTACTTCCTAGGCTTCCTCAACTATATTTACATATACTTTCCAGGAGATTTTAATACTCCTAGGGGTTCCTTCCCTTATCCCTCAATCACATATTTATTTTGCAAGAGATCTTTCTTAATCTCTTAACATTCAAATTTTTTGGTAGTAATCTGCTTTAGTTTCTTGGTTGTACTAGTCTCTATTTTCTCTCTAAGAGTATCAATTATACTCTTAGAGAGAATAATTTTTTCCTTGAAAATTTCTTCAGTTTTCTACATTATCTCTCTCTCCTCTGACTTGCTTATTCTGTTTAGTATAAGTTTCTGTATTTCATGTTAGAGGATTTCCCCAAATGTCTAGTGACCCACGTCTACCATTAATATCGAAGAGAAAAGCCCTAAAATCCAAATTAGAAACTATATGACAGGGGTCAAAATCTTTTTCTATAAGGGGCCATACAGTAAGTATCTTAGGCTTTGAGGACCATATACTCTGTTGCAACTACTCAATTCTGCTAATATGATACAAAAGCAGTCACAGATAATATACAAATGAATGAGCAAGGCTGTTATAATAAAATTTATGGACACTGAAATTTGAATTTCATATAATTTTCATGTGTCACAAAATATTTTTATTTTGATTTTCTGAATCCATTATGATAGGCTGAGTAATACTCCCAAAGATTTCCACATTTGAGTCCCTGGAACCTGTTAATATATTACCTTATGAGGCAAAGGGAAATTAAGGTTTCAGATTGATTTAATGTTGCTAATCAGCTGACCTTAAAATAGGGAGATTATCCTAGATTATCTGAGTAGGCTAGATGTAATCACAGGGGTCTTTAAAAAGTGGCAGAGGGAAGCAGAACAGAAGGTCGCAGTGTTATGACATAAGAAGGACTCAACAACGTTGCTGGCCTTGATGATGAAGGAAGTGTGCCAGGAGCCAAGATAAAAGGGCGGCCTCTAGAAACTGGAAAAGGCAAGGAAAGAGATTCTCCCTGGAGCCTCCAGAAAGGAACACCCTGCTAACACCTTGATTTTAGCCCAAAGAGACTTTAGCCTATAGAATTGTAAGATAATACATTTCTGTTATTTTAAGCCACTAAATTTGTGGTAGTTTGTTGCAGCAGCCATAGAAAAATAATACAACCATCCAAAAATGTAAAAACCATTCTTAGCTTGCCATACAAAAACAGGTAGTGGGCTAGATTTGGTACATGGCCATAGTTTTCCTGACTCTCAGTATAGACTCTTGAGCCAGACTGCCTGGGATTGAACCTCAGTTACGCTACATACTAACTGTAGTTTTTAGTAGGCAAGTCAATTTCTTTGTTTCTGGATTTTTTTTAAATCAGTAAAACAATAATGACAGCATTTATATCATAGAGTTGCTGTGTGGATTAAATAAAATATTACAAGTGCTTAAAATATTGCCTGGCTCACAGTAAGTACTTAGTAAGTGCAATAATAATAATAACAAAAACAACAATAATAACAACAACAGAGAAGGAGGAGAGGACAAACAACTCTACATGAAGATTTTCTTTGCCTGGAATATAGGGTCTCTTTATTAGGCCCCCTTTAAAAGTAATTCTTTTGTCTTCTGTGATGGTAAAGGGAGAGCAGTGATTTGGCTGCATAGAGCAGAGGAGGGAATTATAAGACAAATCAGTTTGCCTTTTACAGGCTTCTCCTACCATGGCTAAGGTTTCAGCTTTCTCTAGGTGGCTAAGTCAGTTACCATTTATGCATCTGGCTTCCAGCTTCCAAATGAATCTTGATACCTCTTTTCTGCTATCATCTCCTCTCTAATTCTCTTCATCCATTTGGGTTTATGCTTTAAAAAGAGCCTTTCCTGTCACTTTAGTGAGGTTTCAGGAGGAAGCATGGTTGAACAAATGTGTTTAACCTACCATGTTTTAACTGGAAGTCTTAAATTATTATATTATTCAGAGTCTTAAAAAACAAGGATAATAATCATCCATATTTTTAAAAAACCTTTTACCCTAACTTTCTCAAAAGCCAGTATTTTTTCATTTAGTGAATGTTGCTTCTAACAGCATGTGTAACAAAAGCATTTGCAGGAGCATTTTATAAGAGCATTATTTACAAGAGCATTATTATTAAAACTTATATAACTCTATGAAAATAATTGACAAATTAGAATTTAAGTTTAGTGCCTGCAAGTAATTTGCAGTTATGATGGTTTTGTGTTTTGAATCAATGATATACTTTTTTGGAAATGTAACCATTGAAAATAGGCATGTTAAAGCACTATAGAATAGTTCATATGTCACGTGTTCTGTTGAATATTTGTAAAAAGATCATTATAATTGATGTATCTACTCAGGCATAACTAAAACATGGGTCCATAGCATTGTTACTTATTGATGGTGGTTACATTTGCATACAATGAATGACTGGCTGGAGCAAGGCACCTATACTCTTTATCCTCCTAAACCAAACCTTTAGTCGCCTAGAAATCTGTCAGACTTGGATGCGTAAGATGTTCACAGCCAGAGTTAAATAGTATCTTGAGGTCTAACTTTACCATTCTACAAAAACTGTAAGTACCCTAGGAGTTAAAAAGAAAAAAGACGAAGACCAGCAGTTATTAAGAACCTGTTATGTGCACGTCCTATCTGAATGCTTTATATATATTACCTAATACAATCCTCATAACAATATGACATGGGGGGATCATGCCCTCATTTTGTAAATAAAGAAAATGAGAAGAACAGAGCTTAGGAAAGTCAGGACTCACAGACATGAAATCTGAAGTAAAATATAATGTAATTGTATATCTCAGATGTCATCTATAAAACATGCTGTAGGACTATGCAGTAGACATTTAGCTGTCAATATATACATATATATTCTTCTACATTCCCAGAATTAGGTCTATTGAAGAGACAAAGCTTTGAATTTCTAGCATTGCTCTTTATATTTCACACAGATGATCTTTTTTCTCAAAGATACCAGAAACATTCTCTAAATCATTTGGTATTAAAAAATTGTTTAAAAATAAAATAGAGTTCTTTTTGTCTACAACTACTCCCTCTCCTTAGAGTGAATACCGTGCTACTTTAACTTGAACACCTATTATTAGGTAAAAGTTGTGAATTATTGTTAAATGATTAGTCTTTGCAGAAAGAAAGGAGAAGACACCTAGATGAGGTCATTAGTCTGGGCTGCAAGCACAGTCTTAACCATTGGAGGTCATGTTTAACTTATACAAGTCTTTGATGATATCACTATCAGGAAAATAAAGGATACTTATCGACTATAATCAGAATTTAAAAAGCTCTCCATACATTATTCCAAAGATTAATAGCTAAAATGGTATGTCAAAGAAGTTTTTTTTTAAAAAAAAAAAAAAAGGCTGAAATCAAAATAATCTCAAAGGAAAATTTTGAAATGAAACATGAGTTCTTCACGCATCTTCACAGTTGCAGACGGCAGTAAATAATGAATAACTACGTAATAAAATGTTTTCAAAATCAAAGTCATATGACTTTAAAATTATATAACAGATGACAAATTTATCACAAATAAGACTGGAAACAAGGATAAAACATTATATGCTAAAAATATATCAATGCATTTTTTTAAAAAAATCTCCAAAATCTTGAATACCAACAGCTTAACACTCAATTTAGGGAGTTTAGATTGCTCTAATAGATATAAATGAAAAATATAAAGAAAATATTAAGAGCACGCTATCATAAAATTCTTCCTTCTTGCTAACAATCTAGCTTAGTACACATACATAGGGAACCTCCATAAAAGTAAATACTGCTTTCATTTTTAGTGGCTATGACAGCTTTATAAGAATATCCCAAAAGCAACAAAAAGATGCAATTATCAGCCATTAAAAAAAAAATCACTACAGAAAGTAGTTAACAAATAGTATGAGAATTTGTCTTAAATTAGTGTACTTGAGGTGTGAGAGAAAAATGTTCAAAGCTGCATTACGAAAATTTAACAAAAAAACCCACTAAAAGCAAATTTTTAAATTGTGAAAATTATTGTTAATGTAAGGCACAGCAGATGGTGTCCAACGGTGAGAAGTGACTTCTAAGAGACTTTAAGTAACTTGAGGGCACCCAGGGACTCAAGTGCCACCTCTCCCACAAAACATTATCTTTATTCTGCTTTACTTTTCCTTCATTATATCAAATTAGCTTGCTGGTGATTCTAAAAGAGAAGATTCAAGACTGTTTTGGGAAGTAAGAATCTCAAAAGATCCTTTAGTATCATTTTTATATGCAGAATAGCTCACTATTTCTGCTTTGTTTAGTAAACTATGAACATTATTACTCTGTAATCCCTATTAATCCTGTTGCTCATCCAAACTGTGCACCTTTCAGAAGCCCTATGACTCCCCACCTGACCTCTGCCTTCCCTAACTCTTCCATATGATGGGCATTATACAAAGTAGCACCTGGTCATAAATTACCTTACAGATCATTCCCTGAATTTTTTACAAACTACTTATAGGTTTAAATTTCTTTTGTCTTATTCTCAGTGAGGTGAGAGCTCCTCAAAAATACCAGTTGAAATGTTCCAGATGTGAACAGATACAGATATACAGATATGGAGAAAATCACAAAAGGATACCTATCAGGTAATTTACAAGCATCAAGGGATAGAGATGGGACAATGACAGAGGAGAGGAGTGGCACAGAATAAAATAATAATAAACCAAAAAACCAACTTTTTTTTTTGAAAAGCACATATTTCATGTAGGTAAAATTACAGGATCCCATTTAAATAAAGACATTTTGAAAAAAAGCAAAGAAATCAAGCTATATCTACTATTTTATGCTTTCAAATTAAAAAAACAAGCTTCAAATTCTCTCTACATAAAAACAAATTTTTTTTTTTTTTTTTTTTGAGACGGAGTCTTGCTCTGTCGCCCAGGCTGGAGCGCAGTGGCACAATCTCGGCTCACTGCAACCTCCGCCTCCCAGATTCAAGCAATTCTCCTGCATCAACCTCCCAAGTAGATGGGACTACAGGTGCCTGCCACCACGCCCAGCTAATTTTGTATTTTTAGTAGAGACAGGAGTCTTGAACTCCTGACCTTGTAATCTGCCCACCTTGGTTTCCCAAAGTGCTGGGATTGCAGGCATGGGCCACCGTGCCCAATCTATATATCTGTGAATACATGTATTAATAAGAAGAAGGATGCAGAAAGACATAAAGTAATCTTTTAACATGGGTTATCTGACAGCAACTGGAGACATTTAAAGATTTGCTGTGTGCTGGATATTTCTTTTTTCTTCATATTTGTTGTCTTACTTGCCAAAAGCTGATTTCCTGATATGATTACTGCCTCAGATTCCTCCGTTCCACTTTCTGGCATGGCTGAAAATGGGGGCACTGAACAGCCAACCGAGCTGGGGAAATCTTGCGGCTTTCTTGGTAAGGCATTGTGCTGTGTGGTGACTTTCCCAAAAGGAACAGCCCAAGAATCTGGGCAAGGGCTTGCAGGCCAAAAGGGCAATAGAAGGCAGTCAGATAGAGCAGGGGTCAAGTTGCTAGTGGTGCCTACTGCAAAATCAAACAACCTCAAATATTATTCCCTCCCATCACCTGTGTCTAGGGAGAACAAAACTCCATGAATAAGATGAATCCCAATTTTCCTGACAAAAACTTAGCCTACAAACAGTAATTGCAAGATAAGAAAACACAGTATGTTCTTTTAGTCAAGAGTCTAGTATATTGTAGATTCCTGATAGATATTAAAGAACAGCAACAGTGCTTTGTGCAAAGTCAAAGAATAAATCTGATAGGTGTTTTGATATGAAGAGAAGTTATTAGGTATTCATAAGACTATACATGCTGAATTATTTGAAAGCCCAGAATTATAAAGAGACATGAACATAGTTTTTAAAAATTTGCCTGTTATTAGCAAATCCAAAATCAGTCACATATACAGATTAATATATTTATATTAAGAATATACCAAAAACTACCCCAATACCTCTCTCCTCTCCCCCTACCCCAAAACTCGTACACATACCCAACTCTATCTCATTGTGTATTCACATAACTAGGATAGTGTTTTTATGCTACTATTCTTTAAATGTATTCTTAGAACTAAACTGACCATCTCATTTTATGTTACTATTTTAGAATACATACACATCCATTTATTCATTCAACAAATAGTTACTGAAGGTCTGCTATATACTAGGCACTGTCTTTGCTCTGGGAATACAGCAGGGAGTAGAACAGACAGCAATCCTTTCCCTCATGCAGCAAATATCCTACTAGAAGGAAACAGCCAATAAAGAGGGCCAGGTGCAGTGGCTCACGCCTGTCATACCAGCACTTGGGGAGGCTGAGGTGGGGAGACTGCTTAAGTCCAGGAGTTCAAGACCAGCCTGGGTTACATAGTGAGCCCTCCATCTCTATAAAAAACAAGAAAATTAGCTGGGCATGGTGGCGCATGCCCGTGGTCTCAGCTACTCGAGAGGCTGAAGCAGAAGGATCAACTGAGCCTAGGAGGTCAAGGCCACACAGTGAGTTGTAATCATGCCACTGCACTCTAGCCTGAGTGACAGAGTGAGAACTTGTCTCAAAAGTTAAACAAAAAAAAAAAAATAGTGAAACATACAGTACAGCAGGTCAGACAGCAATCAGCACTATGGAAGAAAATAAGAGGGGTAGAGAGTACCACTGGCAGGGAGAAGGCTGCAATTTAAATATGGTGTGGTCAGGGAAGGTCTTGCTGAGAAGAAGAAATTTCAGTCCTCTGAACTGAAAGAGATGAGAGAAAAAGCCATATGAATAGCTATAAGAGTGCTGCAGAATGGCCAGGCGTGGTGGCTCACGCCTGTAATCCTAGCACTTTGGGAGGCCAAGGCGGGCGGATCACGAGGTCAGGAGTTTGAGACCAACGTGGCCAATATGGTGAAACTCCCTCTCTACTAAAAATACAAAAATTAGCCAGGTGTGGTAGCGCATGCCTGTAGTCCCAGCTACTCTGGAGGCTGAGGCAGAAGAACCACTTGAATCCGGGAGGTGGAGGTAGCAGTGAGCCAAGATTGTGCCACTGCACTCCAGCCTGGGCGACAGAGCAAGACTCCGTCTCAAAAAAAAAAAAAAAAAAAAAGAGTGTTGCAGACTGTCAGGCTCAACATGTGCAAAATCAGGGTGCATGCTTTTACTGCTCCAATGTCATCTCCCACTATTCTTTCCCCCTCTCTCACATCATGCCAACAAGGCAATAGATGCCTTGCTGTTGCTCAAATTATGCTGGTGAATGGGAAGTAGAGAATCAAGGAGGCAGTGCAGATCCACAGAAGCTTCTCTGAAGAGGCCTTCTTCTCAAATGAAAGGCTGACCATCATCATATGAATAAAAGGAACCTTGGGCAAACAACCACTCCTCTTGAGGAGCAATGTCCAGTGAACTTTCTGCAATGATGAAAATGGTCTATATTGTCCATTAAGTAGCCACTGGTCACATGATGCTACTGGGTACCTAAAAAGTGTCCAGTGTGATTGAGAAACTGAAATTCTAATTGTATTTTATTTTAATTAAAATTAAAATAGTCAAATGTGGCTAGTGGCTAGCATATTGACCAATATAACTCTAGAGTAAACGTAGGTCTTGAGAACACAGAAATGTATCATTAATAGAGATACCTTACTTCTAAAAAGATATGTTTTGTTTAATTTACTGAAGTTCAAGTTGATCTAATGAAAATTCTAGGATTAAATGGGGCAATTATGAATGTTTTACTTAATCATCACAAAATACAGATTAACCATTATCCATCATATAATTATTTAACTACTGTTTGGAAAAACTATTGTTACTGGGCATTCTCATTTCAGCTTTAGTGTTTCCCTGTGGATGGTTATTTTTCTTGCTGAAAAAAAAGTTAAGAAATTTTTTAAAAATCCAGGCCAGGCATAGTGGCTCACATCTGTAATCCCAGCATTTTGGGAGGCCAAGGTGGGTGGATCCCTGAGGCCAGGAGTTTGAGACCAGCCTGGACAACATGGTGGAACCCCGTCTCTACCAAAAATACAAAAACTAGCTGGGTGTGGTGGTACAGGCCTGTATGTAATCCCAACCACTCAGGAGGCTGAGGCATAAGAATTGCCTGAACCCGAGAGGCAGAGGTTGCAGTGAGCTGAGATCATTCCACTGCACTCCAGCCTAGGTGACAGAGAAAGACTCTGTCAAAAAAGAAAGGGGATGGGAGGGGAGGGGAGGGGATGGGAGGGGAGGGGAGGGGAGGGGAGGGGAGGGGAGGGGGGAGCAAGGAATTTTTTAAAAATCTGTTTTCAAATCAAGCTGTGTTTCCTGCTGGCAAGTTTTTCTTTTCAACTTGATTTGTTTCCAGTTGACACACATTTGTATCCAAATGTAAAAATATGAATAAAATATAACAAATGAGATATGGTATAATAAACTTACATTCATTTATTAAATACATTCTAACAAAACAATCAAAGACTGTAATTAGCTGAATGGCTTTAAGAGATACTTGTTAGAAAGTGGCATTCCAATGGCTTTCTTTCTACAAAACTGAAAATAGGAGATACTCCTTATTTCAAGATACACAAGACAAATCTTTAAAAACTATATTCAACTTTATAAAAAGTATGGGTTTTAAGAGAAAGTCACATACATATACACTATACAAAAAACACTACTATTAAAGCTACACAAGAAAACTGCATGTTTTATAATTTCTGTGTTTAAGTTAACAGCACCCAGAGATGATGAAAACCAGTTACTAAAAAATTTACTGCTTGGTTAAAACTCAGTTTACAATTCAAAGAAGTTTTTAAGATCTCTATGCTGTTATGAAGCTTTATGAGGTTTACAGTAGAGATGAAAACAGAAATAAAAAGATCTGACAAACAGAAAATGCCAAAGATATTTTCAGCATTATCAGTATAGATTCTTTTCCCGTCTATCAACACTTTTTAACCTTCTTCCAACACATCTGCCTGAAAAAACAATTGTGTTTCCTGGGATCCCCTTCAAAATGTAAATATTTGATAGACAAAGGTGGAATATATGCATATATATTTAACTAGAATGAAAACTCCATGAGGACAGGAATTTTTGATAAGTATTATCAGTGCCTAGAACAGTGCCTAGTTTATAGTATGTAGTAAACATTTACTGAATTAATAATGTGGCCAGAAACTTTTATAAAATAAGGATATCCAAAATGTGTTTGTGTAGAATTTTATTTTAACACTGGTGTCTAGACTCATTCCATTTAACAAACATCTTTGTTTTACCATCTATACATAAAACAAGAAGCTTTTTACAGCTTATTGGTAATTGACAGAACTAGCCAAGGGCTTTTGTATTCATTATTTATATGGATTCTATCATTCCTTCCAATTCCAAACTTTATTTATTCTACTAATAGCCTGAAACTGTAAAGAAAAAACCTGAAACCTATCTATATGAAATGTCATAGAATATTAAAATATTACTTAAATTACTAGAAAAATAACTACAAAACAACTGATGGCTCATCTTGGACTTTTCATGTTTTTCTTAAATCTTTTAAAGGGTATTTTCTAGTTCTCTGCTTAGTGTTGTTTTATATTACTATTAAACACTTCACTTTCAAAATCAAATAAACTGAGATGCCATATAATAAGCTGCACTATGGTTTTTAAATTTTATACCAAAAGAGTAAATTTATTTTAAAAACAAAATATAATATGTACTGAAAAATACAGAGTTGAAATGTCTGCTGAAATGCTGTATACTACAAAAGTCTCAACGTTTGATCACCTAACACTGAAGTTTAAATTAGGTCTAAATTCAGGAAATTCACCTTCATAATACTTTAACACGTTTGTCTTTGTAAGGTGGCCATCTTCTAAGGAAAGATTTAAGGTGGCCATGTTCTAAGAAAAGATTTAACTTACAGTCAAATTTCGGTCCCAGATCTGTATGCTTCCATTCTGGCAGGCAGCTGCTATGAGGTTTCCATCTCTACTATATGTGCACGTAGTGGGAATGACTTTTTTGCCTTGCATCGTCCGTGGTTTAAACACACTTTTTTGCTTCTTTGGATTTTCAACTTCCCACGTCCTCACAGTCCTAAAAATGATCAGGAGATTTTTCATTTATTTAAAAAAAAAAAGAAGGAGGGGGGAGGTTAAAATAGGGAAGAGTCCATAAAGACTGCTTCGCCATTTTGGCACATAAATCTAATAATTATTTTAAAATAAAATAAGACATGCACTGTAAAAGATTCTCTATTTATAAATGAGGTTACTCATGGAAATAAAGTAAACCATCTGAATCATGTTGTCATCAAATTGAAGAGGAAGAGGCAAATTCTACTTCCAATCGATCAACGTTATTAATTCTGTCCCTCTCTAAGTGGCCTCCAAATTATTCTGACTTTACCCCTGATCAGCCAAACTGCTTAATGTCTGCCCCCTATATAGGCAGGTATTTGTAAATCACTTACATGTGTTAATGCACTGTTTTTAACATACACCAGAAAACACACTGAAAAATAAGTCATTAAAAGAATAACATCCCACTCTAGAGCCCAAGCAAAGATCTCATTCCCCTAGGGGAGAAGTAGAAATACACCTGTCTGTTTCTGAGCTTTTGCCAAGCAACAAGCAACAACAGCTTAGTCCTGGAGCAGAGGTGTAACACCCTTGTACTCACAGTCCTAAGCGAAGGAGCACTGTCAGTAAGGGAGGGTAGAACAAACACCACAAGACCCAGAGGGAGAATTTCAAAAGCTTAAAATACAGAAAAACAAAGATGAGGTAAGCAGCTTCTTGCCAGAAACTATGGAAGCCTAACCACTATGGAACAACATCCTTAAAGTTCTAAAAGAAAAAACTAATTGTCAATCTAATATTCTATAGCCAGTCAAAATATATTTTAAAAATAAGGTGAACTCAAGACTTTTTCAAATGGACAAAAGCTGAGGTAATTCACTACCATCAGACATCTACTAAAATAAGCATTAAAAGACATAGGTAGAATAAATATGACAAAAGTGGAAATCTGAATCTACACAAAGAAAAGAAGAATACTACAAATGTAAAAATGAAAGTAAATGTAAAATGCATTTTAAAAAATGTTTAGATCTCTTTAAAAAATAAATTGATGTAAAGCAAAAATGGTAAAAAACAATGCACTAATGTACTTTGAGTTTTATAACCATGTCCAAGTAAAATGTATGACAATAATTGTAAAGGTTAGGAGGAAGAAGGAAAATATGTTGTTTTATACTATATTTGAAATAGCACAGTATTATTTGATGAGAGAATTTGATATGCTAAAGATGTATATTACAAACTCTAAAGCAATTGCTATCATATTTTTATAATCAATACATAATAATGAAGATACAATGAAAAATTCTATCAAAAACAAGATAAGAAATCAAAGCAATGTGATAAGCATAAAACAAAAAGCAATATGGCAGATATAAATTCAACCTCATCAATAATAAAATTAATTAGAAATGGTCTAAAAATTCTAATTGAAAGACAAAGATTAGAAGCTTTTTAGTTTCAATGCAATCGCTTTTGCCCATTTTTGCTTTTATTGCCTGTGCCTTTGGATCACATATAAAAAATCTAAGCCCAGACGAATGTCAGGAAGGTTTTTTCCTGTTTTCTTCTAGTCGTTTTACAGTTTCAGGTCTTACATTTAAGTCTTTAATCCATCTTGAGTTGATTTTTGTATATGGTATGAGATAAGGGTCTAATTTCATTCTTCTGCATGTGGATATCCAGTTTCTTCAACACCATTTACTGAAGAGACTGTGTGTTCTTGGCATCTTTGTTGAAAATCAATTGGCTGTAAGTACCTGGGTTTATTTCTGGACTATATCATGTTCCAGTAGTTGATGTGTCTGTTGATTACAATAGCTTTTATTTTGAAATCAGGGAGTGTGATGTGATGTCTCCAGCTTTTTGCCTTTTGCTTATCACTGCCTTGGTGATTTGGGATCTTTCGTGGTTTCATATGAATTTTAGGGTTTTTTTTTTTCTATTTCTATGGAAAATGACATTGGAATTTTGAAAGGGATTGCATTGAATTTGTAGATCACTTTGGATGGTTTAGACATGTCAGCAACATTAATTTTTCTAATCCATGGACATGGAATATCTTTCCATTTATTTGTGTCCTTTTATTTTTTTTATTTTTTTTTAAGACAGTCTCGCTCTATCGCCCAGGCTGGAGTGCCGTGGCGCAATCTCGGCTCACTGCAACCTCCACCTGCTGGATTCAAGCAATTCTCCTGCCTCAGCCTCCTGAGTAGCTGGCATTACAGGCGCATGCCACCACGCCTGGCTAATTTTTGTATTTTTAGTAGAGATGGGGTTTCACCATGTTGGTCAGGCTGGTCTCAAACTCCTGACCTTGTGATCCACCCGCTTCGGCCTCTCAAAGTGCTGGGATTACAGGCATGAGCCACCGCACCCGGCCTATTTGTGTCTTTTTCAATTTCTTTCATCAATGTTTGACAGTTTTCTTTCCTTTTTTTTTTCTTTTTTTTTGAGACAGAGTCTCACTCTCTCACCCAAGCTGGAGTGTAGTGGCACAATCTCCACTGACTGCAGCCTCCGCCTCCCAGGTTCAAGTGATTCTCCCACGTTTAAGTGATTTTCCCGCCTCAGCTTCCCGAGTAGCTGGGATTACAGGCGCCCGCCACCTTGCCTGGCTAATTTTTATATTTTTAGTAGAGACAGGGTTTCACCATGTTGCAGGCTGGTCTCAAACTTCTGGCCTCAAGCGATCTGCCTGCCTTGGCCTCCCAAAGTGCTGGGATTACAGGCGTGAGCCACCACACCTGGCCAATAGTTTTCAGTGTACTGATCTTTTAACTCCTTGGTTAAAGTTATTCCCTAAGTATTTTTTTAATGTTATTGTAAATAAAGTTATTTTCTTAATTTCTTTTTATATATATATACTTTAAGTTCTGGGGTACATGTGCAGAATGTGCAGTTTTGTTACATAGGTATACATGCGCCATGGTGGTTTGCTGCACCCATCATCCCGTCACCTACATTAGGTATTTCTCCTAATGTTATCCCTCCCCTAGCCTCCCACCCCCCGACAGGCCCCAGTGTGTGACGTTCCCCTCCCTATATCCATGTGTTCTCATTGTTCCACTCCCACTTATGAGTGAGAACATGCGGTGTTTGGTTTTCTGTTCCTGTGTTACTTTGCTGAGAATGAGAGTTTCCAGCTTCATCCATGTCCCTGCAAAGGACATGAATTCATCCTTTTTTATGGCTGCATATATTCCATTGTGTATATGTGCCACATTTTCTTTATCCAGTCTATTACTGATGGACATTTGGGTTGGTTCCAAGTCTCTGCTGTTATGAATAGTGCCACAATAAACATACGTGTGCATGTGTCTTTTTCATATAGATTGTTGGCAGTGTGGAAGTAGAAAATCTGACCAGACCAATAACAAGTAAGGAGAATGAATCAGTAATAAGAGTTCACCATCAAAAAAAAACCAGGACCTGATGACTTCACTGATAAATTCTACCAAAGAGTTAAAGAAGAATTAATACCAATTCTTCTCAAACTCTTCCAAAAAAGTTGAAGAGAAAGGGAATAATTCTAACCCCATTTTACAAGGCTAGCATTGCCCTGATACCAAGCCAGACAAGGATACTATAAAAAAGAAAGCTACAGAACAATATCCCTAGTGAACATAGATGCAAGAATCATCACAAAAATGTTAGCAAAGCAAATCTAACAGCTTATGAAGAAGATAATTCACCACGATCAAATGGGATTTATCCCAGGTATGCAAGGATGGTTCAATATATGTAAACCAATAAATATGATTACCACAGTAACAAAATTAAGAACAGAAACCACATGACATCTCAATAGATGCAGAAAAAGCATTTGATAAAATTCAACATTGTTCATGATAAAAACTCACAACAAAATAGGTGTAGCAGGAATGCATGTCAACATTATTAAAGGCCATATATGATAAGCCCACAGCTAACATCATACTCAACAGTGCAGAGTTGATAGCTTTTTCTCTAAAACCAAGATCAAGAAAAGGATACCCACTTTGACAATTTCTACTCAACACAGTACTGGAGTCAATTAGGAATGAAAAAGAAATAAGTTATCCAAATAGGAAAGAAGTGAAATTGTCTCTGTTTTTTGTTAACATTATCTTACATACAGAAAACTCTAAAGACTCTACCAAAACAAAAAAGCAAAAACAAAAACAAAAAAAGTGTTAGAGCAGGGAAACAAATTCAGGAAAGTTGTCAGTTACAAAATGTTTGCTATTTTATGGAACTTTCCAACTGCTTTCCAGAGTGGCTGTACCCTTTTACATTTGTACCTGTAATATGTGAGTTTTAGTTTCTTTGCCTCCTCATCAACAGTTTTAATTGTCTTTTTTATTATAACCATTCTAGTGGGTATGAAAAATGCCATTGTGATTTTTATTTGCATTTTCTTAATAACTAAGGATGGCAAGCATCTTTTCGTGTGCTTATTGGGCATTTGCATATCTTTCTTTAGTGAAATATGTACTCAAATCTTTTGCCCATTTAAAAAATTAGGTTGTCATTTTATTGAATTCTAGATGTTCTTTTTTTTTTTTTTTTTTGAGACGGAGTCTTGCTCTGTCGCCCAGGCTGGAGTGCAGTGGCGCAATCTCGGCTCACTGCAAGCTCCGCCTTGCGGGTTCATGCCATTCTCCTGCCTTAGCCTCCCGAGTAGCTGGGACTACAGGCGCCCGCCACCACGGCCGGCTAATTTTTTGTATATTTAGTAGAGATGGGGTTTCACCGTGTTAGCCAGGATGGTCTCGATCTCCTGACATCATGATCCACCCGCATCAGCCTCCCAAAGTGCTGGGATTACAGGAGTGAGCCACTGCACCCAGCCGAATTCTAGATGTTCTTTAAATATTCTGGATGTCAGTACCTTATCAGATACATTATTTGCAAATATTTTCCCCAAGTCTTCGGCTTATCTTTCTTTTCACTTTCTTGATGGTATCTTTTGAAGTGCATAAACTTTTAATTTTGATGAAGTCCAACTTATCTTTTTTTTCCCTCTTTCATCATTTGTGCTTTTGGTGTTGCATCTAAGAACTCACTGCCTAATCCAAGGTTAAAAATATTTTCTCCTATGTTTTCTTTAGGACCTTCTTTACACTTAAATCTATGACTTATTTTGAGTTAATTTTTATATGGTAAAGTAAGGCTCCAAATACACCTTTTTTTTTTTTCTTTTTTGAGATGGAGTCTTGCTCGGTGGCCCAGGCTAGAGTACAGCAGGACGATCTCGGCTCACTGCAAACTCTGCCTCCCGGGTTCAAGCAATTCTCCTGTGTCAGCCCCTTGAGTAGCTAG
Organism: Homo sapiens; assembly: GCF_000001405.40. Taxonomy (NCBI): domain Eukaryota; kingdom Metazoa; phylum Chordata; class Mammalia; order Primates; family Hominidae; genus Homo; species Homo sapiens. Next base: position 37,599,775 of record NC_000005.10, on the reverse strand, counting down.
GAGTACAGGCACGCGCCACCACGCCTGGCAAATTTTTTGTATTTTTAGTAGAGATGGGGTTTTGCCATGCTGGCCAGGCTGGTCTCAAACTCCTGACCTCAGGTGATCCACCCACCTCAGCCTTCAAAAGTGCTGAGATTATAGGCGTGAGCCACCACGCCCGGCCCCAAATTCACCTTTTTACATATGGATAACCAGTTATCCCAGCATCATTTGTTGAAAGGACTACTCTTTTTACATTGAATTGTTTTGGCATCTTTGTGGAAAATCAATTGGCCATAAATGTAAGGGTGTAAGTGGTTATTTATTGCAGCATTCATTCCTAAGTCTAGATATCATAAGACCTTTTTATTTTTCCAAACCCTTTGATTGAATGAATATTCTGAGTATGTTCCAGAGCCATGTAACTTAAATAACTGTAAGTAGAAAACATGAGCACCAAATAAATTTCTCCTAAATGCAACTGTATTCTTAGTGCAATTACTGTGTACATGTATAAAAATTGTGTCCAAAGTGTTTATAAACATTACTCTGGGTTTTATATAGAAGTTAGAACATTTTCCCATTTCTGTGAATTTTAATATCTTAATATTTGGGCATTTTTTAAAAGAAGGTCTTCCTTGTTAGATTCATTCTGCCAAGCAAGCCTGCAAGTTTTAGACTTTTATATCACTCAAGTTGCTTATGTAGTCCTTCAAGAAAAATTAAACCAAGATCTCTAAAGTGATTTCCATGCAAAATTAATGCTTCCCTTTACCTCTGCCAAACTCTGTGATGCATTTATGCGGCAGATGCCAGAAAGTTCAGAACTTGTAACTGGAAAGAATTCAAAATTTTAAGACAGAAAGCATTTGCGCCTGGGGCAATGTAATGATCCCACCTGTGTCGTTTTCTTGTCTTCTGGATGTTTTCATTGTGTGTCCAGAAAGGCCCAGGCAGATCCTTATTCTATTTTTAAATCTTTTTTATGAAACACAGTTTTAATTTTACAAGACCAGATCTCACTCCAAGTTTCAAAATATGTGTTCTTCAGCATAAAATGTTTTGACAGATATCTAATGGCCTAGCACTTTAGCATCCATTTTTTAGGCATAGACTCAGAGAACTGGAGCCATAAAATCATAGTGTAATTGGTCACTATCAGATGCTGGATAAATTTGTACTTCTAGGTGAACTGCTTTCTTTCCCTTTCCCTTATTGTGAAAACTGTCTCAATCTGTTAATATACCACTGAAATAAATGGAAATATCTGTTGGACTTACTAGCTTTGATATTTTATTTATGGTCTATGAAGAAGAGCAGAAAAGACCTGGTATTTATTGAGTGCCTACTATGTTCTCCAAGCACTATCCTAGATATGTTTATATCCCTAATCTCATTTAATCCTCACAAACCCTTATTGTTGGTATTATGATCCCATTTTTAGAAAGGAAGAACTTTAAATAAGCCAAATAATGACACTTTATGTCTGTGTGTGGTCTTTCATATCATAATTCTAAAGTATCATCTGGTATTTGTGATGTTCAGTTATTTAAAAAAACTATCATAATTTATATCTACTGTTGCAAAGTTGAGGGTAGAACGAAGAGACAAATGTGGTATTCAACTTTTTGTACTTATTATTTTTGGGAAACATAGCAAACAGACATAAGAGCTAAGTAAGTGATACAGAATACATTCAATAGGGGGAAGGCTGTATAATTCTCAGATACAAATCATGCTGGAACAACTGGATATCCCTATGCAAAAAAAAATCAACTTTGAGTCATACCTCACACTACATACATATAAAAGCTAATTTAAATAGTTCATAGATGTAGTTGTAAAACTTAAAATTGTGAAGGACAATGTCTACCACCCTGCGTAAGGCAAAGATTTCTTAAATACAATCCCTAAATATATTGGTAAATTAGACTGTCTTAGTCATTTTGTGTTGCTATAACAAATATCTGTGGCTGGGTAATTTGTAAAGAAAATAGGTTTATTTAGCTCATAGTTCTGCAGGCTAGGAAGTACAAAAAGCATGGTGCCAGCATCTGCTTGGCTCCTGGTGAAGACCTCATGCCTGCATAGTGAAAAGGAGAAAAGGAGCAGGCAAGTGCAAAGAGATCACATGGTGAAAGCAGCAGCAAGGTAGAGAAACCAAGAAAGCCGGACTCTTTTTAAAAACCCACGCTTGTGTTAACTTGTATCCAGAATATCTAAAAAGCTCTGAAAATTCAACAATAAGAAAAATAAATCAATATTTAAAATGGGAAAAGATTTTTACAGACATTTCATCAAGTTAGAGAAACAGATGATAAATAGTATATGGAAAGATCCTTAACATAACTAGTCATTTCAGAAATGCAAATTAAAAATCACAATACACTATTACTACAAACCTATAAGAATGGCTTTAAAAAAAAAGCTAACGATACCTAGTGCTGATGAGGATATGGAGCAATTGGAATGTGCATACATTGATTGTGGGAATGCAAAATGGAACTGCAACTGTGGAAAACAGTTTCTTATAAAGTTAAATATATACTTCCCATATCACAAGCAATGTCATTTCTAAGTGTTACTTAAGATAAATGAAAATTTATTTTTTAAAAAACAATAAAAAGCTGTAGATGAATAATTACAGCAGCTTTGTTCACAATTGCCCCAAACTGGAAACAACCCCAAATCTTCATTCTGTTAATGCACTAAATAAAGTAGTACATCCATAGAGTGAAATTTTATTCAGCAATAAAAAGTAATAGAGTACTGACATATAAAACAACTCAAATACATTCTGCTTAAAGAAGCCACACTCAAAAGACTACACACGATATAATTCCAGTTATATTAACATTCTGAACAAGTCATAACTATAGGGATAAAAAATAGGCCAACAGTTGCCAAAGGTTAAAGGTGGGGATGGAGGGGTTTCTATAAAGAGGCATCACAAGGGAAGTTTTTGGAGAGACACAACCATTCATTTGTCAAATCACACAGACCTACACATGTAAAAAGGCAAACTTTAAGTATGTTAGACTCCAATAAATGTAACATAATTATATATGCAATATACATATATATGTGATAAATATCAATAAATCTACTTCTCTCTCATTAAGAGAAATCTAGATTTAGTTACTCCAGAGCTGGTTTGGTGGTTCCAGAGTCAAGGACCAGGGTACCTTCTATTCTATTGCTCTGACAAAATGCTGTTTGTGCACAGCCATCATATCCACATTACTGGCAGAGGAAAGAGTAAAAAGGAAGGAGTGAAAAGGGTCTGTAACCTTCTTTCGGAGACTTCTTCAAAGTTTCACACTACCCTTTCGTTACACCTCATTGGTCAAAACATAGTTGCCACATTTAATCACATCTAACTGCAAGAGAAGCTAGAAAATACAGAATTTGAGAAGAAAGGAAATGTATATTGGAGTATGCAGCTAGTAATATCTGTTATATTTCTGTTGGTTTATAGATGCCAAGGTGTCTTATAACACTGGGGTTCTGTCCCCTTGCTCTTCACTAGGTTGCTTTATATCGGAGCTACAAAGTGCCTCTCTATTATTCCTGTGTACTGTTTCCCTAGCCCTTTCTTGAGCCTACATTTTGGTAGTTACTAGCTTGTAAAATTTGGTTAGCGCAATCTTAACATTATGTCAGGCACTGGGTTTGACAGCTCTGAAAACTGACTTTCAGTAATGTTAAGCGATTAAGTTCCCAAATAAAGCGGAGAAGAAAGCTTGCAAAAGTAATTTATAAACAAAACCCCCAAAATTTCCTTTGGAATATATCATAAATATTTGACAGCTTCAAAGAAAGCGCTGGCTATTCAAAATCTACACATTTAACATTCAATTGCACCTCACTGTATATAGATTAGACCTCAAAGTTGATTCCTAAAATGCTTGGATAAAAAGTGAAATTATTTCTTTCATTCATGCAACATTTATTGAGGACCTAGTATTTATGTTCCTTCTATATTCAAGAAAAGGTAAAGGCCCTAGGCATACACAGATTAAACAAAACAAAACAAAAACAAAATCCTTGCTCTCAAGGAGCTCTTCTTGTAAAAGAAATAAATGTTAATATGTGTAATTACAATTTATGTGACCTGAGTAAAGTAAGTTCTCTAGTTTTGTACTTTTCAAAATTGTTTAGGCTATTCCAAGTTGTTTACATTTCCAGATGAATTTTAGAACCAGCTTATCCAATTTCTATCTCCAAACATTCAACTGGAATTTAATTGAGATTACATTAAATCTAAACATGAATTTGGGAAGAACTGAAATGTTAATACTATTGACTCTTCTGATCCACGAATACAGTACATCTTCTCATTTATATAGATCTTTTAGTTCTCTCAGAAATGTATTATGGTTTTCAATGTATAAATACTACACACACACATGGCCAGATTTCCATATGTATTATGCTGTTAATCACTGGTATTATTTTCACAATTTTATTAACAATTGTTTGTTGCTAGTCAACAGAAATAAAATTGACTCATAATTACTGACTTTGTATCCTGTGACCTTGCTAAACTCACTTATTAGTTCTAATAGCATTTTTGTAGATTCAAAAGGATGCCCTCTCTCACCACTCCTATTCAACATAGTGTTGGAAGTTCTGGCCAGGGCAATCAGGCAAGAGAAAGAAATAAAGCGTATTCAGTTAGGAAAAGAGGAAGTCAAATTGTCCCTGTTCGCAGATGACATGATTGCATATTTAGAAAACCCCACTGTCTCATGCCAAAATCTCCTTAAGCTGATAAGCAACTTCAGCAAAGTCTCAGGATAAAAAATCAATGTGCAAAAATCACAAGCATTCCTATACACAAATAAAAGACAAACATAGAGCCAAATCATGAGTGAACTCCCATTTACAACTGCTTCAAAGAGAATAAAATACCTAGGAATCCAACTTACAAGGGATGTGAAGGACCTCTTCAAGGAGAAGTACAAACCACTGCTCAACGAAATATAAAGAGGACACAAACAAATGGAAGAAGATTCCAGGCTCATGGATAGGAATAATCAACATTGTGAAAATGGCCATACTGCCCAAGGTAATTTATAGATTCAATGCCATCCCCATCAAGCTACCAATGACTTTCTTCACAGAATTGGAAAAAACTAAAGTTTATATGCAACCAAAAAAGAGCCCGCATTGCCAACACAATCCTAAGCAAAAAGAACAAACCTGGAGGCATCACACTACCTGACTTCAAACTATACTACAAGGCTACAGTAACCAAAACAGCATGGTACTGGTACCAAAACAGAGATATAGACCAATGGAACAGAACAGAGGCCCCAGAAATAACACCACACATCTACAACCATCTGATCTTTGACAAACCTGACAAAAACAAGAAATGGGGAAAGGATTCCCTTTTTAATAAATGGTGCTGGGAAAACTGGCTAGCCATATGTAGAAAGCTGAAACTGGATCCCTTCCTTATACCGTATAAAAAAATTAATTCAAGATGGATTAAAGACTTAAATGTTAGACCTAAAACCATAAAAACCCTAGAAGAAAACCTAGGCAATACCATTCAGGACATAGGCATGGGCAAGGACTTCATGACTAAAACACCAAAAGCAATGGCAACAAAAGGCAAAATTGACAAATGGGATCTAATTAAAGAGCTTCCATACGGCAAAAGAAACTACCATCAGAGTGAACAGGCAACCTGCAGAATGGGAGAAAATTTTTGCAATCTACTCCTCTGACAAAGGGCTAATATCCAGAATCTACAAATAACTTAAACAAATTTACAAGAAAAAAACAACACCATCAAAAAGTGGGTGAAGGATATGAACACAGACACTTCTCAAAAGAAGACATTTATGCAGCCATCAGACACATGAAAAAATGCTCATCATCACTGGTCATCAGAGAACTGCAAATCAAACCCACAATGAGATACCATCTTACGCCAGTAAGAATGGCAATCATTAAAAAGTCAGGAAACAACAGATGCTGGAGAGGATGTAGAGAAATGGGAACACTTTTACACTGTTGGTGGGACCGTAAACTAGTTCAACCATTGTGGAAGACAGTGTGGCGATTCCTCAAGGATCTAGAACTAGAAATACCATTTGACCCAGTGATCCCATTACTGGGTATATACCCAAAGGATTATAAATCTTGCTACTATAAAGACACATGCACACATATGTTTATTGTGGCACTATTCACAATAGCAAAGACTTGGAACCGACCCAAATGTCCATCAATGATAGACTGGATTAAGAAAATGTGGCACATATACGTCATGGAATACTATGCAGCCATAAAAAAGGATGAGTTCATGTCCTTTGCAGGGGCATGGATGCAGCTGGAAACCATCATTCTGAGCAAACTATCACAAGGACAGAGAATCAAACACCGCATGTTCTCACTCATAGGTGGGAATTGAACAATGAGAACACAGGGCAGGGAACATCACATCCTGGGGCCTGTTGAGGGGTGGGGAGCAGGGGGAGGGATAGCATTAGGAGAAATACGTAATGTAAATGACGTGTTCATGGGTGCAGAAAACCAACATGGCACATGTATACCTATGTAACAAACCTGCACGTTGTGCACGTGTACCCTAGAACTTAAAAGTATTTTAAAAAAAAGAGAGAGAGAGACAGAGTCTTGCTCTATTGTCCAGGCTGGAGTACAGTGGTGTGATCACAGCTCACCATAACTTGAACTTCTAGGTTCAAGCAATTCTCCTGCCTCATCCATCCAAGTAGCTAGGGCTATGGGCACATGGCAACATGCCTGGCTAGTTTTTATTTTTTGTAGAGATAAGGTCTCACTATATGTTACCCAGACTGGTCTGGAACTCTTTGCCTCAAGCAATCCTCCTGCCTTGGTCTGCCAAAGCACTGGAATTACAGGGGCAAGCCACCGTTACTGGCAGAAATTTTCTATATAGACGATTATGTGGTCTCTTTAATAGACACAATTTTATTTCTTCCTTCCAATCAGTAAGCCTTTCATTTATTTGTCTTATTGCACTGGCTGGCAATTCCAGCATATAGAAATAATGAGAGTTAACATCATTGCTTTTTTCTCAAGCACAGGGGGAAAGTATTCAGCCTTTTTCCATTAAGTGTATTTCAGATTGAACATCCCTAATCCAAATATCCAAAATCCAAAGTGCTCCATAATTTGATACCTGATTTCATGTGATGGGTCGCAATCAAAATGCATGTACACAACACACAGTTCATTCAGTCTGCCACTGTTTGTTGTTGCTACTGTGTAACAGTTGATACACGTATTCTGGTGATGCTACTGTGCTGCGCAGTTAACCTGAACACATTACTTTTTTTTACTGTATTAATATGTCATATTTTTCAGTTAAGTACTTATGTATGAATAAGTGTAAGAAAATGCTTATCAGTGACATATAAATTGAGATTCAGGAATGATGATGATGCCAAAACTCTATAGTTCTCCACATGTGTAACTGAGACAATGACATTTTTGCCTTCTAATGGTTCAATGTACACACACTGTTTGATGCAAAAAATTTTTTTAAATATTATATAAAATTACCTTCAGGCTATGTGTATAATGTATTACGAAACATAAATGAATTTTGTACTCAGACTTGGGTCCCATCTCAAGACATCTCATTACATATATGCAAATATTCCACAATTTGAATCCCAAACCCAGAACACTTCTGAGCCCAGACATTTTGGATAATAGATATTTGACCTGAACCTGTAGGTTTTTCATAGATGCCCTTTATCAGAACTAAGAAATTCCATTCTATTCCTACTTGGCTGAGAAATTTTATCATGAATGAATGCTGGATTTTTTCAAATGCTTATTTTACATCAATTGAGATGATGATATACCTTTTCTCTTTTTTAAGTCTGTGCATTATATTGTCTGATTTTCAATCCTTTCAATCCTCCTTTGCACTCTTGGTTTAAATATGACTTAATCATGATGTATTATCCTTTCAATAAACTGTTAGCTTGAACTTGCTGATGTTTCGTTAAGGATTTTTGTTTCAGTTCATTGGGGATATCAGTCTATGGTTTCCTTTTTCTGAAGTGACTTTGCGTTAGGCATCAGGGTAATGTTGGCCTTATAAAATAAGTTGGAGTGTGTTTCTTCTTTTAGTTTCTGGAAGAGTTTGTATAGAATTGGAATTTTTTCTTTCTTAAAGTAGAATTCAACAGTGAAGCCATCTAGAGTTTTCATAGTGGAAAGGTTTTTAATTACACATCCAGTCTTTTACACAGGACAGGAATATCTCAATTATTTGTGTCTTATGAATGATCTTTCATAATTTGTGTCTTTCAAGGAAATTTTTCCATTTCGTCTAAGTTATCAAATATGTTTGTATAAAATTGTCATAAAATTCCCAATTATCTTTCAATGTCATTAAGTTCTACAGTGATGTCACCTCCTTCATTCAAGATATCGGTGTCTGATATTGCCTGCAATTCTTTTTGAGATCCAGCAGGTTAGAGTGCAGTGGTGTGATCTCGGCTCACTGCAACCTCCACCTCCCAGGTTCGAGAGATTCTCCTGCCTTGGCCTCCCAAGTAGCTGGGATTACAGGCACGAGCCACTATGCCTGGCTAACTTTTGTATTTTTAGAAGAGATAGGGTTTCACCATATTGGCCAGGCTGATCTCAAACTCCTGAGCTCAAGTGATCCACCCACCTCGGCCTCCCAGAGTGCAATTACAGGGGTGAGCCATCACACCTGGTCTCCTTTTTTAATCATCAATACAGCTAGGGATTTATCAATTTGATTTGTCTTCTCAAATTGGTTATTTTTCTTTGTTTTTTAATTTCAGTTTTATTCATCTGCTCTTTCCTTTTTATTATTTTCTTCCTTCTGCCTACTAGGTTAATTCTTTCTCTCTCTGATTTTTGTTCTGTTTTGGTTTTTTGGGTCTCCAGTTTCTTAAGGTTGAATCTTGGATACCTGATTTGGGGCCCTTATGTTTTTCCAGAAGTCTGAAATCAAGGTATCTGCAGGGCCACACTTCCTCTAGAGGAACTGGGTAGAATCCCTCGTAGCCTTTTCAAGCTTCTAGTGGCTGGCACCATTCCTTGGCCTCCTTGGCTTATGATCACATCACTCTGATCTCTGCCTTCATCTTTATGTTGCTCTTCCCCCTTTGTGTCTTCTCATTTTCTGTCCTTTAATGAGGGTACTTGTCGGATTTAAGGCCTAACTGGATAATCCAGGATGATCTCATCTCAAGATCCCTAACAATTAAATTTGCAAAGACTTTTTTCAAAAAAGGAAACATTCACAGGTTCCAGGAATTTGATGTGAAAATAGCTTTTTGGGGGGCCACCATTGAACCCACTGTACACAACATAGATGAACCTCAAAACACACTCTCCCAACTAAAAGAAGCTAGACACAAGAGATGACATACTACATGATTCTATTGATCTGAAACATACATAAAAGGCAAATATATAGATGGCAGATCAGTACTTGCACAGGGCTGGTGGTAAAAATAGGGAATAATTAAACATTGTCTCTTTTTGGGGTGACAGAAATGCTATAAATTAAATGGTCACAATGGTTGTACAAGTCTGTAAATATATTAAAAATCATTGAATTTCCCCATCCTTTTCTATTTTCAGCTGTAATCAGTATAGCTGAAAATTCCATTAAATTCCTAGAAAAGACCATCAGTAATTAAACATTTCTGAAGGAAACTTCAGCAAACCTCAGATAAGGAAGTTGATCAAATGGAATTGGAAGAGATTCCTAATTTAAAACATATGCCAATATTCTTCTCAGCCAAAATTTACACTCTGCTCTTATAAACCAAATACCTCTAAAGCTCTTTATGAAGCACTTGTAAAATATTTTATTTCATTAAATCAAGCAGCAAGAAGTTAGGCACGGTGGCTCACGTCTGTAATCCCTGCACTCTGCAAGACCAAGGCAGGCGGATCACTTGAGTCCAGGTATTCAAGACCAACCTGGGCAACATGGCGAAACCCTGTCTCTATACAAATACAAAAATTAGCTGGGTATGGTGGCCAGCTAATTCTTGTATTTTTGCAGAGACCTGTAATCCCAGCTACTCGGGAGGCTGAGGAAGAAGAATCACTTGAACCCAGGAGGCAGAGGCTGCAGTGACCTGAGATGGGCACCACTGCACTCCAGCCTGGGCAACAGAAAGAGACCCTGCCTCCGAAAATAAAAAATAAAAATAAATAAGCAGCAAGAAAAATCAGTTTGGTAGCTGATTAAGAAGGGAAAGAATGCTACATTTCATGGAGAGTTCTATTCCAAGTGACCTCCTCAACCACTGCAGGTGAAACAGTACTCAACAGCTTTCAACCAACATTAAATTAAAATCCTGTACCAGATGTCAAATGTTCACCAACTTAAAAGCTGGTATTCAAATAGGATATACAGAGATACATAAACATATATATTATGCATACATACTTATATACCTATTACATTGTGTTCATATATTTATATATATTAAATATATCGTGTGTGTGTGTGTGTGTGTGTGTGTGTGTGTGTGTGTATGTGTGTAGGTATATATGTATGTATGTATTCACCTCTATATCTCAATCAATGATCCAGCTGGGCACAGTGGTTCACACCTATAAACCCAACTACTTGTGAGGCTGAGGCAGGAGCATCACTTGAGGCCAGGAGTTCTAGACCAGCCTGAACAATATAGCAAGACACTATCTTAAAAAATAATAATAGGCCGGGCGCAGTGGCTCATGCCTGTAATCCCAGCACTTTGGGAAGCCAAGGTGGGTGAATCACAAGGTCAGGAGTTCGAGACTAGCCTGGCCAACATGGTGAAACCCCGTCTCCACTAAAAATACAAAAATTAGCCGAACATGGTGGCCAGCGCCTGTAATCCCAGCTACTAGGGAGGCTGAAGCAAGAGAATCGCTTGAACCTGGGAGGCAGAGGGTTACAATGAGCTGAGATTGCGCCACTGCACTCTAACCTGGGTGACAGAACAAGACTCTGTCTCAAAATAAATGAATAAATAAATAAAAATAAAAATAAAAATTAGCCAGGTGTGGTAATGCATGCCTGTAGTCCCAGCTACTTGGGAGGCCGAGGTGGGAGGATCACTTGAGCCCAGGAGTTCAAGACTGCAGTGAGCTATGATGGCACTGCTGCACTCCAGCGTGGGTGACAGAGTGACTCCCATCTCTAAAAATAAAAATAAAAAATAAGTGACCTTAAATATAGTATGGAGAGTGGGGGAAAAAAGAAAGTTAAGGGGGAGGGAGCAAGGAAGATGAGCGAAGGGGAGGGCAGGGAAGGGAACTCAGATATACGTTCTATTATGTTGAGGTGATGGGGTTCCTTTTTTCCCTCTAACCTCTTTTAATTTAGCCTATCATGAAGTTCACAAAAAATATAGTACCGTGTTCTAAGATAACACCCTTGGGTGTAGATGCTAAGCACTATTCTGCTCAGAGTTATGGCAAAGATGCTTCATATTTCTTTCAAAATAATCTATAGAGAACTTCATATACCTTCCAAATGCCAAATTAACATCTTCCAGTTACCCATTTTGACTTCCTTTCTTTTCTTAATATCTAGCATAGTTTTGTACAAATAAGTCTTTGACAAATTAAAATTCTATACTAGATGTATATTATATATGTCTTAGTATCTATCTATTGATCTTTAATACTACCCTATTCTTAAGTTCTCTTGAAATGTTCCTCAAAATAATGTTTCAATTAACTTTGGTTAAGTCATAAACACTGTTCCTGGCCCTGAAGAAACCAGGATGAATAGAACAGGACTTTTGCCAACATGGTGAAACCCTGTCTCTACTTTTAGTAGAGACAATTAGCTGGCGTGGTGGTGTGCACCTGTAATCCCAGCTACTTGGGAGACTGAGGCACGAGAATCACTTGAACCCGGGAGGTGGAGGTTACAGTGAGCTGAGATCACGCCACTGCACTCCAGCCTGGGCGATAGAGTGAGACTCTGTCTCAAAAAAAAAAAAAAAAAAAGAATAGGGCTTTTGCCTTCACAGAAATCACAGACTGGCTGATGAAAATGTTTTATAAGTATAAGCCATAGGACTACAATTCAACAAATATAAATTAAATACTTTCCACAAACCAGGTACCTTGGTGGATACATGGAGATACAAAAGTGTCTTTTCTCCAAAAATGCATAACCTAATGGGGAAGAGAGGAAAACATGCCATCGCCTCATGAGGCAGTCACCCAGAAAAAGAGGTATTTCATTGGGAAAGATCTAGGAAGGATTCTATAGAGGTGTGACTTTTGGGGAGAGCTGAGATTCTGTGGCTGAAATTTACAGACTAGAGATGGGGATGAAAATGGAAACGGGTGTCGGGGTGGGGAGTGCATCCTAGAAATTGGTGTAAAAGACGCAAAGAGGAGGGGGCTTAAAATGCACAGTCTATATAGGGAAAAAAAAGTAGTTTGCTTTGACAAGAGGATGAAGTACACAGTGGGCACAAGTAGAAGACGAGATTGTAAAAATATTGGCAAGTACCAGATTGTAAAGGGTATCCTGTGAGATGTGTTGAGATTACAGGCTTTATACTCTAGGAGACTGTGAAGCCACTAAATAGAAGAGTGACTTAGGTTACACAATCAGACTTGTGTTTTAGAAAATCACTTGGATGGCAGTAGGGAAGACCAGAGGGGACAAGTCTGTAGGTTGGACAGTCCAAGTGAAAGATGATAAAGGCCTGTTCTAAGGCAATGGAACAGGGAAAGTGAGGAGAAAACATTACTTTGAGGTGGCTAGAGTCATGGTACTATTCAGTGAAGCAGAGCTGTGGAAGATATGGTATAAGATAGAAGGTAATAATTTTGGTAGAAGTGGCAATAGCAAGTTAAGTGTCAGAGAGCTGTGTGACATTCAGGTGGAGAATCTTGTTGTATAGGGTCTGGATGAAAGAAATACAATTAGGAATTATTAGAATGTAGACAGAGATATGAAACCATGGGGACTGCAAAAGGCAGACCCTCATGGAACAAACACTGAGAGAATAGGCAGCAAAAAGGAAAAGGAGCTAGGCAGGCCATAAGAAAGGGATACGAGGAGAGGGAAGTGTTAGGAAGCCAAAAGAGAATGCTTTTAAAAAGAAGGTGTGTGCATGTTCTCACTCATAAGCGGGAGTTGAACAATGAGAACACATGGACACAGGGAGGGGAACATCACACACTTGGGGCCTGCCGGTGGGTGGGGGGCTAGGGGAGGGAGAGCATTAGGAGAAATACCTAATGTAGGTGACGGGTTGATGGGTGCAGCAAACCACCATGGCACGTATATACCTATTTAACAAAACTGCACATTCTGCACATGTATCCCAGAACTTAAAGTATAATAATAAAAAAAAGGTGTGATCATGAGTATTAAATTCCAAAGAGATGTTAAGTAAAAACAGGACTGAAAGGCCTTCACAGGATTTAATAGACAAGAGCTCACAGATGACTTCTGCAAGAGCAATGTCAGTAGAATGATAAGGGTAGAAATCAGAAAGCTATGGCATTAGGAGTGGGAAACAATGAGGGAGAGATAAAGCAGGCAAAGAGTGTTCAAGCATAAAATGCTATTTAAGTACAGAAGGGAATCAATAAAACCTGGCCAAGACAAAGAGGAATGGAATTGAGGATGCCAGAATGGGGAGAGAAGGTAACACTCGATTTGGCTCCTAAATGATATGAAGGGTTGTAAGGTAGATTTGAAGGAAGGAGTTTATGGCAAAAGGAAAATCAAGAGCAAAAGGCCTTGAAAGGGGTCTTGAAAGGAATGGTAAATGATCTGATATCTGATATAGTTACAACTTGAGGGGTAGAAGTGGGAGGAGGTGCACACATATCTGGAGATGATGACAGAAATAGGCTAGTACTAGATTGGGAAAGACCTTGCAAGCCATTAGGGATTATGCACAGTACTCTGTAAACCTTGGAAAGGCAACAGATAACACTAGTAAGGGGGCTGAGATTATGACAGGCAGGGCAGGAACCCAAGCAATGTGTCCCAAAGTCAGCCTAGACTGACGCTCCAGTAACAGAGCCTGACCCATGGCTATACAGTATGGGGCTAAAAAGGAATGAAGACAGTGTCCCAGACAAAGGTACTGGATCAAGAGCAGAATGATGGTATTTTTCACATAAATGGAGAATTGGAGAAGACAGAAAGACACTAAAAAATGAAATGAGAATAGTAAAGATCTAGTGCATCTAATAGTACAAATTTCTGACCAATTGGAAGTGAAAAGGAAGAAGTCACTGATAGAACCCTACTCTTCTCAAGAGGGCACTGAGAACAAAGAGAAGAATTCTGTAACTCTCCAACTGCACTTCTATGTTGTACATGATTGAGGAGTGGGAAACACACAATGAATCCATCTGGGGACATAAAACAAGTCACTCAGCTCTATTCCACTAATTACTCTCAAAACATGTATCAAGATAAAAAATTGTATGTGGATTTGGCCTTAAAAAATGGACAAGGAGGCTGGGCGCGGTAGCTCACACCTGTAATCCCAGCACTTTGGGAGGCTGAGGCGGGAGGATCACGAGGTCAGGAGTTTGAGACCAGCCTGGCCAACATAATGAAACCCTGTCTCTACTAAAAATGCAAAAAATTAGCCAGGCGTGGTGGTGTGCACCTGTAATCCCAGCTATTTAGGAGGTTGAGGCAGGAGAATCACTTGAACCTGGGAGGCAGAGGTTGCAGTGAGCCGATATCGTGCCATGGCATTCCAGCCTAGGCAACAGAGTGAAACTCCATCTCCAAAAAAAAAAGTGGACAAAGATCTAGTATGTCTGTAACTACAGATGACTGTTTTTTATTTATGTTAAGAAGTAATGCCACGTTACTACCTTCTGACAGAAGCAAAGCAGAGGTGGAGGTGGAATATGGGATATTTGGGAACAGAGGAAAGAGATTATGGTGGTCAGCATAGGACCAAGTGGATAGAACAAATCTTACAGAAATCTGCTTCTATCCACCCCTTTACTGTGAGTGCTGCCAGGGCTCACTATGGCTTCTGGAACAACTTCTTCTTGGGTATCTGCAGGTGCTTACGGTTTCTCAACAAACTGCTAAAGTTTAACATAATTATGGCTATTATTCTTTATTTTTAATGCCTCTGAAGTATAATACATATACTAATTTTTCACTCGACCAACCAAGTTTAAAAGCACCAGACTCTACATCTGCAAAACAGATTTGAAAGATAAAATTTTATATGCCAAAGAGTGATTCAGTGCAAATTTGAAAAGGAGATAAATATTCATCTTTTGAAAGGGAATTGATGATTTTTCCTGACTGAAAATTTAAACAATGCTTAATCAAGTCACAGAGTTAAGTAATGAAGTCAATATTACTTTAGAAGTTTCCACTAAAAAAATGAACCTTTTCGATATCTCTAACAAATTAATCTACAACAGAACTCTTGTACATGGAGAATTATTCGAAGAAATCGTGAAATGTCAAAATGTGTTTGATAATGAATTCAGAATACCGGACTAAGAATCTGAATAAGATTCCTGTAAGACTCATAATCATGATCGCTAACATTTAAGTACACATAATGAAGTATGCACTATTCTAAAAGCACTTTACCATCTAATCCTCACAACTCTCTGAAGAAGGTACTACTATTATTTCTATTTTGTAGAGACAAAAAGTATAAAAGGATTAAGTAATAATTAACGTAAACATTCAGTTAAGTGAAATAATCAACTAACAGACCTAATGTGCTGTCATGGCACATTACTGTCTACTTCACATTTCATAGTCCTGTCTATATGAATCCATGAAAACAAGTAAGGTCCTAACAATTTTGGATTTGTATGCTATCAATATTGTTGGTTCAAGCAGTACTTTCACTTGAGGAAGAATACTGCAAATTTTCCATATCTATAAAAGTAACTCAAAATAAAGTTAATATTATTTGTATTTTGTACCTTTTAGGGATAATTACTCTGAAAGTCTTGCTAATGTGATGTATGTTAAAGAAATGAAGTCCTTTCTCTTTAACAAAATGAATATCAACTTTTCTCCCAATTAACATAATCAATGAGAAAACACTTTCAAAGGACACAAGTATAAGGGATCCCTCCTACTATGACTGCGTGTCATAGTCAATCATCCTTTCAAAGGACACAAGTATAAGGGATCCCACCTACTATGACTGCGTGTCATAGTCAATCATCCTTTCAAAGGACACAAGTATAAGGGATCCCACCTACTATGACTGCTTGTCATAGCCAATCATCCCTTATGCTTTCTCCCCCCATATCTGTGACACATTTGTTCATAAGCCAGGCATGTTTCCCTCAATAAGCTCTGCTCTATTCTTTTTTTTTTTTTTTTTGAGACAGAGTCTTGCTCTGTCACCCAGGCTGGAGTGCAGTGGCGCCATCTCGGCTCACTGCAAGCTCTGCCTCCTGGGTTCACGCCATTCTCCTGGCTCAGCCTCCAGAGTAGCTGGGACTAGCCCGCCACCACGCCTGGCTAACTTTTTGTATTTTTAGTAGAGAAGGGGTTTCACGGTGTTAGCCGGGATGGTCTCAGTCTCCTCACCTCGTGATCCACCTGCTTTGGCCTCCCAAAGTGCCGGGATTACAGGCATGAGCCACCACACCCAGCCTCTATTCTCTTAAATAACTCTAGGGGGATACATTTTCTATGTGTACGGGCGGAAGAACTGCATGTAGGAGAAAAAATCACCAACAGCTAAGGCACAGAGTTCAAATGAGAAAATAAAGTAGATCCAGAAAAGCTTTTAAAACTTTGCACAGAGGCTATGAACTACTAGGATCAACAGAGCAAGTGGAACCACCTAAGCAGCATTTTACCATCAGAAACAGGCTATTTGATAAAAAGTACTGGTGGCGACATCCTAAAGAAGTGCTACGCACAAGGACAGCCCATGCTGAAACAAGATGAAACTTGGCATACTCTCCATATGTTTTCCAGTTACTTAAGACCTTTAGGATTACACCAACAATCACAGAGATGCTCGTTGCTTACAGCTCCACCATTAGGTACAATAATATGAATCAAAGCTAAACATGTGTTAGGTCTGTATTATATCAGCACTATGTTAAGGGCTTTACACATGTTATCTCATCTAAGCTCAGCATTTTACCATGGTTACTTTTATTATCCCCATTTGAGAGATGATGTGAGAAGTTATATAATCTGCCCATGGTGACACAGTTAGTAGTAGCAGAGTTAGGATTCTAATCCAGGTCAACCTGGTTGCAAAGCATACCCTTCTACTTTAACATCTAAAAGATAACTGTGTGTGAATCTATGGTTGTATAATCATTATATAAAATTGGGTCAGACACTGCTAAGCAAGCAGAGCATTCTTATGTTATATTGCTGATATAGGGAAATCTGATACAGGGACTTCGAAAAGTATTCCTACAGTATTGTTAGTCCAGTTTCCAGAGGCTGTAATCAATACACGTTTTCCTGAAATATTAAAAGGCTTGCTTTCATAGTTTGGTTTTCACCTATCCCTATAGTTAACTAGTCTAAATGCAATGGACAGCACAACTCTTAAATTTACTCCAGAAATGAGGACCAGAATGCAACAGTAAAAATGACCCATTCTAAAAATGACCCATTCTATAACTTAAAATGACCCTTACTATACCTAGTAACTATTAGTTACTAACTAATACTGTAACAAATAAAAACTGTAACTAAGTAGTGAGACCATCAAATGTCAAACATCCTAGTAAGACAGGTACTACTAAAGATTTTTTTTTTTAAGTTTTCAAACATTTCCCTCAATCCCAGGAAATGTCTGAAGCACTATGAGAGCTAGGATTTGGAATTTAGTGAAATCTCTTCTAACTTAGGCCTTATGAAGGGACATGCCCCCTAATATTCAGCAGCCAGTCAAAGCAACACAGCTGTCTCCATGTAAAACACTTGGGATTTATCAGACGAAATTCTGATAGCTTTGCCTCTCTGCTGTCCACCTCTAGATCTGTGTATAGTTTTGTGCACTAGGGGTTAGGGTGACAAGGGTCTGCGAGGTACCTAAAATCGTATATATGTGTACTTTTTACAGAGAAGTTCTACAGTTTCCCCTTAGATCATCAGAGAAATCTAACAAACATTAAAACATGGCTCTAAACTTTACCCCTACCCAGAGAGCTGATTTTATATTTAGACTGCATTGCTTTGATCTCCTCTTAGGATGGCTTTTCTTCATTTTTAGGTTCTGCTTGGACTTGTGTTAAAGAGTGCAACAAAAAATAACGACATGAGTAACAGTATAGAAAAATGATTGAGGGTGAGGACAATGAAGTCATTTTGCCTGTTTTTAACTCCTGTCTCCTAACTGGTGATATTGAACAAGTCACTTGACCTCTCAGAGCCTCAGTTTCCTAATGGGAAATACTTTATAGTTATTTTAAAGAATTGGATGAGAAATATACACAAAGCACTTAATACAGTCTCTTGCCCATAGTAAATGCCCAACTGTGTTTATTGTTCAGGATACTGTCTACATTCACCAGTGTTCCCTATATGAGGGTCCTGGGAAAAGTTTGATTGATTGTGTTTTTTGTTTAGGATACTGTCTACATCCACCAGTGTTCCCTATATGAAGGTCCCTGGGGAAAAGTGTTTCTTTCTTACTCTGTTGAAAAGAAAGGTCTATTTTCTCCTCTTGGAGATCCTGAGGCTTAACTGAATATGTCTCCAATTTTGTCATAGTCACTGGACAGTTTGGAGATGAATCTATAACCTAACTTCTCACGAGCAGCAAGACCTTCTCTTAATAATTCTTTGTGAACTAACTTTATTCCTTCACCCTAACCTTCCCATGGCCCTGAATGTTTCATATAATGTTGTATTACATTTATTGTTTTACATTTCTTCAAAATCATTTTTGGAATGAGGTAAGGTGTGTGAAAACAAGCAATCAAATTAACAAATCAAAAGAAAAAATAAATAGTGCTGTTTTGAACTGATAATAATTTGTGTTGAAAAAAATAAAGTTACTTTCCTAATTCATGGATGTATTGGCTACACAGGGGAAAAACTTAACTCTCGGGACTTCTAAAAATAAGATCTGCCCTAGACCAGTTTAGTCTCTCAAAGGAAATCCGAGTCAAGAGACATCAGTCAAAAAACAAAACAAATCTGGTATGATCATGAGAACTTAACATGAAGAGTGATGAAGTAAAGAGAGAATATAGCAACATGCTATTCCTTTGAGG